>NC_000005.10:141953659-142578659 GCF_000001405.40 Homo sapiens | reverse complement strand
AAAGCAGATTCTCCTCCATAACGTGGGTGGGCCTCATCCAATCAGCTGAAGGCCTGAATAGGAAAAAGACTGACCTCCCTTGAGGAGGAAAGAATTATGCCAGCAGACAGCTTTCACACTCAAACTACAACATCAGCTCTTCCTTTAGGTATTTTTTTCCTTATTTATTTTGAGATGAGAGTCTCACACTTTGTGTCCCGGCTGGAGTGCAGTGGCATGATCATAGCTCACTGCAACCTCAAATTCCTGGCCTCAAGGGATCCACCCACCCCATATTCCTAAGTAGCTGGGACTACAGGCAAGTACTACCATGCTCTTACTTGAGTTTTCAGCGTGCCATCATACCCTGCAGGTACAATGGACTTGCCAGCCTCCACAATCATGCAAGCCAATTGCTTAAAATAAATATCTAACTATCTCATACACACAGACACACACACACACACACACATACACACACCCCCTATTGGTTCTGGTTCTCTGGAAAACTCTAATGTAAGTTGTTAAGCAGTGGGCGTATGAGTGTTTATTACACTATTCTTTTTACTTCTGTTTTAAAATTCCCAAAGTAGAGAGTCAAATCAAAAAGGAAAATTAAAAAATCATAGCAGTAAGTGGGCAGTATTGGGGGTTCATTAGTCAAGTAGATGAGTTTTTTACACTCCTCAGGAAGCAGGAACAGGTAGGAAACAAGGTCTTGAGCTGAAGGTAGGCAGGAACCACAATTGAGACATCTCCTAACCAGGAGTTTTGAAGAACTACACTCTAGTCAGAGAAGGGATGGATCAAAAAAAATAGCCTATTCATTGGCCTGAGGATGTGGCTCTCTTCAACCCTGTGCCATGAAGAAGAAAGTTCTCCAAGACTTTATAATCATGAGCCTGTCCTCAAGACGATTTGGGTTACAAAGTTATACCTGCTTGGTCTAGGAACCCTTAGCCTTAGAAATAAACATAAGAAAGAGGTCCGCGATATTCCTGGAACACCAGGTGACAGCAAAGAAAAGCCTCTCTGTAGATCTAAAGCCCTAAATCAAGATGCTTGATGTTTCCATGTTTACTGCACCCCGATCAATAGCTCATAATTCAAAAATTACTTACAAAAAGTTAAAAGAGAGTCAGCAGACACACCAAAAGGCACTTCTGAACATGCAAGAGCTTCAGATACTGAAGATTCAAGAGCTTCAGGACACTGACTGGATACAGGCCATAAAATAAGCATCTTTAAAATGATCCAATACATTTTTTAAAAAGGACTTAAAATTGAGAAATAAAAAGGCTATCATAAACACTAGCAGATTTAATTCAGAAAGTAACTAAATAAAACTTCAAATGAAAAATGGAGACATTGAAATTAAAAACCCAATAGGCAGAAACTTCCAGAAATGGCAGAGGATTGAAGTGGTTTTGAAATGTTCCCACCGATAACAATGATAAAAACAGGTTTAGGGGGAAAAAAAAAACAACAAACAACTTTTTTTAAGAAGAACTATTTAAAGACCCTGGAGAGAATCCAAAAGCAGATAGAAGCAGGAGACTTTAATCTTAAAAACTGCCACAGGAAGGACTAGGAATTTCAAGATTATATCTTCCTCACCCGAGGGTGATGCCCAACCCTCACAGCTAGGGCTGTGAAAAACAGCCATGGAAAACCACAGCCTTACTAGCTAAAGGTTCCACAGATAGGAGTTCAAGGCTGAAGAGTAGCTAGAAGTCTACAGGAAAAGTACTGGCAGCAGAAAAACCACTGAAGAAGTATAAAACTCTGAGTATAAACTCTGTCCAGGTCTGTGGCCAAAAGCTAAACTACACATATGTGGTAAAAGACCCTAAGGAACCTGGTGAAAAAGGAGACAGAAACCAGAGAGAAATCTCCCCTTGAATACAGAGCAATGTGAATGTGTTGCCTTTTAAAAACAAACAAACAAACAAACAGACTTGGTACATTTCCTAACCATGCACAATGCAGGTGGCAGAAAATTGAATCTTGCAGCCTTGAAATGACAGAGACAGCCTAAAATCGGCCAAATAGCTACAAATCAGGGAGAGGGAGCACCTATAAGCAAGAAAGTGCACAAAGAAGGTGACTTCCATCTCTGCTGAAATCCTTGGCTAACTACCAAATTACACAGAAACAGGGAAAACCCCCAAAGGGGCAGGCAGAAAAGCAGCAATAGGAAGCCATGAGAAGAGAGATATTGGCTGCTGTGTATCACAGGGGGACAAAGTTTGTGGTTGGAGACTAAACAAGTCAGCTGCCTACTAGAACAAAAACTCAGTAGTCCTCAGAAGAATACAACAGAATCTAGAGTTGCCATAATGTATTATCCATAAGGCCCAACTTTCTTTCTTTCTTTCTTTTTTTTTTTTTTGAGATGGCCGCTCTGTCGCCAAGGCTGGAGTGCAGTGGCAGGATCTCGGCTCACTGCAAGCTCCATCTCCTGGATTCACACCATTCTCCTGCCTCAGCCTCCCGAGTAGCTGGGACTACAGGCACCCACCACCATGCCTGGCTAATTTTGTTTTTGTATTTTTAGTAGAGACAGGGTTTCACCGTGTTAGCCAGGGTGGTCTCGATCTCCTGACCTTGTGATCCGCCCATCTTGGCCTCCCAAAGTGCTGGGATCAAAGGCATGAACCACCGCACCTGGCCTTAAGGCCCAACTTTCAACCAGAAATTACTATACATGCAAAGAAACATTAAAGTGCACTCTACACTCAGAGAAAAAGGCAGCCAATAGAAACTGATTCTGAGTGGCTCCAGATGTTGCATTTAGCAGACAAAAATCTTTAAACAAGTTATTATAAATATGTTCGAAGAATCAAAGGAAAATGTGGTATACATTGAATGAACAGCTTGGAACTCTCAGTGGAGAAATTAAAACTAAAACACATATAAAATAAAAAAGGGGGAAATTCTAGAGCTGAAAAGTACAAAATCTGACATTTTAAAAGTTCACTAGATAGGCTTAACTGAATATTGGGAATGGCAGAAGGAAGAATCAAGGAACATGAAGATAATGCAACAGAATGCCACACCCAAACAACAGAAAAAAATGAAGATTGAAGAAAAATGGAGAGAACCTTAGAGACCTGGGGGAGCAATATCCAGATGTTCAGTATACATATGATTGTAATTCCAGAGGAAGAGGAGAGAGGAGGGAATAGAAAAAATATCTGAAGAAATAATTATTGAAAATTTCCCAAAGGGTCATAAGGAAAGTTTTAGGGTTGATAGAAATGTTCTGTATTTTGAGTGTGGTGGTGATTTCATGGGTATATACATTCATCAAAATGTATCCAATTGTACAATTTAAATAGATGTGCTCCTATTAACAATAGCAAAGACATGAAATCAAACTAAATGTCCATCAATGACAAACTAAAGAACATGTGGTACATATACACCATGGAATACACCATGTATTCCATGGTGTATATGTACCACATGTACTTTTTTATGCAGCCATAAGAAAGAATGAGACCAGTCTTTTGTGGGAACATGGATGGAGCTGGAGGCCATTATCCTCAGCAAACTAACACAGGAACAGAAAGCCAAATACCACATTCTCACTTGTAAGTGGGAGCTAAATGATGAGAACTTATAAAGGAAGAAACAACAGACACTGAGGTTTACTTGAGGATGGAAGGAAGGAGAGGAACAGAAACAATACTTATTGGGTACGAGGCTTAATACCTGGGTGATGAAATAATCTGTACAACAAACCCCCATGACACGAGTTTACCTATGTAACAAACCTTCACAGGTACCCTCAAACCTAAAATAAAAGTTAAAAAAAGAAAACTTGGGAAATTAAAGGAGCAATAAATGTGATGATTTTGAACTTAAAATAAATATTAATAAATATAAATAGGTATGCATTATTGTACATAAATTCAATCTCGATAAAGTTGTTTTAAAAAGTAAATGATGACATAAACGTCCCCCCTCCATTAAAAAAATCCTTATGTGGCCGGGCACGGCGGCTCACGCCTGTAATCCCAGCACTTTGGGAGGCCGAGGCAGGTGGATCACGAGATCAGGAGATCGAGACTATCCTGGCTAACACGGTGAAACCCCGTCTCTACTGAAAATACAAAAAAATTATTTCCCCTACTTGGGAGGCTGAGGCAGGAGAATGGCGTGAACCCGGGAGGCGGAGCTTGCAGTAAGCGGAGATGGAGCCACTGCACTCCAGCCTGGGCGACAGAGCAAGACTCCATCTCAAAAAAAAAAAAAAAAAATCCTAATGTATGGGTTAAATATATTGAACACATCTGAAGAGAATACAGAAAACAGAAAAATAGATTTGCAGAAATTAACCAGAATGCCATGTGGTGAGATAAATGAGCAGGGCAGAGGCATGAAAAATAGAATGAGAGGAGGAGTTCCTGTAGGACAGAAGCGTGGAAATGTGGTGAGATGGTGTGTGGAGAGATTATCACCAATGATTTTCCAGTTTTGAGGAAACACAAGAATCCTGAGGTTCAGGAAAAACATGGAGTCCCCTTCAGTACAAATAAAACCATATCCACATTTAGGAATACCTTTGTGAGCATGAAGAATGCTACAGAGAATATCTTAAAAATAGCTCGAAGACCCAGGAGTGGTGGCTTACACCTGTAATCCCAGCACCTTGGGAGGCCAAGGCAGGCAGATCACCTGAGATCGGGAGATCGAGACCACCCTGACCAACATGGTGACACCCCGTCTCTACTAAAAATACAAAATTAGTGGGGCGTGGTGGAGTATGCCTGTAATCCCAGGGAGGCTGAGGCAGGAGAATCGCTTGAACCTAGGAGGCGGAGGTTGCGATGAGCTGAGATCACGCCTTTGCACTCCAGCCTGGGCAACAAGAGTGAAACTCTGTCTCAAAAAAAAAAAAAAAAAAATAGCTGGAGGAAAGAATGATGTCCTCCACAGTGGCATTTACAGTGGCAGCAGACTTCTCAACACGACGACAGTGGCCAGGAGAGAGCAGAATCTGGTCTTCAAAAAGCTGAGAGAAAATAACCATCAACCCGCCCGTCTGGTGCCTCGTAACCAACTGCAGATCCACTTCTGAACTTCTGTTTTGAACCTTCTCATGACCTCTTCATTCTCAGCCATCAAAATAGGTTCAGTCTCTTAGGCTATTAAGGGATTTTATTTAAAGTAAACAGTGTTAATGTGTTCAGGGTGTTAATGACATACTACTGTGGCCTGCCAGTGTTGACCTAAGCCACTTTTATTATAATATTACTAAAATATGCACAAATATATAAAACTAGGTATAAACCTCATATGCTTATAGTTCTTTAAACTATAAAGTTGTTTAATAGTAAACAACTATTAAACCCAAACAAATGTGTAAATATATATGTGATTTATTTATAAATTAAAAACAAAGTTACGGTGCCAATAAAATCCAAAACATTGACATAAATGTGACAGAATGCACCATCCATTTATCTGTTGATGGACACTTGAGCTGTTTCCACAGACAAAATACCAGATTGTTAGAATCTAGAATCCTGCAATATAGTTTTATGCTTTCTGTTTCACTGTGGGAGGCCAGCACAGTGGCTTAGAATGATGGGTCTGGAGTCAGACTGCCTGGGTTTAAATCCCACTGTGTGATTCGGGTAAGCGACTGAAACTCTTAGTTTCTATCTGCTTTCCTGTAAAGTGGATATGGTAAGAATGCTTACTCATGGGGAAGTTGTGAAGATTCAATGCAACAATACAAGGAAAGCATTTAGCCCTGTGCCCAGGACACACAAAGGGCTTCATAAGTTATTATTATCATTGTTGTAATTACTCCTTTTTAATGGTAAACCCATGTTAACCTCTGTTCCATTATTTTGAAAGGTTAATCAATTTAATGAGACCCCAAAATGTAATACCAAAAGATTATTCAAGGAAAAAATCCTAATGAACTTAGGACCTACAAAGCTGGCTCTGTGTTCACCTTCACCAGCAATGAATAAGGTATCAACTACCAGGCTTTTTTGAGTGTGGAATGCCTTAGTTAGTGTGGGCCATTGATGACTTAGTTTTCCCACTCTGTCTTCTCTTCAGTATACCTTGGGATGGGGTAGTATTAGCCTTCCCTTGGTCCCTGTGTGAGCATCAACTTCCATGCAAACTTGGGAACTGAAAGAGTGTGGTCAACAGTCCCCGAGTGATCATCCAGGTGATCCAGAATAGATTTACAGTCCTTTCATCCATTCAAAAGAAAACAGAAACATACATAGACACACACACACATACACACTCATCCCTCCCACCCCCCCACACCACACACACACCCCTCCTAGAACTCTCTGACACTTAACAATGTATATACGGAGTCTGGTTCTCTCTCTCTCTTTCTCTGTTAGATTTAACAACTTCCTGGAAAGAAGGGTTTTAAGCCAAAAGAATCTCTTGGGGTGAGAATATTAGGCTTGGCGGAAGGCTACAGCAGAGGACTGGTAAAGGGGAGGGTTTGTTACACTCTAGGGTCAAAAGAATGCTTATGCACGCAAAAAAAACAACAAAACTCTGCTACATATCCAGTCAACAAAGAGGGCAATCCTAGCTGTACAGAGCGATAACCTTATACTTTTTAGTCTCTATGGGGTGGCAATTCATGATAAGAAAGGCTAGACTGAACTCCTATCTTTACAATGTTTATCAGGGGAAATTTAATAGGCCAACTAGCAACATTGGAAGAGAAACTGCACTACTTAAAAATACCATTGCTTTTTAATGACTTTAGCCCCTACCGTATACAAATGAAGCTACTTAAATATAAATTATAGCTATCTCTTAATTAAAGAAAGCCTATTAAGTTCTTTGTCACAAAGGTGCATCCTTGAAGGTAATCATAATCTATTTCTCAAACATTTTACAGTTCAGACTGGCCCTACTACCAATCAATCTAAATGAGTGCGGAATTAGCTGAGCTCTAAGTCTGGGTAGGTTCAGACACATCTTACAAATAAAAGCAGATCCTGCAGAGTGTGAAAGCTTCTTCCCACATGGTACTTTTGGCCCCTATCTCCTTAAGTCTTCTAATGGCCTCGCAAACCCTGTGGAGAAATGAAGCAAGGGCCAGACAAAGTCAATCACATGAGATGCTATCAAAGACTACTTCCAGACCCAAGCAAACGATTACACCACAACCTGAGCCAGGGCACGCAAACAGAGGCTGGCTCCCCCAATGGGCCCTGGGCCACTTCCACGAGTCCCCTTTTCCCATAACCAAATTCTGACTACCATCTTCATCCTCTCAGGACACAAGAGACATTAATGGCAAAAAAGCTGGTAGAATTCCTAAAATCCTTTAAGCTTACGAAATACAAAGAACAATTACTAGATTCATACAAAGTATCAGATTCTTAGAACTAAAATCTTCCTTCTCCTGCCAATTTAAATTAAAAAGTAGGAGTGGCAAAAGAATCAAAAGCAGGTAAGCCCAGGAAGCTGAGGGTGCAGTGAGCCAAGATCATATTACTGCACTACAGCGTGGGTGACAGAGCCAGACCCTGTCTCAAAAAAAAAAAAAAAAAAAAAGAGTCCAGGCACAGTGGCTTACACCTGTAATCCCAGCATTTTGGGAAGCCGGGGCGGGTGGATCACTTGAGCCCAGGAATTCAAGACCAGCCTAGGCAACATGGTGAAAACCCATTTCTAAAAAAAAAATATCAAAAAAAAAAATTTGCCAAGTGTGGTGGTGTGTGCCTGTACTCTGGAGGCTAAGGTGAAAGAATCACTTCAGCTGGGGAGGTTGAGGCTGCAGTGAACTGAGATCATGCCACTGCACTCTAGCTGGGGCGACAGAGTGACATCCTATCTCAAAAAAAAAAAAAAATTTAAAAGCACAGACACAAACAACTACTTGTATGCCAATGTGAATAGCAACATTATTCACAATAACCAAACAGTATAAATAACCCAAGTGTCCCCAACATGAGTGGATAAAGAAAATGTGTTAGGCCGGGCGCGGTGGCTCACGCCTATAATCCCAGCACTTTGGGAGGCCGAGGCGGGCGGATCACAAGGTCAGGAGATGGAGACCATCATGGCCAACACGGTGAAACCCCGTCTCTACTAAAAATACAAAAAAAATTAGCCCGGCGAGGTGGCAGGCGCCTGTAGTCCCAGCTACTCGGGAGGCTGAGGCAGGAGAATGGTGTGAACCCGGGATGCAGAGGTTGCAGTGAGCCAAGATCGCGCCACTGCACTCCAGCCTGGGTGACAGAGCGAGACTCCGTCTCAAAAAAAAAAAAAAAGAAAGAAAATGTGTTATATACATGTAATGGACTAGTACTCAGCCATAAAAAGGAATGAAGCATTGTTACGTGCTACAATATGGATGAACCTTAAAAACGCTATGCTAAGTGAAAAAACCCAGACCCGAAGGGCCAAGTATTGTATGATTCCATTTATATGAGAATATCTAGAATAGGCAAATTCATAGAGATAAAAAGTAGATCAGAATTGCCAGAAGCTGGGGCAAATGGAGAGTTATTGCTTAATGGTTACACAGTTTCTATGTGGGGTGATGGAAACGTTTTGGAAACAGATAGTAGTGATGATTGCACAACAGTGTGAACGTAATTAATACCAGGTACTGATTTGTACGTTTCAAGATAGCTAAAGGGGAAAATTATATGTTATATGTTTCAGCACAATCTAAAAAAAAATAAAGGACTTGAATCACTGGAAACAACTCAAATGTCCTTCAACAAGTGAACGAATAAACAAATGGTGGTACATCCATATGTTGAAATAAAATGGAACCAACTATTGATATACACAACAACTTGGATTGATCCCAAAGGCATTTTGGTGAGTCACAGACGCCCATCTCAAAAAGGTGACATGCTGTAGGATTCCATGTATATGACATTCTCAAGAAGACAAAACTATAGGGATAGAGAACTGATGAGTGGTTGGCAGGGGTTAGGGGTCAGGGAAGCGTATGCTTATAAAGAGACAGCACAAGGGAGCTTAGTGGGGGTGGGTGATGGAACTGTCCTGAACCCTGATTATGGTGGTGGTGACAAGAATCTATACAAATGTTAAAATTCATAGAATGAGTCACCAAATTTTTTAAAAATCAAGTTTTTTTTTCTTTTTTGAGATGGAGTCTCGCACTGTCACCCAGGCTGAAGTGCAGTGGCGCGACCTCAGCTCACTGCAACCTCCACCTCCTGGGTTCGAGCAATTCTCCTGCCTCAAAGTAGCTGAGATTATAGGTGCATGCCACCACGCCAGGCTAATTTTTGTATTTTTAGTAGAGACGGGGTTTCACCATGTTGGCCAGGCTGGTCACGAACTCCTGACCTCAGGTGATCTGCCCCCCTCAGCCTCCCAAAGTGCTGGGATTAGAGGCGTGAGCCACTGTGCCCAGCCAAGTTATTTTTTAAAAGTGGGGTAGAAGGAGAAATGGCACCAATTGCTATCACTGCTCTTACAACTCTGATTTCCTGTTTCTTTTTTCTACTTTTATTTTAGAATCAAGGGGTACATGTACAGACATGTTACAAAGGTGTATCGCATGATGCTGACATTTGGAGTACAAATGAATCCGTCACCCAGATATTGAGTATAGTATCTGTGGGTTTCTTAATCTCTTAAAATTGTCCAAAGATCAGTCTGGGGGGAAATACAACTTGTAAAATTACAGTAAAGGGTTTATATTTCTATTCCTAGAAGAGATTCTTTCCCTGCACCTCATCCACCCACATATAGTCACACTGTTTGTCTTTTCAGCCTTGACGTCTTTCCTGGACAAAACTTCTTTCACTTGAGAAAAAGAAACGTGGCTGTGTCCCAGTGATAATGTCCACAGAGTCCTGGAAAATACTGGAACACACGTCAATCACGGCACAATGAGGGCAGTGCTCGGAACCCTTCCTCTGAGGTGCAACACTGGCATGTTCTCAAAGTGCAAGCCTCCTGGGTTGTTTAATAAGGATAGCCCCTGAAAACCTTCTGGTTTCATGACTGTGAGTACCTGGAAGTACCCAGGTCCACAACAGCCCATATAGGCTCCATCTAACAAACACACACAAAAAACTGTGGGAGACCCTGGATCCAGCCCAGCGGTCTGCAGAAGAAAAATGCCGAGAGAAAGCTCCCAGCTATCTCATATTTCCGTGATAATTCACGCTGCACTGGCAGCTCTGGCCTTTGGAAGCCTCTGGAAGGCCCTGGGACATTATTTATGGCAGCTACAGACAGCTACAGGCCCTGGATGTGAGCTGGACAAACTTGGGAGAAAGCAGAGGACTGACTGCCCTGTTTTATCTCACCATGCGCTTCCTCATCTCTCCTGTCTGGGTGGGGGTGTCACCCAGTGAAAGAGTATTTTACAAGCAAGCCATTCATCAGGACTCCTAATTAAAAAGCTGGAAAGCCTAACACTAGAATTGGTTTTGCCATCTTCCAACACCTCATTAACCTCATCACTGGTCGTCTGTTGAGGGCAGGATGCTCAGGAATTACTACATAGGATCTATCCTTAATGCTCAAGCAGAAAGAGAAACAGCAACACTACTTAAAAAAAATACTTCCCCCAATCCCCCAGATCATGAACAAAACAGGAAGGATGTGAAAAGGGGAGGAAGATCTACTTAAACTCTACTAAATTTAGGAATATGCACCTTTACCCAGAGGAAAATAGAGGAGGAATATTAAGTAACTCATTTTTCATAGGCCTTTCTAGTAAAGGGGAAGATGTTCTCTCAACTTCTCTCTGAAACAGACAGCTAAGAATAAATAGCTAGGGGTTTGACCCATACTGTGAACCAAAAGTACTTTTTGTGAATTTTGAACTTAGCCCAAGTATTCCTTTTTTTACTCGACTGCAAAACTAAACTTATGTTTTAAATACATAAGTAAACCTCAGGGATGTAGTTCAAACTGCAACCATGTCCATTTATTTTCTGTGACTGGTGAACTGAAACACAACAATATTCACACAACGAAACCGATATTTCTATGTTTTTGACTCCAGTATCATGGAAATGAGAGGAAGAAACTAGGTTGTATTCAAGCAACCATGACTCTTACTCTATCTCATTCCTGGTGAAAAATTGGTGATACTTGAAGGAGATAGCCCCAAGTGGTGGGACAAGACCCAAAACTGGACCTGAATCTGTGATGCTCTCACTGACCCACCAGTACCAGCCTGTCTTCCTTTGTTGGTTCCCTACAAGAAGGAAGTTACAGAGCCCGTTTTTTCAATCAAAATAAGAAATCAAGAAACCAAACAATGGATTCTCTCTTTTTTTTTTTTTTTTTTTTTTTTGAGATGCAGTCTCACTCTGTCGCCCAGGCTAGAGTGCAGTGGCGTGATCTCGGCTCACTGCCAGCTCCGCCTCCCGGGTTCACGCCATTCTCCTGCCTCAGCCTACCGAGTAGCTGGGACTACAGGCGCCCCCACCACGCCCGACTAATTTTTTGTATTTTTTAGTAGAGACGGGGTTTCACCGTGTTAGCCAGGATGGTCTCGATCTCCTGACTTCGTGATCCACCCGCCTCGGCCTCCCAAAGTGCTGGGATTACAGGCATGAGCCACCACCCCCAGCTTGTTTGTTCATTTCTGCATTTGAAGTACTCTTCAATAACATCCTCCACCTGAGATTCTTTGCCACAGTTCTTAACTATGACACAACACAACTGACCGCTGTACAGGGTCTTCCCTCTCTGTCAATTTCACAGGGACCACCTACCTGTCCCCTTGGCTTCTTCTGTCATCACCCTCCCTTAAGTCTATTGACCTGGAGTTCAGCACAAAGGGCCTCCCCTGATTTGACAGAGGTGGGCTCATCATGCAGGCTCACAGAGATGGGCTTGGCTCTCATCTAAGGCTCTGACAGCTTTGTAAATCCTTATGCTGGGCCATCATGCATGAGGGCGGTCAGCACTTCTTGTAAAGCAGTGTTAACGTCCAGGACACTTCCTGCAGCAGTGGCTTCCTGGGCCTTGGCGGTGGGTCACGACTGAAGCCAAATCAAGGCCACACCTGAGCCTTCACATGATTCAGCAGCAGCAGCAGCAGGGAACAAGCAATCACCAACCTCTATCTTTTTATAAACGGGGAGACTAAGGTCCCGAGAGAGTAAGTGATGGGCCCAAGGACACAAAACTATTTTGTGGCAGAGGCTGAACCTGAACTTGGTGACTTCACAGCCTGTCTTAGGTCCTTTTCATTCTCTCAAGGTCACTCAAGCAGCCACTCAAACAAGGTCTTGACTGCGTCCCTCCACCCTGAGGGGTACCCCCACTTGTCTCCCTACTACACAGTCTCCCATCACCGCCTTGTTTCCTTGGCTCCTTATTTATCCAAATATCTTGCTGTATTCAAGGTCAAACCCCAGCTCCTCTAACAAACCAGACCCTTTTTGTTTTTTTGAGATGGAGTTTCACTCTTGTCTCCCAGGCTGGAGTGCAATGGCGTAATCTCGGCTCACTGCAACCTCCACCTCCCGGGTTCAAGCGATTCTCCTGCCTCAGCCTCCCGAGTAGCTGGGATTACAGGTGCCCATCACCATGCCCAGCTAATTTTTGTATTTTTAGTAGAGACGGAGTTTCACAGTGTTGGCCAGGTTAGTCTCGAACTCCTGACCGCAAGTGATCCACCCGCCTCAGCCTCCCAAAGTGCTGGAATTATAAGCACGAGCCACTGCTCCTGGCGCAGACCCTTTTTCTTTGTAAACCTTCCACTCAGTTCCAGTTTCCCATCTAAGCAACATACCTGGTTTACAGTGAGGTTATCTAGTAATGGGGACTGACATCCTCAGGTCTGTGTAAATGACCGTGGCTCAAGTAACTTGTTCCAGCCCCTTGGAAATCTATGGTGACTCTCCCAAACAACATAGGGAAGTGGGCTCTCCAAATGTTGGAACAGTCCACCTTCAATGTACTAATGCCTTAATCATATAATAACAATAGTTGTATATGTGTGTACACAGACACAAGCTCACACAATACAAATTAGAGCCTATGTGTTGATGATGGTTGTTCTTGCTGTAATGTTTAGCCCAAAACACCAGCAATAAAGGCCCTTGAAGATCATGGGAGTTTACCGTGCATGATGCAGTAGACTCCATCCCAGGCTGGAAGTCATTATAATGTGTTCTTTGTCCTGATTTTCCGAGCCAGAACTCCTAGAGCCCGATCTGCATGCCAACTCAGGATACCTGGGGAATCAGCCTAGATCAGCAGGAATTTTATTTGCCTGAGGCCCCCAAAACCTCATAAAATAGTGGTTTTCAAGCATCTTTGGCTATCTGTAATGGGTGGAGATAAGGGACAGTCTCCACATTTGTAAAAGATAAATGGTTGAGGAGGACATTATATGTTGTGTAAGATTCCTTTTCTAGAAGTTTACATATGGATCTAAAATTTCCTGGGTTTGCCTTACAGAGGGTGTTTAAGGCAAAACCTAACTTTTTTTCTTGAACTACTGCTTCTGGGCACTTACCGGGGAACATGAAATTGTCTCCTTTCCCCATTCCACTCTCAGGCAAGGTCTGAATTCGTTTTTAAAGATCTGAGCACCCTATCCCTCTCACCAACCTCTCTCCTTCCCTTCCCTCTCCGTCACCCCTTCTCTTAGAAGTAAACTACATTTTGGCGGGGAGTGGTGGCTCACGCCTGTAATCCCAGCACTCTGGGAGGCAGAGGCGGGCGGATCATGAGGTCAGGAAATCAAGACCATCCTGGCTAACATGGTGAAACCCCGTCTCTACTAAAAACACAAAAATTTAGCTGGGCATGGTGGCATGCGCCTGTAGTCCCAGCTACTCGGGAGGCTGAGGCAGGAGAATCACTTGAACCCGGGTGACAGAGGTTGCAGTGAGCTGAGATCGCACCACTGCACTCCAGTCTGGGTGACAGAGCAAGACTCCATCACACACACACAAAAAAAGTAAACTACATTTTTTAGTTTAGGGGGGTTTCATTGGATCATCCCAGAGGGAAGGATGGAGGCCACTGTCTTGTGCCAAAAAAGCAGAAGCAGCCAGATTTGAGAGGGTGGCTGCAATAGAAGGTCAGGGTTTTGGAGTTTCCGTGTACAGTGTTTGGATGTCTGCACCCTATTGGCACACCATACACCGAACAGGAACGGCGAACAGCTGCTAAGCCACAAAACATTGAGAGCAGTGCCAGGGGCTTCTACACCCTCCGTGGACCTACAAAAAGCTCTTTGAAGGACATCTCTGGGCCTCTCGGGGCAGTAGTGCCCAACAGATGGCCAAGAAAAACCACCTGGAAATAAATACCCAAAGTACTTCCCAACTCAACTTATGTGGCCAGTATTACCCTGATACCAAAACCAGACAAAGACATTAAAAGAAAACTACAAACCAATATCCTTTATGAACATAGATGCAAAAATCCCTAACAAAACATTAGCAAATTTATTCTAGAAATAAAGAAAAAGGATAGTTGTGATATATTCACATAACAGAAAACTACTCAGCAATAAAGAGTAACCAACTACTGATCCCTATAACAACATGGATGAAACTCAAAAACATTACATTGGCCAGGCACGGTGGCTCACACCTGTAATCCCAGCACTTTGGGAGGTCAAGGCGGGTGGATCACTTGAGGCCAGGAGCTCAAGACCAGCCTAACCAACATGATGAAACCCCATCTCTACTAAAAATACAAAAATTAGCTGGGTGCGGTGGCACACACCTGTAATCCCAGCTACTCGGGAGGCTGAGGCAGGAAAATCGCTTGAACCCGGGAGGCAGACATTGTAGTGAGCCAAGATCTCACCACTGCACTCCAGCCTGGGTGACAACAGAGGGAGACTCCTCTCAAAAAAAAAAAAAAAAAAATTACATGGAGTAAAAGAAATCAGACAAAAAAATATGTGTGTATAGACATAGACATATAGATATATATGACTCCATTTATATCAAAATGTAGAAAAGACAAATCAAATGACAGCAGTTCAGTGATTGCTGGGGGGTAACGATGGGAAGAAATGGGCAGTGAGGACTGACAGGGAGGGGGCCCAAGGAAACTTTTGGGGGTAATGGAAATGCACATCTTGATCATGGTGGTTGTCCTGGATATATAACTTTTTCTTTTTTTTTTTTTTTTTTTTTTTTTTTGAGAGGGAGTCTCCCTCTGTTGTCACCCAGGCTGGAGTGCAGTGGTGAGATCTTGGCTCACTACAATGTCTGCCTCCCGGGTTCAAGCGATTTTCCTGCCTCAGCTTCCCGAGTAGCTGGGATTACAGGCGTGTGCCACCACACCCAGCTAATTTTTGTATTTTTAGTAGACATGGGGTTTCATCATGTTGGTTAGGCTGGTCTCGAGCTCCTGACCTCGTGATCAACCTGCCTTGGCCTCCCCAAGTGCTGGGATTACAGGCGTGAGCCACCGCACCTGGCCTGGATGTATAACTTTTTCAAATCACATCATTATGGAACTTTAAATGGGTGCATTTTATGGTACTAAACTACAGCTCAATAAAATTGATTTTTTTTTTTTTTTTTTTTTTTTTTGAGACAGAGTCTCACTCTGTCACCCAGGCTGGAGTGCAGTGGCACAATCTTGGCTCACTGCAACCTCCGCCTCCCGGGTTCAAGCGATTCTCCTGCCTCAGCCTCCTGAGTAGCTGGGATTACAGGCACCCACCACAACACCTGGCTAATTTTTTGTATTTTTAGTAGAGACAAGGTTTCACCGTGTTAGCCAGGATGGTTTTGATCTCCTGACCTCGTGATCCACCCACCTCGGCCTCCCAGAGTGCTGGGATTACAGGTGTGAGCCACCGCGCCTGGCCAAAATTGATTTTTTTCTAAAAAGTCTGAAACCAAGCTTGTCTAATGGGGGCCCTAATCCTTAAAAGGCCACAGTATTCAGTGGAGTTGGCCCAACGAGCTCTAGTCACCCAGATGGAAACTTATTTCCTACACCAAGGATTCTCGGCAAGTTGTCAGAGAGGAGTCTTGGGAAAGGGGGCAATGGTGAAAACAGCAGAAAACAATTAACCCAAACTATGAGAACCCTGAATACCCAGTAACTAACCAGAAGAGACAGTGCATCAAAAATCCATGTGCCTGATGGCCCTAGATGGCTTCCAAGGGCTCAGGCATCAAGGCTTACAAGGGTTAAGGTCCTTTCTTCAGGTTCTAACAGCCTGTTGTTTTTCTTGGCAAGGCTTTCTCATGAGAAGCCATGAAGAGCTAAGCACAGCTCCCAGAAGACAGCCAGCCAATAAATGGGGGCCTCAGTCCCGCAGCCACAAGGAACTGAATTCTGCCAACGGGCTGAATGAGCTTGGAAGTGGATTCTTCCTCTGAGCCTCCAGAAAAGGAACTTGGTCCTACCAACACCTTGATTTTGGTCTGTGAGGCCCAGAACAGACGGGCCAGCTGAAAGTCAGACTTATGACAGGCCAAGTCCTCAGTTTTTACCAAAAGAACTCCACATTTGCTAATGTGGAGGAAAAGACTGACATTGGTCATTCGATGTTACTAGAGTTCTCTTCACTTTTCAAATTCACTTGACATGGACTTGTCACTTACAATGATAAAAGAGCATTTATAGGAGGTCATCTCAATAGATATTTTTAAATAAAAATAATATTGTCTTGAGATTGCATTCAGTGTTTAGATTTGCAAGCCAATGGCTCCAAAGAGTTAATGTGCCTCCTTAAATGTTTAGCTTCTTACCAGGCAGCGCCTTGAGCACTGAGGAGAGAGGAGTGTAAAGCACTGTAAAATTTGAGCTGTGAGTTATCACTGCAGGAGAACATTCCTAGGCGTCTCAGTATAAGTTTTTTTTCTAATAAACTACAACCTGAGAAGAGACAGATCAGGCACCAGGATTTAAAAAAGAAGTTGCCCATCAAAACAGTGCAAAGTAGACACGTTTTCATTTATTTTCTTTGGAACATTCTTGTTGGCAGCTGCATCCATTTGGTTAATGGAATATTCTTGACTCATGAAACAGGCTCATTACGGAAACAGACTCAAACCAAGAGTGCGGTAGGATGTGGAGCCACCCTTGCTCTCCCATGGCACATTCTCTTAAAAGTGGTGCCTTTCCGTGACTCTTAGAGATAGCATGTGGTCATGATGGGCGTTAGAATCAGGATGAAAGACCTTAGAGGAAGCAGCATGAAAACAAGACTGTGTGAGAAGTAACAGTCAGTGTTGGACATCTCCATGCTGACCACTTTTACACCAGGGCCTGGCATGAACTCTGCACACCTCGCCTGCCCTGAGACTGTTTATTCCAAGAGCTACCAGGGCTCATCCTTCAGGACCCTTAACTATAGGACTTCACGACAAGGCTCTCAATCTGGGTCTCTCTCCCCTGAAATGAGAACTAGACACTTCTCCATGTATTCCCAAGAATAACTTTCAATGAGAATTAGTATCTGTTAGGGATGTGCATTTTAACAAAGAACTTTTGGTTCCAGGAAAACCAAATTCCATAACCATGACTCTAACGGCAACAAAAAACAAACCCAAACTTCTACCAGGGCCCACTTATTTCTATCAATATTTAATGCCATGTAACTCTAGTATAACCCAGAGTCTGATAATCCTTGAAAAATTGTTCATATTGAAGTTGACCTATGAATATGTTGAAAGAAAAAAAAAAGATCTTTAGTCAAGCATTGACTTTTTTTTTTTTTTTTTTGACAGAGTTTCACTCTTGTCGCCCAGGCTGCCAGGCTGGAGTGCAATGGCGTGATATCTCAGCTCACCACAACCTCCGCCTCCCGGGTTCAAGCGATTCTCCTGCCTCAGCCTCCCAAGTAGCTGGGATTACGGGCATGCGCCACCACACCCGGCTAATTTTTTGTATTTTTAGTAGAGACGGGGTTTCACCATGGTGGTCAGGCTTGTCTCAAACTCCCGACCTCAGGTGATCTGCCTGCCTCGGCCTCCCAAAGTGCTGGGATTACTGGCGTGAGCCACCGTACCCAGCCAAGCATTGACTTTTTCTATAAATTTTTCACATCAATGACTGACAGTTGTGCAGCATTTCAAGAAGTTTAATACTAAGACCTGCATCTTTTTAGAAAACTGTAATCATAATTTGTTATTTATAGGTCATCTCTCTTCTCCTCTGACTAGTCTTCCCAGCTGTCCTTGGCCATGCCCTCTATCTTGATCCCCACTCCACCCCAAAGTGGCAAAGAGCTTAAAAGCTCTGCTAGGATCAGTCAACCCTGCAGGCTAAACGAAGCCTTAAGGAGGAGAACTGTTCAGGAACAGCCCTCTGGCCCCCTCCCTCGACATTTGCACAAAGAACAGTTTTAGATTCTTTAGTTCCACCACATCCAAGATTTTTCCCCAAACTTCACATATTATGGTCAGTAAAATTAAATTTGCAACTTGAAGTAGGAGGAATAAAGTCAGTTGAAAAGTGATAAGAAATTAGGTTTTCCAAAACTAATCAGCTTCCGATATATGAACACAAACAACTCTGCTCAAGAGAAAACAAAACAATCTTTTTTCCTTCCCACATGTAAGTTTCACAAACAATATTATAAACAAAAAAAAAGACTAGGCATCCATGGGAAGAGAGGAAGAACCCTATAGGATTTGCCCTCGCCCTGTTTTGTTTATTCTACCCCAGAAAGAGGGGCACTAAATCCCATAAACTCCTGTACTCTAGGGGCTACATTTTTTTTTTAATTGTACTTTAAATTAAATAAACAAACTTTCTGAAGTACTGCCATTTGTTGGAGAAGAATGTAAATCTGGACTTAATGGGCCTCAGATGTCCTTCGGGGCTGTCTGAACTTGACCATGAATGGACAAGTCTGAAGCCCCTGAAGGTATTAGTGTACAACTGTGGATCAGTTTAACTGAAGACTTTCTTCTTCATTTAGTGATGCATTCTCCTCCCGTCCCTGCATACACCTGGAACTCGAAGGGGTAACCGTAGGGCTATGGACCATATCCCTTGAAGGGGTAATCATAGGGCTATCCAACATGGTCCGAGGAGGGGTGTTCCTGATGAAGGTTGACCAGGAGAGCTTCTGATGTCCTCCAGTGCCCAACAGAAATGAGAAGCAAGAGTCAGCCGTCTCCAGGCTTACCACAAATACATCCAAGTTTCCCCAGGACATTCTACTTTGCCCATAAATCCCCATTCCATTGTTGGGGCTCAGAAAACAAGATCCCAAAATGAAGACCCAAGAAACAGCCTCAGAAGCAAAAGTATTTCTCTGACCTTCCCTGCCTTCCTGTCTCTCAGTCCCATTCTCCCTGGGGTAAGGCATGGAAACTAGGATCCCTCTTCCCCAAAGTGGGTCGTAAAAACCAAAATCCGTTTTCCCCAAACCCAGCCATAAAACCTAAAAATATTAGGCTAACTTTTACTCTGCCTTTCTGTGTCAAAAACTGGCCATTAAAAAGAAATGTTCTGGCCTGGTGCAGTGGCTCACACCTGTAATCCCAGCACTTTGGGAGGCTGAGGCGGGTGGAGGCTTGAGGTCAGGAGCTTGAGACTAGCCTGGCCAACATGGCGAAACCCCGTCTCTACTGAAAATACAAAAATTAGCTGGGCATGGTGGCATACACCTATAATCCCAGCTACTCTGGAGGCTGAGTCAGGACAATTGTTTGAACCCAGGAGGCAGAGGTTGCAGTGAGCTAAGATCGCACCACTGCACTCCAGCCTGTGTGACAGAGTAAGATTCCATCTCAAAAAAAAAAAAAGAAAAAAAAAAAGGCCAGGCGTGGTGGCTCATGCCTGTAATCCCAGCACTTTGGGAGGCCAAGGTGGGCGGATCATGCGGTCAGGAGATCGAGAACATCCTGGCTAACACAGTGAAACCCCATCTCTACTAAAAAAAAAAAAAAAAAAAAAAAAAAAAAAAATTAGCCGGGAGTGGTGGCAGGCGCCTGTGGTCCCAGCTACTTGGGAGGCTGAGTCAGGAGAATGGCGTGAACCCAGGAGGTGGAGCTTGCAGTGAGCCTAGATCGTGCCACTGCACTCCAGCCTGGGCAACAGAGCGAGACTCTGTCTCTTAAAAAAAAAAAAAAAAAAAAAAAAGGTCTGACCTACCTTGTTTGACTGCAGGCCAAAAGACCCAGATTCCAGAAAAGGTCCTGCTTCACACCCAGAAGGAAGGAATACAAGTTCAGAGAGGCCCACAACAATCTAGACAGATAGGCCTGGCTGGGGTTCCCCACTTAGTCTATTAGCATTACAGCATACCTGTTTGGTCCAATCATATTTCTACCCAACTGCCTGTAATTTGTTGAACCTAACCATAAAAATAGACAATTTCCCCTGTGTCATTGTATCTTCATTCTGAAGGCTCTTGTATATACGTGTTAAGTACATTTGTATGTCTTTTCTCCAATTAACCTGCTTTTCACAAGGTGATTTTTCAGCGAGACTTTGGAGGGCCAATGAGAACTCTCCCTTGGTCCTCACATTATCCTCCTTGGACAAGTTCCATTTGCGAATGGAGTCATCTAAAAGGGTGTCCTCCAAAGACAGAGTACACCCTCAGAGGGGAAACTACCTTAACCTCTCTCAGTTTTAGTTCTCTCATCTAAGACATGGGGATGAAATTAGTATCCATGCCACAGAGTTGTTTAGAGGGTTTATTATTTAGAAAACACAGTTCAGGACAGGCGTGGTGGCTCACGCCTGTAATCCCAACACTTTGGGAGGCAAAAGTGGGCGGATCACCTTAAGTCGCGAGTTTGAGACCAGCCTGACCAACGTGGAGAAACCCCGTCTCTACTAAAAAAAAATACAAAATCAGCGGGGCATGGTGATGCATGCCTGTAGTCCCAGCTACTCGGGAGGCTGAGGCAGGAGAATCGCTTGAACCCGGGAGGCGGAGGTTGCAGTGAGCCAAGATTGCGCCATTGCACTCCAGCCTGGGCAACAAGAGCGAAACTCTGTCTCAAAAAAAAAAAAAAAAAAAAAAGACACAGTTCATTTCCTTTGACTAATGTTCTCTGCTCTTTTCTGTGGGCTCAGAAGTCTCTGGAACAGAAAAGATTTGGTCCGGGGGAAGTAGCGTGGATTTTTTGGCTTCTACTCAAGAGTCCAGGACTCACTTCTTAAGACTGTTAAGGTCATGAAAAATAGGGGAAAACTAGGCAACTCTCAGAACAGAGGAGCCTGGGGAGACACGACAGCTAAGTGCAATGTACCCCGGACTGCATCCTAGAGTTTAGTTCATAGTAATGTACCAATGTCTCTTGGTTTCTTAGTTTTGACAAATGTACCATGGCAATGTAAAATGTTAACAATGGGGGAAACTGAGTCGGCAGTATATGAAAATTCTGTGTACCCTCTTCGTACTATTTCTTTGACCCTAAAATTATGCCAAAATATAAAGCAAAAAATGCAAATATGAGGCTGAGTGCGGTGGCTCACGCCTGTAATCCCAGCACTTTGGGAGGCCAAGGCGGGCGGATCACGAGGTCAAAAGATCGAGACCATCCTGGCCAACATGGTGAAACCTGTCTCTACTAAAAATACAAAAAAATTAGCTAGGCGTGGTGGCGGGTGCCTGTAATCCCAGCTACTAGGGAGGCTGGGGCAGAAGAATTGTTTGAACCCAGGAGGCAGAGGTTGCAGTGAGCCGAGATTGCGTTACTACAGTCCACCTGGTGACAGAGTGAGACTCTGTCTCAAAAAAAAAAAAAAATTATAAATATGAAAAAATAAAGTCTATGATGATGCCACAGCATAAAAATCTAATAGCAATAGATACTCAGCAAGTGTTTATAATAGGCTAGGCTCTGAGCCACACACTGGCCTACCATTAGATATTGAGACCTCTCAACAACTCTATGACATGGGCACTAATTACATCTCCATGTCTTACATGAGGGAACTGAAGCCTAGAGAGGCTGGGTAGGGCCCAAGGTCATAGAGCTGGTAAGGAGGCTGAGGCCGAATTCAGACCTAGAGAGAGTAACTCCAAAGATTGTTTCTCACTTGCCACCACCCTAGCACCTACCATTCTACCATTTCTCCCTTTACAAGATGGAGGAAATACATTCTTGAAAGTTAACTCAAAGAGACAAAATAACATCGAATGAAGCAGGAAAACTCTCAGGGCACTTACTTCGAAAAAGGAAGACTGATGGGCTCTGTTTTTCCTCCCTCCTCTACCTTACAGGTTATCGCAATTTGTACTCATTGTACAAATGATACAAGTACATACAAATAATAAAAGTAATAATGGAAAAGTAAAACTGCAGAGAAGGCTCTAGAATGAAAATCAAATCCCTTCTGGTACACCCAGCCTCTTGTTCTAATGTTCAGAGTATGGAGAGGTAAGTTTAAGGTCCATAAAAATCAGAGTTTGTGCATAGACAGAATGTAGATTTGTCCATCAAATCCTGGACTATGAGAACCCCGATAGTTCTGAGAACTTTATAGGAATAATTTTAGAAGGAAACAAAAGCCACACTTAGTAGGAAGTAAGCTCCTGAAACTCTCTACCTGGGGAGTTGGCAGGAACATAAAAAGGTAAAAGGGCTCAGGAAGGTTTAGGGTGAATTCTTGGCTGATGGTCCTTAACAGTTGAGGGAAGCTGGAGAAGTTTAACTAGCATCCCAGTGTTTTTCTTTTTCCTATTTATTTATTTATTGAGACCGGTTCTCACTTTGTCACTCAGACTGCAGTGCAGTGGCATGATCATAGCTCACTGCAGCCTCGATCGACCTCCTGGGCTCAAGAGATCCTCCCACCTCAGCCTCCCAAGTAGCTGGGACTACAGGCATATGCCACCACACCCAGCTAATTATTTGTTATTTTGTAGAGACAAGGTCTTGCTTGCTATGTTGCCCAGGCTGATCTCAAACTCCTCGCCTCAAGTGATCCTCCCATCTCAGCCTCCCAAAGTGCTGGGATTACAGGTAAGAGCCACCACACCTGGCCCTAGTGTTTTAAAATTAACACAAGACAGATCAGCCATGATCTCCCTGGAGTCAGTATAGTTCAGTGAAGAAACAATGAAGTTGCATATTAGTTAGACATGTTTTTCAGCTGCTATAACAGAAAACCTAATAAACAAGAACAGAACTCCTATAAAGGCTTTTATTTGTTACTTAACAAGAAGTCTGGAAATGCATGATCTGAAGATTCATTCAACAACTCAACAATTTTGTGAAGGTTGCAGGTCTTTCCATTCATTCTTCAGCTTAACCACACCTGGCATAAAGGGTTTTTGTGTTTATACTTTTCAATTCATGAGTACAAGATAGCTGCCACAGCTCCAGGTGTCAGTGTCCCAAGCAGGAGAGCCAGGCAGGGAGACAAAAGTCTTCTCTTCACAAGGGCCTACTGATCTGAGAAGGAAATCCAGCCCAGTAGCACCCAGTAGATTTCTCCTTAGGTCTCAATGGCCAGACTAGATTTGGTCCCTGTTATGGTCTGAATGGTGTCCCCCATAAATTTATCAACTCTAATCTCTAGTATCTCAGAATGTGAATCCGTTTGGAGATAGAGCCATTAAAAAGGTTAAAATGGAGCCAGTAGGGTGGGCCCGAATCCAATCTCGCTGGCATCCTTGTTAGAAGAGGAAATTTGGGGCCAGGCATGGCAGCACATGCCTGTAATCCCAGCACTTTGAGAGGATGAAGCGGGTGGATCACTTGAGGTCAGGAGTTCGAAAACAGCCTGGCCAACATGGTAAAATCCCATCTTTACTAAAAATACAAAAATTAGCCAGGTGTGGTGGCAGGCACCTATAATCCCAGCTACTTGAGAGGCTGAGGCAGGAAAATCACTTAAACTCAGGAGGCGGAGGTTATAGTCAGCCGAGATCATGCCACTGCTCTCCAGCCTGGGTGACAAGAGTGAAACTCTGTCTTAAAAAAAAAAAAAAAAAAGAGGAAATTTGGACACACAAAGAGACACCAGGGACATGCACACACAGAGGAAAGACCATGTGAGCACGTAGCAAGAAAACAGCCATTTGCAAGCCAGAAAGAGAGCCTCATGAGAAACCAACCCTGCTGACACCTTGATCTTGGACTTCTAGACTCCAGAACCCAGAAAATAAATTTGTGTTGCTTAAGCCACTCAATCTGGGATTTTGTTGTAACAGCCCTAGCAAACTAATACAGTCCCCTAGCTGCAAAAGAGAGTCTATAAAAGGGTGATTTAGGAAGGGAATTCAGTGGCATTCTTGCCTCAGGCTGGGCACTCTCACCTCATACAAAATCAATTTTCTTAGCCAGGAAAGGGTTGGGGGAGTAGCTACTGGGTAGGCAACTAAAAATGTCCACCACAACTCTTGAGTTGAGAAAGCTGCATGCAATTGTACCTCTGCTACTTGGTAATAATACCTGTGGGTAAGACATGGAGTTTTCATTCAGTAAAATGGGTATGATAAGCAACATACAGGAATAACTAACAAGTTAGTCTCCTTCCTATCTCCCGACTCTGAAATTCTAAATCTGAGGGGTCTGTACCCAAAAAGGACTTTGCTTCTTTGACAAATGAAAATAAACAGGAATATTCACACAGAGTATGCATTTCTAAAATGCATGTTCCTTACAATACTTTCCGATGTTCTATTCCAACTTTCAACTATTCAACAGTGTATTTCCTGAAATAATCAACTAAACGAATCTGAATCTCCTTTCTTTACATTTTCAAAGCCCTAGGAACCCACAGTAAACACACACAAACACACACACGTACGCACGTGCAGCCAGACCCCTCCAGAAAATAAAGGTCTGACATTTTCCTGTTTGATTATATACTTCCTGAGGGCAAAAATTAGACATGGTCATTCCTGTGATGCCATAGACCACTTTACACAGTAGCAATGAGGGCTTGCCTAATGAATGAGGGGAAAACAGCCACTGAGAATCCATCTTATGGGCCACTCATTTCACTAAGACTAGTCAAATATAAGCAATGAACCTGTTTTTTCTGGAAGATGGGTCTCATCATCTTTAAAGCTGCTAAGGATCAAATTATTTTCTTCTCTAAAGAGCTTCACATATTGGGAAAGCTATCATTATGAAACAATAAGTGTTTTCCTTATATGAAGACATTTTATTTTTTAAAACTGCCAAGAAAGGACACATTAGTTAATGAATAGCATGAGAATACCTGATAAGGGAGGTGGGAAATAATGTCTGACCTGTATTATATGATTTATTTTCCCCTCAACATTTTAAAGATTTAAATGTGAAAAATACAAAGGAAAACATGAGTTATTTTTCAAAAATGCTTAGTTTATAGGTAGGCTTCTTTTCTCTTTCTTTTCTCTTTTTCTTTCTTCCTTCCTTTCTTAAGTTGAGGTCTCAGTCTGTTGCCCAGGCTGGAGTGCAGTGGCACAATCACAGCTCACCACAGCCTCAAATTCCTGGGCTCAAGCAATCCTCCCACCTCAGCCTCCCAAGTAGCTGGGATCATAGGTGCATAACACCATGCCTGGCTAATTTTTTAAAGTTTATTTTTGTGGAGATGAGGTCTCACTATGTTGCCCAGGTTGGTCTCGAACTCCTGGACTCATGCAGTACTCCCACCTCAGCCTCCCAAAGTGCTGGGATTACAGGTGCATGAACTACCACACTTGGCTTATGGAAGGGTTTCTAAGCATGTCCAGAAGCAAAAAACGAAAGAATTGATAAATTCACTACTATAATAAATAATTTTTAAAATATTTGTGAAAAATATATCATAAACAAGCCTAAATGACAAATGATAAAGTTGAGAACTACGGATAAAATCTATGATAGAAAAGCATTATTTTCCTATTTAGATGAAGAGATCTTCAAATCAGTAAGATGCAGATAAATAATAGAAAAATGGTCAAATTTTCATGAGCTGAGAATCACAGAAAATAATCAGTCATTATTTGGGAATAAGGTTAGAAGCCCACCCCTAAATAGTTAAATAATACTAAAATTTCTTTTAGGACTGTTAAAAAGTTTGATTGTATGTGTGTTTGTGATGGTACGTGCAACCACACACTTTTACTGGAGTTTTCACTGGCACGAACTTTTTTTTTTTTTTTTGAGACAGAGTTTTGCTCTTGTTACCCAGGCTGGAGTGCAATGGCCCGATCTTGGCTCACTGCAACCTCCACCTCTCGGGTTCAAGCGATTCTCCTGCCTTAGCCTCCCGATGTAACAATTTTTTTAATGAATAAAGCTAGATTTATTGAAATGGAAAACATCCAAAATGTGCTAAATAAAAAAAAGCAAGTTGTAGAACAAGATGTCCAATATGCTCCCATTTGTGTAAAGCAAAGAAAAAACATATATATACTTTTATATGCTTGTATGTGTATGGAACACTTCTGGAAGGATACGCAAAATACTGTTAACTGTGGTTCCGTCTGGAAACGATCTGTTTGAAATTTTTTACCGTGATTGCATATTTCTTTAGTAATAAAAAAATACACAGTTAAGATATAAAAAGCCCCATGATGCTTCCTCGGAAATTCTTCAAATGGGGAAAATTAAGCTAAAAGCGTTAGGGCTTATCACTTCCTCCTAACAGTTGGCTTTTGGAGAGACAGGGAAATGGTCCTAAGGAAAGGAGTTCCTTCAGGGTGGAATATTTGGAATTGCCCCATTTGGGTGGGGAAGGGGAGTGGGCTGAGGACCCAGGCAGGGCTCCTGCTCTCCAGCCCAGGAGGGAGAGCAAAGAGCAACAGATCAGGGAATTATCTCTCCCTGACTTCAGGAGCCAAATCAGCTCCGGAGGGGAGGGGAAAGGGGGTGGGCGAGGGAAGGCCCCCAGGGCAAGACATCAAACAGGACGGAGGCATCTCTGACCTCCGGGTCACAGGCCCGCGCGCTCCGGGAGCCCACCCGGGGCGCCGGCGCTGGAAGCCAATTCCGAGTGATTTAGGAAATCGCCCAGCCTGGGGGCTGGGGCGGGCAGGAAAGGAGCGATTAAGGGCGAGAAGGAGAAGTGAGGCTTCCTCGGGAATGAGCACATTTGGAAGCCAGGCAGGAAGCGGGCAGGAAGCTGCTCTCATAAAACAATCTGACAATTACGTGTCAGTGTAGGAGAAGGGCCCTGGAAATTATGGGGCTGCCGCGCCGCACTCCCGAGCCCTCCCCCGGTGATTTCCTCGGGGCTGCAATGAGCTGCGGGAGGAAATTATATTTGGGGCCAGGTGTTTGTTCCTGCACATTTGGGTTCAACTTGGGACTGAGAATTTTACGCTCACATGCTGAGGGAAACAATTCCCTGGTGCCTTTGTAAACCACGGCGGATGCACTGCCTCCAGCTGGACTGGGCTTTGGTACTGTGATTAGCATAGCTGGGATTTACCAAGCGCTTCCTCTAGCCAGGTGCTTCACCTGCAGCTCACAGCAAGGGGCCTGGATAGGTTCACTGACTTGCCACAGACAATCACTAGGGATGGCAGAGCAAGAATTTGAACCCAGGCACTGTCTCCAGAGCCCCACACTCAAATCCAACTTGAAAACATATTTCACAAACTTTTCATAAGAGCAACCAGAACCATTACTTTATACGTGTATCTGGAGGAAAGGGTTCCTAAGCAGACTGCTACCCACACATAGGCTGCCTTCTCCTTGTCATTCATTGATTCATTCACTTGTTCCTTCGTATCTATTAAGTACCTATGGTGTGGCCAGCAAAGTTAGGTACTATAAAATTATAAGACACATTCTGACTTCTTAAGAAGCCTTAGGCCTTCTAGAGGCCTTATGCCTGCAGTGGTGGCTCATGCCTGTGACCCCAGCACTTTGGAAGGATAAGGTGGACGGATTACTTGAGTCCAGGAGTTTGGGCAACATAGCAAGACCCTGTCTCTACAAAACAATAACAACAACAACGAAAATAGCTGGACACAGTGCCTGTAGTCCCAGCTACTTGGGAGGCTTAAGCAGGAGGATCACTTGAACCTGGGAGGTTGAGACTTCAGTGAGCCATGATTGCCCCACCGCACTCCAGCCTGGGCGACAGAGTGAGATCTTGTCTCAAAAAAACAAAACAAAACAAAACAAAACAAAAAAACACAAAGATAACTAGAGGGCACATTTTACAGGTTTTACAGGCTTAGATTCCAAACATATTTGCAGTCTTATCCTGGGCCTTGACATGATTCTTCTAAGCCCATTTGGATTTTCCTAGAGCAGACATGCTCCCTCAAACCCTCCAGACCAGGAGCATTTCCCAGAGCACACCTTTGGCAGCCTCCTGGTAGACCCTGATCCTCCCTCTAACTTCCTCCCTCCATTCAGAGGGCATCCTTTGGGAAGCTGGGGCCTATAAGACAATCTGAAGTTCCCCCAGGGGCACCTGAGAGGAGTCCAGCAGAGCAATGAAGTGTCCTGACTCCACCAACCACTAGCTGGATGACCTTGGGCAAGTTGCTTCACCTTTCTGAGCCTCCTCTGTAAGGTGAGGTTGTTGTGAGGATTAAATAGAAAAACACGCTGGGCTTTGAGCCCACTGCCTGGAACATAGTAAGTATTCAGTAAGTCTTGGCTGTGTCCCTGGAGGTCAGTGCTCTGTGCTCTGTTAGGAATAAGCCAACCCAGCTCTCAACACCTCTTCTATTAACAAACTGCTCTGAAGACACTGGAAATGCTATACTTCCCTCCTAGCTCAGTTCTGTGATGTCTCAAGTCACATTAATTTTTATGCAACGAACTATACCTGGAAACATGATTATTTCCTTAGTCACTGAATTCCTGAACGTTCATCTATTACTTGTGAATACTAAGCAGAACAATATTCACAGTGGACAGGAACAAGGTCTTTAGAGCTAGACTTCCAAGCTCAGGTCCCATCTCTGTAACTTGGGCAAGTTACTGAATAGCTTTGAACCTTAATTTTCTCATCTGTAAAAACTGGGATAATAAAGCTCTTATCCCATCAGGTAACTGTGAGCATCAGTTGAAAGAATGGTAAATGATTATGTGCTTGGCTTCAGGTAAAAACTCACTAAGTGACAGTTATTACCATTATTTTTCATTATTGTTACACTGACAATTGAACAAGCAAAACAGACACAATCTTTGACTTATGGGATAAAATGAACAATAGCCATGGTCATCAGTATGTAGCATGTAGATGGAGTTCGATGAAGTATTAGGGTAAATGTTCAGATGAAGCAGAAACCAGAATGCTGAGTAGAAAGGAGAAGGTATCATTAAAATGTCTTCATTTTCTGCAAATGTCATTGAGAAAAACAAATGACTGGTGAAGAAAAGACAAGAGGGTAGAAGGTGGTGGTAGGAGAGTCCTGAAAGTTTGAATTTTGCAGTTTTCTGTTAAATTGTTCAATAAAAGAAACTTCCAGTGTATCTCTTTCCAGAGACTTCGCAAGCTAAGGCTCTACCCTCCTCCTTTGGACAACTCCTTTCTCAGGGTCTGCCATTTCATGAAGAGACTGCCAGGTCGCACACATCACCTCACCGCTATACGATTTCTACCATATGCAGAGTTCCTCTAGCATGTTGGGAATTGTTTAAATAGCATTTTATAAACATTTAGTCATTCAGTCTTCATATTCTCTATCTATACTGACTCCAAGCTTTTATTTCATTTTATATTCACATCCCTGCCCTGCACACGGTGAGTACTCAAATAAGTTCCTGCTCCCTAACCAGTCTTACTTAGAATCTCCAATCTGACTCATTTGGACTTGTAAATGGTCCAGTGTGGCATTCAAATAAAAAAAAAATAGAAGGGGCCAGGAGGGGGCAGTGATGGGGCAGAGCTTGCCAGAGAAAAGGAGATGCCTGCTATTATCCCAGATGATTTCAGGACACACAGAGATCGTTTGCATTTAGCCCAGGAGAGGGTGCTACCTACTTCTAAGACAGCCTCTCCAAGAAAGACCAGCAGCAAGGCCTCTGCCACCTGAAGTGAGGCTGGGGCTCAGGCTCCCCCGCAGCCCTTTCGCTAGTGCAGAGGAAATGCCCGACTCCCCTACCCCTCCTTTGATACAAAGACCTCTTCTAAAATAGCAGGCAGGTGTCAAGGGAGCATGAAAATATCAGCAGAGCAGATGCAAAAAGAGTACACGGATGTACAGATCCAGGACAAAGATTTTCATCTTGTTTTAAGCATTTATCCAAGCAGCTCGCTGGATATTGGGGATAAAGAAAAAACAAACAAACAAAAAAACTCCATTATCTCCATCATCACCACTACTACTGCTGCATATACTCTGAGACTGCTTTTAAAAGATTCTGAGAAGAGAGGGGAAGTGTCAAGTATAGGGTTGGGTGGTCAGAGATCACAGTATATTGATGAGCCCTAAATGTGGATCTTCTTCCAGTCTTTAAATAAGGTATCTTTCTATTACCTATATTCTATTTAGAATATAATTCTATTTTCAAAGTCATTTTGTATTTGTGGTGAAATAACCCCTCTGTAGCCTGGGATCTAGAAGACCAGGTTTTATATTCCTGGTGGCATTCCCTATTCTGCCTCTCCAATGATTTTCTGCTAGTTCCATCATTTCTTGAGAGCTTAATATGCCTCTATCTTTTTTTTTTTTTGACAGCGTCACGCTCTGTTGCCCAGGCTGGAGTGCAGTGATGCAATCACAGCTCACTGCAGCCTTGACCTCCTGTTTGCCTATATCTTGAATTCTTGAATAAGAATAATCACTAGCATCTTTTCAGCAATAAGACAGAACTTTTGCCCATAATGCACTTTAAACAAAAGAAAGCATTATACTGAAGCAGATCACTCACCTGCTTCTCATTTGTCTTTTGAACAAAAGTCAGACGTCATTCTTTCTCTGAACAGAAACCCAGATAACAAAAGTAATAAGTGAATAAGAAATAAAGTTAATGTCCAATTGTGGTTTCCATCTGAGTTTAAAAAGCAGCTTTGGCACAGTTGCTGGGAACGTAACTGCAGGGAGCACTACTTAGATATTTAACATACGATTTAACCTAGCAACTCCAATTCTATGAATCACGTCTACCAATGTATTGGTACATAGATAGATGTGCAAAGGAATCCGTTGCAGCAATCTTTGTCCAGACTTCCAGAGCAAGACTCTGGAAACAAATGTCTATTAACAGGAAATTGGTGAAATAAATTACGGTACATCTACTGTACAATGGAATTCTATGCAGTCAGAAGTCGATGTATATATATGCTGTTTTGGACAGATGTTTAGAACTATGATTAAATGTAAAAGCAAAGTATATTACAGTGTGTGCAGTACAATCCCATTTATGTTTATATATATGTGTGTATATGTGTGCTTTTTAAAAGGAAGGGCTCTACATACATGGAAAATATCTAGAAGGATATCCTGAAAGCTTTTAACATCATGACTTTTAGATAAGGGGTCATGGGATATGGGGCACGTTTTACTATACATTTCTGTATTGTTTGAATAATTTACACGTGTTACGTCCTTGGTAAAGCCAGCCTCAGGAAATGGTAGGTACTTCTCTCATCTGTCTTTAGAAACCATGTTGGCTTTGGCCGGGCGTGGTGGCTCACGCCTGTAATCCCAGCACCTTGGGAGGCCGAGATGGGTGGATCACAATGTCAGGAGATCGAGACCATCCTGGCTAACACGGTGAAACCCCATCTCTCCTAAAAATACAAAAAAATTATCTCGGTGTGGTGGCGGGCGCCTGTGGTCCCAGCTACTCGGGAGGCTGAGGTAGGAGAATCGCGTGAACCCGGGAGGCGGAGCTTGTAGTGAGCTGAGATCACGCCACTGCCCTCCAGCCTGGGCGACAGAGCGAGACTCCATCTCAAAAAAAAAAACAACAAACCATGTTGGCTTTATTCACCTATATCTAGAGTCCAAGTGATAGAAATACCAAAGCAGAGGACAGTGGTGTCTGCCAGCACAAGTCCCTGTGGCTGAGGGGACATGTGAACTCAAGTCCCATTAGACATGAAACCATTATTTTCACTTTTTGGTATTCAGGTATTAAGTGATGCTCACTGCATTAAGCTTTTAGAATGATCTTGATGATATATTACCATCTCTTGGAGTAAAGATTCCATGACTCGGCAGGAATGGGCACATTGTTCTCAGCAGCTGAGAATGATACTGTGGAGCCTGTCGCTAAGCACTCTAATTGGAGGAATATTTAGCTAGTTGAATTGAGATTAGGTTCAGCTGTGAGGAACAGAAACCCTCCAATAAATAAAAGTTTATTCTCTATCATATAAGAAGCCTTGACGACAGTCAGTGCATGGCGGGCTGTTCCTTCTCTCTTGTTTCATCATCCATGGACTCAACCAAGATGGCAGTATTTGCATTTCAGACAGCAGGACAAAGGCAGGCATGAAGAAGAAGGGGAAAGTGTGTATACACAATGCCTCTTAAGTGGGTTTCTAAGAGCTGCCCCTAGACACTTTAACCTACTCACACTGGCCAGAACTCAGTCTTATGGCCTACCTAGCTGCAAGGGAATTTGGGAAATATAGTCTTAATCCCAAGTGGCCATATGCCCAGCTTAAAATTGGGGCTTTAATGTTATCACCACAGAAGAAGAGAAGGGTAGATACTGGGAGATGACTAGTGGTTTTCTGCAACACTGATATAACCCACTTTTTTCCCCTCTAATCTACTTTCCAAAGATAAATGTGTTTAGCATTCCATCATGTCAGCCAACGGCATAGCTAAGTTATCATGCTTTGTCATACACTCACCCCTATGAACTTAGGGAAATATTTGGAGAAAAGATTTGCTACAACCTAGAGAGGATGATGAGACATCCTGGGATTTCAGTCACCTGTGTTTCTCCCATTTCTGCCACCCGCTCCAGAATCTTGAACATAATGGATAGGATATGCTAGCTAGCTTTTGGAGACAGGAACCATGTCATTCCTACAATGGTTCCATAATAAACGTCAATGGAATACAGTAGAACTGGCCTGTGATGTAATTTAGAGACTACTTCCTGTGAATGAGGCAATATGTACAGGAATAGAATGTTATTTATGCTATGGGAAAGGCCCATGGGGCTTCAGACTTAGGTTTAAGGAAAAAGGAATCCACCAGCTGATTATACTAGATCCCAGGGGACTAAGGATAGTAAACAGTCATAAAGGAATTGGGGCTTCAGAAATTCCCAAGGTTAGGAAGGACTAAATCCTGTTTTGGAGCAGACAGTGGCAGACTCCCTGGACGTTCTTGCCTGACATCAATCAGTCTAGGGACTGGTGGTCCATTAGGCCTCTGCAAAGAAGGGACCTGAAGCTTCCCTGCCCCAGCCTTACCTGTCATTTACTGCCAGGCTTTCCCAGACACAGGATGGTTATTCACTAGGAATACAAATGAGGGTCCTTTTATGTTTCCTAGCCTGCAGGCCCATTAGTTAGCAGTAAAAAGCCAAAATGTTTAAATCCTAAAGTGAAACCTCCATGCTGTGGTATTCTGTCTTGTTAAAAACAAGTAACTTTATGGTTCTTTGATCAATAAATAGCATAAGGGTATAGAGATAAAGGAAAAGAACATTAGCATGAAGACAACAGACTAAATAAGGCCCCTGAATTACTCAGAGGGGTGGAATTTCAACCCTGGTAGATTTCCCTGGTAACTATGTAGGAGAATTGTTCCAGACTTGAGGACTGTGATCATGCAGGTTTGGCATCCGTGTCAGCTGACACTGGCCCCATGTTTGGCCCCATCCTCTTGGGCCCTTGGCTTGTCAGGGCTCAGTGGTCACCATGCCAGTGAAGGTCTCAAGCTAGGACTTCACCCTCCTACGTGAGACTGCCTACTTGGCCTCTCCCTACAGGCTCAACAAAGCTTCTAAAACCTATACCCAAAGTCAACCCTTGAGTTCTCCTCAAGCCTGCTTTTCCATCTCGCTAAATGGCCAGGAAATCATTCTGCAAAGTGCTCAGCTTGACAGCCTCAAAACTATCCCTGGCTCCCACTCTCATGTCCCACTTTCAAATCATCAGCAAATCTCACTGGCCCTGCCTTCAAAGCATATTCAAAATCTGACCATCTCTCATCACTTCCACTAGTCTGGGTTGCCATCCCTCTCACCTGGATTACTACAAAGCCTCCTACTTGGTCTCGTTCCTCCCCTCTTGCCAAGCCACCCATCCCATTCTTTTTGCCACACAGCAGCCAGAGGAAGCCTTTTAGAACCTAAGCCACGTCATGGTGCCCATTGGTTCTAGACCCTCGAGGGGCCTCCCCATGTCATACAGAGTAGAAGCCACAGTCTGCCCAGGCCCCCAAGCCCTCTGTGACTTGCCGCAGCTCTCCCATGGCACCTCCTACACCCGCTCCTGTGGCTAACTCTGCTCCAGCCTCCCTGCTACTCCACAAAGGAGGTAAGCATGTGTCCGGCTTTAAGCTGTGCACATGATGCTACCCAGGCAGCATTTCCGCCAGCTATCAGCAAGCTTAGCTTCCTAAGCTCTCATTTCTGATAAGGATGGCCCCTTATCAGAAAGCTTCCCTGACCACCCCTTTAAAATCCAGCTTTACTTTTCTTCATAGCACTTATCCCCACTTGACAAAATATATATTTATGTTTTACTGTCTGTCTCTCTCCACTGGAATGTAAGTTCCATGGATACAGGATTTTTCCTTCTGAGAACAGTGCTGGGTACAGAGAAGACACATATTTTTTACATGAATAATGTGGGCACATTGTCCAATTAACGTGTACCATAAGACAAGACAAACAGTAACAACTGTAACAAAAATCCCAGTCACCTGTATGAATATGTATAATGTCTTTTTTCATTACTAACCTTTTAAAAAAATAAGGAAAGAGGAGGAGGAAATTTTTGTCGGTTGGATGAAGAGGGGAGAAAATCATTTACTTAGAACCATGTTTCGGGCACTCTTCTAGGTCTGGAGGTAGAGAGTCAAGATAGATAAGCTCCCTGTTTTGTGCAGCTTATGTTAGAGAGGAAATAAAGAGGTGGAGGTGGACACTGAAGAAGCTGGGAATCACACCATCAGTAAACAAACAAATGAACAAACAAGATAATTTCAAATAGTCGTGAATAATATACATGTTCAAGAAAACTTACTGGAAATTACCAGTAAAAATATACCTGTTTTATGCATGGGACTTATCAGTCTCTTTTTCCCATTCCACCCCCAAAATCCTGCACTTTCAATAAAATATATAAATATTCATACTTGATATTTATTAAAACAAGCTGCTTATCTTAGAGTAACTACTTTGTAACTTCTATTAAATGATGAGCTGTGCTTTGTTGAAGACAATATCTCTTGTACATGGATGGATTTAGCAACTGATATTGTCCTTTGTCATATGCCCAGAAGGTACCCATTAGAAGTTAGCAGATTTTTCACAGGTCTTCAAAAGTGAATGTCTGGAATTCTTTCCAACCTAACCTTGAATCTTTGTGGATATTTCAGTACACTGCTGAAAAGTTACATGCTTTTATTTTAGTAGAGTTGGTGAAAATTCCATATGGATTCCTCCATTCACAAAACTGAATGAAAACACAGAACTCCTTAAAATAAAAATAGACACACTGGGAATCACCAGGGAAATGTTACTTATTCTCTGAGCATTCAGCTTCTGCTATCCCTAGTGGTGGGAACCCAAGCTGTCATTCCAATTTCCTATAAACTTGGCAGGACTCTGTGTCCATTTGGAATTGTAATAGCCCGGATTTCAGTTCAGGGAGGAAGGAAGGAGTCATTGCATTCCTCTGAAAAGTCCTCCAGCAGAATCTCAAGAAGCCAAAGCCTAAATGTCAGTGTTCTCCCAAAGGAAAGACATGGTTCCATCTGACGAGTTTACCTGGTATAACGCTCTATAGCCAATTCTGGCAAGCCCTCTTGGCTGGTCTTTTTTTGGTAATGTTGCTTGTTGCAGAAAATTCTGGTTCCTGCATTAGGTGTTTTCTTTTTTCAGTTATGAACAGATTTTTCATACTAAATGCCCTAGACATTTCAGACTGGAAGTTCCAGGCTGTGTATATTCTTGCTGTTCATTCTCCACTCCTGCATGCTTCCTGATTTAGAATGTGGGAGCTGCAAGAAAGGCCAACCAACTCGCCCTCCCAGCTCTCATCACCTGTGGTCACAGTCAGACAAAGGAGTTGAATCCTGTTAAAGTGGGGGTCGGGCTGGGGGGTGGTGGGGGGGCGCGGAGTGTAGACCTCAGGCAGAGACAGAGTGGGAGGCAGGAGATGCCTCTAAATGGCCCAGGTGAGAGGTATGTTGTGGGGAGTGGAAAACTCTAAGGCTTGCGGAATCCTGATCAAGCCCTGAGTCTATGGCTCCTACTTCCTTCTCCCCCATTTTTGGTTCCAAATAAGTGATTTGCTTGCAAACGGATTCCACAAGCAAGTCATTTCCTCTTCCTTGGGGGACAGCAACTGTGACGAGAGGGAGGAAGGAAGAAACACACACCTCTTCTGAACACCCGGGATCGTGGTAAGGTCTTTGTGAGCCTTGGTGAGCCGCAGCCTCTTCATTCCACAGCATGCAGCATAACTATGGAAGGATTCAAAAATTTTGCTTTTAAAATTATTGGGCTCCAAGGAGGTGATGTTGAAACAATTCCTCAGAAATGAGAAAATCTAACATACAGATTGTTTCCAAATGAAATAAAGCTTTTAACGAATACTAAACTTAAGAACTGATGGAGTTGATACAATCGGTTAGCTATTATAGGCATTTAATCCACTAAATTTGGGGGGTGGGGTTCTTTCATTTGTTGGAAAATATATTTATATTTTGCTGTCTAAGTCTGGGCCCAGTGGCTCACGCCTATAATCCCAGCACTTTGGGAGGCCGAGGCAGTTGAATCACTTGAGGTCAGGAGTTCAAGACCAGCCTGGCCAACATGGCGAAATCCCATCTCTACTAAAATACAAAAAAATTAGCTGGGCGTGATGGCAGGTGCCTGTAATCCCAGCTACTCAGGAGGCTGAGGCAGGAGAATCGCTTGAACCTGGGAGGCAGAGGTTGTAGTGAACTGACATCGTGCCACTGCACTCTAGCCTGGACGACAGAGCGAGACTCTGTCTCAAAAAAATAAATCAATAAAAAATAAATAAATATATTTTGCTGTCTATATAGATGCATATCATATATAGGATTTTATATATACTATCTATGTAACATTTTTTCAGGGCTAAATATTGCTATAGGCCCTCAAAAACCTGTTGGCCCTGAGCCCTGTGCCTGCAGAACCTAACAGATACAGTAGATTGTGAAGTAAATGTAACAGAAAAAATAATGTAAAAAGTTATTGCAACCCCAGGCTAGTGAATGGATTAACATGACTAGGAGGCCAGTTCTGTCAAGGCTCCTTGCCAACCCTAAGTCTCCAAGAGAAGCCCTGGATTTTTACACCCAGTCCTCTCCAGCCTTGCTGTAGGAAGCAGTCATCCCACCAGAGAGGTTTCTATTTCAGACCCACTCTCAGTCCCTTGGGAGTCTCCTCCAGGCTGTCCTTCCTAAACCACTTGAATCTCGATTTCTCCCACAGCTGATTTTTTTTTTTTCAAGATGTTAGCAATTCCTGTGGAACCATCTGGATGTTATTAAGAAAGTGTCCCGGGTCCTCTGAGGCAGCTGGCTGCGGCCTCTTGCCTTGTTTCCTGTGTCCTGGATGTCTAAGTTGACTTTCATAAGAAATTTGGAATATTAGCTTAAAAAAAGAAACAGTCAATATTTTTCAGGCGTTGAGCTCTTGCAGCTTAATTTCCCCGGCTGGGACTTTGCATTTCGAGTTCCCATCTTTGGCCCCTGCTCTGGGAAGGATGAAGCACGTCTGTTTTAAAAACAGAAAGCACCAGTGGTCGGGGTGAACCAGAAATCCAGTCTTCCCCACCCTCCCTAGTCAGCCTCACAAAAACTTCCTTATGTCGCTGCTGCTGCTGCTCAGCCACTTCCATACCCCCAGCCCCCGCTCCCAAGTGAGACCCTGAGTCTCTGTCCAAATGTACATGCTATTTAGTTCAGCTCTATAGGGCACTCTCCTAGCCTCCTTGAGGCAAAAAGAACAAATATCAAATAACAGAAAAATGGCTGAACAGATGACAATGATTCCGTGGTTAAGAGGGGTAACTGTGAATAGGTGGGACAATAGGAGACACCAATTTACCCGCTTCCTAACCACTAGCCAGGAGCACCTGGGGCCTGAACAGAGACGCTCCCATGGATTCATTTTACTACTTAGAGCCTGCAGATGGGGTTGGGGCACTGGCTTGCCTCACTTCCCGTTTATTACCCAAACTCAACAGCCAAGCTTTGGGTTCTTAGCCTTGACCATTTGCTTTCCCCACTAAAGGGGCCCATGGCCCACCTCTTCTTCTTTGTTGTTCTTAGACCTTCACCACCCCCACCCCCGACCAACTTGCATCTCATCACCCTTTCAATTTCATTAATAAAGTTAACACTAGTTATTTGGAAGATTTTTAAGACCCCCAATGCTATTAAATCAGACAACGTGATTAAGGACACCCACTATACCTAGGAAGTGCAAGCACAGAATGACTTTTCCAAAAGACAAACAGCCTAACTTTCTGTCTCTGATGCTGGTAGAACCAAGAGAAAATTTTGAACGGAAGCATACAATTCACTCTCCATTGAGGATTCACTCAAAAAGGAGGTAGAGATATGCCTTAATATTCCTAATATCCCTGTCACAATCCACAGGAATCTACAACCTCCTATCTGGTTTGCCATAGACACTCAGTAAGTGGTCTCACCAACCCCCATCTTTTTATTTTGAAAAGCTTAAGCTACAAAAAAACTAAAAGAATAATACAATGAACTCCTATATGCATTTTACCTAAATCACCAACTGCAGTTCAACTTTGAGCAACATGGGGGTTAAGACCCCCACACAGCCGAAAATGGAGTATAACTTTTGTCTCCCCCAGAACTTAACTACTAAGAGCCTACTGTGGGCTGGAAGTCTTACCAATCACATAAACAGTTGATTAACACATATTTTGTAGGTTAAATGTATTATATGTGGTATTTTTACAATAAAGTAAGCTAGAAAATAGAAAATGTTAAGAAAATCATAAGGAAGAGAAAATATATTTACTATTCATTAAGTGGAAAAGGATCATCACAAAGGTCATCATAAAGGTCTTCACATTTAGTAGGCAGAAAAGGAAGAAGAGGAGGGAAGAAGAGGAGAAGGAGGAGGGAGGGAGGAAGGAGGGGGAGAAGGGAGGGGAGGAGGGAAGGGGAAAGCAGGGAGGGGAGGAGGATGGAAGGGGGAAGCAGGGAGGGAAGGAGGGGAGGGGGAAGCAAGGAGGGGAGAGGGCGAAGCAGGGAGGGAAGGGGGGAAGCAGGAAGGGGAGGAGGGGAGGAGGGAGGGGAGGAGGGGAAAAGAGGGGTTGTCTTGCTGTCTCAGGGATGTCAGAAGTGGAAGTAAATTCCAAGCATAACTGGACCATAGCAGTTCAAACACCTGTTATTCAAGGTTCAACTGTATTACAATATTACCACATTTGCTTTCTCCCAATAATTTTTTCTGATACATTTGAAAGTGAAGCACAATGATCCCTAAATATTTCCTAAAAGGTAGAACATACAAGACATTTAACATTGAAAAAAAATTACCTAATAGACAGCTCATTCAAATTTCCCCAATTGTCCCAATGTCCATTATAGGGTTTTTTTGTTTTTGTTTTTTTTTGAGACAGAGTCTCACTCTGTCGCCAGGCTGGAGTGCAGTTGTGCGACTTCAGCTCACTGCAACCTCTGCCTCCCGGATTCAAGCGATTATCCTGCCTCAGCCTCCCGAGTAGCTGGGACTACAGGTGCACGCCACCACGCCCGGCTAATGTTTGTATTTTTAGTAGAGACAGGATTTCACCATGTTGGCCAGGATGGTCTGGATCTCTTGACCTTGTGATCCATGCATCTCGGACTCCCAAAGTGCTGGGATTACAGGCGTGAGCCACCGCGCCCGGCCCCGTTATAGCCTTTTAAACTTTGTCTCTGATTTTAAAATTTCAGATATTTTTATAAAATTGAGATATAATTCACATATAAAATTCACCCTTTTCAAGGGTACAACTCAGGTTTTTAGAACAGTCACAGGTTACACAACTATCACTACTATCTAATTCTAGAACATTTTCATCCACCTAGAAAAAAATCCTGCACCCATTAGCAGTCATTCCCTATTCTTCACCTCCCTGCAGCTCCTGACAAACACTAATCTGTCTCTGTGGATTTGCCTATTATGGAAATCTCATAGAAATGGACTCACAGAATATGTGTCCGTGTCTGGCTTCTTTCCCTTAGTATAATGTTTTCAGGGTTCATCTATATTTTATCTATTTGATAGTGGGTAGACATTTAAATTGTGCTATACTTGTTTTTAAAAGCCAGGACCCAATCAAGGACTATACACTGCATTTAGTTGCCAGTCACTAGTTTCCTTTAATCCAAATGCTACAACATTAATTCTAGAATGTTAATCTAGATTTAGATCCTAGAACATTCTTCCCATTTTACAACAGTAAAAGTTTTGAAGAGTACCAGTCAGATGTTTTGAAGGATGTCTTTCTGGATTTGTCTGATTGTTTCCATTATTTGACTCAGATTAGACAATTTTGGCAACACTACTGCATGGGTGAGGTTGCATACTTCCTGTTGCATCACATCAGAAGACACGTCATGTCAGTCTGTCCGATGATAGGTGATGCTAAATTTGGTTATTTGGTTAGATGGTATTTACCAGATCTCCCTATCAGAAAGATACACTTTTCTCTTTGTATAATATTAAAATAAGTGAAATTAAGTAATATTTAAGACCACGTGAATATCTTGTTTCCCAACAACCTTTAACCAATGGCTTTAACACCCAACTATGATTGTTACCTGAATCCCTTATTATAATGGTGTTACAAAATAGCAATTTTCTGGCTTTTCTGACTCTATAATTCCTTCTATATACAGACATGGGCATTTTGTAAAAAAAAAAAAAAAATGCTTTCCCTGCTCCATCCCATCTTTTTTTTTTTTTTTTTTTTTTTTGAGGCAGAGTCTCACTCTGTCACCCAGGCTGGAGTGCAGTGGCGTGATCTTGGCTTACTGCAAGCTCTACCTCCCAGTTCATGCCATTTTCCTGCCTCAGCCTCCCGAGTAGCTGGGACTACAGGCACCCGCCACCATGCCCAGCTAATTTTTTGTATTCTTAGTAGAGACGGGGTTTCACCATGTTAGGATGGTCTCGATCTCCTGGCCTCGTGATCTGCCCTCCTTAGCCTCCCAAAGTGCTGGGATTACAGGCGTGAGCCACCATCTTTTTAATCTCCACTGTGAACTCATAGTTTTTTTTTTCAACTTAATGCATTATAATCAACATCATTTGTCCCAAATTTGGGAAATGGGATCCACTTTGAGTTAGCTCATCTATCTTTTCTGATGTGTTCCCATCAGTCTTTAAGTATTTCTTTGCTTTATGTGTCTAAAGATGGGAAAAAACAAAGGAGAGAGTGTCTTACTCTCTTACACAGTCAAACACTTCGCTTCTGACACCAGATGTGTGGAGGTGGCTTTTTCCTATACGCCAAGCAATTCTCCAGCAGACACCTGGATATTCTGGGTATCCTTGAACTCAATTCAATTCTGACACACTCTTGGCCGGGCGCGGTGGCTCACGCCTGTAATCCCAGCACTTTGGGAGGCCGAGGCAGGCAGATCACAAGGTCAAGAGATCAAGACCATCCTGGCCAACATGGTGAAACCCCGTCTCTATTAAAAGTACAAAAATTAGCTGGGCATAGTGGTGCACGCCTGTAATCCCAGCTACTCGGGAGGCTGAGGCAGGAGAATCGCTTGAACCCGGGAGGCAGAGGTTGCAGTGAGCCGGGATTGTGCCACTGCACTCCAGCCTGGCGACAGAGCAAGACTCCATCTCAAAAAATAAATAAATAAATAAATAATAAAAATAAATAAAAAATAAAAAATTCTGACACACTCTGCCTGAAGAGATGGCCAGATCCCACAGGTTAAGGGTTCAGTCCCACAAGACTGCCCCCTACTTCAGATGCCAGTCACAAACGCCAGGTTGGGACCTGTACTTCTGAGCAATCAGCTATAAATTGGTGTTCCCACAACCCCCTTCTTGGGTCCAATTAATTTGCAAGAGTACCTCACAGAACTCAAAAAAACAAGTTACTTCCATTTACCTCTTTATTACAAAGTATTTTTAAAGGATATAAATGAATAGCCAGAAGAAAAGAGACATAAGGTGAGGTTTGGAAGGATCCCAAGTGTAGCAGCTTCCCTCCCTGTGGAGCTGGGGTGCACAACCCTGCCCGCACTTGAATGCATTCTTGTTAACCAACCTGGAAGCTGCAGGAACCCAGTCTTACTTGGGTTTTTATGGAGGCTTCATTACATAGGCATGATTGATCAAACCACTGGCCACTGGTGACCAACCTTCAGCCCCTCTCCCGTTCCCAAAGGTGGAGGAGGCTGGATAACTGGACCCTATAATTACATGGTTGATTCCCCTGGCAACCAGCCCCCATGCCGTGGATATCTAGGGACTTTCCAAAAATCACATCATTAAAATAAGTTCACTGTAGTCGAAAGAGGCTTGTTATGTACAACCAAAGACACAACTTTCACCTTGCACCTGTTTCAGAAGCCCAAGACAAAGGGCGAAATATTTTAACAAAAGGTATACCAATTGCTCTCATCACTTAGAAAATTACAAGGGTTTTAGAAGCCACGAGTCAGGAACTGTACATGAAAACAAAAATATACACATAAATGTATATAGTCATGTGCCACACAGTGACTTTTAGTCAGCAATGGGCCACATATACAAAGATGGTCTTATAAGATTGTAATGGAACTGCCCTATACAGGCAAACCACTTTTAAAAGTCTTTTACATTTTTACTGTACCTTTTCTATGTTTAGATATATTTAGATACGCAAATATCTGATGTTACAATTTCCTACAGTATTCAGTACAGTACATGCTGTACAGGTTTGTAGCCTAGGAGTAAAAGTCTATCTGTATACTATATAGCCTAAGTGTGCAGTAGGCTACACCATTTAGGTTTGTGTAAGTACATTCCATGAGGTTTGCACAATGACAAAATCACCTAGTGATGCATTTCTCAAAATGTATCCCCCTTGCTAAGTAATGCATGACTGAATATATATTTGTTTCACAATATCACAGTGGCACAATAAGATGTTTGTTTGTTTGAGATGGGGTCTCCCTCTGTCACCCAGGCTGGAGTGCAGTGGTGTGGTCTTGGCTTACTGCAACATCAGCCTCCCGTGCTCAAGAGATCCTCCTACCTCAACCTCCCAAGTAGCTAGGACTATAGGCACACACCACCACATGGGGCTGATATTTGTATTTTTTATAGAGATGGGGTTTCACCATGTTGCTGAGGCTGGTCTCGAACTTCTGGAATCAAGTGATCCACCTGCCTCAGCCTCCCAAAGTGCTGGGACTACAGGTGTCAGACACAGCACTTGGCCACAAAATGTTTCAGACTCACTTTGTACTTTCCCTTCTTCAGACCTTAAATCAATATTTCTCCAAGGAGGCCTAGCTTGGCTTTGTGAGAAATGGTATTTAGATACCAAAATCAGGATACTAGATGTGCTCATTGATACTGGGTTTGATACTGGGTTTTCTTACATGTCTTTGCCTGAATGACTTATAGCATTTATTTAAGCCTTCCATGTGTAACCTCTCTTGTGATACTTATCTGGGTTTCAATTAGTAAGTAACACTTACTACATCTTCAATGTGTCCTAAATGTTATAGGTAAAATAGTTGCCAATTTTTTTTAGTATTTACCAAGTGCTCAAAAAACTCTGTACATGGTATTTGCATGCAGTACTTAGTCTCTGTAACAACTCAGTGATGTAGGCATTATTATTCATCCTTATTTGACAAATGAAATAACTGAAGTACAGAGAGGTGAGTACCCTATTCAAGGTCACAAGGTCACACAGCTCGTAAATGGCGGAACTGGGACTCAATTCCAGGTCTTTCTGACTTTAAACCTGCTGAACTACTAGGTAATATTATGCCAAAAACAAACACTGTAAAGGAAATAGAAGTATGCCTTCAAGCTAACTATGCCTGGGTATATGACATCATATTTGTAAAGTGAGTGGGATTATTTTATAATCTAACTTAGAGGCAGAGCCTGCTGGTGTGAGGAGGGCAGAAGGCACATGAATGAGTAAATCCCTTCACTTTTCCAGGCCTCAGCTACATCATCTGTAAGAGTGGAATGATGATATATCCTATACCTGTATTCCATATAAGGTTACTGTGGGGATCAAATGGTATTACATAAACAGTAGTCTTGGCAGAAATTATAAATCTCTAATACAAGAAGTGGCTCTCAAATCAAACTGAGTATGTAAAATAATTACCTAAGCGGAGGGGTGTGGGCTGAGTTTAAAGTGCAGATTATTGGGTCCTACTCTTAGAGATTGTGATTTAGTGGCCTGGTGTGGAGCCCAGGAATCTGAATTTTTTCTTTTTTTTTTTTTGAGATGGAGTTTCGCTCTTGTTGCCCAGGCTGGAGTGCAATGGCGTGATCTCGGCTCACTGCAACCCCCGCCTCCTGGGTTCAAGCAATTCTCCTGCCTCAGCCTCCCAAGTAGCTGGGATTACAGGTGTGTGCCACCACACCCGGCTAATTTTGTATTTTTTTAGTAGAGATGGGGTTTCACCATGTTGGTCAGGGTGGTCTGGAACTCCTGACCTCAAATGATCCACCTGCTTCGGCCTCCCAAAATGCTGGGATTACAGGTGTGAGCCACCGCACCCAGCCCTGATTTTTTAACATACAGCAGTGCCTTGGTATCCGTGGGGGATTAGTTCCAGGACCCCAGATACCAAAATCTGAGGATGCTCAAAGTCCCTTGTGTAAAATGGCTTAGTATTTGCATATAACTTAGGCACATCCTCCCATATACATCATCTCTAGATTACTCATAATACTTAATACAATGGTAATGATATATAAATAGTTACACCATTTTTTACTTGTACTTATTATTATTATATATACTTTTATTGTTTTGGGTTTTTTTCCGAATATTTTCTTTTTCTTTTTTTGAGATAGAGTCTTGCTCTTGTTGCCCAGGCTAGAGTGCAATGGCACGATCTTGGCTCACAGCAACCTTCGTCTCCCAGGTTCAAGTGATTCTCCTGCCTCAGTCTCCTGAGTAGCTGGGATTTACAGACGTGCGCCACCATGCCCAGCTAATTTTTGTATTTTTTAGTACAGACAGGGTTTCACCATCTTGGCCAGGCTGGTCTCAAACTCCTGACCTCAAGTAATCCACCCACCTCGGCCTCCCAAAGTGCTGGGGTTATAGGCATGAGCCACTGTACCCAGCCTCCAATATTTTCTATCCACAGTGGGTTGAATCTGCAGATGCAGAACTGGTGGACACAGAGGACTGACTGTACTTCCAGGGAATTCTGATGCAAGAGACTCACAGACCACGCTTGGAAAAACTCATGTAGTTGATGCAAAGATGAGAAAAGAGATGATAAACCCATGCTTAGAAACCACTTCTACATCTTTTCAGCCCCATTTCTGGCATTTGATCGCTTTTTTTCCCTATTTCTCTCTCCCTTATCTTTTTGCCGACTTTTCTCCTATTTGTCCTTAGTTTCAGCTCAAATGTCACTTCTGTTGCCTGCTCTCATCACATCCTTTGACTCTTGATAGCACACATCACCCTGATAAGTATGAAACTTCTGTCTGTGATTAGATGCTTCCTGTCTACTTCTCTTGATGGAGCGTAAGCACCAGAGGGCAGTAACCAGGACCCGTTCAATATGCCTGGTGCCCAGCACAGCACTTGGCACACAGTGAGCCATCAGCAGGTGTCTGCTGGACAAATGAAGGAATAAAAAGTAATACTAACTTTATTACCAGACAAGACTGAACAGCACACAGAATTCATAAATAACAAATACAGAATAAAGTTCATTACCAACAAGAATTGGATACCCTACTTCCTGTTCTCATAATCTTTCCCAAGGTTCTTGGAAAGACAGTTTTCATAGAGGAAACTGCACTTTCAATGACAGATTTGGGGACAATTGCTCAGAATAGGCAGGAATTCATAATGAAATTATGGCCCTCTGCTCTAGCCTCTCCTCCCACTTACTTCCCTCCTGGTTTCAGTTGTCATCTTGCACTGAAGCAACAGCGTCCCCTCCTTCCTGGCTCCCGCCAATTTTATCTAAGCAGTTCCAAAACAGGAGAGCTGCTGGCCCAAGGAGGCAGGGTATTCCAGTGGCCATCATTAATTGCGTGTGTTCCCCGAGTTATGTGCATTTTCATTTGTGCATTTATCTCCATCCTAAATGGGGCCCTTAAAGCTCCTTTACAATTTAACCTTGAGCCAAATAAGCATTGAATTTCACAACCAGAGCTTATGCTCATGTATTTATGGCAAGGTAGGAAGTGGGATTGTTTTAAGTATTTGTGTCTCCAAATTGGCCGCTGATTCTGTCTGGAAAAACTGAAAGAATGCATATGAAGGGGTGAGAACAGGAACTGTTCTACAAAGGTTTCCAGAACTCTACAGTGACCCTGAAGTTGGGGCCTGGGAACTAAGTTCATGTGACATTATTCCTTCGGGACACAATTCCCAGTATAACAGGGTAAAGAAGGACAAAACCAACAAGAATGTTCAACACTTCCTTTTTTTTTTTTTTTTTTGAGACGGGCTCTCACTCTGTCACCCAGGCTGGAGTGCAGTGGCGTAATCTTGGCTCACTGCAAGCTCCGCCTCCTGGGTTCAGGTGATTCTCCTGCCTCAGCCTCCAGAGTAGCTGGGATTACAGATGTCCACCACACCTGGCTAATTTTTGTATTTTTAGTAGAGACGGGGTTTCACCATGTTGGCCAGGCTGGTCTTCAACTCCTGACCTCAGGTGATCCGCCCACCTCGGCCTCCCAAAGTGCCGGGATTACAGGCATGAGCCATCGCGCCTGGACAACACTTCCATTTTAACAAAGATAATAAAACATCCTTGTACTGAAACCCGTTCATCTCAGAAAACATTAAGAGAACTATGCATGATGATTCTTTCAAATCTGGTTGACCTTATTTTCCTGTAAAATTCTCTTTGGTTTTGGCATCAGAACTGAGTTCTGAACTGAGGAAAGTGTAGTGGTGTCCCAGCACCAGGATTTGGTCTTCAACACAATAAACGGCTTTGTCAAAGGCAGAACGATGCGCAGCCCACTGGGTTCAAGTCCATGCCTATTGCTTACTACCTGAATGATATAGAACATGATACTTCCTCTCTGTGCCTTGGTTTCCTCAGTTGTGAGATGGGGATAATAATACATACTGGAGATGACAGTAGACACTTCATAAGATTGTTGTGAGGTCTAATGGAAAATGTGTGTAAAGAGCTTAGCACAAGGCCTGGCATGGAGTGAGTGTTAGTGACTATTAATTCAAGGTCTGGATTCAGAGAGGTCTCTCAGCTTTAAGACACACACTTGTATGATAAGGTCCAGCTGACTTCCTAAAGCCCATGTAATAAATGTATCTGCTGGACAGCTGTCCTTTTAAGTGTAAGTAACTTCTGGGTGTTTCCAAGTCTGGGACATTGCTTACTTACCTCATTAAGTCCTACTTCTCAGAGAAGCTGCTGCCCCACATTCCTGGCCTTCCTTGAAGATGGAGTGAAGGTATATGATCAGTCTTCTCTAATCAGAGAGACTTATCTTCACAAGAGTAACATGCATAATCCATTTTGTGGCAAGGGTAATGGCGTGACACGTGGTGCTTGGGGGCAGCCATCGGGAGGCTCAGAAGTTCAGAGCCCACGTCACAGTGAGAGCTGCAGAGGTGGACACAAGTGTGTGTATGTGTGCGTGTGTGTGTGTGTGTGAGAGAGAGAGTACACTGTGTGTGTGTCTAAGCATTCAGTAAATGAAATAGGGATATGATTTCAAATCAGTTGGGGAAGACAGTTTAGTCAACAAGCAGTCTAAATATATCTGACAACTCATTTAGAGGAAAACTTAGATTCTTACTTCTTATAATACACTAAGACAAATTCCAAATGGATTAGGGTTTAAATGTAAATCAATGACATGAAATAATATATGAAGCTATCAGAAAAGTATATAGGGAAATAGTAATATGATCTTGGATGGGGATGGTTTTTCTACGTGTATTAGGATGTCCCAGTTGAGCCTGAACTGGGACTCAGAGTTTGGCTCTGTTTGGAACTGGGCAGGCTCGTACAGCCAGTGTGGGTTGGGAGCAAATATATAGTTTGGGATTTTATTTGTCTGCAGGTAAACAGGCCTTCAGGAGGTGAGGTGGCAGGAAGGAGTTAATGGTAGATATTGACTGAAATGGACACAGGTTATGGTAAGAGGCTTCTGGCCCCAGGGACCAGATCTGAGTGCCCATGAAGTAGGGACAGTTCTGTTAGGAACATAGTGTGGCCCTAGCACAATGAGCATGGAAGGGACCATTTGAGCACCCAGAAGGCCTTCTGGGCCTGAAAGCACAAGGACTCGAGGCTTTCGTGGAGGTCTACAAGGTAATGCAAGTAGTATGGAGGCAAAGCCTGCCACGCATGAGGATCAGGAGCAGAAGTTGTGGCCACCTCACCTGCTAGATGCTTCCTTGTTTATATAAGGCTGGTTCTACAGATAATCAGTAGATTAAGAAATGACTCAGAGGGCAGATTCTGGCAAGACCATGGTGGTGATATAGTCTTTGAATCTCTTCGAATTCTCACACTGAAACAGAAAACCAAAAAAGCATGGAAGCATTTACAGCAAAACTAGATATTACAGATTAAATAATGGTGGCAAATACTCTGCAGCTCCTTACATCAAAAGCTGGAGTCTATCCTTCCACTCTTTGTGTCTGGACTTGCTTTCAACAATGGAATGTAGAGGAAGTAACACTGGCTGACTCCACAGCCTTGGTCTTGTTGAACAACCTGACTCACCTCCCTAATGATGAGACACCTCCATGAGTTCATAGTTTTGTTTTGTTTTTTTTTTAAGTCAGTTTTTGATGATGACAGGGAATCAATTCATTATCTTAAAAATTGATGTATAGGCCAGACATGGTGGCTCATGCCTGTAATCCCAGCACTTTGAGAGGTTGAGGCGGGTGGATCATGAGGTCAGGAGTTCGAGACCAGCCTGGCCAACATGGTGAAACCCCATCTCTACTAAAAATACAAAAAATTAGCCAGGCGTGGTGGCAGGCGCCTGTAATCCCAGCTACTCGGGAGGCTGAGGCAGGAGAATCACTTCAACCTGGGAGGCAGAGGTTGCAGTGAGCTGAGATCATGCCATTACACTCCAGCCTGGGCGACAGTGCCAGACTCTGTTTCCAAAAAAAAAAAGAAAAAAAGAAAAAACTTGATGAATAAAGAGAAAGCATTTATTCTGCCTTTCCTATATGAATTGTGCCACTGTGTAAGCAAATATTAGATGAGGCACAGCACCTCTTTATAATAAAAAGTATTCCAGTGAATGAATGAGAAAAAAGAACTAGAATCATCAGCAGCCTATAACCCCAATGAATTAAGACTGAGGCGGCCAGGTGCGGTGGCTCACACCTGTAATCCCAGCACTTTGGGAGGCCGAGGCGGGCGGATTAAGAGGTCAGGAGATCGAGACCATCCTGGCTAACACAGTGAAACCCCGTCTCTACTAAAAATACAAAAAATCAGCCGGGCGTGGTGGCGGGCGCCTGTAGTCCCAGCTACACAGGAGGCTGAGGCAGGAGTAAAGTGTGAACCCAGGAGGCGGAGCTGGCAATGAGCTGAGATCGCACCACTGCGCTCTAGCCTGGGCAACAGAGTGAGACTCCGTCTCAAAAAAACAAACAAACAAACAAACAAAAAGACTGAGGCAATGTGCACCAACAGCTACTAACATTACAAAAAAAAAGAGACAAGCAAACTTGATGTGCCACCTGATGAAGAAATGCAGTACCATTTATAGTCTTGCCCAAGGGATCAGCCATAAGTCTGATCAAGCCTCTGAATCAGTTGCCAATTTGCAGGAAATAAAAAGGACATAGGCAAACACGCTGAAGTGCACCATGGGATCGAAATGGACCAATTCCAGACCGTGGGCAACTCTACGGGTTGAGTACCTCTAATTTTTCAACAGATAAATTCTTTTTTTTTGAGACGCAGTTTCGCTCTTGTTGCCCAGGCTGGAGTGCAGAGGGGCAATCTCAGCTCACTGCAGCCTCCGCCTCCGGGGTTAAAGCAATTCTCCTGCCTCAGCCTCCCAAGTAGCTAGGATTACAGGTACCCGCCACCATGCTCAGCTAATTTTTTGTAATTTTAATAGAGACGGGGTTTCACCATGTTGGCCAGGCTGGTCTCTAACTCTTGGCCTCAGGTGATCCCCTTGCCTTGGCCTCTCAAAGTGCTGGGATTACAGGCGTGAGCCACTGTGCCTGGCCTCAACAGATAAATTCTAAGGAAAAGAAAAGAATGGTGAGAAATCTGTTAAAGAATCTTTTAAGAAATTGTTTTAAGAGGGAAAGACCAAGCTGTAGTATATAGGAATACATATTTGGGTGATAAAACTATTTTCTAAACTATGAGGAAGTGATTAAAGTCGGGCCAGCAGGAACTTTCTGGGGGAAGGAAGGAGTAGGATTGGACAGAGCCCAGGGTGGACCTTCTGGAGGAGGCAGCTCAGTTATGTTTGTGGACCTGGGAAGGGTTTGCCTTAGAATAATTCATTAAACTGTATATTTGTTTTGTAAGATTTTCTGTTTCTGGCTTTTTGTTTGTTTACAATACAAAGGGTTTTTACAAAGAAATAATTCTGAAAAGCAGGAAGTGAAAAAGTGAAACAATTATAGCTAGAGAGGTCTTCTCATACTGTTTATGGTTAGAGAAGCTGAAATAAGAAGCTGAACTCTGCTAGAGAGGCAAACAATACGGGCAGTTTACCTAGAGTGATTTTTCATAAGGGTAATCATCTTTTTGGGGAGGAAACAAATTAGAAGGGGATTAAGCAGTTTAACAGATGTGCAGAGAAAAAGGCTAGAAAAGGTATATACGGCATTTGCCTAGAAAGGATATACAAGGTATTTGCCATGGCATATTTTGAAATAAAGCATTATGAATGTTATTTATATTAATTCATGTTCCTTATCTAATGGTTCAACAATGTACATATATTGATTTTGTGAAACAAACCATTATTTTTCTTTTAAACTGGTTAACACCAGTCAGTAGAGTGTTTCTCTAGGTCCTGGTGGACACAACCCCTGTAGCAGTCTTAGATCCTGAGCCTGTCACACTCTGCCCCAGGCATTAAGAGCGTCCCATTCACACCCTTGGCTTGGATAGGTCCTTGCCCACAAGGAAACCTTTAGGTCATCATTTGGCTTCCCATATTACTGTCTTTCAGGGAGAGAATGCATTGAAGAGCTAATGTGAGCATTCCTGTGTATTTCATAGTAATATTTCTCACTGTAAATTAATACATGTTAAAGTACTTGTAGAAGGATTGGCTTAGGTCAAGAAGATGAACACTACTTTCTCTGAAAACCATGAGAAGGATAAATGATGAGATTTATTATTTTATACTTTAAAACCCTGGTCTATTTTTCTTCTGGACATTAGGATGAATCATCTGCTGAGTCCAGGGAAGGCTGGAACAGCTGCAAAAGGCAATGAGAAAGGGCTGAACCAAACACAGGTGAAGGAATTACTTCCTAACCCTCCAGATCCTACCTTGCACTGTCTATGCTGGCTCACCAGATCACCAAAAGGCACCCAAATTCCTGATTCAGATTCAGCTAGGACATACTAACACACTTAGAAATGCCATTCCCATCCAAGCTTAAATATTCACATACATATGTTATATATATAAATATATATATTTTTTGAGACATTTTCTATTGCCCAGGCTGGAGTGCAGTGGTATGATTTCAGCTTACTGCAACCTCTGCCTCCAGGTTCAAGTGATTCTCCTGCCTCAGCCTCCCCAGTAGCTGGGATTACAGGCATGCACCACCGCACCCGGCTAATTTTTGTATTTTTTTTTTTTTTTTTTTTTTTTGTATTTTTAGTAGAGACAGGGTTTCACCATGTTAGCCAGGATGGTCTCGATCTCCTGACCTCGTGATCTGCCCATCTTGGCCTTCCAAAGTGCTGAGATTACAGGCGTGAGCCACCGCGCCCGGCCTAATTTTTGTATTTTTAGTAGAGACGGGATTTCACCATGTTGGCCAGGTGGGTCTCAAACTCCCGACCTCAGATGATCTGCCTGCCTTGGCTTCCCAAAGTGCTGGAATTACAGGCATAAGCCACCGAGCCTGGCCAATATTCACCTATATTCTTTCCTAATATATTTGTGTATGGTTTCATGTTTCAAATTTAAATCCTTAATTCTTTTAGAATTTGTTTATATTTATTACGTAAAGTAAAAATCTAATTTTATTTTTCCAAATATTAGTTTGTCAACACCATTTATTGACTAATCTATCCTTTCTCCACTGGTTTAAAATGCTGCCATTATCAGGACTGATGCCACAGAAACAAAATACTGACCTTAACACTGAGGAGATTCTTCCATATTTTTAGTTAAAAGTCAGTTGTGGCTTCAAGAGAGAGGACCAGAGCCTTGATTCTAAGACTAGACAGAGCTTATGCTGGCTCACTTACAAATACGCATATATAACCACCAGCCTCCTTTCTCCCATCATGAATTCACTACCGGTTACTCAAAACAAGTGTTCTGGAATTAGACAACCTGAATTTGAATCCTGGCTCACTCTTTACTACCCAAATGGCATCGGCTACTTCACCTCCTTGTATCTTAGCTTCTCCCTCTGTAAAACGGGGATAACAGAAGGATCTACTGCACAGGCAATTGTGAGGACTAAATGAGATAAGGCACTTAAAGTGCCTGAGCAATAACAACACCAGCAGAGTATTATTTTTATGGTAGTGATCTTATCATCATTCTCATTATCACCATCCAGATGAGCTTATGATGGAATGTGGAGGATTCATATTCACTCTTCATTCATTCAATGAAATGCTATTGAGCATTTACTGTGTTTCAGCTACCATTTTAGCAGTGAATAATAAAGGCAAGGTCCCTACCCCTCAGAACTCACATGTTAGTGGGAAAACCATTAAAACAATGGCTAAAGAAAAAATATCTGTGAATAGTACAACAACAAAGTACAGCAGAGTGATACAGCGGGACTTCACCGGCAACTTTCCCTTACCTTGGTGGTCATGGAAAGCTTCACTGAGCCCCAGATGAATAGAAGAAGCCAATAAGAAACGTGTTGTTTTTCAAATACTTAGAGTTTTTCTTTATTATTATTATTGTTATTTTTTTTTTTGAGACGGAGTCTCACTGTCGCCCAGGCTGGAGTGCAGTGGCGGGATCTCGGCTCACTGCAAGCTCCGCCTCCCGGGTTCACGCCATTCTCCTGCCTCAGCCTCCTGAGTAGCTGTGACTACAGGCGCCCGCCCCCCACGCCCAGCTAATTTTTCCTATTTTTTAGTAGAGACGGGGTTTCACTGTGTTAACCAGGATGGTCTCAATCTCCTGACCTCGTAATCTGCCCGCCTCAGCCTCCCAAAGTGCTGGGATTACAGGCGTGAGCCACCGCGTCTGGCCCAATACTTGGAGTTTTTCTAGATATGTTTCCAATTTCTTATTCGATTCCACCGTAGTTAGAAAATAAAGTCTGTATAACTTTAGTCCTCATATATTTATTGAGATTTATTTTCTGGCTTAGATACCATTTATCTTAATGAATGTACCATATGCACTTGAAAAATGTGCATTCTGCAGTTGCATAAATATCAATTACATCAAAATGGTTGATGATGTTATTCATATCTTATGTGGTTTTATTTCTATTTTTGTCTAGTTCTGTCAGTTGCTGAGAGAGTAATGTTAAGTTTTCTAATAATAAATCTGGCTATGTCTATTTCTCCCTTTAATTCTATTTTTGCTTCATATATTTCGAAGTTCTATTATCAGGAGCATGAATATTTATAATTACTCGGTAATGGACTGAACCATTTTGTCATATCTCTCTTGATCTTCTATTTATTATTATTATTTTTAGTAGAGACAGGGTTTCACCATGTTGGCCAGGCTGGTCTCGAACTCCTGACCTCGGGTGATCCACCTGCCCTGGCCTCCCAAAGTGCTGGGATTACAGGCATGAGCCACCATGCCCGGCCTATTTACTTTTTAAAGAGATAATTTTGGCTGCTATGTGGGAGAATGTATTGTAGCAGGGATCAATGGGAGAAACACGGAAACCAATGATGAGGCCATTGCAATAGTCCAGAAGAAAGTTGGTGGTAGCTTGTACTACGGTAGGAACAGGAGGAAGGAAGAGAAGTGGACAGATTCAAATGTAAAGGTAAAGTCAACAGTATCTGCTAAAGGATTAGATGTAGTGACTGAAGGAACAACTCTAGGATGACTCCTAGGGATGACTCCTAGGATGACTCCTGAGCACTTAGGTGGATAATGGTGTCTTTTAATGAAATGGAGAAAATTTAGGAAGAAGCAAGTTGACAGTAGGCTGTAATAAGACATATTAAGTTTAGGGTTCCTATTAGATATTTAAGAAGAAATGGCAAGTACGTGGCCAGATATTTGACTCTGAAGTTCAAAGCAGAGGTTGGAGTGAAAGGTATAGATTGGGAGCTTTAGCTTATATGTGGTATACAACAAAATGGGATTAGATGAGCTTACTTGAGGGAAGTGAAGATGAAAAAAAGTGGTCTCAGGAACAAGCTCTTGGACTTGCCAAAATTTGAAAGTTGAATAAAAGAAAAAAAAGCAAAAGAAAATGTAGAAGTTTCAAGTAAGATAGGAGAAAAGCCTCCAAGAAAAAAAAAAAAATGCTTTAATAAGAAATGATAAGTCAACTGAATGCTGCTGTGAATTTGAGAAAAATGAGATATAGAATAACCTTTAGATTTAGCAGTGTGGGGTTGGGCGTGGTGGCTCATGCCTGTAATCCCAGCACTTTGGGAGGCCGAGGCGGGCAGATGACTTGAGCTCAGGACTTTGAGACCAGTGTGGGCAACATGGTAAAATCCCATCGCTACAAAAAAATACAAAAATTCACCAGCAGGCCGGGCGCGGTGGCTCACGCCTGTAATCCCAGCATTTTGGGAGGCCGAGGCAGGCGGATCACGAGGTCGGGAGATCGAGACCATCCTGGCTAACATGGTGAAACCCCGTCTCTACTAAAAATACAAAAAAATTAGCCGGGCATGGTAGCGGGTGCCTGTAGTCCCAGCTACTCGGGAGGCTGAGGCTGGAGAATGGCGTGAACCCAGGAGGTGGAGCTTGCAGTGAGCGGAGATGGCGCCACTGTACTACAGCTTGGGCGAGAGCGAGACTCAAAAAAAAAAAAAAAAAAAAATTCACCAGCAGTGGTGGCACACACCTGTGGTTCCAACTTCTCGGGAAGCTGAGGTGGGAGGATCATTTGAGCCCAGGAGGCAGAAGTTGCAGTGAGCCGTGATTGCACCACTGCACAGCAGCCTGGGTGACAGACAGACCTTATCTCAAACAAACAAATAAACAACAGATTTGGCAGTGTGTGAGGGGTGAATGAGGGTCAAAAGCCCACATGGAGTGGGTTGAGGAGAAAACGAAAGGCAGTGGGGAGTCAAGATGGTGACCATGGAGAGTATTTATGGAAGTTACACTGTGAATGGGGAAAGAAAGGGGCAGTGGCTGAAGGAGGATCTAGGTCAAGGAAAGTTTTCTTTGCTTAATGTTGGAGTTACAAGAACATGTTTATATACTAATAAGGAAAATCCACTATGTCTTGACTGTATGAACATAACTGTATCCAAATGCAGCCTGCCTATTCTTGGCTTTCCTTTTCTTACTTCGTATGTTCCCAAAGAGGGGGAAAGGATATATTTTGCTTTTTTTTTTTTTTTTTTTGAGACGGAGTCTCACTCTGTTGCCCAGGCTGGAGTGCAGTGACACGATCTCGGCTCACTGCAAGCTCCGCCTCCCAGATTCACGCCATTCTCCCGCCTCAGCCTCCCGAGTAGCTGGGACTACAGGCACCTGCTACCACACCCAGCTAATTATATTTTGCTATTTTTAAAACAGATAAAAACAGATTATGTAGTTATCAATGAGAACAAAATCCCACTGTTATCTGATTATGAACAGGCACTTATGGTCACTGATTTCAGTGATTCTACATTTAACATCCCATGTATATTTTTAATCTTTTATATATGTAGCAAAAGCTACATATATAAAAATAAGGGTATTTTCTCTTGGTGATATGGTCAGTCAGTCCTTTTGATTATGAATTATACAGGACTTTCCTAGAATCCCAAGGGGAACAATATAGTTTAATGATAAGAATACAGACTTTAGTATCACACATACCTAAGTTTTAAGTCTTGGTTCTGCTTCTTTTTAATGCGATAGATAATAAATACAGATCCCAGCCAAATATTTGCCTGTCTTCTAGACTTCATTAATACCATATCTGACTTTCCAATCTTGTACTCAATGACTGCTCAGTACATATAACTGTAGGTAATATATACTGTAACCACTTTAAAATCTACCTCAGCATTGGAAAACTATGAATACAGGTGACCCAAGCCAGGCACTCAGTTTGCCTGGCAGATGTGAAGACAGTCCGCACCTCCAAGGGTTTCCAGCCACCAAGGATCGCTAAATTGCATAAGCAGGTGTCCGTGCAAAGTCTGAGAGGTTAATAATGAACAACTCTATTTTATCTGTGGCTAGGGAGGTGGACTCAGTGTTGTCGACACCAGGCAAACACACAGCAAAGCATTTCCCAAGAGAGACTCAGATAAGTCAAAGAGAAATGCACCTGTTAGAAAGATTACCCTTTTCCTAGGATTTCCTACCGGTTTCCCAACAACGGGTCATATTTGTGCACACGAGTCACTCTCTGCCCCTCTGCCTTGCTTATCTGAGCTAGTAATACTCAAAACAAAGACAAAAAATGGAAATTTAATCTCCCCTGAAACCTATTAAAAGACAGGACAATCCTCATCAACGGAAAGGATCAGATTTCCCATCTCAAGTCAAAGGAAGAGCTCTGAGAGTGATAATCTTTGGTTTCTAGAAATTATACTGAGAGGCATTATTCCATTGTTCTCATTTTGGGGTCTGAAATTTGCCTGAAAATAAAGCAACAAGGAGAATAGATGTTTTGTAATGATTTGCATATATTTGACGTGCTCTCTTGACAGTCAGAACCATCGCAGTATCAAACTAATCATATACTTCAAAGTGAAAAAGAGAAAATAGGCCCTCTCTTACAAGTCAAAAAATAAATATTCCAGGTGAGGCTTTTGAGTTTTTATCTAGTTTTAAACCCTGTGCCAGGAAATGGAGCAAATGTGCTCTTGCATTAAGAAACATCCCTTTTCGGGGTTCTTTAACATTCACAATGAGCAGACAAACCTTTGTGACCATCAGCAACTCATCCACATTGCCCCTTACACACACATACATGCAAGTATGAGAAACTCAATCTTCCTGCTTTTGAAACACAAAAGGCTGCCTGGCCCCATGGTAAAGAGGAGTTTAGGTATCCCAGGAAAGGGCTTAGATCATCGGCCACACAGGCCGGCCCCTGTGGCTCATTCCTGCTGGAATGAAAACCACTACCAAGGGTAAGTGCTTATGGGTGAATTATTATTGTTTACATGGTCTTCTTCCAAGTTGTAAAACTTCTTTGAGGTCTCCAACCAGAATGAAGAGCACAGATTAGGCATGAAACAGCAAAGTTGTACAGAGAGGGGATAACAGCATGAAATATTCCTGATGGATGGTCAAATTGAGCAGAACACTGGCATATGTACTGTGGCTCTCTGGACTCCCTGTTGTTCATTTTTTACCGGCCTAATTAATATTATCTGGCTTAGGAGAATTAAAGGGTCCACAGCAATCACAGAAAATTTAGGATTGAGATTCTTCCTATTCTCATTAAAGGAGTGAGTTAGGGGTTATCCTTTCGCATATGACTATAAGAACGTGCGTGTAAAAGAGAGCACGGCCAGGCGTGGTGGCTCACACATACAATCCTAGCACTTTGGGAGTCCGAGGCAGGTGGATCATGAGGTCATGAGATTGAGACCATCCTGGCCAACATGGTGAAACCCCGTCTCTACTAAAAATACAAAAATTAGCCGGTGTGGTGGCATGTGCCTGTAGTCCCAGCTACTCAGGAGGCTGAGGCAGGAGAATTGCTTGAACCCGGGAGCCAGAGGTTGCAATAAGCCAAGATGGTGCCACTGCACTCCAGTCTGGCAACAGAGCGAGACTCCATCTCCAAAAAAAAAAAAAAAAAGAGAGAGAGAAAGAGCATAATATTTTAAGCTGTGTCTCCTGGAAGATGTAAAATATGGAGAAGGGAAAAGTATTTTCTGCTGTTAAGAGGAAGGTTTCTCAGTGTAATTTATAGGTGATTTGCACCAAACTCATGTATGTTAAAAATACAGATGCTTGATAATTTGCAATTGCAAAAATATGGAACCAGTCCAAATGCCCATCAATCGACTAGTGGACAAAATGTGGTACACACACACACACACACACACACACCCCATGGAATACTACTCAGCCATAAAAAAGAATGGAATAATGGCATTTGCAGCAACCTGGATGGAGATGGAGACCATTATTCTAAGTGAAGTAATTCAGGAATAGAAAACCAAACATTGTATGTTCTCACTTATAAGTGGGAGCTAAGCTATGAGGACACAAAGGCATAAGAAGGATACAATGAACTTTGGACACTCAAGGGGAAGGGTGGGAGTACTTATCCATGTAACTAAACACCACCTGTTCCCCCAAACCTAGTGAAATTTTTAAAAATACAGGTGCTTGGACTCCCCACCCGGTAAGTTCAGACTGAGTGACCTGTGGTGGGTCCTGGGAATCTGCATGTTCAACATGCTCCTCTAGTAATTTTTAAGTGCCTGGGAGTTGGAAAATCACTAACACTATAGTGTCAAGCCTCCTGGAATAAAACAAATACATTTCCTTCATCCATATTTTCAGATAGGCCAAGGTTACCGCACAACACCTATTAAAGATACATAGTAAAGGTGAAATTGTTCAAAACACGAGGCCAGGACCACTGGCTATCCATGAGGAAAAATAAAAACTTGATTCCCACCTCATACCATACACAAAATTCAACTCTAGATGAATGAAAAATCTGCCTGTTAAAAATCAGCAATCCTTTATCTTTAGAAGAAAAAAAAAGAATTTTTCATATTGTGGTAGAGAAGGACCACAAGCTACAAAAAACACATAGTATACGATGGGCCTGTAATCCCCGCACTTTGGGAGGCTGAGGCGGGCAGATTGTCTGAGCTCAGAAGTTTGGGACCAGCCTGGGCAACGTGGTGAAACCCAGTCTCTGCTAAAATATAAAAAATTAGCCAGGCATGGTGGCATGCACCTGTAGTCCCAGCTACTCGGGAGGCTGAAGCAGGAGAATTGCTTGAACCTGGGAGGCAGAGGTTGCAGTGAGCTGAGACTGTGCCACTGCACTCCAGCCTGGGCAACAGAGTAAGACTCCATCTCAAAAAACAAAAAACAAAACAAAAAAACCCCACAAAGTATAAACAAATGATTAATTCAGCTACATGAAAATTTTAGAAGTCTTTACAATAAATGACTCAAAATATAAAAGAAATGCAAATAACTGGAAGAAGATATTTGAAACACACAACTCTGATAGATAATTGCCATCCATACTTACTAAAGAACTCCTACAAATCAGGAAATATATAACCTAATACTACAGACTTGGACAAAGGATATAAAAGCTGGCAATTCACTAAGAAGAAAACCCAAATGTCCAATAAACAAATGAAAAGATGCTCAGTCTCACTAACAATCCAGCAAACCAGCAAATGCAAATTTTAAAAGTTAGATACTATCTTCACATATATTAGATCAGATTTAAAATCTAATAATGTTAACAGTTTGCAAGAAGGTTAAGAAATGGTAGTGCTTCTACATTGCTAATGATATTGTTAATTCATTTAATGAGTTTACAGAGCCATTTCTTAACCTCTAGTTAATTTTAAAATGCACATATTCCATGACCCATCAACTTCTAGATACATAATGAAGAAAATTTCATCTATGTGCACAAGGAATGTATGTAAATATGTTCATTTTGCCAATGTTTATAATTATAAAAAAATTGTAAAAGGCCAACATATCCATCAATAGAGTAGTAAATAGACAAACTGTGCTATATTCATATAGCTAATTACTTACAGCAGTTAAAATGAAATAAGTATATTGAATTAACATGGATAAGTCTACAAAACATAATGTCCAAAGAAAAGCATGTTTCAAAAGCATATATACAGAACAATATCATTTAAGTAAATTGGTTAAAATACAAATAGTATTATATATTATTATGTGAACAATCACATGTAATAAACAGTACAAAGCATGGATGCAAATTATGCACATTGTATTAGTCTGTTCCCACACTGCTATAAAGAAATACCTGAGACTCGGTAATTTATGAAGAAAAGAGGTTTAATTGGCTCATAGTTTGAAAGGCTTAACAGGAAGCCAAACCATATCATTCCACCCTGGCTCCTCTTAGCTCATGCCCTTCTCACATTTCAAAACACAATTATGTCTTCCTAACAGTCCCCCAAAGTTTTAACTCATTCCAGCATTAACCCAAAAGTCCAAGTCCAAAGTCTATCTGAGACAAAGTAATTCCCTTCCCCCTACTAGCCTGTAAAATGAAAAACTAGTTAGTTACTTCCAAGATATAATAGGGGTACAGGCATGGGGTAAATGCTCCTATTCCAAAAGGGAGAAATTGGCCAAAACAAAAGGGCTACAGGCCCCATGCAAGTCTGAAACCCAGCAGGGCAGTCATTAACTCTTAAAGCTCCAAAATGATCTCCTTTGACTCCATGTCTCACATTCAAGCCACACTGATGCAAAGGATGGGTTCCCAAGGCCTTGGGCAGCTCTCCACCTGTGGCTCTGCAGGGTACAGCCCCTCAAGCTGCTTTCATAGGCTGGCATTGAGTGCCTGCAGCTTTTCCAGGTGCACGGAGCAATCTGTGGGTAGATCTACCACTCTGGGATCTGGAGGACGATGGCCCTCCTCTCACAGCTCCTATAGGCAGTGCCCCAGTGGGGACTCTGTGTGGGTACCCTAACCCCACATTTCCTCTCCTCCACATTGCTCTAGTAGAGGTTCTCCAGAGGGATCTGCCCTGTAGCACACTTCTGCTTGGACATCCAGGCCTTTCCATACATCCTCTGAAATCTAGGTGGAGGTCCCCAAATCTCAACTCTTGCCTTCTGCACACTGGCAGGCCCACCACCACATGGAAGCTGCCAAGGCTTGGGGCCTGTAGCCTCTGATGCCTTAGCCTGAGCCATACCTTGGCCCCTTTTAGCCATAGCTGGAGCTGGAGTGACTGGGATGCAGGGTGCCATGTCTCAAGGCTGCACAGAGCAGCTGGGCCCTGGGCCTGGCCCATGAAACCACTTTTCCCTCCTAGGCCTCTGGGCCTGTGATAAGAGGGGCTGCTGTGAAAGTCTCTGACATGCCCTGGAGACATTTCCTCTATTATCTTGGCTATTAACATTTGGGTCCTCTTTACTTATGCAAATTTCTACGGCAGCCTTGAATTTCTCCCCAGAAAATGGGATTTGCTTTTCTACCACATGGCCAGGCTGCAAATTTTCCAAACTTTTCTGCTCTGTTTCTTTTTTAAATCTAAGTTCCAATTTCAGATCAACTCTTTGTGAACACATATGACTGTACACTGTTAGGAGCAGCCAGGACACTTCTGGAATGCTTTGCTGCTTAGAAATTTCTTCTGCCAGATACCCTAAACTATCTCTCTCACGTTCAAAGTTCCACAGATCTCTAGGGCAGGGGCAAAATGCCACCGGTCTCTTTGCTAAAGCATAGCAAGAGTGACCTTTATTGCAGTTCCAAACAAGCTCCTCATTTCCATCTGAGACCACCTCAGCCTGGACATCATTGTCCATATCACTATCAGCATTTTGGTCAAAACCATTCAACAAGTCTCTAGGAAGTTCCAAACTTTCCCACATCTTCCTGTCTTCTTCTGAGCCCTCCAAACTGTTCCAACCTCTGCCCATTACCCAGTTCCAAAGTCACTTCCACATTTTCAGGTATCTTTATAGCAATGTCCCACTTTCCCGGTACCAATTTTCTGTGTTGGTCTGTTCTCACACTGCTATAAAGAACTACCTATGACTGGGTAATTTATGAAGAAAAGAGGTTTAATTGACTCACAGTTTTGTAGGCTTAACAGAAAGCCTGGTTAGGAGGCCTCAGGAAACTTGCATTCATGGCAGAAGGTGAAGGGGAAGTAAGCACATCTTTCCATGGCAGAGGAGGAAGGTGGGGGAAGTACCACACACTTTTAAACCATCAGATCTCATGAGAACTCACTATCACGAGAACAGCAAGGGGGAAATCCACCCCCATGATCCAATCACCTCCCACCAGGTCCCACCTTCAACATGTGGGGATTACAGTTCCACATAAAATTTGGGTGGGGACGTAGATCCAAATCATATCACACATCAACTTTCAGTTAACGGTTTATTCTGGGGATGGAGGAAAGGACTTTAGCTATAATGTTTCTTGCCTTAAAAAATAAAGATCTGAGAAAGAGGATTTCCAGTTTCATCCATGTCCCTACAAAGGACATGAACTCTTCATTTTTTTATGGCTGCATAGTATTCCATGGTGTATATGTGCCACATTTTCTTAATCCAGTCTATCGTTGTTGGACATTTGGATTGGTTCCAAGTCTTCGCTATTGTGAATAGTGCTGCAAGGACAAAAAACCAAACACTGCACGTTCTCACTCATAGGTGGTAATTGAACAATGAGAACACATGGACACAGGAAGTGGAACATCACACTCTGGGGACTGTTGTGGGGTAGGGGGAGGGGGGAGGGATAGCATTAGGAGATATACCTAATGCTAAATGACTAGTTGATGGGTGCAGCACACCAACATGGCGCATGTATACATATGTAACAAACCTGCACATTGTGCACATGTACCCTAAAACTTAAAGTGTAATAATAATAAAATAAATAAATAAATAAATAAAGATCTGAAGTGAATATGACAAAATGTTAACACAGTTGTTAATGTGAGTGATGAGTAAATGGATGTCTGTTGTATTGTTTGTGTAGGCTGAAGTATTTAATAATTAAACAATAAAAACAAAAATGAACAAAAATAAAAAAAAATAACAAAGTTGTTATTAGGTAAGACTGACATAGTCCATTACAGTCCTGGGTGTAGGACAGTTTTCCAGGTGTCCTTGGACTGACCCGGTTCTCTCCCTTTTCTCACTTGTAGTTCTCATGAATAACTGTAGGATGGGCTGAGAATTCAACATTCTGAGATAAGAGTGAGCTGGCTAGAACAGCCAGGCTCTGTTCCAGTCCCCACTTAGAAACAGGATGTCCTTCAATGCTTTATACCAGTGAATCATGTGACCTCTGTGTATGAAACCAGGGTGAGCTGTTTTCTGGGGTCCCTCAGCTATTATCCAAGTGGGGCATGTGCAGTTGAGACCCCAACTGCCCCGGACAGTTTTCCTGAGCCTTGGGGGACTGTCTCACCCTGAATCCTAGGCTTCTGCTGTCCCTTGCTGCCTATCCAAAAGTAATAAACCCACTCTGTGTAACTCATTGTATGTACGGGTGTTCTGTCTCACCAGACTGAGGCAAGTTGATACCAGTGCACAGTGAGCTGCTTCTCACTGTGATGCATGGAAAGAGGGGGAATAGTTTAGGTCACCAGTCTTTTCAAAGAAAGATGGTGGGAAGCAGGAATAAAAATATTTTTATGAGGACTAACTCCTATAGGATTTGGTTAAAGCAAAATATGAGTAGTAGTATTTACTCATAGAGGAATGGAGATACCGATCATAACAAAGGTAGAATGCTATATTGATACCAAATGTTTTCAGCAGCCAGGAGATAATGTGGTTGTACTTTTTCTTAATAAATCTGCCATGAAAATAGCACCAAAGAAAACAAAGAGATGAGAATATCTCATTAGTGTTAAATACTGAAAACTAAAGTATCCCTTGTGATATCCTGAGAAAATACATTTGGTCAGGCCATAGGCTGTCAAAGATTGGTCTCCAGAGAAATTGTATGCAGAGACCCAAAGGGTTTACTCTTCTCTTAGGTATTTCCGAGGCAAAAAGTCTTCCTTGAAGTCACAGACTAAGGGCTATAAGGTTAATGACAGCATCTCCTTTTCTAGAAATTTTTGAGAATGAATAACAGACATGATTGAGTGAAACGCTGCTTGGGAAAACAAAATTCTGGACCAGAATCTAGTATGAAGTAGATGTTCAGTGAGCATTGTTTAAACTTAACAACACAGCCCCAATAAATAGAGGACAACTGAGGTCAATGAACAAAGAAGCTATGCGACACTTAATTCTTTTAGATGAAGTTCTATCATCACGGACCATGAATACTTCATACTTCCTCTTTCCCCTTTTACTTCTATTTTTATCCCATTTTCTCCACTTTCCTATGACACTCTGCTTTTGTTAATGTGGCCTTAAAGTTTACTTAATTGGGTGTCTAAGGATTTCTCCAAGTCCATCACCTGCTAACAGGGTGATCTGTGCTCTAAAAAGCGCTATAGTCAGAAGGCCTTTCATTTTATAGTAGAGCTTGTAGATGTCAACCTAACAGCTTCCAACTGACGCATGTATCTGGAGGCTAGGTGTGTTGGGGGAAGTTAGGCCCCTCTCTCATCCCAGGAGATGAACTGTTATTAGTCAAAGCCAAATAGAGGAGGATTCCGCTTGCCAGTGAGTGTTTTAGGAATAAGTATGTGTTACAACTCTGGCCAAGGGGACAGGAAGGAAAGTCTGCTAAGAAACTCATTTTGCTCTTAAAAAGGAAAAGAGGCTCATTCCCTCTTCTGGTCTTTTTGACTATTGAGATGATACCCTTGGTTAATGCAGTCATCCTGTGACATGAGAGGACAAACCTAAGAGAAACAGCTATAGATAGAGAATGGCAGAATGGACAGATCGAAAGAACTCGAATCCTTGATACTATCATTAGCCACTGAATTCACTGACCCTGGAAGAGCCCTACCCTAGGATTTCCTGTTAAGTGATCTAGTGAATGTCCTAACTATTTAAGTGAGTTTTAATCGGGTTTTCTGTTTCTTGTAGCAGAAACTGTCCTAACAGGTACACTCCAACCCCAAACAGTGATTATCAGATTCAATTAACTGAGACTTTGGGCAAGAGCATCTCTGTGGAGACAGCCTGTATCCTTTAAAATCGGGCTTATTGGGCCAAGGGAAACTCATTCCTTGAGGATTTTCAATCCTTCTTCTCCTGGCAAGATTTTGGAAAGGTCACTCTCTTGGTAAGCAGTCATTCACTTAACAAATATTTATTAAGTACCCACCATAAGCCAGGCACTGTTTTAGAGATTGGGATAAGAATGTTGAACAAGAATTACAGACTCATTGTTTTCACGGAGCTTACACTGGGGGGTAGGATGGGGGGCTACGACAAAGGAGTAAACAAATAACTGAATAAGATGACCTCAGATAGCAATAAATGCCAAGAAGGAAAGCAAGCACAGGGCTGTGACCAGTAGTGACCCATGGGCGGCAGGGCCATTTTGCACAAGGTGGTGGCCTAGGTTTGTTTGAGAAAGTGATGTCTGAGTGCAAATCAGATGAGGAGTCAACACATGGGAATCTGGGGTCAGAGCTGTCCAAGCAGAGGTCAGGACCACGTGCAAAGATCCTGGGGAGGAAATGAGCCTGGGGAACTTGAAGAACAGAAAGAGCATGCCTGTGGCTGGAAAGGCAGGAGGAAGGCAAAGTGCTGGAGGGCGAGGGCGGGGAAGTAGGCAGGAACCAGGTCAGGCAGGGCCTCAGAGACCATGATGAAGAGTCTGGATGCTATTCTAAATGCAAAGGAGAGCTGCTGGCGTATTTGCAGCGAGGGCTTGAGGACTCACGATTCAATTACCAGGAGGTTGTATTGCAGGCTGCCCTCTGGTTCAATCCCTCAAAAGGCCATTTTCTCTCTTTCTCAGCAGGGCAGAGCCCTAAACACAGAATCCCAGTGCCTTGGGATGCAGCCTGAGCTGAGGGAGCAAAAGGACAGAGGCTGACGCCATGCCCAGGCTCTCACTTTGGTCCTGTCGCCAGGCAGCCCATTTGGAGGCCGGCACGTCTCTGTGAGAGAGATGTGGAACCTGACATGTAAAATAGTAAGAAAAAAAAAAATCTACTCGAGTTCAGTGCCCTGTTGGAGGCCTCACAACAAGCAGTAAAATTTTCTTTAAAAAAAAAAAGAAAGAAAGAAAACTAGGTCAGAGCACTTCTGCCTGGTAGCACACATAGAGCTGGGCAAACTCCAAAAGCCACTGCTCCACTTGGAGGTCTCTGTTGAGCAATTTGAGTGATGTCAGTACTAAGGGCCTCCGAAATCAGTCCCATTTCTGAACCTGACCTCACCCGCAGTTCTCCTGGTAACTTTAAAACCATTTCTTCCTGCCCTGTGCTGTATTTATCCCATGTGTTTATTTTCTATACGATCCATCCCGAAACTGAGCTCTGTGTGAGTTTCCAGGTCACCATGTCCCATCGGGGCAAACTCAACAGATGTGGGATAAGCTGGAAGATAAAATGGGCCATCCTGCCATTGCTGAGCACAGCCTGGCACTCACTGTGGAGGGGGGTTTCTTGTTCCAGGGCCAGCCAGGGAAAGTTAGCGTCTGTGATTTGTGCAATCAATCTTCTTTTTCCGAAGGACATCCTGTGGGCAAGGCAGGTCCTCCCAACCCCATCGCCAAGAATGTTCCTTGCTGACATGTTCAACACGAGTGGAGGTCACAGCAACATCCACAGATTCCTGAGAAGCTTGCTTTAATTTCTTTTTTCTTCTGAGGGCACCAGCAATTTCCTTCCATTTAATTCATCCTCTGGGTCTCCTGGCGCGGTCTGCTGTTGTCACAGCAACAGGGACCAGCATTGCTGCTCTCTGAGGTTAATGCACCCTGTGGCCCTCTGCCCATAGGCCTCTCAGCCTCATCCCCAACAGCCCTGCCTCCACTGGGCCCTTCCCCACCAGCAGCCTGGGCACCACCTCCAGACCATGAGCTGACAGAACTTTCAGACAAGACTGATGCCCCTTGCTTGTCTACCAAATCTCAACAAATTGGAAACAAAACAAAACAAAACAAAACAAAAAAACTCCCTAGTAAACCAAACTCCAGACCTTTGAACCCTGTTTTACTAAAGCTAAAATGGATCTTTCATCCTTTTGAAACCACAAGCAGAAATTTGGTTTGACTATGGGCTGTCTTCATTGACCCCTTCCACATAGGAAACTCATTCTTCAGCATCTTGTTTGGGTAGCTTGGTATTACAAGGCTGGCATTTATGATGATGGTGGGGCTGGTGAGAATTGTATTCACAAAAACACTGGAATGTAAGCACAGGCAAGGGGAAAGCCTTTTTGGTGTTCTTTGTCCTTTATTATTATTAATTACTTATTATTTATTATTACTGCATTCCTGGCACTTAGAACAGAATACCTGACACACAGTAGGCCTTTGGTCCAAAATTGTTAAATTAATAACTAACATCCCCTGAGCACTTACCATGTGCCAGACACTGTAGTAATTTACAACTTCTGTCTCAGCTTTTATTATAGGATTATTGTAAGATCTGAAAAAGCACTAATCTAGGTGCAGTGGCTCACACCTATAGTCCCAGCTACTCAGGAGACTGAGGCAGGAGGATCCCTTGAGCCCAGAAGTTTGAGTCCAGCCTAGACAACATTGCAAAACCCTATCTCTTAAAAAAAAAAAAATTAAAAAATTGAAGATAAAATTTAAAAAGCACTTAATTTGCTCTTACTGCATGCAAGGCACTGTCCTAACTAAGCATTTGATATATATTAGCTCAACTGATCAACACGGCAACCCTGTAGTGGGTTGAATGGTGGTCCCTAAAAAGACATGACCACATCCTAACCCCTAGAACTCGTAGATGGGACTTTATTTGGAAAAAGGATATCTGTGGGTATAATTAAGTTAAGATCTCAAGATGAAATTAACTTGGATTATTGGGGCATGTCCTAAACCCAGTGACAAATGTCTTTATAGGAGATGGAAGAGGAGAAGACACAGAGAAGAAGAAAAGGCCAAGTGAAGAACTAGGCAGAGGCTGGAGTGATGCTGCCACAGCCAATGACCACCTGGTGCCACCAGAAGCTAGAAGAGGCAAGAGGGGATTCTCCCCTAGAGCCTTCAGAGCGGGCATGGCTCTGTTAACACCTTGATTTTGGACTTCTGCCCTTCGCCACTGAGAGAATACATTCCTATTGTTTTAAGCTACCAAGTCAGTGGTAATCTGTTACGGTAGGCTTCGGACATCAATGCCAATCGTTTATGTCTTCCCAGATGAAGAAATTGAGCCCAGCAGATGAAGTGACTTGCCCGCGTTCACATACTTAGTAAGTGGCAAGCTGGAATTTGAACTCAGGCAATCTGGCATGAAGTCCTTGTTCTTAACCACTACATTCATCCCTGGAATGTATTTAATTGAACACCTCCTATGTGTCAGGTATGATAGATGCTGGGGATACAGCTATGAACAAAACAGCCAAAAGTTCCTCATGAAGCTCAGGTGGGAACTGAGGTTCAGAGAGGCAGAGTGATTTGCCTAAGGTCACAGCACAGTTGGTAGAGGTGGGATTTGAACTGGAGTATCCTGACTCCAGGGTCCATTCTCTGCTCTCTAAAACAAAATGGGAGCCACTGGCCCAGGCAGCCTCTGTAAACTATAAGAAAAAAAAATGGGGATGAGTAGTGGAATGCAGCAGCTGTCCCCCTACCTCTGAACAAGGTCCCTTGTCAGTGGTGTTCACTCAGGCTGCCTTATGATGGTAGAAGGAACAGTAGGTGACCGGGGAGTCAACTGGTCTACCACAAGGCAGAGGCAGAGACCTTCTTCTACCTCTGTTGTCAGGATGGCTCAACATCTGGGGGCATTTTGAGGAGCTGGTGAACTTCAATGTCAACCCTCCAGACTGCAAACAGGCTAAGGCATCTGACCCAACTCTTCCAGCACCAGGGGCAGGTCTTCTCCTAAATTTGCCACGGAATAATCTGAATTCCACCTGGAGAACAAAATGACTTATTAAGTGAAAGCAGACGTCATTCTCCAGGTCCAAGGGTAAAAGCTCTGAGGGTGCATCTGCACTTTCAATGAAGCAGAAATGTTGTGTCCTGAGACTTCCAACACCTAAAGATAAACACATTTGAGGGGATGGAGGTGCCAGAAGGAGCCGGAAATGTGCTTTTCAATTTTTTTTTCTTCCTTGGAGAGAAAAACATGAAAAAAGGAAAAGGTAATTTAACCTGAATAAATGTGATGCAATTTCCTGTTTTGAATTAAGTTTTAACTAGAACAATTGCAAAAGCAAAGAAGGCAAAGGGAACAGAATGAGGGGGATAAAAGAAAAAAAAGGGAAAGATGAAAAAAGTAGAAAGAAAGAGACAAAATAGCAAAGAAATTTTCTTTTCCATAAAAGAAAAATATATATATAAGATGAAGTGGCAAGGGACAGTGATGGAAGATAACAGGAAAATGAAAGGGAGAGACTAAAATCGAGATACCGAAGCAGAGGAAAAGCAGAAAAGAAGGATGGTAATTTTCTGTGTCAGTTTTCCAAATGACTCTCTCCACCTGGGGCTCTGGCCACCCCCTCCCTTTAGCTGCTGCTCAGGGACTCTTTATCAGTCTATTGAAGAGGCAGGAGGCTATCAGTTTACAAGAAGAGAGGAAGCAGAGGAAGAGGAAAGAAAGCAGACAAATTACTAAATGAGGAAGCCAATTATCCAGTGCACCATACTTCAAGCTGTCAGTAGGCTGCTATTCCTCAGGCACCTTTGAGCAAAGTGGGACTTAGAACTCTAGAGCTTGCTGCCATCTGGCCTTTCCAATAAGATAATCTATACAGACTTCCCCTAGCACATTCACATCAAATTGCCAGCATCCGGAACACAAGCTCTCCAACCCAGAGACCTGTATTCCAGTACCACCAGCACACACACAATCACAAAAGCAGAAGAGGTCTCCAAATAAAACTGCCCAGGGTCCACTTTGGTTTCCTACCTGGACAACTAAAGCGTTTATCTGGAGGTTTCTGCTGAGTTCTCTAACAGCAACAAACATAAAAAAGCCAAAAGCAATAGGCATTTGCTTCGGTCAAGCAGCCAAAGATGGTACAGGGTAAAAGATCTTTTGCGACTGCCAAAGGCCAGTGCATGGAAGGCAGCCCGGCGCACGGTGTCTTAACTTACGGAGATTTCTTTAATCTTACATAAAACCCTGACAAACACTCCTGCAGAACAAAGTAAACATCATCTAATCTAGCTGTACGACAGCGGCCACATACAACTTGATGTGGGGGGTTGAGAGCCAAGAAATGTCAGACAGGAAGGAGATCGAAACGTCTGGAAAGGAATCCAGTCAGTCAGTGGCAGAGTCCACTTTGGAAGAAATATGAATTACAGAAAAGAGCTGAGCATGGGGCAGATAGCACAATAACATCGGCACCTTGAATAAGCTGCCTAACACGCTCTGGCAGTGGAGACTTCTGAAAAGTTAATATTTATGATATACTAGATTTTCTTGTTCCCTCAAGAAAGTCATGTGGCGTGGTTGGCTTGAATCTGAAAGAAAGCTAAGAACCTCGAGAAAAGGAAAATGTCAGGTCTGTAGTCGTCAGCTCTGTAGTCATCAGGTCCCTGAGGAATAATAGATACTGACATTTCAGCAACTACAACTCTGAGTCCGGCTGAAAGCAGAAATGGTGAATCGGTTTGTCCCCTCACCAGCAGTCTGCATAATTCTGTAAACAACTCTCCTTCTCTATAGAGAGAGGCGACTATAACTCTGGAAAACATTGACAGAGACTAATACACCCACCTTCATGCTCCACAGGGTAAAACTGATTAGTCATAGTCACAGTTCCTATGACAACATTTTTCAGTGTGAGGCCTGCGGGCTACCTGTATCGGAAAAACCGGGGGAACTTGTTGACAATATCCATCGCTGAATCAAAATTTCTTGGGAGTGGGGCTCGAGAATCTACCTTTCTGAAGTAGCTCTGTTGGGGATTCACATGCCCTCTAGAGTCTAAAAAACACTCTTCTGTCTCTTGTTAATGATGGAAACTTCCCTTCCTTCTTTCTCTCTCCCTCCATCCATTACAATTTTCACCTCAGGCACTGTGTTCTTTGTGAAAGATACACAAGACACAGCTCACACTGAAAATGGCCGTAGCAAGAAACGCTCACATATGTAAAAGTGTTCCTGTAACTCCAAATGCTCACATCAGTTCATAAAAAGATGTGTTCGGTTTTCTTTTATGAAATGTAGAACTTCTAAGATAAATATATTTGAGGAAATTAAACTATACGCTAATGATCACAAGCAGAACCTATCATTCTCATAGGCTATTTCTTTTGGGAGGAATACGTAAACACATGTATTAAGTTTGTCAATAATTATTTGTTCCATCCATCATCCTTATTGAGTTATTTGATTGTGACATATAGAGCGTAGCCATCCTCACTCAATGTGAATAAGAAGGCAGTCTGCTTGACTCTGTGCCAAGGGTGTAACCATTTGAATTGTAAGTTAACTGCTGGCAGGAGAGATGCACCACTCGGCCAGGGACTTCTCCCTCATGGGTAGGGGTTTCTCCTGAGCCTGCCACGATTATGATTCACTCAAAGGGGACCACAGGCAGAGAGAAGCAGCAATAGCTTTTGGATGGTCATGAGATGATTTTGCTCATCCTTTCTTCACATTAACACATTCCATGTAAAAGTAAACATAGTGGCTCTGAATTACATTCTGGACCACCTATTGCCCCCAATATCTGGCTTCAGGCAATGCAGACTAGAAATTCAGCTGTGTTTTGAATAGACACTGATGTATTTTATCAGTGCCTCTGTGAGCTGAGAAGCAATTTCCTTCTCTGAAGGGGAACTCCTTCCTGAGGTTTCCCAGTTGATTTTCATCTTTCTGTGACATCCCAGTAGGAAAGAGAGCAGGACCCTTCCTCCTGCTCTCCTCCAGCATTGCATGGTTCAGGATTCCTTCGCTGTCCTTTCCCAGGTTCATGGTCTGTTTCTCTTTTCCACAACAGCATCCTTGACCCTTCAACATCCTCCTTCCCTGCATCTTTTCAACCACCAGAAGCTTTCAAAGGAGAATGAAACAAATTCCTTGTGCAAGTTTTGCATGTATTTTAGTTCTACAGATGAACAGGGGAAAAGATCTCCAAAGAAAAGGGAAGCACACAGTCCCCACCATGGAAGGTTTGGGAGAGGCCAACAATGTGGTTTCAGCTCCGCTGACTCACCTTAAGGGGGGAATGCACCAGAAGGAAACTCTGTCTGATAACCATTAACAAATTCTACTGCTTGGCAAGACACAACTTATTTTCTATGAGGTGAAAAACTGTGCATGCCATCAGTCAAGCTGTACAGCAAGTTCACCTTGGGATAGAACCCTTTGGTCCTACAGTCAGCTGTTATCATATTTCTGATCATTTGGATTTGGGTTACAGCAACCTATCACACTGGTCTTCAAACTGTGTCCCACGGTGGTATTCAATATGTGTCTGTACCCCCGCCTCCAGACCCTGCCTACAGGATTAGGATGTTGGATCAAGAAAACAAACAAACAAAAAACTCAAAAATTTTGAAAAGCATTAGCACTGTACAATAGTTTCCATGGGTTTTCAGGTGCTTGTGCCAAGGCTGAAGATGAAAATTGAAAAAGAGACAGGAAATCATTCAACCTCAATACTGCTCACTGTGGACCACATCAGGTTAGCTTGAAATCTACCAACAGATTATCTTGGCTCTGAGAGTCATCAAATATTTGGGCCAGGGTGGGGTGGGCTGGAGAAATGCCTTTTTCAGGGAGACATTTTCACCCTCTTTCTATTCTCTTGATTGATGTAAAGTGATTTCTCGGAATATCCTCAGCAGCTGATACAAACAATAAGAAAACCCTCCAAAGACTGAGGCTGCCATTTTTAGTGACTCAGGCTAAATCAGAGACTTCACAGGTCTTGAGTTCTGCAATTTTTTTTTTTTAGATGGAATTTCGCTCTTGTTGCCCAGGCTGGAGTGCAATGGCGCGATCTCGGCTCACAGCAGCCTCCGCCTCCTGGGTTCAAGCCATTCTCCTGCCTCAGCCTCCGGAGTAGATGGAATTACAGGCATGTGCCACCATACCTGGCTAATTTTGTATTTTTAGTAGAGATGGGGTTTCTCCATGTTGGTCAGGCTGGTCTCAAACTCCGGACCTCAGGTGATCCGCCCACCTCGGCCTCCCAAAGTGCTGGGATTATAGGTGTGAGCCACCGCGCCCAGCCTCTGCAATCATTTTTTAACTGCCTTAGTTGGTCATCTCTGTGATCTGTCATCAATACCAACCTTTCTAACTTCAGTGAATGACCAGTGGGTGGACTCTTGAATCTGTTCTATTGAAACACACCCAGGAAGATCCCGTAAAACAAGAACATGCAGTTTTTCAGCAGAAACAAGGGATGGGACAGGGGTTCGGTATGTGTTCCCTCCAATTTATAAAGGGAATTTTGGGTTTACAGAAAATCTTACCTATTGTAGGTCTTGGCATTGAAACTTTCTACAAAACAACCTAAAGGCGGGCCAGGCGTGGTGGCTCATGCCTGTAATCCCAGCATTTTGGGAGGCCGAGGCAGGTGGATCATCTGAGGTCAGGAGTTCAAGACCAGCCTGGCCAACATGATGAAACCCTGTTTCTACTAAAAATACAAAAATTAGCCAGGCGTGGTGGCATGTACCTGTAATCCCAGCTTCTATGGAGGGTGAGGCAGGAGAATTGCTTGAACCCAGGAGGCAGAGGTTGAAGTGAGCCGAGATTCAGCCACTGCACTTCAGCATGGGTGGCAGAGTGTGATTCTATCTCAAAAACAAAAAACAGAAAAAAAACCCTAAAGGCATAAGAAGATGGACACAGTGGGGCTCTCATCACTTGCAGGCATGTAAGAAGAACACAGCTATGCAAAATTGGGGAAGAGGGAAACTAACCATTGTTTTCCACCCATGCTATGTGTATTAGTCAGGGCTCTCTAGAGGGACAGAACTAATAGGATAGATGTATATATAAAGGGGAGTTTATTAAGGAGTATTGACTCACATGATCACAAGGTGAGGTCCCACAATAGGCCGTCTGCAAGCTGAGGAGCAAGGAAGCCTGTCCGAGTCTCAAAACCTCAAAAGTAGGGAAGCGGACAGTGCAGCCTTCAGTCTGTGGTCGAAGGTTCAAGAGTCTCAAAGCTGAAGAACTTGGAGTCCAACGTTCGAGGGCAGGAAGCATCCAGCACAGGAGAAAGATGGAGGCCAGAAGACTCAGCCAGTCTAGTCTTTCCATGTTCTGCTGCCTGCTTTTTATTCTGGCCGCTCTGGCAACTGATTAGATAGTGCCCACCCAGATTGAAGGTGGGTCTATATTTCCCAGTCCATTGACTCAAATGTTAATCTCCTTTGGCAATACCCTCATAGACAGACCCAGGAACAATACTTTGCATCCTTCAATCCAATCAAGTTGACACTCAATATTAACCATCACACTATGCCCGCCTCCAACCTCTGCTTTCAGCTTCCTGTCTGGTGATTTCCCCACAATACTCTTCATCATTTCCATCCTCCTGTTTTAGCTTTTACAATATGCCTGGCATATTTTATACATATTGCTTCATTAATCCTCACAATATACTTACAATGTAGACACAATCATTATTAGCATTTTACAGGTGATAAACCTGTTGTTTAAAATTTTAAATGACAAACTCAGCTGATAAGTGATGAAGCCAGACTTCAAACTGATGACTATTACTCCAGAGCCTTATATTAGCCAGCACAGAGTGATTTACCAAGGGTGTCTTGAGGTGCAACAAAGGAAAACAGGTGAAAAGGTTTGAAAGCTTCACCTTCCTATATACCTAAGCCAAGCCAGATTCCATGGCATAAATATTTTTTCATAATTTGGGGAGATTTCAGCATACGAGGTAGGAAATTTACAAGTGCATAGATAGATGATTCACTGAATTCCAATGGAAAAAAACATTGATTTATTTAGTGACAGTGCTGAGCAGGCCTCTCATTGAAGTTTCCTGGGCCTGGACAGGAATATGAAAGGCAGGTAAAAATATAGAGGGGTATTAAAGGGTCCCTCTGGAACTCAAAGTTTCGTTGCAGTAAACTGTTGCTTAAGAGAAGTACATCGAAGATGATTAAAGATGGAAAAACTGATAATAACCTGTTCTTTGGTGTCATCTTTGAAGATGTTAAATGGTATGGTTAGAAGTGATCATTGAAGAATTTTCATTAATAACAGAACAGCCAAATCTGCACTTGTGCTAAATTTTTTTTTTTTTTTTTTTTTTTTTTTTTTTTTTTTGAGACAGAGTCTCGCTCTGTCACCCAGGCTGGAGTGCAGTGGCGCAATCTTGGCTCACTGCTACCTCCACCTCCCAGGTTCAAGCAATTCTCCTGCCTCAGCCTCCTAAGTAGCTGGAACTACAGGTGCACACCACCACGCCTGGCTAATTTTTGTATTTTTAATAGACACAGGGTTTCACCATGTTGGCCAGGATGGTCTTGATCTCCTGACCTCGTGATCCACCTGCCTTGGCCTCCCAAAGTGCTGGGATTACAGGCGTGAGAGCCACTGCACCCGGCCACTTATGCTAATCTTTTGAAAGACCTAGTGAAAAGAAAATATTGCCATTGCCAATAACCTCTTTACCCTGTTTCTTTAGCACCAAGCTCCACAGATCAGGGCTATGCAGTTAGCACACATACACAAAAGAAATGGCAATATACCCACTTGTTATCTACAAGGATCATACGTGTTACAGAATGCTTTAAAGATTATGAGGATGTTAGTGATGAGATTATTAACCTGATCCACAAATGATTTGCAGACTTGTTGGGCTGCACAGGCCACCAAAGAGGCTAAGACAATTTGGTAAACTATATAGAAAATCAGAATGCCTTAGACTGACAAGAGATCACCAAAGAGAACTTACTCCTTCTGTATCTAAAACAGAATCAGTCTTTCTCATTCAATAGAGTGAGTGGGTTAGATCCTATCGAGGGAAGCTCCAACCTCTGCCTAGATGGAATGCAAAACTAATCCCGTATCAAATGAAGGTGTCAAAGGCCATCAGGAACTTCCCCTGCTTATGACCAGAACATCCCTGACAACATATGTAGTGATAACAAACAAGAAGATTTGGGTTTGCTGGTTATATATTGTCTTATTCCATTTGTGCTATTGTAAAAAATAAAAACTCACACACTGTGTAATTTACAGTAGAAATTTATTTTTCCCAGTTCTGGAGGCTGGGAAGCCCAAGATCAAGGCACCAGCAGGTTTAGTATCTAGAGAGGGCTGCTCTCTGCTTCCAAGATGGTGCCTTCTTGCTGCATCCTCCAGAGGGCACAAACTCTGTGTGCTCACGTGGCAAAAGGGATAAAGGGGCGAACTCATCCCCTCAAGCCTTTTATAAGGCACTAATCCATTCATGAGGTCTGTTGGTCTAATCACCTCCTAAAGGCCCCACCTCTTAATACTGTTGCATTGGGGATTAAGTTTAAACATGAATTTTGGGGGACGCACTCAGACCACAGCATGCATACAAACACACACACACAACTTCCCCATACAAATACAGATATATACAAGCACATACAAGCAAACAACTATGTTGCACATGTCATCTAGAGAACCTTGGCAGGCAAAGGGTCAGATTATTTTTCTCTAAAGATCCTGGCCTTGGGGTAGCCATCTTTTTCTTGTCAGTTCTCTTCTTTTACCCCTTCTCTGTAACATCCAATGTCAAAGTTTAAAACTATTAGGGGGTGCCAGGCATCTCAGGATGCCAGCCTTACCTCCGATGAGTAATTAATGAAATTAAATTCATGTACCTGACAAGGAGGCATGTATGGGGATGTTCTTCATACCATTATTTGTCATGGCATAAAGCTGGAAACAATCTAAATGTCCATCCATAGGGGATGGCTCTACAAACTGTGGTGCAGGTTGAGCATCTCTCATCTGAAAATCTAAAATCCAAAATGCTCTAAAATCCAAAAGTTTTTGAGCACCAAAAAGATGCTCAAAGCAAATGTTCACTGAAGCATCTTGGATTTCAGATTTAGGATGCTGAACTGGTAAGTAGAATGCAAATAATACAAATCTCAAATCCAAAACACTTCTGTTCCCAAACATTTCAGATAAGGGATACTCAACCTGTAGAGTCAATCCACGGAACATTTATGCTGCAGTTAGAATGAGGAAGACATATAGGGACTAATATGGAGAGGGATCTAGGTCACTTCTGTTGAGTGACAAAAGCAAGTGGCAGACTACTACTTACCATATGATTTACATAATCATTTCTCACCAATAAACAAAATAACATGTTTAAATAGCCATGAATATACTTGTAAAGGCTCATCAAGGTCTTCAAGGCTAAGCACAAATGGAAAACCTCAGATTCTCTGGAGAGTATGAGGAAAGGGCCCTGGGATTCGGACTAGTGGTGAAGGACCTCAGTCTTACTTGACATTTTCTGATTTTGTTTATAAGAACGATGTATTTATGTATCACTTATACAATTAGAAATAATTTTAAGATGTTTAAATAAATTGGATATGTCTTTCCTAGCAATGGGACTTCTCCCCCAACATACATAAAAGAAACAAAATAAAACAAAGTAACTCTTCTCGGCTCCAGGAACCTCAACTTGACAGCTGACAATTTCTCTATTCATCATTCACTCTTCATTCAACAAATATTTCCTGAGGGCCTACTATGTGCAGGCCCAGTTCTGTAAACATCTCTTCTCTCAACACAGAGCCTCCTACTCCAGAGTTTCTTCATTCCCTAATACTCCACATAATCATGTCTTAGTCCCAAGTGCTTTTCCACCGCCAGTTCTGCTTTCCCAACTCTTAGCCTGAGCCCCAGCCCTCTCATTCTCCCAGGCACTCAGCAATTCCTTGACAAATATTAAGATAACCATTAGCCTCTGTACCACTTAGCTCCACTTCATTGACTCCAACCCTGACCTGATGAGAGCATTCTCAAGTCTACAAAGGCTAGGAATGAATGTGGAGTGGTCTTCCCCACTAAGACCACCCCCAACTCTCATAGTAGGGACATACACAGTGAAATGCAAATCTCCATCTGAAAAAGGCTTCCCGCCCCTTGCTAGACACAGCAATAGGATTGTTATTCTGAGGCTTGGATTTGCTAACCTCCCAACCATGCATCCATAGGTCCTGCTCAGGCTGCAGCTGGCAAGAAAGGAGACATTTAACACACTAACAGGTTTGCTTCCTATATCAGGCTTTATATCATTTCTGCCAATGCATATTCTCCTGGCCAAGGATGAGCTTCACTCTTCCTTGACTTTTCAAAACGGCCTATGGACCTTGCATGTGAAGCCCAGTTTCTATTAATTTTCCTTTCTCTAGTCTGCTTGCAAAACCAAAAAATGTTAAAAAGCAAAAGCAAAATTCCAAAGGGCATGGTAGTGGTTTGGCAAGTGGTAGGTTTCTCCGGGAGACAGACAGAATTTGTGGGTAAAGGGTTAAACATTAACACGCTTCCCTGGAAGGACTCTCTACCCTGGTAATGGAACCCAAGTGCAAACTTTGGCAGGAATCAAACATTAGCTCATGACAGGTGTAGGCTTCACGCTGGCTGCCGCTGCATTTCCAGCAAAAAAATTGGGGACGTGGGGACTACTCCATGACACAGTAGGCTGGAACAGATTGCTTTGCAGAGATCTCTTCTGGCTGAAATAATTCCCTATAACAACTTCCTTGACATGCTGTCAGGATGGCCTGTTTCCAAGGTCATAGCTGGTGCATAGGGATATAATAGACATCATCTGTGGTCTTCCAGAGATTAAGTTGCCAGAACAACTGCACTACAGCCTTCAAATAGAGCCATTCACCCATTCCGCAACCTTTACTAAATTCGGTCCCCCTGTCACACACTCCCCGGCAGCCTCCAGTTGTTCCCACATTATAATATTGTTCACTTTTACTGCAAACCTGGGGTCACAAACTCAAATGTCTATGGGAGCCAGCCAGATAATATAAATGAACAAAGCAGGCTACATGATAACCAGAGGGTCCCTGCCTGCCTAGAGAGAGAGGCCACTCAGTTCCAGTTGATGATGTTAACTTCAGGATGCTTTTCTTGAATGGAGTTCTTTGCAGATCTCTTCTGGTTGAAATAAGTCTATACCCAATGTCCTGACACTGTCAGGATGGGCTGTGTACTAAGTTGAATCATTGTATTCCACTTATACACAAGAAACCTCAGAATATGACCTTACCTGAAAATAGGGTCTTGCAGATGTAATTTGTTAAATTAAAATGAAGTTATACTGGATTGGAGTGGGCCCTAACTCCAGTGACCTGTGTCCTTTAAGAAAAGAGACAGAGAGGCTGTGCACGGTGGCTCACGCCTGTAATCCCAGCAATTTGGGAGGCCGAGGCGGGTGGATCACCTGAGGTCAGGAGTCCGAGACCAGCCTGGCCAACATGGTGAAACCCCGTCTCTACCAAAAATACAAAATTAGCCAGGTGTGGTGGCAGATGCCTGTAGTTCCAGCTACTTGGGAGGCTGAGACAGGAGAATCACTTGAACCCGGGAGGCAGAAACTGCAGTAAGCCAAGATTGGCACCACTGCACTCCAGCCTGGGCCAGACAGAGCGAGACTCTATCTCAAAAAAAAAAAAAAAAGAAAGAAAAGAAAAGAGACAGAGAGATACAAATACGCACAGAGAGGAGAACAATGTGTGCAAACAGAGGCAGAGCTCAGAGCAATGTTATCCACCAGCCAAGAAATCCCAAGCATTGTTGGCACCTGCCAGAAGCTGGGACAGAGGTATGGAACCATCCAGCTCAACAGAGGACTCCTTTGGAGTCTTCTCATTTTTTTTTTTTTCTTATAAAAAGGCAAGATCTTTCCATGAAAAAGAACAAAAGCAAACTCGTGCATGGGCCTCTGTGCTACATGGTTTCTCATCTGAACAACCACAGAGGCCCCAGCCCACTCTGGCCCCTTTTAATCCATTCTCCACATTGCGGCCAGAAGGATCTTTTGAAAACTCAAATCAGATGATGTCACTCATCTCCCTGAAATGCTTTAATGATGTCCCACTGCTATTTCAATAAAGACTAACATTGTTACCATAGCGTATATGGCCCTGCAGGCTCTCGTCTCTACTCCCCCTCACTGCCTTGGTCTCACTGGATTCCTGTTGCCTCTCTGCCCTATGTTCTCTTCAACCTCAGGACCTTGGCACATGCTGATCTCACTACCTCAAATATCCTCATTCTTCCCACTCCCACAATGCACACACACACACATTCATGTATATACCTACTTCCTTCACCTGGCAAACGCCTACTTATCCTTCAGCACTCAGGTCAGCCATCATGTCCCTGACCACTCATCTAAAGTTAGTCCAGGCCGGGCGTGGTGGCTCACACCTGTAATCCCAGCACTTTGGGAGGCCAAGGCAGGAGGATCACTTGAGGTCAGGAGTTCAAGACCAACCTGGCCGACATGGTGGAACCCCTTCTTTATTAAAAATACAAAAATTAGCCAGGCGTGGTGGTACACGCCTGTAATCCCAGCTATTTGGGAGGCTGAGGCAGGAGAATGGTTTGAACCTGGGAGGCGGAGGGTGCAGTGAGCTGAGATTGCACCACTGCACTCCAGCCTGGGCAATAGAGCAAGACGCTGTCGAAAGAGGGGAGGGGGAGGGGGAAAGAAAGTTCAATCATTTTCACAGTCATCATACCATGTCCCTTTCAAATTTAGCACCTCTCACCAAAATCTGTGTGATCATCTGATTCACATCTGCCACCCTCATTAGACTGTTATCCCTTGTGCCTAGGACGGTGCCTGCCACACAGTGTGGTCTCATAGGAGACAGGACAGTGTTCATCTCTCCAGGGAATTTGCATGTTTGATTTTCTCCTACTCCAGGTTAAAAGTTCTCTACAGTCTTTTTACTTCAGTTGTCCTTGGATTGTACTTTTGTTTTAGGTACATTTCACATTTTGCACTGTTCTGTTATGTTCTAAGTCTTCTGACTATGCGCCACAACTGTGGGGAGGGATTACATTGTGATCATTATTGTCTTACACAATGTATAGTATGGGGCCCTATCATATTTAATAAGTATTTGTTGGGTTACTAAAGACGTATTTTTAAACCTTTCCTTTTAATAATGGTAAGGAAGGCTTTATACAGTTGTACAGGCAGAGTGTAATGGCACAGAGGCTAAGAGACAGGGCTCTAGAGTCTGAAACCTGCTTGAATCTGCTTTGTGCCAGGTGTAACTCAGGGGAGGACAGGTTTTGGATGGGAGGGCCACTTCTTTGCAATGCTGATTCTAGTTTTTAAGAAGCCTTTATTAGAAATGTCAGGTTTTTGGCTGGGAACAGTGGCTCATGCCTGTAATCCCAGCACTTTGGGAGGCCGAGGTGGGTGGATCACTGGAGGTCAGGAGTTCAAGACCAGCCTGACCAACATGGTGAGCCTGGGAGGCAGAGGTTGCAGTGAGCTGAGATCATGCCACTGCACTCCAGCGTGGGTGAGAGAACTAGACTGTCTCAAAAAAAAAAAAAGAAAGAAAGAAAGAAAAAGAAAAAAAAAAGTCAGGTTTTCTACTGCACGGATTCCATTCTATTGTAAATGCCTTGCTCAGATGGGTTTAAACTCTTAAGTTTCACTATCTGTTTTTAGCTGGGTGCTATTCCTACCCCCAAAAAAGCATTTGATAATGCCCAGTGGCATTTTTTATTGTTATGACTTGAGCTAGGGGGTTGAGGGGGAGGATTGCTACTGGCATCTAGTAGGTCGAGACCAGGATGCTGCTAGACCTCCGACAGGACACTGAAGCCACTGCTGCCACCACTGCCGCCACTGCCACCACCATTACCACAACCAACACAATCGCCACCGCCGCCACCACCTCCAACAAATAATTATCTGGCTCAAAATATCAGTAGTGCTGAAGTTGAGAAACCTTGTTCTAGACCATTCTATTTCAATGTCCTAGGGACTCTGGCCTTATATTCATAGACATCATGTCACAGGCTTGAGTAACTTAGTCTCTATGGCATTTCAATCAGCTCCTCTTTTAAAAGAAGAGCCTTTGACAATAATCAGTGTGTTTTAAAACTTTGTGGACCATACGGTAGTTTGCCCTGACCCAAATTAAATCTCTCATCTCTCCCACCCAGGCCCCCAGATTCCCCATTTTGGCCATGGTCCTTCAGAAGAGTCCAGAGAGCCTCAAGGCACTACAGGCTGTTCAGTGCGTGCAAGAAATCTGTGGTTAATCACTTCAACCTGCTTTACTTCAACAGATTTTCGGAGACCTGTTTATTGTTCCACTGCTTGGCTACTCTGGAGTTATCTATGACCGAAGTCTTACATTTGTTTGCAGAGCAGAAGAAGGTATATTTTTATTCTCACATCCCTTCCAAGTCCCTGAATTAAATTAGTGTGAACTTTCCAAAATAAATTCACCTTTGAGATGAAATGAAGCATGGAAAGTTTCAACCCAAAGGATACCTTATTGGAAAGTTAGAAGCAAATGAAAATAGGGATTATGATGATATTTTACTGTAACTTCAGCACTTGTAGTTACAAAGGCTAGAGTATTTGTTCATAGAAAATATTCTCTAAAGGGTTGATGCATGCATTCCAGGACTGACGTTCTTCAGACTCCAAGGGAAAAAATAGAACGGAAAAATCAACACATGTGGATCTAATTCTGCACCATGTCACTGGTTAAAATCCAAGGAAAGAATGTTTTATCAGAATGAGACATGGGGAACAATCAATAATAGGAAGGAAGACCTCTGATTCTCTCACTCCACAAATGTAATTTGGTGGACCATGATTGTGGTCTAGCAGCATTTGTCAGCAACTGCAAGTTCACATTTTATGTGTATAAGCCACCACGATTTTTCCTACAGAAAACTATTCTCATAGCTCTGGGCAATTTGTAATATAGACAGATGGTAGGGCATTTGGAGTTGTTTTTTTTTCTCTTAATACTCAACATGAGAAAACATTTCCAATCACTTCCAACCCCTGGAAGATTTGAAATCTGGACGATTCTAAGCATGCACCTTTTAAAAAATCAATCCATAGCCATAACTGTGACTTTGCCCACATAAGGCCTAAATACTATTAGTCGAAGCAGCATTAAAAGTAGTGTAGCAGGTCAAGTGTGGTGGCTCACGCATATAGTCCCAGCACTTTGGGAGGCTGCGGCAGGTGGATCACCTGACGTCAGGAGTTCAAGACCAGCCTGGACATGGTGAAACCACGTCTCTACTAAAAATACAAAAATGAGCCGGGCGCAGTGAGCCGGTGTGGTGGCAGGCGCTTGTTGTCCCAGCTGCTCGGGAGGCTGAGGCAGGAGAATTTCTTGAACCCAGGAGGCGGAGGTTGCAGTGAGCTGAAATTGCGCCACTGCGCTCCAGCCTGGGCAACAGAGTGAGACTCCATCTCAAAAAAAGAAAAAATAAAAAAACCAGAACTGCTCTGTAAAGCAGGGTTCCTGGAAGCTCAGCCCTCCCTTCATCCTCCTGCCCCCATCCCAATACTCTTCTTGGTTCCCTGCTGTCCGGATAATCACATGAAAAAAAAATTGTTTCAGGATGAATTTTTTTATTTTCAATTGATTGAACTGGCATCATTTAGAGCTGGTCTTTACTTAGGCCACGAGAGCATGTTTGTACTTCTCCTTAATTTTAATACCTCACATAAATAGTAGTTACTGGGGAATATAATCTGGGGGGTTTGACTTTCGTTTTTACTCTCCTTGACTCTGTATTATGTTTTTTATTATTTCCTGGAAAAGGCAGTTTTTACTGTAAAAAATAAATAAATCCTGGCTCAGCATGGTAGCTTATGCCTATAATCCCAGTACTTTGGGAGGCCAAGGTGTGAGGATCACTCGAGACCATCCTGGGCAACATAGTGCGACCCCATCTCTACAGAAAATTTAAAAGTTAGCCGGGTGTGGTTGCATGAGCCTGTGGTCTCAGTTGCTAGAGAGGCTGAGGCAGGAGGACTGCTTGAGCCCAAGAGGTCAGGGCCACAGTGAGCCATGATTGTGCCTCCATCCTGGGCGACAGAGTGAACCAGTCTCAAAAAAAAAAAAATCAATAAATCAATTTTGAAAAAAACTAACATGTTACCAAGTTTCCTTTTTGCCCTTTTGGTTAATTTTTTAGATTGTATATTGGGCAAAAGGAAAAGGGACAAATTTCATCTTCTGTTTTCTTCACCTATAATTTGATCATGTATATGGAGTTAGTTAAATTGATACACACTCTAAAGCCAGAAAAGGGTCTGACGCATTCTCCCATCTGCATTTTCATTAACATAGTCTTGATGAATGTAAGATGCTGGCACTGTGGTGTCTGCCACCCACTGACGGTCAGTATTGATTTTGCTGCCTTGGATGGCTACACAGAGATCCTGCCCTATATCGTGGCCCCATACGTGCACCACTTTGCATCAAAGAATCCCCATTTTCAGATGAAGGAAGATAGTTCGTCTGTTAAGGGCATGTCCTTGGCATGGGCTAACGAAACAATCACATTCAAAACCTAAAGGTTATGTGTATATTGGGTAATTCTAGATTTTTTAATAAAAGCATTTAGTAAAATTCACAGAACCTTTAATTTATACTTGGAATGCAAAGACATCTTTAAAACCTTTTCTCACTGGGCGCAGTGGCTCACGCCTGTAATCCCAACACATTGGGAGGCCAAGGCAGGTGGATCACCTGAGGTCAGGAGTTTAAGACTAGCCTGGCCAACTAGTGAAACCCCCTTCTCTACCAAAAATACAAAAATTAGCTGGGCCTGGTGGCACATGCCTGTAATCCCAGCTACTCGGGAGGCTGAGGAAGGAGAATCACTTGAACCCGGGAGGCGGAGGTTGCAGTGAGCTGAGATCATGTCACTGCACTCCAGCCTGGGTGAAAAAAAAAAAAAAAGTTTTTGCATCAGAAAATGGTCCCCTCAAAATGCATGTTATCACCAAAACAATAATCACCACCTCAGATCTGTAATCCTGCCAAAGAAAGCTATTCAATGGGGCAGTGAGATGACAGGGGCTCACAGAAGCTCATGTTCCCTGAAATATCCTTTGCATTTGTCTTTAAAAAGCATGAGGGGAAATCAAAGCAGCTGAAATTGTGGCTTTTTTTTTCCTGGCCAGATCTGAAAAACAATATTCCAGAAGCTGTGCATCTTATCTTATGGTCCACATTTCCAGTGGGGCCGAATACAGAAAGTGCATTTGGATTGGCACGTGGTTTGAACTATTTTACTTTAGAGAAAGAAAATTGAGCAATCTTGGAAGAACTCCATATTCTTCTTTAAAAAAAAATTTTTTTTTCTTAGGTTCCTCTTGAAAACTACTTTGAGCAGGAAGGAAGGGTTTGGAACAGCTGTCCCTCGGTGAGTTTGGAGAATGTTAATCACTGTCCCTTCTCTCTTTTACTTAAAGATTAGCTCACATCCCAGGCCCCTGCAAAAGGAAACCGCATATACTTAACTTTTGAGACTATCGTGAGGAACTTTTCTGTAACAGTAGTAGCATGTCAGCCAGATCTAAAAGATGCTCAAGTCTGGAAACTTACCCCAAGGCAATGAGAGCCCATAGGGTCAGCAATGGGCCGACTGGACATTTGAGAAAGTCATTTATTTCTTGACTAAATTTCCCCAGGAAAAAGTAAAACTTAAGAAAAACAGAGCACAAATGAAACTGCCATATACATAGGCATCTGCAACTTTAACCAAAGGGTGCTCTCAGGCAAGGTGACCCTGCATACACCATGTCAGCTTAAAAATATTATATTAAAGGCATTTTCCTCTGTATATTAAGTAAGGAAACATGCAGGGAAATAGATAACATATAATTCCATTTTAATAAAATAATGATTCCTCCAATCCAAGATTTTAAAAAGCTTTTATACGATTATTTGAGCACAGAGCTAGATGTGGAGGGATGTACAACCCACTGCGAATATTTGTAACAGGGAAGAGAGTAAGAGGAGGAGGGAGGAGGTGTTTTTAAAAAAAGAGAAACAAATTTTCTTGGATAGAAATTTTTGGAATTTTTTGTTTTGGAAACAAATTTTCTTGGATAATATGCATGCCATAATATTATGGAAAATTAAGACTAAAATTCTATCTTTGGTTTTATTGTAAAATGCAAACACTGAGTATGTACATAGACAAGAAATACAAGGTGACACAAATGGAAACTTGTTTGCTTTAGGATGAAATCATGGATAATTCTCTTAAAGCAATTGCCATAAGCCATTTTAGAAATATGGAATATGATACATTCTCTACCTGTGGCCAATACCCTTTATAACACACTGGTTAGATATGTAACCTTGAGACAAAAATGAAATGCATCTTAAAAGTCGGTCTGAGACTCTGTGAATACAGGTGGTGGTCTATGGAGTCTAAATGAATCATTCAGGCTAGAGAATTCCAGCCACACACACAAATGGGACAAGAAGTGAAGCCGTTCGCCTCAACGACTGATTTCCTTGGGCACCTGGTGGTCGCGAGGTCTGTGACCCCAGGAAAAGCTGGAGGCCGACACACCAGAGCTGCACAGCACTGAAGGGAAAAGCAGCATCTGACCCAAACATTTGAAACAGGTACTCTGAGTCTGTCAATATGGCCACAAGATGCTCGCTTTACATGGTGGATAGGAAACTGATCAGAAAAAAAAAAATAAGGAAATAAAATATTAAAACATGTAAATGTGACGGAAATTATAAACAGCCTAAAGCTCCTCTCCCTTCGGGAACAGCTGTGTCTGCTAATCCCTCGAGGAGTCCTCCCTGCGATCCCCCTTCCTTCCTTCCTCCCTCTCTCTCTAATAGCTCCCTTGTTCCTGCTGGACAAAACTAGCCCTTTGTGGCTGCTCTCAGAACAACATTAAAAACAGGAATAGGGAAATTGTAAACAGGAGGCTTCTGGCCTACAGGCGAAGACACACACAGGCCTCTGAGGCCTACTTCATGCTAAGCAAAGAAACAGATCTTTGTTGCTAAAGGGATTAGGACCGCGGGATTTCGGAGGCACTGCTGAGGCATTCAGCTGGCCTGAAGTAGGGGCTTTGTAAAGAGATACCTCCATTAGAGGTCTGTGAGCGGAAATCATTCATACTCTTTATACAATCTGGGTAATGTGATAGCGCTGGCCTGTTAAACGCCTCTGGTGAGGCAGGGTCCCATCTCCTTGAATGGTAAATTCTTTAGCAGCTAAATAGATGGTGGTATAATTACCTTCACTGAATTTTTCTGTGGGGGGTGGGGGTTGTCTTCAACCTTTAACCCTTAGTGGGAATAACATTAAAGGATCACCCAGTGTCAGGGAGGCAAAGACTTTCCATGTCCACTCGGAGATAGTCTTTGGCCTTCTGTTGTCAGCATAATGTGATTAAAAAAAAAATGGAACTCTTCATGCATCATCTTAACATATAGTGAATGTCCACTTTGTCCCCACATTCATCAGGATGATGACTATATCCATAATTGCCTCTTTCCATGTCCCTTGTCTAGACAGCCCTCCAACTTGCTTACCTCATTCCTGTCTAGTCCGTGCCCACTTTCCCCAGCCAGGCCTTCCTTGACTTGCCCTCCCCAAGTTGGACTGGTACCCTTTCTGTAGTGTCCACGCCTGTCTCTCCCACTGCATTTTCCATAAAGTGGAGGACTATGTGTGTCTGCCTACCCCCATAGATGATGAGTTCCTAGAGGCTGTGGCTTATTTACCTTTGTATCCACAATGCCTGGCTCTTAATAGATGTCTGAGCTGTGCACAGCACAGTGTGAGATGGACAGGTTATTTGGCCTTTAGACTGGTCCCTGTGGTTGCTGGAAAGAACTTTCCTAGTGAACCTAGGGGTCTTAAGAGACCAAGCAACATACACTGTGGCCAGTTAGGAAAGAAAAAGTGAGTCCTCCAAAAAACATAGCAAGTGGTCGCTTCCCACAAATGGCCAGCCTCTTTCTGAATAACTTGGCTGACCTTGATCCTGCCTCCACATTCTTCTTGGTTAGGGAATAGTCACCAGTAAAATGGAAATGTTCTTTGGGTTCACATTTGGAGTCCCTGGATCCAAATATTAATTATGGTTTCAGCTGTTATATACTTAAAAAAATCAGAGCCAACTCCAGACTTAAAGTTAGAACTGAAGAGGGAAGAAATGATGCATCCAAGCTAAGAGACACTTTCCCTGGTTTTATCAGCCCATCCTGGAGGGCTAACAAGTTCATTTTGGGAGAAAGTGTGGCTCTAGGTAGATGTGGGGTTTGCAGTCATTTCACTTGGAAGGAGTCCTGGATTCTGTTTATAAGATATGACTGCAAATACGACGGAGGCTTTGCAACAACTGTTAGAAGGCAGGGTTTTGCCTGTATGGATGTTCTCAGAGATCTGGGTTATGCTTCTATAAGGGCATGACCTTGAACATCATTAATTGTTGGTTCTTTCCATTGTTCACAATTATCTTTCTAGATTACCTCTCTCTTCTCACCATTTGGCAGATAGGACTTTCCGCTCTTACATTATTAACAATCACTGTCTGCAAAAAGCAGTTAAATATGGAATCAAGAAAATAGCTATGAGGCCATGGGTTTTGTCTCTAATTCTGCCACTTACTTGATCATCCACTCAACCAAAAAGTACTGAGTCCCTACTATGTGCCGCACACTGCACCAGGCACTGAGAACACGGAGGTGAGCATAGCATGGGACTCAATATAAACAGGGGTGGACACATGTAACAAGAGAGGCTGAGACCATGACAGCCACCTGCACATGGCTTTCTGGAAGCATGAAGCAGTGAGTGCCAGAAGGAGTTTAAGGAAGGCCCCCAGAAGGAGATGAGAACTTAGCTCAGAAGATCCTGGTAGGGAAAAAAAAAAAAAATCCATAAACATATTTCTGATAATTGAGGAAAGTTGAATACAGACTGCATATTAAATATTATTATATTGATTTTAAAATTCTTGAGCATAATGGCATTGTGGTTATATAGGAGAGCATTTTCGTTGTTGTTTTTAGTTTCCCTGGCTGGAAAGCAGTCGCTATTCATAGGCGCGATCACAGGATCACAGCGCAGTACAACCTCAAACTCCTGGACCAAGAGATCCTCCTGCCTCAGGCTCCCAGAGAGCATTCTTTTTTTTTTTTTTTTTTTTCTTTTTTTTGAGACGGAGTCTCACTCTGTCGCCCAGGCTGGAGTGCAGTGGTGCGATCTCGGCTCACTGTAAACTCCGCCTCCCAGGTTCACGCCATTCTCCTGCCTCAGCCTCCCGAGTAGCTGGGACTACAGGCGCCCGCCACCACGCCCGGCTAATTTTTTGCATTTTTAGTAGAGACAGGGTTTCACCGTGTTAGCTAGGATGTTCGCGATCTCCTGACCTCGTGATCCACCCGCCTCGGCCTCCCAAAGTGCTGGGATTACAGGCGTGAGCCACCGCGCCCGGCCAAGAGCATTCTTAGCCTTAGGGAACACGTGCTGAACTATTTATGTGTGAGGAGTCATGATATCTATAGGTTCCTTTCAAAGAGTTCTGAAAAACATTTGTTTTCCTGTGTGTGTGTGTGTGTGTGTGTGTGTGTGTGTGTGTGTGTGCGCGCGCGCGCACATACATACAGCAGGGGTGAGGAGAGAATATGGCAAAATGTTAATCAGTGAATCTACGTGAAGATACATGAATATTTCATGGTACAATTCTTTGTGTTTGAAGTTTTTCAAAATAAAACATTTGGGCCGGACGTGGTGGCTCACCCTGTAATCCTAGCACTTTGGGAGGCTGAGGCAGGTGGATCACCTGAGGTCAGGACTTCGAGACCAGCCTGACCAACATGGCGAAACTAAAATACTACTAAAAATACAAAAATTAGCCAGACATGGTGGTGCACACCTGTAATTCCAGCTACTCAAGAGTCTAAGGTGGAAGAATCACTTGAACCTGGGAAGCGGAGGTTGCAGTGAGCTGAGATCACGCCATTTGCCCTCCAGCCTGGGCAACAGAGCAAGACTCCATCTCCTAAAATAAAATAAAATAAAATAAAATATAATAAAATATAAAAAATTTGGTAAACAACTTGAAATACACATACAGGTTGAGCACCCCAAATCTGAAATGCTCCAAAGTCCAAAACTTTTTGAGGGCCAACATGATGCTCAAAGAAAATGCTCATTGGACCATTTTGGATTTTGGATTTTTGTATTTGGGATGTTTAACCAGTATAATGCAAATATTCCAAAATCTGAAAATCTTCTGTTCCCAAGCATTTTGGATGAAGGATACTCAACCTATATGTAAAGCTATTTCAAGGGCTAAACACTGCACTGAAAAAAGAAGGCATTTGTCAGATCAAGACAGAGGGGAAGGCACTCTAGGGAGAGGGTATGGTGACAGCAGAGGACTTGGAGCAGTAGCCGGTACATCAGTGAAGGCAGGGACTTCATCCGGATTGTTCCCTTCTGTATCCCCACACATGGAACTGCTCCTGGCACAGAGTCTGCACTTGTGTGGATTTGTCAAATGAATGAAAGAGTTAAACAGTGTCATTGATGTATGTAGGGAACTGCAAGCAGGGCAGACTACAGTGAGCATAAGGTTTGCATTAAGGAGTGAGAACTGGTTTGGCTGTGGAGGCAGGGGGCCTGGTCATGGAGGTCTTTGTATATTCTGCCAAGGTCCTGGGGCTTTATCCTATGGGCAACAGGAGCCATGAGCAGGAGGCAATGCCATCAGATTAGCATCCTGAGGGACCACCCTGGCAGTCAGATGTCACGTGGAGTGATGGAGCACAGGCCTGGAGGCAGGAGACAGGGGTACCAGCCAAGATGCCTTTGGCTTCCTTAAACACAAAACTCTGACTGAAATTGGCTGAATTTATCAAGGGACGTATTATCTGGTATAGCTGGAAGCTCTGAGATGACAAACAACACGGAAGACTTATTCAGTGGCTCAACAACATCACCACGGACCCAGTTTCCCTACCGCTCTCCTTCTCATCACTCCACTTCTCTCTGTGGCTGGCTCTGCCTACAGGCTGCCTTTTCTCATCTTCAAGAGATGGCTGCAGCAGTTCCCAGGGTGACATCCAGGCATCCAGGCACAGTGATGACCATAGACAGAAGGGAGCCATCTCTTCTATGTATCTTTTTTTTTTTTTTTTTTTTTTTTTTTGAGACAGGGTTCACTCCCATTGCCCAGGCTGGAATGCAGTGGCATGCTCTCGGCTCACTACAACCTCCTCCTCTCGGGCTCAAGCAATACTCCTGCCTTAGCCTCCTGAGAAACTGGGACTACAAGTGCACACCACCATGCCTGGCTAATTTTTGTATTTTTAGTAGAGATGGGGTTTCACCATATTGGCCAGGCTGTTCTTGAACTCCTGACCTCAAGTGATCCACCCACCTCGGCTTCCCAAAGTGCTGGAATTATAGGCGTGAGCCACCATGCCTGGCCTATTTTATGTATCTCTTTCTTAGCAAGATAACTTTTCCAGAAGCTTCCCAGCAAACCCTCCCTCCCATCTCACTGGCCCCGATTGGGTCACACACCCCATTCCAAAATCAATCATTGTCAGGGGATAAGTTTACATGTCTGGCTTAGCATAATTTACACATGGTGAGAGTCAACTGCTATGAATCATCAGTCAAAACTCTTGAAAGGCTACTGGGCCAGGCAACAGATGCTAGCAGCCCAAGCTACAATAATGGTGGTAAGGGATGGGGAAGTAAGAATAGGTAAGATTTATTTAGCAAGTTATGTTGGTAGAGTTTAGTGAATGTGGGAGGAGGAGGGAAAGGAGGAAGGAAAGGACACCCTCATCCATATTTCCAGCTTGGGTGAGCAGGTTAGAAGGAAGTTTGCTAACTGAGATAAGGTACACGGTGGGGAGGAGAGGTGGGTTTGGGGAAGAGATGGTCTGGGGCAGGCTCAATTTGAAGTGCCCATGGGCACTGGAATAAGACATTGAACAGTCAGTGGAGTGCAAACCATGATCCCAGGGTGGTGGTCCATAGTCAGATCTAGTTCTCGGATGGGCTTTGGTTCAGAAAGATGTTAAAAAAAAAATTGAACCAACATTTACTCTTTGAGAGATTCCAAATAGGATTATGTATTTCTAGCTTCTGTGGGAAAATTGGAAAATCTGGTGACACTGGCTCTGAATTCCTATGCATCAAGAGTTGGCTGGAGCCCAGCAGCAGCCACCCACTTTGGCTAAAACCAGCAGCTCTCTGGTCTGCCACACTCACAGTCAGTTTCATTCATTTTCTTTACCTGCTTGGCCCCTGAGGACATTTCCATCTGACACCTCTGATGGGGAAGAGGTCTGAGCTGCAGATATACATCTTGGAGTCACCGGCATTTAGGTGGCAGCAGAAGCCCTGACTGTGGGTGCCATTGCCCAGAGATGAAGTAGAATGAGAAGCAGTCAGGGAAGTATCCCTGGGGCCATCAAGTTTTTAGAAATAGAAGAGAAATTCATATAGAAGAGAAAGAAATGGTCAAATAAATTGGGGCAGAAGCAAGAAAGCTTGAAGTCTCAAAAGCTAAGAGAGGAGAGTTTGAAGCTGGAGGCAGTGCCCACCTGGGCCAGGTGCAGCAGGGAGGTCCAAAGACAGGAGGAGCCAAAGGAGACACAGCACTGGGGAGATGAGCTGTGGGTGCCACAGGGAGCGTTGCTCCCTCGCATGGTGAGGGAAGAAGCCAGAGAGCGATGAGTTGGGTAGAGGATGAGAGTTAAGTGGACAGAGTTCACATAGACTACTTGGGTGAGAAAGAGAAAAGAAAGTTGGGGTGGAGGCTAGAGAGGATATGGGGCCATGGGATGGTCCCTTTTAAGGATCAGTGAGACTTGGACATCTTAATGGGAGAAATAAGCCACTGGTGAAAGAAAGGCCATAGACATGTACCACACAGGGATGAACAACAGAACCAAGTCCAAGAGGAGGTGGTGGAGGTGAGGAGCAAAAGAGTCAGGCACCACTGGCTGGATCCACCAATAACAGGAGGGGTGTCCAGGCCTCCAAGGCTGGTGCATAGCAGGGGACACTAAACCTGAGTGTGTTCAGAAATCTGATGGCTATCGATGGACCTTTCATGATGGAGGTGGTGGTGGGGTGGAGAAATCAGTAATCTTTCAAAGGAATACTCCAAGGTGCCCATCTTTTTCCATTTGGTGTGAAGGCTGGGGTGGAGAGGTTTATCACTCACAGGTCCTGACTTATAAGCAGCAATGGGTAAAGAGCAGAGCAAGCCCTGGAGGCTGGTTTTCAAACCCTTGGAGGCTAAGTTCCTATCAGCAGAGGGGAAGGAATGTGCAGGCACAGTGGAATGATCATTCTTCCTGGGAGGCAGGAAGCTCTGGGAGGGGAGGCAGTCACAGCATCACACACAGCCTTGAGAGCTGTAGACAATGGAGCCCTCTCTGGTACACATCCTGGTTTGGGTGAGTGTTCCGCCCCTTTTCCTGTGCTTAACTCACTCCAGAAGCATCCACCATAACCAAGATGGACTAAACTTAACTCCACTCTTGCAGATGCCCCATCAACTCACAGATGCAAGTGGTGTCATCAAAGCCCCAGCATGTCACCCAACCGTTAACACCAATCCACATAAAGAAAATGAGCATGCATTCCTGTTTGCTGGATGCTGCACACATTCTTTAAACAGAGTAGGCACTTGGGTGCCACCTTTATTCAAGGTCTTCAGGTTTCTTTTACGGGGGACATCTGCCATAGCAACTTTCAGTGGGCATTTCTTTTCTGATGAAGCTTTCTATCCTGGGGAGCCAGGGAGACTCCAAGGCAATGGAGTCCCCTGGCAGCTCACTGTCACAGGTCAAGGTTTTGATTATGACAAAGAAGATAAAAGAAGAGAAGCCCCTCATGGTTTGTGGCTGCAGCATTACAGGGCTGCCAGAGACCCCAGAGCATGGGTGTCTTGGTGGTCCACATTCTGTGATCCAGGGGAGGAACCCTGAGGAGTAGGGAACTGCCCACCAGAAGAGCACTCACAACACACTCAAGCTTCTTGACATACAATTCCAGATGTCATCTCTAAATTCACAGTGACCTTTTCCCTAAACTATGTTTTGATACAGGGCGAGCAGAAGCGAGGGGTGATACACAGCAACATCGGTGAGCATCTGAGCTCGCAAGGAGGCAGTGGCCTCTGTGCCCCCTCTTCCCACCCGTATCTTAATAAAATTTCCTAAGGATAATTATTTAGATTGTCTCTCTTTTGTGTCTTATGTATTTAATGGCAGAGCTGCTATGAGGCAAAAAGAAACAAACAAACAGAAAGCTCTTTTTAAAAAATGCAGGAGGAGAAATATGCCAGGAAAGGCTACTATTTGACATTAGGCATTCCTGGGATAACTAGGATTTAGCTAACATAAAAATTTCCATGTTTTAAAAAGTATCTCTGATTTAAAAATAATAACAAATCTGGCTACAGCCCTTGCAGTGGAAAAATCAATACTCTTTTATTCCTGTAAAAGCTAGGGCATTAAAACAGAATCCAGGCTAGAAGAGGTGGGTATGCCGGCATCATTTCACCTGTTTTGAATTATGCGGTTAAACCCAGCGTGCATTTCCCTAGAGGGGGCACAGACGCTTCTTCCTTCAAGAACATGCTAAACATCCATCTGTCAGAAACAATTTTGGGGTATTGAGGTGCAGAGACGGAGAACAGAACAGACCATCCCTTGGGGTTCCTGCCCGTACAGAACAGTTGTGTCTCTGCTAGATGCATGCACCCATTATCATTGATCAACAGTCCCCTGCACGACAGGCATGGCCACCCACGCTGGGGACACGGCAGTCCATGTCCTCAAGAAACTCATCTTCTCCTGGCAGAGCCAGATGCCCAGATAGACCATCCCAAGACAATACCACATTGTGAGAGTAGAATGTTGATGAAAACCAAAACCAAACGCTACAATTAACAATACGGATTTATGGAAAGGGGTGCCATTGAGAGCCGACCTCTGGTACTACCACAGGCACTGGGGGCTTAAAGTGTTTCTCACATAACACAGCAGCCCCTGGGGGTAGCTTTCTTATCTTTGTGTTACTGAGTGACTCCTACGATCCCCAGGGTAGTGAAGGGCAGAGATGGGATTTGAACCCAGTTGCTCTGATTCCAAAGTCCCTGGTCTTTTTATACCAAGCAACATCTTAAGTACCATTTTTAAAATATCACATTTCCCGATTCCCTTCACTGAATTTTATTTGTACTTCTCATAAGGCAATTACAGGCTGGGCACGGTGGCTCATGCCTGTAATCCTAGCACTTTGGGAGGCCGAGGCAGACAGATCACTTGAGGTCAGGAGTTCGAGACCAGCCTGGCCAACATGGCAAAACCCTGTCTCTACTAAAAATACAAAAATCAGATAGGTGTGGTGGCAGGCGCCTGTAATCCCAGCTACTTGGGAGGCTGAGGCATGAGAATTGCTTGAACCTGGGAAGTGGAGGTAGCAGTGAGCCGAGATCACGCCACTGCATTCCAGCCTGGGAGACAGAGTGAGACTCCATCTCTAAATAAATAAATAAATAAATAAATAAATAAGTCAATTACCTTAATCTGAGCATGGAGTCATTTATCAATTTTGCTGAACTATAAACTTCAAAGGCAGGAATGGCATCTCTTTACATATTTTGAGTTTGTGTGTAATTGTTTAGATTAGGTGTGCCCATTGGAGGTGGTGATATAGAAGCAGACACCTGAAAGAAGTGAAAGCAATCCCTGAGGGTATGGGGAAGTGGGAAACCTCCAGGAAGAGGACACGGCAGATACAAAGGCTCTAGGTTAAGGGGCAAGCATGAGAAGCAAGACCCCCACTCCACCTACCCCTGTCATTCTGTCCTCTTACTCCACATTATTTTTCTTCAAAGCACTTTTCACTGTTTGACATTATACTTGTGAGTCTACTTGCTTACTATTTACACCCCCCCACTAGACTTTGAGCTTGATGAGGACACAAACATACTCTGATTTCACCACTGTGGATCTGCAGCACCTAGAACAAGTCTGGCCTGTGGAGGGAACTCCATACACATGTGTTTGGGGATGTGCAGAGCATTGTCTGTATTTTTAAGTTTGGCTTATTTTCACTAAGCACTTATGTACAACCGCTGAGCTAAGCACTTCATATACATTTCGTTATTTAATCCTCACAAAAAAATCTATTGAGGTAAGTACTATTATCCCAATTTTACAGAGGGTGAAACTGAAGTCAGTAACTTGATTCAGCCAATAAGTGATGGAGCTAGAACGCAAACCCAGGTCGGATTCCAAAGCCTGTACCCTTTAACCAAAACATTATTCTAATCTTGCTAAGCCTACAGTGGCCACCACAGTGTCATATACATGAGAGGCCCTCAACAAATATTCACCGGATTGAAATAAATATATTCAGTGCGGAGGAGAGGGCATTCCCAAAGAGGACATAACCTAGAATTTGGAGATTAGAAGATGCCTTATGCTGGTGTGGAAGCTAAAAGGGACCAGCGTAAAAGAAATGTAGTTAGCTGAATGAACATTTTCCTCCAGAAACTTACCACATAAGCATTGATGCCTAAGTGCATGGCTCATGTGACAAGGGTACATCCTAAAGGCTCCTAGACTCAAAAAAACTCGAAAGGAAGACATTGATTTCAATTCAGCTCAAAAGGAAGACATTGATTTCAATTCAGCTAATGGCACGGAAGGTCTGGCCTCAGAAACTGTCATACCATGTGAGGAGGAGGAGTTGCAAAGATAGAAGTTTTTGGTGACTCAAAGGCAGATGCCAAAAAGGGAGAACTGGGTAAGAAGAACGTGTCAGAGCTTACCCAGGAGGCCCTATATCTGATGGGCTGGAGAGTTTTGGTCTGTTGGAAGATAAATGACAAAGTGGAAGCTCAAATGGTCTTCATCCAGACAGGTTAGATAAAATATCCCACAAAGACTCCCTAGCTTCTTGCTTTGATTTCAGGCTTGCTAAGACTGATTCAGTTACTGGATTTTGAAATTGAGACTCCCAGAACAATTATCATGGTTTCTCCATCCTTCCACTGATAATTTAGCATTCTGTTCACGGCTCAGGGTCTTGCTGCCAGTAGGTGAGTCCCCTAAGCCTGATCCGTGCTGGAGGAACTGGTGAGACAGAGGTTCCTTAGCCAGGAAGCCTGCGAGGGAGGCCTTAGACTGAGGATGCCACAGCATTTGCAGGTCCAGCTCTGCCTTTGCCTCATCTATGGTATGAGGAAAATGATGATTCCTACATGTCCCAGGTATGAGGACAATCAGGAGAGATCATGGCTATATAGACAAATCCACTGATCTAGGAGTTCTGGTCACCCCTCAATAACACATCAATCTTCAGAGGGAAATTAAGACTTTTCCTCACTTTTCATCTTGGCACTTATCTAAAGTTCTTTTTTTTTTTTTTCCCCCGTTTACCATGAACACAACTTGGGTTTTCCAACAGCTAACCACATTTCCCTACTCACAAACAGCATCCACAGGTTTAGCCTAAGCCCAGGCATTTGGGTCCCCATGTCCATATTTTGGTCACTTCTATGAGATCTGTGGCTGACCAACATCCAAGTGCCTTTGTGGGTGCCATTTCATGGAATTCTTCCAACAATACCCAAAGGTAGCAGGAAAATGGTTACTTCCCCTTTTAAGGAAGAAGAAACAGACTCCAGGAGGCTACACAAGTGACTGGAGGCTCTGGGTCCCAGAAGCCAGTGAAGGTGGAGTTGAAATCAAACCCATGCTGCAATCCCATGCCTTGGAGCTCTTTCCCTAAAGGACACTATGAGCTACCCAGGTCCTGTCAACACTTAACCCTCTAGACACTAGAAGACCCAGGATATGAATTGAACATCAGAGTATTTATGAGCAAGTGTTCAAATCCTGGTTCTCCTTACTTACCATGGTGCTTTGTACTAATTCCCTAACCTTAATTAAGTTCTCCATTGTAAAATAGAGAGGTTAAAAAAAAAGTTACATGGCAAAATCCTGAGAGACCTGGAAACTACTATTAAGCAGCATTTTTAAACTAGCTAACATTTTTAGAACCTGACAGTGTTCCAGGCACGTTCTCATAGGGGACAGCAGTAGCTGGGCTCATTCCAGGCTCAAAGTGAGGTGTGTCCAACCTCTGAGCCTACCACAACCCCCTTTTCCTTACTTCCTCTTGTAACTGCCCTGCTGTGTGAGTTATTATTCATCCTTCCAGACCCTCAGCCTCTCAACTACTCTAATAGCAAACACAGTTCCCTATTACATGCTCCAACCCAGACAAACAAGAGACCGAAAAACACTTGGAAGCCCTCAAGGTCAAGGGCACCAAGGTGCTGGGAACATGACCCCTCTGACCCAGGTGTTGAAATGTAGGGGACTTTACCCAGCCCCTCCCTTCTCTCAACCCCCAAACAGCTATCCAGACCCAACAGGGGCTTCAACCACATGCAGTATGGTTTCTAGGGTGCCTGGTCTTTTTTATTCAACCTCCACACTGCCCAGCACATTCGTCTATCAATGCACCAAGAAGAGGCTGACCTGCCCCCCTCTTCCTTTGAAGCATTTTAAGACAAAATACATTTGATGGATCAGGCAGACTACCCCTCAGACTCTACCTCTGGGCCATTCCAACCTCCATGGTTGCCTCCACTGTGACACAAGATGGACCCCCTAAGAGGTGGCTCATGCACTAGTCCACGGTGGCTGCTCCAGAGACAGGTATGACTGCTCCCTCAGAAAATGATACCACCCTCTCTCTCAAGGCAGAAATAGCTGGGAATCATCCTTAATTCCTGCTTCTCCTCAGTCTCTATGCCCACCCCATTTTATATTGGGTCAACTCTACCTCCAAAATACATCCCAAACCTGCCTGGCTCTCCCCACTTCCACTGCCTCCTCTTTAGGTTCAGCTATCATCAACACTCACCCTGGCTCCTGAGCAGCTCTACAACTGGTCTACCCCCTTGGCCCTCTGGGACTCTGTGGCACAGTGCTCCTCTTTGTGGGGGTTTGAGAATACAGCATTCCATCCACAGACTCCCTTGCAGCTAGGTTGGCCATGTGACCACACACTTGCCAGTAAAATGTGAGTAGAAATGATGCATGCAAATTTTACATCACTTGCTTAAAAGGAAATTGCTTCCCAGGATTTCCTCTCTTGCTCCCATTTTTGTGGGCTGAATGCAGACTTGGAGCTGTACCAGCTCTGACCATACTGGTGGGCACAGAAACCTAAGAAAGGTGAACAATAGGATGGAAGGAGTTTCAGTCCCACAACGATCTTGCAGAGTAGAGCTGCTTACTAACCTGGATCTCTCTGGTGTGACGAGAAGAGACTGGAGGATTGTAAGGCAAGAAGCAGAGATCAGTGTCAAGACTATTACAGAAACCCATGCAAGAGACAGGAGCATTGGCAAAGGTGATAGCATTGGAAATGGTGAGATGTGGTCAAATTCCTGATATATTTTGACGATACAATTAGTTGGGTTTCCTGATAAATTCTACTTTGGGCATGAGAGAAAGAAACACCTCAAAGATGATGCCAGGGTTTTTGGCCTGAGCAATTGGAAGGCTGAATGGCTACAAACTGAGATGGAGGAAAACTGAGGGTAGAGCCCGTATTTGGAGAAAAACTGAGAGTTAAATTTTGAACATTCTTAAGAGTGGAGATTACCAAAGCCTGAACTTGGGGTCAAGGCGGACTGGATTTGAGTCCTGACTCTGACACTCAACTGCATGATCTTGATCAAGTTACTTAAATCCTCTGTGCCTCAGTGGTCTCATCCATGAAACAAAGACTAATAGCCTCCATCGCATAGAGCTGATACAAGGAGGAAACATGTGCATGCCAGACTTTCTTCTGTGCTGTTTGATTCTTCAAAAGGGCTCAGAACATTTGAGTTCAGGAATAAATCTTCCCTCACCTCCATGTCTGCTTATCCCATCTCAAATAACACTAAGCCCCCAAGATTTTGAAAGTAGAGATGTGGCTGTCTGCTGTGGTTTGAAGACAGCTGTGAGGAAGCTTTCAAAGCAGCTGGTAGAGGCATATAACCAGAACATTTTCTTCACCTCAGATTCCTGGCAAAACAAGGCCTGCAGTTAGAAGGGAAAGGTTTTAATTACCAAGCCACCTGTCCAGTCTTCTGAAGCCAACCCAGTCCCTGGGCTGGTTCCCTGTGGGCAACGGGGCATTTAGGGGAACCATGCTCACAGTCCCCAATGTCTTTCATATTTCATAGCCCTGTATAATCAAGCAGTAAATTAACAGCTCTCAATAATGCTCCCGTTATTGTTCCCCTTCCCCATTTCTTACTAAGGATAGAGACAGACATTGAGGGTTTAGGTCATAAAAAGCTTGAATTCCATCCTTTCCTTTCATGCGATCAGGATAAGGTGACCTCTAAAACCAAATGATCTTATGTTCTCCAAAGCTAACTATATCCCCCTGAGATCCCCCTCCAAATGGAAATAAGTGATTTCCAAATTATACATTGTCCATTGACTTTTTTAGACTTATAAATATATGAAAGGTGAGTTGGTTATATTCAAACTTATAAAATAATAATCAAAATTAATAGAAATTCACTGGCACCATGACTCACGCCTATAATCCCAGCACTTTGGGAGGCTGAAGCAGGCGGATCACTTGAGGTCAGGAGTCCCACACCAGTGTGGCCAACATGGCAAAACCACATCTCTACTAAAAATACAAAAATTAGCCAGGCGTACGAGCATGTGCCTGTAATCCCAGCTACTCGGGAGGCTGAGGCAGGAGAATCCCTGAACCTGAGAGGCAGAGGGTGCAGTGAGCCAAGAGCGCACCACTGCACTCCAGCCTGGGTGACAGAGTGAGACTCCATCTCAGAAAAAAAAATTAATAAAAATTCCTGACTCTTGGCCGGGCGCAGTGGCTCACACCTGTAATCCCAGCACTTTGGGAGGCCGAGGCGGGCAGGTCATGAGGTCAGGAGATCGAGACCATCCTGGCTAACATGGTGAAACCCCGTCTCTACTAAAAATACAAAAATTTAGCCGGGTGTGGTGGCAGGTGCCTGTAGTCCCAGCTACTCGGGAGGCTGAGGCAGGAGAATGGCATGAACCTGGGAGGTGGAGTTTGCAGTGAGCCAAGATCGTGCCACTGCACTCCAGCCTGGGCAACAGAACAAGACTCCGTCTCAAAAAAAAAAGAATGAATGAATGAACAGAAGAAAGAAAAGTAAAAGTATGAGCAATTTTGGGGAGTACCATTTATTTATGCCATATATGAACATACTTACTTTCCAAATGTGGCTTTTTTTATTTTTTAAGGAAATAGACAGAGGCCATAGAAGAAAATGAACCCAAGTAGAAGGGGTGTCAGGATTAAACTGCAGAAGGGATGTTCATGCTTCATTAAAGCAGTCTCTACTTTTTCTTGGGCCCATCACTAGACTGTATTTCCCATCTTCCTTGCAGTAAGCTGCAGCCATGTGACTGAGTTCGGGCCAGAGATATATGGGCAGAAGTGATGAGTGTCACTTCCAGGCCTGGCCCACTAAAACCTCTCATGCATAATCTACCATGCCCTTTACCCTTCTGCATGGTCTTGGAAGAGACACGCTGACAATGGTGGAGCCATAAGATGGAAGGAAGCTGTGAGCTTGAACCACCGCTTAGAGGAGAACCACCTGCTGATTAGAACATCCAGTGAGAAATAAACATGTATGTATTAAGCCACCAAAATACGTTAGTAGCAGCTAGGGTTACATTAACTAATATACAGCTCAAATCTTACCCATGTCCCCCATGCAGCCTCACTCTGGCATTTGCAAACACTGAGTTTTCCCAAGACCATGTCAGAGGTTATAAGTCTAAGTCAATCAACAGACTAATGCAATCAACACACTATACCTGTGTTAGCCCTGTCCATCTCACTCTCATGAATTATTTCACCGACCAGTGATATTCTCACTAGGAGTGCATTATTCCATAAAACAGCATACACCAAGAACACGCTGTCATTTTTTTAAAAAAGGCACAAATTATATTTAGCAAGATACAAGCTCCTAAAGAAATAACGGGCAGAAATTAAACAAACCAATTAGTGTGCCATGGTAGTGCTGCCACAGAGAACGTTCCCTCTACCAACTGGCTGTGAGCTCCATGAGGGCCGGGAGGTGCTTCTTCCTGCCACAGGGCTATTCTCTCTGCCTGAAATGCTCTGCCCCTCCTCACCCTCGTCTTCACTGTCTCCTCCGCCTGGTTATTCCTACTCCTCTTTTAGATTTCAGCACAAGAATTCCTCCCAGGTATCTCTGTTTTACTGTATCAGAGCCCTGTGTACCTTTCCTTCTGTGCAGTTTTACATTTCTTGTAAGAATTTCTTCATAGCACTTGTCTATATCTAAAAATATCCTATTTATTTGAACATGTGTTAATTATCTGTCTCCCTACAACCCTGCCAGGGGCCTTGAATCTTTCATCCACAGCTATCTCTCAATGCCTCCTGCAAGAGAAAGTCCTTAACATATAGGCTGTGTAAATAAAGGAATGTGTTACATATCTTTATTCCCATTTATGTGATTTTATCCAGTCAGTCCAATCACTAGGTTAACTTTTTTCTATTCATATTTTAACATCACATTATAGAAAGATGGACAGCTGTTAATATCGGTGAGATGAAAAATCATAAATTAGATGCTAATAATACAGAATTTAAAACACACTCCATCATTTATTCTTATGCCTGAAAAATGTGTATTTAATGCCTTTTCTGTGCAAGGAACTATGTCAGTTGCCCTAGGGAAATATTAAGATGAATGAAATCAAGTTCCCTGTCCTCAAGCGGTTTACAAATCATGGAGCAGGAGAATATTTTATAACGTTAATGCTGAATTTTTCTCCGGGTTTCCATGGCCCTTGCCCTATTCAGTCAGCAGGACTATTTTGTGTTTCTTGCCTTAGGGAAGGAATGGATGACAAGCAGGAAGAAAATTTCTTTTGAGCTTCAAAGACTACACCCTGTTGGGAATGGAATGGACTCTGGTAATTAACACTTTGGGGGAAAATACATGATAATGTAAGAACAAGGCTTCCTGACCCCACAGGAGATTAAAGTCTCCCAACCAACCTCCAAACAGGATGAACTCCAAGGGAGGGGGAAACAGCAAAAAATTCCAGACAGGTTTGGAAGCTCTGAGAGCTGAGGTGACCCATCCCTAGGGGAACTGTCAAGACCTCAGAGAGGCAGGGCTGCATTAAGGCATCCGGGTGCTAGGCAACCATGCAGAGTTCCCTTGCCCCCAGCATGGTGTGGGGCAGAAGAAGGGTCCCATGGGCCTAAGGGAGATGACAATGCAGGAAGAGCAGAGTTGCAGGACCTAACGAGGTCTTGCAGAGGGAAACAAGGGACAAAGAAGCATACTGTCCAGTCCCTGTGACTAAGGACTGGACAGGATGACATGCATTCTAGTAAATAGACAGATGACACAAGGCAAGAGATCCCATCTTGCCTTGGCCCTAATCCTCTAGAATATAGATGCTGCCCTGAGGCAAAGGGAGTAGGGTGGGGAATGGGATGGTATATTCACAAGCAGAAGGGGAGCTCAGAAAAGAAACTTAGTTATAAGAAAATTAAATTGACTCTGTGGCACTGGGAGTGGCACCTGCTACACAGAATTGAAGAGTTAAGGTTTGTACTAATGTAACTGCCTCTGGGCAGAGATCATCATCATGCTATGACGTGTAAGGACAGCTATGCAGTTGGGGAGCCACAGAAGGCTTCAGGGAGGGGGTGAAATGTGAGCAGGGTTCTCAGGCTGTTAAGAGTTTTCAGAGATGGAGATAGCAAATAGGGAGGTTGGAGAAAAATGCATTTCAGAAATGAGAAATCCTTAGTCAAGGATGCAGGGGCAGGAAAGCTTTGCATACATAAAGCAATAGCTCCTCTGACTTATCTACAGCTCAGGGTATATGCAGGTGAGAGCTCACAATCAGTCACTTAGTGGAGAGCCTTAAGTGACAGACCAAGGAGCCTGGCTACTATGTGGTAGATAATAGGGAATTACTAAAGGTAACTGAGCAGTGGACTGAGACGATCAACGCTGCCTTAAGAATACAGAGCTGTCTGGGCCGGGCGCGGTGGCTCACGCCTGTAATCCCAACACTTTGGGAGACCGAGGTAGGCGGATCATGAGGTCAGGAGATCGAGACCATCCTGGCTAACACGGTGAAACCCAGTCTCTACTAAAAATACAAAAAATTAGCTGGATGTGGCCTGGCGGGGTGGCTCACACCTCTAATCCCAGCACTTTGGGAGGCCGAGACGGGTAGAACACCAGGTCAGGAGGTGGAGACCATCATGGCTAACATGGTGAAACCCCGTCTCTACTAAAAATACCAAAAAATTAGCCAGGCGTGGTGGTGGGCACCTACAGTCCCAGCTACTCGGGAAGCTGAGGCGGGAGAATGGCGTGAACCTGGGAGGCGGGACTTGCAGTGAGCCAAGATCATGCCATTGCACTCCAGCCTGGGAGGCGGAGCTTGCAGTGAGCCAAGATCATGCCACTGCACTCCAGCCTGGGCAACAGAGCGAGACTCCATCTCAAAAAAAAAAAAAAAAACTAGCTGGGCATGGTGGCGGGCACCTGTAGTCCTAGCTACTTGGGAGGCTGAGGCAGGAGAATTGCCTGAACCCAAGAGGCAGAGGTTGCAGTGAGCTGAGATCGCACCACTGCACTCCAGCCTGGGAGACAGAGTGAGACTCTGCCATCTCAAAAAAAAAAAAAAAAGAATACAGAGCTGTCAAGAGTTGGAGGAAAGAGAATGAAGGAGAGGGTGACAGCCCAGGCACTAAGATGTAAGGGACTGGAAGTGCAATTGGAGCTATAGGAATGGACAGAGAGAGGCTGATGGAGACAGGGTTGGGCATCCTTGGCAAGAACTGATGTCAGGGAACAGGGAGGAAGGAGTTAATGATGGATGCTTCTAAGGTTACAAGGATGAGGAGGTGGGGAAAGGCAAGGTTTAGGCCTGAAGTAGAATATGTCAGTTGGAAATATGGATCTGGATTTCAGAAAGAGAGAGAGTAATATCAATAGTTGACCTTTGTTGTTAGAACTAGAAGAATTTTTTTTTCAGAGACAGGGTCTTGCTATGTTGCCCAGTCTGGCCTCAAACTCCTGGGTTCAAGCAATCCTTCTGCTCCAGAGTTACAAGTCACTGGGCTATAGGCACACACCAGAGTTGGAAGGGATTTTAAAGATCCCCTAGACTACTGCTTCTCAAACTTTAAAAGTGTGCATATGAATGTCACTTCAATAAAAAATGTAATAAATTCCCCCCAAAAAAGTATGTCCATCATTGGGGATCTTCTAAAAATGCAGATTCTCATTCAGGAGGTATGGGATGGGGTCTGAGATACTGCATTTCTAACAATTCTCAGGCATGCTGAGGCTGCGGTCCAGAGACCACACTTTAAAGAGTAAAGGACCAGACCAGTATTTCCCCAAGTATAACGTGGATGTGTCTGAGAGCACATATGAGGATTTTAGGTGATTCATAGACATTCTATTTAAAGATCTATTCGCTATTTGCTTATAATAGTGATGTGAAGTTTTCTTTAAATGCATTTAAGTATTAAAAAGTTAATTTGAAGAAATATTAAATAACAATGGAGGAGGCAGGCAATGGTGGCAGAAATTGGGCAGGTGGCCTGCAATTAGTAAAGTCTGGGGCATGCTTGTAGGAAGCTTCTGGGGGTACTTGTAGGAAGAGGGGAAAAATTTTACCCTACTCAGGGTAAAATCCAGTTTAGAGTAAGTAGTGGTGATGCAAGAGGAAAAAATGCTGCTTGATGGAACAAGGTGACTAACAGAGAAGGTGACTGAGCATTTCCGGAGCCTATGAGCATTTCCGGAGCTGTGAGCCCAGCACTGTATTGTAGTGTCATTTACTCTTCATGACTCTATAGATATGTATGTTACCATGATCCTAATGAGGACACTGTGGCTCAGAGAGGTCACCCTAGGTCGCACACCCTGAGCATATGTAAGTATCACAGCCAAGACTTGAATCCAAGTCTGTGTGACTCCAGAGCTGCACGCTTAACTTTTCTCTCAATTACCCTATTCAGCAGGCTGGAGACTTGTACAAAATTCTCTTTTCAATGCTGCTGCTGCTATTTTTCTACTAAGGCAGCTCGGTGTAGCTTTTTTTTTGTTTTTTGTTTTGTTTTGTTTTGTTTTGTTTTTTAAGACAGAATCTTGCTCTATCACCCAGGCTGGAATGCAGTGGCACGATCTCAGCTCATTGCAACCTCCGCCTCCCAGGTTCAAGCGATTCTTGTGCCTCAGCCTCCCGAGTAGCTGGGATTACAGACATGCACCACCACGCCCAGCTGATTTTTGTATTTTTAGTAGAGATGAGGTTTTGCCATGTTGGCCAGGCTGGTTTTGAACTCCTGGCCTCAGGAGATCCACCTGCCTCAATCTCCCAAAGTGCTGGGATTACAGGTGTGAGGTACTGTGTCAGCAAGAATTGTGTGAATGTCACAATTCAGCAAGAATGTCAGCAAGAATTGTGTGAATGTCACAAGAATTGTGTGAATGTGTCAGCAAGAATTGTGTGAACGTCAGCAAGAATTGTGTGAATTCAAATTCATTGAATTCTGTTTTGTAAATCAGGTATTATCATTCTCATTTTCTTTCTTTTTTCTTTTTTTTGAAATGGAGTCTCGCTCTGTCACCCAGGCTGGAGTGCAGTGGCGCGATCTCAGCTCACTGCAAGCTCTGCCTCCTGGGTTCACGCCATTCTCCTGCCTCAGCCTCCCAAGTAGCTGAGACTACAGGCGCCCGCCACCACGCCCGGCTAATTTTTTTCTATTTTTAGTAGAGACGGGGTCTCACTGTGTTAGCCAGGATGGTCTCAATCTCCGGACCTCATGATCTGCCCTCCTTGGCCTCCCAAAGTGCTGGGATTACAGGCGTGAGCCACCGTGCCCGGCCTATCATTCCCATTTTCAAGATGACAAACTGAGGCTTACCAGAGTTACACAATCAGGATTCAACACTTGGGTCTCTCTGACTCCAGGTTCAAGGCTTTTCCAACAAGCCCACCCCAACCCCGCTCCTCTTTGTGTGTTACCGTTGCTAATAATCAGACTTTCCTCCCCAGGCTGGAGTGACTTCCTACCATTTGCCAAACACATGCCCCCCACCTTGCTCTCTGCCCTGGTGGACAGATGACACCGTTTAAACCAATTCAGAGTTTAACCTATAATCTTGGTGTCAGTTGGTGGCTAATAGCTGCCTTGTAAGTTTAATAGGTGCACCAGATCTCCGGCAGGTGCAGACAAACCACAAAGAAACCCACTCTGAATCTCTGCATGCTGGAACTGTCCCTAGATTACAAACCAAACTGCATGTAGCGGTGCCATCAGGCAAGTCTCTTAAGTTTTGTCAGGAATGCTACAAAGACTTTTTAAAAAACCAACCTTTGTTTCAGATGTTACTAAAAGGAAAGGTACTGTAAATAACTCTCACATGGGGCTGATCAATTGCCCTTCTAAACCAAGATCTATTCATACAGCATTGTAACCAAAACCTGAAATACTGTTATTTTGCAAGGAGAGGGCATTCTAGAAGCAAGGATTTAAGTGTCAGACAAATAAGATTTACTCCAGATTCTAGTCAAAATCCCCTTTAATTTATGTTAAACATAGTATTTTAAGCATCACTAATTTTCCCTTCAAACAGGACTTCCATCTAGAAGCCAGGCCTTCTGACTTCCCTTTCCCGTCAATTCCCACAGTTCCCCTCCCTTTCCAGGCTTCCAGGCTACTTTACACAAATGCTTTCATCTCCATCAGTGGCTTTCCTGTTCAATGCATCATGACATTAGCATGGTTTTTCCCATCATTTTCCATCTGGACCCCACTCACCTAACAAAGTTTGCTCATCACTCATAGGCACACAGAGTCTGCAGGAGTGAGAGTAACAGGGCATCATGAAGGGACTGGCCAGGACACAGAAAACCCAAATCCTACCACAAATCAGCCACCCTTCCCCATGAGGCCCCAAGGGAAAGGGGTGCAAGGAGGACAGAGCAAGGCAAAGTAACACCTTATTATTGGCTGGTTGGCCTCTGGCTCTGAGTAGAACCCCAGCAACACTGGCTGGCTTGCGAGCTCCCTCACTGGAGCTAGCGAGGCTTGAGTGCCCCAAGGGGTTTTCTTGAATGCCCACCCCCAGACCCAAATCTGTGCCTCCACCCAGAGCCAGCCACCACAACACACCAGCAAGAAGAACAAGCAAGACAAATGGGGCGACGGACCCAATGCCTAGAACGGAGTAAACCTAGGCCACTCTCCCAGTCCTCTCCAGCCAGAGGAGGGTAAGGGTGGACCCTGGAGAGAATGAATGGGAATGAATGAACAGACAGACAACATGACAAGTGGGCAAAAAAAGAACTGTCAGGCCTTCTTCAATGGGGCAGGCCTCAGTCCAAGTTATTTCTCAGCCTCCTGGGAAGGAGGGCAGACAGAGCAAAAATAGGCCCCATCTCTTACTCTCAGAAGCAGAGAGTGAGGAGACAGCAGGAGAGAGGTCCCTGGAGGGAACAGGAGTCCAGTGCTTAGGGGTCTGGCCACACAAAAGCAGAGTGAGAAAGGCCCCACAAGTCTGCGCATCCAAGGCCGTGGAGCCGAATGCTCCATCCACCTCCCCCAGCCTCCTCAACACAGGCGCACATTCTCACCTGCACCTGTGGGCTGTGGCAACACTTCCTCAATTCCACACCTAGAAGTGGCCAGCTGGGAAGTTAAGGTGCTGAGACGGACCTCCGACTCGTTCTCCTAGAGAACCATGTCACATAGCCGTCTATGCTTCTAAACCTCATTTTTTTGGTTTTATTTTTATCTTTTTCAGCTTTATTGAGGTGTAACTGTTAAAATTGTATATATTTAGGCTGGGCACAGTGGCTCATGCCTGTAATCCCAGCACTTTGGGAGGCCAAGGCAGGCGGATCACCTGAGGTCGGGAGTTCGAGACCAGCCTGACCAACATGGAGAAACCCTGTCTCTACTAAAGAAAATACAAAATTAGCCAGGCGTGGTGGCACATGCCTGTAATCCCAGCTATTAGGGAGGCTGAGGCAGGAGAATCACTTGAACCTGGGAGGTGGAGGTTGCGGTGAGCCGAGATCACGCCATTGCACTCCAGCCTGGGCAACAAGAGTGAACCTCTGTCTCAAAAAAAAAAAATTGTATATATTAAAATAGTATAATGTAATGATTTGATAGATGTAAATATTGTAAATTGATTACCCCAAATTAATTAACATATCCATCACCTGTTTTTTTTTTATGAGGTTTAAGGTTTACTCTCAGCACATTTCAAATATATAATACAGTATGATTAACTATAGTCATATCAGGCTGTACATCAGTGCCTCCAAATCTGTTCATCCTAGGACTGAAAGTTTGTACCCTTTGACCAACATCTCCCCATATCCTCTGCCCCCCACCCAGCCCCTGGCAAATGCTTTTCTGCTGTTTCTATGAGTTTGAAATTTTTTGTTCTGAAATATAAGTTTTTTCCTACAGGTTTGCCCAAGGGGCTAACTGAACAAAAAGAACCTGGAAGGGGCTCAGCCACGTTCCTTCCACCAGCTTCCTGATTCCATGGCGTTTTCATCAAGCAAAACCCAGGTACTCCGCGATGCTGGGCAGAAGGTGGCAAGCGTGGTGGGTAAGAACGCAGGCTTCGAGTCAGATGGCCGGGGGGGTCACACACCAGCTCTGCCACTTACTATGTGGTGACCTTGAGCAAGTTAGTAAACCTGTCAGTGTCCTCATCTATGAAACAGGCAGAGCAATAGTAGCAACCTCAGAGTTGGCTGTGAAGCTCAGATGAGACAATCCATGTAAAACACTGAGCATAGTGCCGGACACATAGTGAGCATGCAGTAAAAGCTGGCAGCCGCGATGATGATGGTGGCACTGTTATTATATTATCACTACGACTATAAGAATAATAGGCCAGGCGCGGTGGCTCACGCCTGTAATCCCAGCACTTTGGGAGGCCAAGGCTGGCAGATCACAAGGTCAGGAGATCGAGACCATCCTGGCTAACATGGCAAAACCCCATCTCTACTAAAAATACAAAAAATTAGCCAGGTGTGGTGGTGGGCACCTGTAGTCCCAGCTACTCGGGAGGCTGAGGCAGGAGGATGGCATGAACCCGGGAGGCAGAGCTTGCAGTGAGCTGAGATCACACCACTTCATTCCAGCCTGGGTGAGAGAGTGAGATTCCGTCTCAAAAAAAAAAAAAAAAGAATAGCATCAATAGCATCAATATTGACCTGCGCTGTCAGAGCTGGAAGGAATTTTAAAGATCCCCAAACCAGTGGTCCCCAACCTTTTTGGCACCAAGGGCCGGTTTTGCAAAAGACAATTTTTCCAAGGTCCAGGGGGTTGGGGGGATGGTTTTGAGATGATTCAAGTGCGTTACATTTATTGAGCACTTTATTTCTATCATTATTACATTGTAACATATTAATGAAATAATTATACAACTCACCATAATATAGAATCAACAGGAGCCCTGAGCTTGTTTTCCTGCAACTAGATGGTTCCACCTGGGGGTGATGGGAGACAGTGACAGATCATCAGGCATTAGATTCTCATAAGGAGCACAAAACCTAGATCCCTCACATGCGCAGTTCACAACAGGGTTTCGCTCTCACAAGAATCTAATGCCACCACTGAACTGACTGAGGCAGGGCACAGGTGGTAATGTTCACCTGCCCACTGCTCATTTTCTGCTGTTTGCCCGGTTCCTAACAGGGTCTGCAGCCCAGGGTTTGGGGACCCCTGCCCTAGACCGTTGCTTCTCAAACCTTACTCCAGCTTCACTCTAGATTGCCATGGCTTCTAGGGGCAATGGAGTGTCCACTTTCCTGCTTGTTCCTTTTGCTTCTCTGCAACTGCTGACCCTTGTCTACCAAGGTGCATTCAAAGTCTTTCTTCACATCACCACAGACTCTCTCACACATGGTGTGTTTGGAGCAAGGTTAATGGGCGATAGGAGCTCTTCATTGTGAAAACCACAAATAGTTAACCAAATGCCCAACTCACCTCTTTGTCTCCCCACCTCCACTGCATTATATGAATTTCTTTGAAGGGAAAACATGGATTTGCTCAGCCTTCTTCTAGTTCATTTACTCATACTCCTACCTCCAATAAATACTCTGGTAGTTGTTACCATATTTGAAGAAATGCTACAAGCAGAATTGTTAAAAATAGTAACAGAACAGCGATTTATACCTTAAACAAATCATTCCAACAGATGGGACTTAAAGCATTTATTATCCCTCTCTGGTCTGGGACTTTTCAAACACTGCATTTCCAGCCGGCCAAACTGGGAGCTATTTGATAGTACCTCTCTGACCAATTACATACTAATTAAAAGAACTTGGTGTGGGCTGGAGGGAGCAGCTTTGCATATGGACTTTAATTACTGGGCTCCAGTTTTGCCAAGAAAACACAAAGGGCTTTTTTGGCTGGAAGCTGCGGCTTAGAATGAACATATGGCTTGCGTGGGAGGGGAGGGTTGAGAGTGTAATCCTAAACAGGAAGTGGAGTATTTCCCCCCCTCCGTAATCTCCTGGAAGTAACTATGTACCAGGGTCATCCAAAATCCCTGATTCAGTGCCCGGAACAAAGGGCAGCCTGAGTGGGCAGTGAGCTGCCACTCTGGACCTGTCATTCAATCCTGGGGTCATCTCTGGATCAGGATTCTTTCTTGCCCCTCTGGCCTTTTCCTGTTGTTTTTTGGATCAGAACCTCATGTCTCTTCCCAGGTTTCACAGAGCCTGGGGTAGCCCAGTATTAATTTTTGGCTCCCCAGAATCCATTTCCCTGTCTCCTAGTTATGTCATCCCAAACTCCCCAGTGCTCAAGGCTCAGGCAGGGCTATACCTCGGGCTCCAGGGAGGAGCATGTGGCCCAGTACTGATCAATTTAATCCCTCTGGCCACAGTGTCTGATTCAAGGATGAGTGTTTGCCCTGAACCAGTACAATCAGCATGACGCTCAGGACGTGTGTGGGAGCTCACACTTGGGTAGCTATGTTTTTCTGTGCAATTTGGGGATTGAAAGGTGATGACTGGAGGTGTGGCAGTCATCTTGCTGCCATAGGAAGGAGCAGACCTGAAAATGGAGACAACCCACGGGAAGGGGGGGGAGAGAGAGAGAGACACACACACACACACGCACACACAAAAAGCACTGGAATAGCATCTGAGGTCCAGGATTAAGCTATTGCTGAATGAATCCACTCACGACCTTTCAGTATTGTAAGCCAATGAATTCCTTTTATGCTTAAGCTGGCTTCAGTTAGGTTTTCTGTCCATTTGCAACTAAAATCATCCTATCTGGTAGCAATAAGATCAGGAGGCAGAAGTTAAAACAACAACTATTCAATCTAACAGAGATCCAGCCTACCAAGAACACACTTGCTAAAGCCTCTGTGGAGCCATGGAGACCTCGGCCAGAGTCAAAGAATTATAGAGGTGGAAGAGACCTTGGAGACAACACATCCTGTTCAACCACCATTGCTGACTTTCTTTCTCTAAGTGGGTATGTACCTGGAGGTCCAGGGAGGAAGGACAGCACATAGTAAGCAAGAGGCAAATTCTTCTTCCCCTTGCTGCCTCAATGCCTTGTATGAGGCTGTTGCTCAATAAAACCTTTTTGACTAAACATTACAGACCCAGTCACCAATAACCAACCTCTCTCTCAAACATGCAGCTAGTAAACAGCATTTTTTTTTTTTTTTTTTTTTTTTTACAGCATCTCACTCTGTCACCCAGGCTGGAGCTCAGTGCTGAGATCTCAGCTCACTGCAACCTCTGCCTCCTGGGTTCTAGCAATTCTCATGCCTCAGCCTCCTGAGTAACTGGGATTACAGGCGCATGCCACCATGCCTGGCTAATTTTTGTATTTTTAGTAGAGACGGGTTTTCACTATGTTGGCCAGGCTGATCTCGAACTTCTGACCTCAGGTGATCCACCCACCTTGGCCTCCCAAAGTGCTGGGATTAAGATGTGAGCCACCACGCCGGGCCTGCTTTTCTTTTTACAAGGCATGTATCTCTTCCAATAATTCCCTGAGTGGATTACTTTCACCTCCTACAGCAGTTTGTCTCTCCTTCCGTTTCTTTGCTTGACACTACCTTCTCATTTCTTTCTATTCTCTATTTTGCCCTTTCCTTTTTTGCTCAAAACTTTTCTTTACTTCTTGATTCCACATTACCTATGGGCACTTAAGAATCTACACATTGTTGGCCGGGCACGGTGGCTCACGCCTATAATCCCAGCACTTTGGGAGGCCGAGGCGGGCAGATCACGAGGTCAGGAGATCGCAAACATCCTGACTAACATGGTGAAACCCCGTCTCTACTAAAAATACAAAAAATTAGCCGAGCGTGGTGGTGGGCGCCTGTAGTTCCAGCTACTCAGGAGGCTGAGGCAGGAGAATGGCATGAACCTGGGAGGTGGAGCTTGCAGTGAGCCGAGATTGCACCACTGCACTCCAGCCTGGGCGACAGAGCGAGACTCCATCTCAAAAAAAAAAAAGAATCTACACGTTGTTCACTTCTCCATCCTTTAACTTCTACTGAAACCCTGAATCACCTATCCGTCGTCACCCATCCTCTAACCTATCCTCACACATAGTTCGACTGCATTAAAAACAGCTATTTTTTTTTACACCCTGTCCCCAAGCAAACATGCATACACACACACACACACACCCGCTAAAATCAATTTCTCACAACTGAGTTATCAACATCTTTACGAGAGCCAAGGGATATTTCTTCCTAGAATCAGATCTCGCAGCCACCCAAGATATTTTTACATGGTTCAGGATGGTAGTGGAAAGTAAATCTAATTGTCCATTTCTTGGCAATGCCTTGTAGGACATGATCAGTTATTTAAACTTCCTGTGACTAAATTCCCCCTATTTCTGTGACAGATTAATGCCATTTGCCAGCATATAATGTTAGCCAAGTTCTGGTAACACACAGAGGGAAAGCTTCACGTAAACCTTAAGCAAAGTTATTACTCTCTGGAATCCAGTATGTAATTGGCACTCCTTAAGAATTACAATTATTATTTTTATATTCCTTTTAGAGTGTCTTAGGAACTTACAGGTCTTCAGAGAAAAAGCTGTGGGATTTTGGATGAGAGTCACAAAATCATTTGCTCTCTAGTCCAAGTGAAATCTTTTGTTAGAACTTTGGACTGGGAAGGTGGAAAGTTAATTCAGGATATAAAATAAACAAGTGATACCTTGAATCTATGCAGCCTCCCATTGCAAAAATCGGCAACTGCTCCCACGTAGCACTTAAACCTCAGTGCCTTCTTTTACTGGAAGTTGTTCTGAAGAAAGGAATACAAATAAAGAAAAATTTAAAGAAAATGTATGATGGGTACAAATTCTAGGCTTCCTTTCTTATTCCCATTGTTAATATAACTCTATTTAGACAAGTTCCCTACTTTCTTATTCAACTTCAAAACTGTAATTACTTACAGAACTGAAAAAAAAAAATCTACCTTTCCCAGCGTCACTTCTTTACTCTCTTTGGAAACAAGTCTGTGTACCTTCTCAGACACCCTCCGCTGCTTCCTTCTTCCTTTCTCTCTAGGCCAGGATCCCATCTGTCCTGGTTGCCCCTCTACCCCTAATGGTCTGAGGTCCAGCTTCCTGAGAGGCCACTGAGAGGATGGGTGATACAACCCTGAGCCCCCAAAGAGTGCTTTACCAATGAGAAACAGGAGCAGGGGCAGAGTGGGAAAGAGCTGGATTCCTGTTTCCTTCTTTCTCCCGCTATGCTAAGGCCGGATTCCTCCAGTAAATTGTCTGGAAGAGCCCTGCATGCTGAGTGACCTGCTTGATCCTTCATGGCTTATTTGGAAATGATAGCCAGCAGAAAAAAAAGAAAATGAAAGAAATTCATGTATCCCGTTGTCTCTCCCTGTGCCCCACACACCCTCACCCTGCGATTTCACCTCCCAGATGAAGTTTTAGCACCAGGGTCCTTGCCTCCGACTCTGCTTTCTGGAGGACCAAAGCTAAGATGTTTATTTTCTCTAGACCAGCATTTTTCAAGGCGTGATCTGCAGACCACCTGCATCAGAATCCTCTGGGGTTCCTGCTAAAAAGGCAGATTTCCAGGTCTACTTTAGAGATTCAGATTCGGTAGGCCTGCGGTGGATCCTAGGAATCTGCATTAACAATCTCCAAAGTTGACTCCTAAACACTATAGAACATGAGAACCACTGGTCCAAATTCCTCCAGTGTCTCCCAAGCTCTGCGAATAGGACTCTGTGGTCACCCAGGCTAGAACTGCAGCACGTGCCCCTTTATCCCTCATTCTTGCTGGGTCCTACTGATATTTACCAATGTAATATCACCAGCTTCTGCACCTGCTCTCTGTTCTCCAATCCCACTGTCCCCATTTGGGCTTATCTCCTATTACCTGGACTATCATCAAAGCTTCCTAAATAGGCTCCCCAGTTACCTTCCAAAACAACACTAAAATCAGGGATAAGGCTGCGAATTTCCTAGAGCATCTAGAAAAGCACAGTACAAGAAGCGGGTATGCAACTTATCAGAGAGATGTATGAAGTCCCTGAGGTGATGTGCCTTCAGCTGGATACAGTCAGGCCTGTGCTAGATTTGTGATCCTGCCCATTTGCTGTGTTTAGTTCTTATATCATTACTACACTTGTTTTACTGATCATGACAACATGTATGGTCAACTCCATGTGAGGAGAGGTCAGCTCATCTATATCTGTGCAATCCTATATATCTAATGGGGCACACTGCACACAATGGGTGCTTTACACAGGCTACTGACAGTCAAGATAACAGGGATATAAAATTCATTTTCTTTTTTTTCCTCCCTTTCAACCTTCCCAGACCCATGTCACTCAATCTCGCTTCTGAATTGATAAACACTTCTAACATAGCTTGAAAACTCTCCTAGGCTCTCTTCTGCAAGATTTTGGTCAAAATCCATTTAAGTGCACCTGTGTTCTGTTTATTTCCTTCTTCACTGTCTATTCTGACATGAGAAACTGAATGTTCTTCCTTATAAGGACACAAATTATATTGCTTAACTGTGATAATTATAACTAACATTTAATAAGCACTTACCATGATCTAAGCCCTTTCCAGGCATTTCTTCATTTAGTCTTTTTTTTTTTAAGACAGGGCCTCACCATCACCCAGGCTGCAGTGCAGTGGTGTGATCATAGCTCACTGCAGCCTCAACCTCCTGAACTCAGATGATTCTCCCACCTGAGCCTCCCAAGTAGCTGGGACCAGAGGCACATGACACTGTGCCAGGTCAATTTTTTTATTTTTTGTAGAGACAAGGTCTTTTATGTTGCCCAGGCTAGTCTTGAACTCCTGGGCTCAAGCCATCCTCCTGTCTCAGCCTCCCAAAGTGCTGGGATTATAGGTGTGAGTCAGTGCACCTGGCCTCATTTAGTCCTTTTGAAAGCCCTAACAGGTAGGTACTTGTATTGGCCCAAGATGAGATTTGGGTGGGGACACAGCCAAACCATATCAGTACTATTTTTATCCACCTTTACAGATAAGGAAACTGAGGCTTGGAGAAATTATAACTAGCCTTCAGAAAGTCCTGGAGGTTGTCTGATTACAAGGTCTAGGATTATAACCATTCTGGTACCTTCTTTCCTCACTGCCTGATGATGCACAGTGATTTTCCACAGTGTAGCTACCAAATATGAATTTCTCAAGCTGAACAACTGTCCACATTCATGGCTGACAGAAGTCACCCCACAATGAGAGCAGGTTACTAGCCTCACAGTCTTGGTCCTCTGCCTACTCTCAACCAACCTTCTGGTTTTTGCAGATCTACCTGTGCCGTCCCACTTGCCATATGGTTCTGTCATTTCATTTGACAGAATGACATTTCATTTCTAGATAATATATGCAGTCTTCATATTTGACGTGTCTTGCAAGTATTCATGCCATATCAAGCCAGGAGCTCATTTCCCTCCCAATACTTCTACAAACATCCTCCAATTCCATCTACCCCAAAGCCCTGCTTCACACTCTCATCCTAGCATCTAAACCACTACAGAAACATGTCTCACAGCATCCTAGTGACTCAGAATCCCCACGACAGAATCCTGTGTGGCCACTTGACAGTTTTCTTCTTTGAAATCGCCTTAATTGGCCCTCAAATCTCCCAGTGAACAGTTCTCTCTTCTCAGTAACTCCGTGGGGACTCCATATCCTTTTCTATATGCTTCTTTGTCCTTCTGAGCCTTTAAAACTAACCAAGATTTGAGCTGAAGTGTGAGGTTAATTAACTGGCTTTGGCATGCCACTTGATTCATCAAGACATAGGCCTATCCCCCTGTTTTTAACAGGCCTGAGTCATCCCATGATGGTACTATTCCCTATTCCTAGATCCTTAGGTGATGATAACTGCCCTCCACCCCAAGCTTGATTTAACATTTAAGCTTGGCTTTCCAGCTATCTTGGTCTCCCCATGCCTGCACACCTGGAACCATTCACAAAGTGGTAGCTGAAATTTCCACTAATTCAAATGGAATGCTAGGGATGGAGGCCATTGGGATGCCCTCAGCTTATCTCAAGACACAGGGCAAGGAGCAGTTCTAATCTAAGAAGCGCATGTGTCAACAAACCTAAAGAGTGCCCACTGGGGGCAGAGCCCTGAGCTAGGTGTACTGGAGCAGCCCAGCTATGTATATGGTTGCCCTGAGGCATGCACAGACATCATGGACAATGCTATGGACTGAGTCGTGTCTCCCCAAAATCCACATGTTGAAGTCCTAACCCCCAAAATGACTATTAGGTGATAGGGTCTTTAAGAGGTAACTGAAGTTAAATGAAACCATAAGGATGAGGTCCTAACTGAATAGGACTGGGATCTTTATAAAAAAAAGAGAGAGAGATTGAACTCTCTCTTTCTCCACCATGTGAGGACACAGCAAGAAGGTGGCTGTCTGCAAGCCAGGAAGAGAGCCCTCACCAGAAACTGACCATGCTGGACTTCCCAGGCTTCAGAACCATGAGAAATAAAATTCTATTCTTTTAGCCACCCAACCTATAATGTTTTGTTATGGCAGCCTGAGTTGACTAACACAGCAAACTCTTATGGCCACATCTAGTCAACATGGCTGATGGGAAACAACAGGAATTCAGAGACATTACTCTCCTTATCTGCCTAGCCACTCTACTTGGAAAAGGTACAGAAATCAGGGAAGGAAGCAAGCAAACTGGAGAGAAACACATGTGAAAATGATTCCATCCACCAATTAGCATTTATGGAATATTGTATACCATTATAAATTCTTTTCAAACAAGATATATTCATATTTGTTTATAAATGCATGGAAGAAAGATCTGGAAAGGTATACACTAAATGAATAAAGTTTGATGGAGTAGAGAGTGGTGAGAGCAGCAGTGGCCTGTCTGGAGCAGCCACTGCCATGACACTGGCTGCAGTGGGGGAGATGCAGCCAGGGCTGTGCACTTCACAGAGCTGGTGGAAGCCAGAAACAGGCAGAAGCTCCAACCCTTCCGAGTTGGAGGGGTGGGAGCCCCACCCTCCCAGGTGCAGCTGCAGCCACCCAGCCACAGCTGTGGACCTGGGCATCTCTGCACTTTTGGGGGCCTGAGAAGGCTCCTTTCCCCTGCAGGCTCAGAAGCACCTCCTCCCACTGCCTAGCCTCTCCTCACTCTCAGCACCTGCACCAATTTCAGAGTGAAGCTGAGGCCATGCCCAGGCACTGTCACAACCCAGGACACTTAGGGTAGTGCTGACACACCAGCCTCCTGTTTCCTCAGCCTCCTCTGGACTTTGGGTGCTGATAAGCACAGGAGGGAGGCTGAGCAAGGTGTGAGGGCCTGCAGGCACCCATCAGCATGAACAGCCTGGGCACCATGGACAGCAGCAGGAGGCAGACAGGTTCCCAGCCAAAAAAAGGTGGGTCCCCAGTGAAACCCCACCTTCAGGCCAGGGATGGCCTGGGGGCCGGGCTGCCAGTTCTGCAGACTCAAGTGAGAACTTACAGTGCTTTTTCCAGGCCTGCTCATGGCTGCCCAAGGACCAATCAGCATGCACTTCCTCCCTTCTGAAGCCCATAAAAACCCCAAACTCAACCAGACTTTGACAGAAGTCAGGAGGACCTGTCTGCAGAGAGGAGCTACCCACTGTGGGTCTCCTCTCAGCAGAGAGCTGAATGAACTTGTCAGGATGCCCCCCAACCTGCAGAGAGGAGCTACCCTCTGCAGGTCTCCCCTCCACTGAGAGCTGTACACTTGTCAAGATGACCCGCCTGCGGATGGGAGCTTCCCATTTCAGGTCTCCTGAAAACTGTTCTGCTGCTCAGTGAAGCTCCTCTCTGCCATGCTCACTCTCCAGTTGTATGTATACCTCACTCTTACTGGACATGGGACAAGAACTCGGGACCTGCCAAATGACAGGACTGAAAGAGTTGTAACACAAATAGGGCTGGAACACGCCCCCTGCTCACCACATTGTAGATGACGAGGAGAAAAGAGCTGCAGCCCTTAGGGGAGCCCAGACTTAGAGTTTCCCAAGCGAGGACTGTGACGCCCTCTTTGGGGTTCTGTGGTTCCTGGTGTTTACAAGCTTCTGGGTGCCACCACGTTCCCCTCATCAAGACACAGGTGCCCATAGCAGAAGCTGCATGCAGTACATCTGGTCCAGCCACAGCCTTGCACAGAGCCAACACCTATGTTGGTGCCTGTAGGTGCCTGCCTTGCCACAGCAGCCAATGTGCCTGGCTGTGCACAGTGGCCAGACCCCGCACTTGCTCACCCACACACCCCTCACTGCTCTGCACCTGGCTCACCCTTGGCAGGTGTGGATCCAGCCCATTAGCGTGAGCCAAGCCCTGCCTGCCACACCGAGTAGACAGAATGAACCCAGTGGGTGCAAGTAATACTCAGGCAGATGGCACCACTGGCCACAGAGGTTTCTGGCTGGCGAAGAGACCCCCCAAGGATCCCTGTGACAGTGGAAAGGGGAGGGGAGGAAAAAAACAAGGAGGCTGATGAAGAGGGGCTTTTACTGATGTAAAATTATTTTAACACATTCACCTGTATAGGGGAAAACACACACTTTTGCAAATATCTGCCAAATCAGGAAGAAATGCAGCATGCAAGGCATTGTGGGCCTGCTTTCCTGTTTGACAGGTGTATTAGTCCATTCTTGCATTTCTGTAAAGAAGTATCTGAGACTGGGTAATTTATAAAGAAAAGAGGTTCAACTGACTCACAGTTCCATAGGCTGTATGAGAAGCATGGCTACGGAGGCCTCTGGAAACTTACAATCATGGCAGAAAGTGGAGGGGAAGCAGGCACGTCTTACATGGTTGGAGAAGGAGGAAGAAGGTGAAGGGGGAGGTGCTACACACTTTTAAATAGCCAGATCTCATGAGAACTTACTATCATGAGAAAAGCAAGGGGGAAATCTACCCCCATGATCAAACCACCTCCCATCAAACCCCTCCTCCAACACTGGTAGTTACAATTCGACGAGATTTGGGCAGCGACATAAATCCAAACCATATCAGCAGGTGATCCTACTCCCCAGACTTTTTCTCTGGGACACGGGACTATAACCACTTTCAAGGTGCTGAGAGCTGTCTATCCTATTAATGACTATATCCCCAGTACCTAGCATGTACCTGGCACATAGTAAATGCTCAAACATTGGGTTGCTTGCATACGTGAATACATGAATGCATGAATAAATTAATGGGGGATGGAGCAGAACCAAATAATAAAGTTCTTTGGGAAGGTCTAACCTGGTCAGGAGAGTTAATTAAAGCCTCAGAACACAAATCTGTGTGACTTTGTGGAAGAAGGCATGAGTGTGGGGCAAGTGGGGAATCTGTATGACTTCAAGTTTTAAATAATTCAAGGGACTTTAGGTGGTATATGGTCTAAGAAAAGGGTCAGACAGACTGGGGTTCTTGGAGTAGAGCCCAAGATTCCAGTATTGAAAGACAGACTAATGTCTTTAACAAGAGTATATGCCCCGCTGTGCTACCAGACAACCAAGAACCGCACGAGTTCTCATGTGCTTCTCATACAGACCTGCCTACCTAAAACATGAAAGGGTCTTGATAGAAATGACTTGCTTCATGTCATATTGAGACTCAGCATAGCATGAAGGTTAAGAACACAGGCTCTGGCCCTAGACTACCTGGATTAAAATCCTGGCTTCATAACTTAGTAGAGATAGTTAACTTTCCAATGCTCCAGTGTCTCCACTTGTAAAATGAGGATGGTCAGAGTACCTGGTTTATAGAAGAAACTCGGAATGGTGCCTGGTCCTAGGAAAGAAGGGAGAAGTAAGGAAACCTCAGTTGATAAGAAGACAGCCAAGTGAAATCATGTGACTTTACTTGTGCAGAACTCATCATTCCAAGTTATAGAAACAAAATAACTTGCATTAAAACCTACATTGTTTTTTGAGACAGGGTCTTGCTATGTTGCCAAGGCTAGAGTGCAGTGGCATGATCACAGCTCACTGCAGCCTCAACCTCCCAGGCTTGATCATCCTCCCACCTCAGCCTTCCAAGTAGCTGGGACTACAGGCACATGCCACCACACTTGACTAATTTTTGTATTTTTTAGAGAGACAGGGTTTCACTATGTTGCTTAGGATTGTCCTGAACTCCTGGGCTCAAGCAATCCTCACACCTTGGCCTCCCAAAGTGCTGGGATTACAGTTGTGAGCTACCACATCCAGCCTAAAATCTACATTTGATACATCATTGCAATGATCTTTAGATGTGTCTATGTGGCTAAATACATGGGCATCAACCTTTTTGTGACACACACCTTCTCCTAGTTATTCAATCAAACCCTAACCTAGGTGCTGCTGTGAAGGGATTTTATAGATGTGATTAAAGGCCCTAATCAGTTGACTCTAATCTAGGGAGATGATATTCGATGGGCCCAACTCAATCAGGTGAGCCATTAAAAGGGATTGAGCTTTTCCTGGTAAAAGAGATTCCAACAGCAGGTGGATCCACAATTGCTTTTCCTTCACTGGATTTTCCCTATTTGGCTGCCTGTGGACAAGCTTCAGCAATGCCCATGTGATTCTTCCTTCCTGATAGTATGCCCTGTGGGTTTCAGGCTTACTTAGCCAAGCCCCACAATTATGTAAGCCAATTCCTTGTCATACGTTTATTAAAACATGTATCTCCTACTGGTGTTGCTTCTCTGCTTGACTTCTGACTGATACATTTCTCAGAAGTGTTAACTTGAGGGTGCAATGAACCACTTCCCCTTTTCCAAATCAAGCATATTAAGGATCAAAGGGCTGAATATGAGCACCAGTACACAGTCAATTCTTATAACTCGCAGTAGTTATGTTCCATAAAGTGACTGCAAACACTGCATTGGCAAATATTAAACCATTTCTCCCAAGGGAAATACAGAAGGAGGTTTCTTAAAGCCTCTAGCCAAACGGATCAACATTTTTTGTCAACTGATCAATACATCGATGTGCTTTATGTATGTTTCTGTTTAAAGACAACTCACTCAATACATATTTTTATTCATTAACACTGAACTCAGCCAGCAGCACTAAAACTCAAGCCTGAACAAAGCTTATCTAACACATGTATTTTCTTTGCAAGGCACATCACAGCCTTCTGGAGCTTGGGAACACTAGACAGCACAATGCCTGGGGGCCATTTAAACAGCAAAATCAAGGCCAGGAGTGGTGGTGTGCACCTGTAGTCCCAGCACTGTGGGAGGCTGAGGCAGGAGGATTGTTGAGGCCAGGAATTCAAGGTTACAGTGAGCTACGATCACACCACTGCATTTCACATCAGCCTGGACAAAAAAGCAAGACCCTGTCTCAAAAAATTTTGAAAATAAAAATAAAAAATGAACAACAAAATCGCTAACAAAAAGCACAAAAACGTGAAAAACACAGCACACGCAGAATACTAAGAGGACACTTGACCACAGTATGAGGGCTGAAAAGTGAAGGCAGAGTGTCTTGTTCCAACTCAGCTGGGACCATGTGAACTGAGTGACTCAAATTTTGTTCTGGTCCCATGATGTCCACAAATGAACACAAAAGCGCTACAAATATGGATTTTTGGAGTTACAGGTAAATGTTAACAAGTAGGTGAATGTGCAAATATGGCCTCTGTGAATAAAGAGGATCAGCTGTTTTTGTTTTTTTTTTTTTTTTTTTTTTGAGATGGAGTCTGGCTCTGTCGCCCAGACTGGAGTGCAGTGGTGCAATCTTGGCTCACTGCAAGCTCTGCCTCCCACATTCAAACGATTCTCCTGCCTCAGCCTCCCGAGTAGCTGGGATTACAGGCACCCGCCACCACCCCTGGCTAATTTGTTTGTATTTTTAGTAGACATGGTGTTTCACCATGTTGGCCAGGCTGGTCTTGAACTCATGATCTCAGGTGATCTACCCGCCTCGGCCTCCCAAAGTGCTGGGATTACAGGCATGAGCAACCATGCCCAGCCGATCAGCTGTATTTTTCACTCTTTCCCCTTTAAAAAGATTTTTCTTCTCTTCCATCCCAAGCATTAATTTCTCCAGTTTGAATCCACCCTCATCCACCTCCTTTTCTTTTCTATTTTGTCCTCATCTTTGGCCCTCACAAGTGACGCTGGACCTTCTCTGTTTCCTGCTCTTCATCTCTGCAGAAGAATGGCAAAAAGATGACCAGATCCGAGGCTGTGCCACGTTCAAGGCAAGAGGGCCTGGGTGAAAGCAACAGCAGAGAAGACAGAGAGGGAAACCCAGAAGGGGTCGACCCTTTCTTGATAAATGCTGAGAGCTGGAGGTTTAGGAAGGAGGAGTTGAAGGTGACTATAGTTTTTAATTTCACAAATCCAGCAAATGCTGAGGACCTGTGCTTGTGACCAAGAATACGAGAGATGGCAGTCTCTGAGGAAAGGCAATGAATTCTATTTGGGATGCATTAAGTTTGAAGTGCCCACAATATCCAGATGGTATATGTATCCATCAGTGCACTTGGTTGTAGAGAAATGAAAGCAACTCAGGCTAATTCAAGCACAAGAGGAAATTACTAGAGGATATCTGGCAATTCTTGTAATTTCCAGAACAGCCAGAGAACCAAGGTTGGCCCCTTTACAGCCAGGAGCAAACATCGAATTCATTCCGGACCTCAGCCAGTGAGGAGCCCCTTGTTGATACCGCTGGAAACTGACTCTAGCTCACAGCCCTGGCTTGGGCTCTGCTTCCAGAATCCTGCCACTGTCATCCTCACCAGGAGAGATCTGTGTGGGCCCCGATTCTAATCGGGATCAGAGCACGGGCTTCTGACAGGTGGGGCCTGAGCCACATGCCTGCATTCTCGCTGCCAGTATGGGAAGGATTACTCTGGAGTGGGAAGTGCGTTCAGTCCCATAAGGTGCAAGATTCCCAACACATAGAATAATGTTCAGATATTGGGTCATCAGAAAGACTAACAAATGTTCACCACTTATATTCAGAAGGGTTAGAAACAGGAACAGTAATAACAGCTTGCACTTTTAAGCGTTTACTGTGTGTCAGGCACCATACAAACTGCTCAACATGCATTTAGAGTTTAAATTGTACAAAGTATGAAGTGGATATAGGGAAGCGATCCCGGCAGAACAGGGCAATTTACTGCGCTGGTGAACTACCCCAGTTTTTCCAGGACTGAGGGGTTTCCCAGCAAGCAGGACTTTTCAGTGCCAAGACAGAAGATCAGATCAAGAAGATCTTAGGGAGAAAGGACAGCTGGTCAGCCCGGTCTCATCAGAAAATCCTGGGTCCAAATTCTAGCTTGTCCACCTGAGCCACGTAACCTAACTTATTTGAATCTCAGTTTTCTCCATTATAAACTAGGAACAACAAAAGTACCTCCCTCACAGAGTTGCTGTGGAGGATTAGAGATATGTGTGATGTATAGAGCCCATCATCAGGTATGGCTTTTTTTGTTTGTTTTTTGTTTTTGAGACAGAGTTTCACTCTTGTTGCCCAAGCTGGAGTGCAATGGCACCATCCTGACTCACTGCAACCTCTGCCTCCCGGGTTCAAATGCTTCTCCTGCCTCAGCCTCCTGAGTAGCTTGGATTACAGGCATCTGCCACCACACCCCACTGATTTTTTATATTTTTAGTAGAGACGGGGTTTCACCATGTTGGCCAGGCTGGTCTCGAACTCCTGACCTCAGGTGATCCCCCGCCTCGGCCCCCCAAATTGCTAGGATTACAGGTGTGAGCCACTGTGCCCAGCCCAGGTATGTATTAAGAGCACAAAAATGTTAGATTATTCTCAACTCCAGAAAACCTGAGTCTGCCCATGTCATAACAAATAGTACAACCGAGATTTCAATTTAGGACTGAACAACTGAAAAGTATACTTTAAATCCCTAGGGATCCCCATCCACATGGAGGTTGAAGCTATAGGAGAATGGAGGAATGGTGAGAAACTGGGATTATTACTACCTGATATCCTAATATTTAAGGCAGATAAAAAGGACAAAACCAACAAAGAACAGATAAAATAAAGAGATTGCAGATGGAAGAGATATCATAAAAGTAGCCGGGCGCAGTGGCTCACACCGGTAACCCGAGCACTTTGGGAGGCCAAGGCGGGGAGATCACCTGAGGTCAGGATTTCGAGACCAGCCTGGCCAATGTGGTGAAACCCTGTCTCTACTAAAAAATACAAAAATCAGTGGTGCATGGTGGCCTGCACCTGTAGCAGCTACTTGGGAGGTTGAGGCAGGAGAATCGCTTGAACCCGGGAGGCGAAGGTTGCATTGAGCTAAGATTGTGCCATTGCACTCCAGCCTTGGGTGACAGAGCCAGACTCTGTCTCAAAAAAAAATGTGGAGTAACTGCAAAAAGCTGGGGTGGCCAATCAGATCCACTGTGGCAGAGAAGCCAGTAGGTTAGGAACACATACCACTTTTGTAATCAGAAGAGGACAAAAAGTTAAAAAAAAAAAAAAAAAAGGTGAGGAATGTTAGCTTTCAGCCATAATGGAATAACAGAGGGTGATTTATTCTCCTACCTTAAATAACTAGAAAAGCACACGCAATTTATGAAACAACAGTTTTTAGACATTGGACAAGTTTTTAGACAAAGCACAAGACAAATGATCCCCTGAGAAAAGAAAACAAATTAGGTGAGCCCTGAGAGCGCCCCAGCTCACTGTCTGGATAGAGTTTCCAGGCCATAGTGCAGGGAGGAATAAAGTAGGTGGAATAATCCCCAAAGCTAAGACATGGCCAAGAGTAGTTCATGTTCCAACCAATCAAAGGGGAAAGACCTTCTAATACACGGAGCATCAAGTAGAGTCCTCAGGAGAACACTTCTTCAATATTGAGCCCAAGTTACCTTAGATGAGAAATTGGTAACCCTTTTTCTTTTTTGAGATGGAGTCTCGCTCTGTCCCCCAGGTTGGAGTGCAGTGGCAGGATCTTGGCTCACTGCAACCTCCACCTCCCAGGTTCATGCGATTCTCCTGCCTCAGCCTCCAGAGCAGCTGGGTTTACAGGTACGCACCACCATGCCTGGCTAATTTTTGTGTTTTCAGTAGAGACAGGGTTTTGCATGTTGGTAAGGCTGGTCTCAAACTCCTGACCCCAAGTGATCCACCTGCCTTGGCCTCCCAAAGTGCTGGGATTACAGGCATGGGCCACCAAGCTCGGCCAGGCAACCTTTTTCTTAAAGGACCAGATACAAATTTTTTTAGGCTTATGGTTCATAACAGCCACTGCTGCTGCAGCAACCCAATTCTGCTGCTGAAGTATAAAAGCAGCCCTAGACAATAGGCAAACAAATGGGTGCAGCTGTGTTCCAATAAAATCTTATTTACCAATACTGGCAGCTTGTCTGTGGGCCATAGTTTGTCAGCTCCAGACTTGGACTAAGTTCTGTTCTAGACTCACCCTCACAAAGCTGAAAAGCTAGACTCAAAGATCAGATTAATTCCAAGCAACACAGCTGTATCCCGCTGCATCCCAGAACAAAGTCCAACAATGTTTATGGAAATGCAAAGCACCCCAGCACTCCACAATGTAGACTTCACAATATTTAGCATCCAATCAAAAGTTGACAGGCATGCAAAAAGTAGGAAAACATACCCCCTATTGAGGAATAGACCCCGAGATGCCACAGATGACACAATTAGTATATGAAAACATTAAAACAGCATTCTAATTATGTACGTTCAAGAAAATTAAAGGAAAGCATGAGCGTGTTAAGGAGAGACATGGAAGGCAAAAAAAGGTTATGAATCAAACTTCCAGAGATGAAAAATAGAATGTCTGAGATGTAAAATAAACTGGATGAGATTAAGACATTAGATACTGCAGAAAAAAAAAGGTTAATGAATTGAAATCATCTGTCAGTAAAAACACTGACAGAAAAAAAAAACTAAAAAAAATGAACAGCACATCTGTGAGCTGTGGGACAACGTCAAGCAGGCTAATATAATTGGAGCATGAGAAACAGGACAGGAATAAGGGGCAAGAAATATATCTGAAGAAGTAATAGCCAAAATTCTTCCAAATTTAAGGAAAACTAGAAACCCACAGGTGCAATAAGCTTAACAAATCTCAAACAGAAGAAACATAAAGAAGACTACACCAAGGCATATGATAATCACATTGCTTATAACTATTGATAAAGAGAAAATTTTTAAAGTAGAAAAAAAAACAAAGAGAAATAAAGATTGACAGTAGACTCCTTGTCATAACCAATACAACTCAGAAGACAGTGGTATCTTTAAAGTACTGAAAGGAAAAAAAAAAAAAAAAAGGTTAACCTAGACCCAGCAAAAGTATTTTTTAAAACCAGAAGTGAAATAAGACATTTTAAACATAGGAAGAATTCATCACCAACAGACCACCACTATTAGAAATGTTAAAGGAAGTCTTTCAGGCAGAAGGCTATGATACCAAATGGAAATCTGGATCTACACAAAGGAATGAAGAGTGCTAGAAATGAAAAATAGGTCGGCAAATATAAAATATCTTTTCTTCTCCCTTTTAAAAATCTTGGGTGGTGGCCTGTAATCCCAGCACTTTAGGAGGCCAAGGTGGGAGGATCATGAGGTCAAGAGATCAAGACCATCCTGACCAACATGGTGAAACCCCATCTCTACTAAAAATACAAAAATTAGCCAGGTGTGGTGGCATGTGCCTGTAGTCCCAGCTATTCAGAAGGCTGAGAAAGGAGAATCGTTTGAACCTGGGAGGCACAGGTTGCAGTGAGCCGAGATTGCGCCACTGCACTCCAGCCTGGTGACATAGCGAGACTCCGTCTCAAAAAACAAAACAAAACAAAAACAAACCTTGAGATTTGACTGTTCAAAGGGAAAATAGCAACAATGTTTTGAGGGGTTTATAGCACATGTAGAAATAAAAATAAAATGAGTGGCAAGAAGAGCACAAAGGCTAGGAAGGAGAAGAGGTGGAAATATACTGTTGCAAGGTTCTTATGACAAACGTTAAATGACATATTACTTGAAGACAGACTACACCAAGTTCAGGATGTACACTGTAAACCTCAAAAGAACCTCTAAAACAAAAAACGAGGTATAGCTAATTAAACCAATAAAGGAGATAAAATATAATCATATTGACTACAAATGGGCATGAGGGATCTTTTTGGGGTGACAGAAATATTCTAAAACTGGATGATTGTGATCGTCGCACAATTTTGTAAATTTACTAAAAATCATGAAGTGTGTAATTTAATTATTTATATATAAATCATTATAAATATATAATGAACAGCACATCTGCATTTATACACACATTATAAATATATAATGATTTATATATTTGGTTGGTGCAAAAGTAATCGTGGTTTTTGCCACTACTTTTTAAATCTTCACTGAGACCCCAGAACCAACTCCTCCTGCAAACTCTGGGAACTTCATCCACAATATTTCCTTCTCTCTCCCTCCTGTTTCATCAGTCTGTGTTTTCTCACTCCTTCCTCTAAACCTATACTAAAATGACCCATCCTAAAAATAATCACCTTCCCTCAACTTTCCACTCTCCCTGTAGCTATCCATACCCTTCTTCTCCACCAAATGTCTTTTTTTTTTTAATTTTTAAGTGAAAGCCAGTTTATCAGGAAAGCAAAGGAATAAAAAATGGCTACTTCATATGCAGAGCAGCAACTTGGGCTACTGGACTAAGGATAGTTATATTTATTGATTATATGCTAAACAAGGGGTGAAAAAAGTTTTTTCAGAAAAAAAAATGTGTGTGTATGTATATATATATTTTAGAGACAGGGTCTCGCTCTGTTTCCCAGGCTGCAGTGCAGTGGTACAATCTTGGCTCACTGCAGCCTCAACCTCCTGGGCTCAGGCGATCCTCCCACCTCAGCCTCCCAAGTAGCTAGGACCACAGGCACACATCACCATGCCTGGCTAATTAAAAAAATTTTTTTTTTGTAGAGACAGGGGTCTCACTATGTTGCCCAGGCTGGCCTTGAACTCCTGGCCTCAAGCAATCCTCCCACTTCAGCTTCCCAAAGTGCTGGGATTACAAGTGTGAGCCACGGCACCTGGCCAAATTGTATATTTAAGATGGAAGAATTTTATGGTATGTAAATTATTCCTCAATAAAGTTGCTAAGAAATAATATTAAAGCACTTAATCTAAAAGAATGCAGAAAAAGAAAAAAGGAACAACAAAACACAGATGGGACAAATAGAAAACAAGTAGCAAGATGGCAGATTTAGATATTTATATTAAAAAGTAGGGGGCTGGGTGCAGCGGCTCATGGCTGTAATCCCAGCACTTTGGGAGGCCGAGGCTGGTGGATCACTTGAGTTCAGGAGTTCGAGACCAGCCTGGCCAACCTGGGGAAACCCCGTCTCTACTAAAAACGCAAAAATTAGCTTGTTGTGGTGGTGTGTGCCTAGCTACTCGGGAGGCTGAGGCAAGAGAATCACTTGAACCTGGGAGGTAGAGGTTGCAGTGAGCCAACATCATACCACTGTACTCCAGCCCAGGTGTTAGAGTGAGACTCTGTCTCAAAAAAAAAAAAAAAAGGAGAGAGGTCTAAACAATTTTGATTTTTAAAAAAAATTAAAGGATTATTTCAAAAATTCTTATAAGGCTGCAGTAATCAGCTTTGTATATAGCACTACATATCCCCCTCAATGGCTAAAATGTAAAAGACTGGCAATATTAAGTGTTGGTGAGGATATGGGAGGAAATGGAACTTTCATAGATGCAGATGAGGATGCAATTTTTCAGGCACTTTACAAAACAGTTTGGCAGTTTCTGATAAAGTTAAACATATACTTACCATATGACTTAGAAATCCCACTCCTAGGTATTTACCTAAGAGAAATAAAAACGCATATCTACACAAATATTTATATGTCAATGCTCATAGCAGCTTTAGTCATAAATTCCTGTCCTTCAACAGGTAAATGAGTAAACATATTATAGCATCTTCATACAACAGATAATTACTGAGCCATAAAAATGAAAAAACTACCCACACATGCAGCAGCGTGAATGAATCTCAAAAGCATCATGGTAAGTGAAAGATGCCAGATACAAAAAAACTACTTACTGTGTGATTTAATTTATATGAAATTCTAGAAAATGCAAATTATAGTGATTAAAAAGCAGGTTGCTGGTTGCTAGGGGTCGGGGAAGAGGTAAGGAATTCACTGAAAATAAAAGAGGGATCTTTTGGAGGTGTTGGAATGTTCTATATTATGATTGGGGTAGTGGTTATAAGACTTTATACATTTGTCTAAACTCGTTGAACTGTATACTTAAAATTGATTTTACCACATTAAATTATGTCTCAATAAAGCTGACAAAAAAATAAATATACTGAAATCGGTAAGTAGACCAAAGAGGCAGGCAGAAGACAATCCACTAGGGAAAATATTCAAACTTCTATAATTAAATCATCTCTTAAAGTATTTATTTTGGTTTATATTTCATAGTAGACACAATATCTATACATTAGCATATGTATATAATTTATAAATAAATATTCATATGTTGAGGCACATACTCAATTTGTTTTCACTGATAGGGATGAAACTCTCAAAACATCTGGAGAGTTCAGAGTTGCTTGCTATAAGCCTGGCAGGGCAATTTCAGTGCCATGGTAGAAGCAGAAACCAGACTGTAACTGGAGTTGAGCAGTGGAGATAGCAGGCAAACATCTTTCAAGATATTTGGTGGCGGGCACCAAAACCAAGGAGGCAAAAACAGTGACCTCTGGTCGTCCTCACTGCTCATTATATGCTAATTATAATGTATTAGCATGCTAAGAGACACTCCCACTAGAGCCATGACAGTTTACAAACGCCATAGCAATGTCAGGAAGTTACCCTATATGGTTTTAAAAGGGGAAGAACCCTCAGTTCCAGGAATTGCCCAACCCCTTTCCCAGAAAACTCATGAATAATCCACCCTTTTTTAGCATAAAAATCAAGAAATAATTATAAGCACCATTAGTCCAGCAGCCCAAGTTGCTGCTCTGCATATGGAGTAGCCATTCTTTATTTCTTTGCTTTCCTAATAAACATGCTTTCGCTTAAAACAACAACAAAAAAAGACATTTGGTAGAGAGGAAGGGTACGGATAGTTACAAGGAGAGTGGAAAGTTGTGGGAAGGTGATTATTTTTAGGATGGGTCATTTTAGTATAGATTTAGAGGAAGGAGTTAGAAAACACAGACTGATGAAACAGGAGGGAGAGAGAAGGAAATATTGTGGATGAAGTTCCCAGAGTTTGCAGGAGGAGTTGGTTCTGGGGTCTCAGTGAAGAACTGAGAGAGAGAAAGCTGTGATGTTGCTGGTCTCATTTTTTACTGATTACTAAGCAAGGTCATCAGTGAATGGAATGTGATAAGGCAGGGTAAAGTAGAAGTCATCTTTAGAAAAATGAGCCTGAGAAATAATATCCGGAACGACTAGAACCCTCACTCCCAACACACACACTAGTAAACAAGTAGTTGTGAAACAGCAGCTGAGTCTCTACTATTGATATGGTTTGGATTTGTGTCTCCACCCAAATCTCAGGTCAAATTGTAATCCCCAGTGTTGGAGGAGGGGCCTGGTAGGAAGTGACTGGATCACGGGGGTGGATTTTTCCCTTGTTCTTGTGATAGTGAGTTCTCATGAGATTTGGTTGTTTAAAAATGTGTAGCACCTCTCCCTTGTCTTCCTCCTGCACCAGCCATGTAGGACAGACATGCCTGCTTCCCCTTTGCCTTCCACCATGACTGTAAGTTTCCTGAGGCCTCCCTAGCCATGCTTCCTATAGAGCCTGTGGAACCGTAAGGCAATTAAACTTCTTTTCTTTATAAATTAAGTCTCAGGTAGTTTTCTTTATAAATTAAGTCTCAGGTAGTTTTCTTTATAAATTAAGTCTCGGGTAGTTCTTTATAGCAATCCAAGAACAGATTAATACAACCATCCAGTTATTTTTATGGTGCTGGTGCCATTGTACACTCTCATTTCTGAACTAACCCTTAGATGCTTGACAGGAGTTAGCTGCTTAAACTTGGCACGAAAGGAAATGTCTCCTTATGCCTACTCCAGCAACAAATGGCCCCAGTAAGTGGAAGGTGGTAGGGATTTAAGTGGAAACTGGTGAGCTGATATCTTTAACCCGGGGTCCCTTTGTAATTTACCCATCGCCCACCCGATCTTGGACCAAGTTTTCCCATTATGCCTCAGAAGCTAATTTTGGTCCTACTGGTCAGTGCTGCTCTGGGTGTGGTGGCTGTGTGGGTGGGGACCACCAGGAAGTAAAGGAAGTGGGACTGGTGAATCAGGTGGGGCCCTCCTTCAACACAGCCTGACTCACCCAGGAGCATGGGAATAGGGGCTTCAGGGCTGGCGGCGCCACCTCTGAGCAGCACCAGGGCCTTGAGGGGCATCATTAGTGGTTGCAGATGCTTACCCAGCACTTCTTGCAGGATGGCCTGGGGCCTGCCCACATGCCATTTGGGTAATTATGTCCTATTTACCCTCCTGCAGATTCAATGAACTGACCATGGACTTCCTGACGACCTCTCTGAATGCTGCCCCTAGTGACATAGCAGGTTGAGCCTTAAAGATGGTGCTTCTTCCACATGTTCTCACTTATAAGTGGGAGCTGAACAATGAGAACACACGGACACAGGGAGGGAAAAAACACACCCTGGGGCCTGTGGTGGGAGCAGGGGCAGAGGGGGCAGTATCAGGATAAATAGGTAATGCATGGGGGGCTAAATACCTAAGTGATGGGTTGATAGGTGCAGCAAACTACCATGGCACACATTTACCTATATAACAAATCTGCATGTCCTGCACAAGTATCCTGGAACTTAAAATTTAAAAAAATAAAAATAAATAAAAAGATGGTGATTCTTGCCAAACCCCTCCAACCCTCTTTCCTCCCTACTCTATGCTGGAGGATTCAACAGGACTTAGTGGAAGGGCCTCTGGCCACCCTCTCTGTTCAGTTCATCAGCTACAATGTGTCTTTTCCCCAAGAAATCCAGACAGCCTCTTTTGCTAGTGTCAATGCATGATATAGAGGACTTCTTGTTTCTCTACCTCTAGTAATGCTACCTTTTTTTTTTTTTTTTTTTTTTTTTTTTGCTCCAAAGAAACAACCCTCCTTCACTTTTTAGTTGAGGTGGCTCAGGTGGTGCCAACACTACCCTCAGCTTCAGGGTGGGCCCATGAACCAGCCTGGCTCAGTGGAACACTGACATCTGTTAGCCGTAATGACTGGTTCAGCAACAGATATGGGACCCAAAGAGAGTCAACAAGACCCAGTTCCGAGAATTCTGAGGATCTCTTAGGAAGAATTGCTTTTCTCTGCTCATGTTACTGAGAGCACAGAATATAGGTCAGAAGTTACTGGCAGCTTTTTTTCTCTTGATGAGTTTGAATACACCTCATGTGCTAAGAACTGCCTCAAGTGTCTTTATATATATCAACATTATCTCATTTAATTCCCACATCAACTCCAAAAGTTGTAAGTTCTATTACATGAGGTGGCATAGTTTGGAGGTCAATAGTACTGGCTCTGGAATCAGATTGCCTGGGTTTAAACTCTCGCTCCATAGGTACTAGCTGTGTAACAGGCAATATTTAAACATTTTGTGCCTCAGTTTACTTCATCTATGAAATGGGGCTAATAATAGTACCTACTCCATGGGTTGTTGTGAAGGTTAGTAAGGTCTTATATGTAAAGCACTTGGAAGACCATCAGGCACCCAGCAAATGCTCAATAAAATTTAGCTATGACTATCATCATTTCTAAGGTACATACCAGGACAGTGAGACACAGAAATGTTGACTTAAGTTTGTACAGCTAGCAAGTGACAGACTGGGAATTTAAACTGAGGCTGTTTTGGACTCCAGAGGCTGTGTTCTTTTTTTTTTTTTTTTTTTTTTTTTGAGACAGAGACTCGCTCTGTCGCCCAGGCTGGAGTGCAGTGGCGTGATCTCGGCTCACTGCAAGCTCCACCTCCCGGGTTCACGCTATTCTCCTGCCTCAGCCTCCTGAGTAGCTGGGACTACAGGCGCCTGCCACCACGCCCGGTTAATTTTTTTGTATTTTTAGTAGAGACGGGGTTTCACCATGTTAGCCAGCATGGTCTCAATCTCCTGACCTTGTGATCTGCCCACCTCGGCCTCCCAAAGTGCTGGGATTATAGGCGTGAGCCACTGTGCCCAGCCGGCTGTGTTCTTAACCATCAAATACTTCCTTTGCCTTGGCACCCCCAGAGGAGAGTCTACCTGAAAACAGAGAGCTAAAGCACAGAGAAGCAGAGTGGAGAGATGCAGAGAGTAAGACAGAGCCCTCAGGAATCACTGGAGCCCCTTAAACCAGCCGAGGCAGAGGTCAAGTCTACCCCTGGAGTTTTCTTTTTCAAAAAATTTTTGTGGGTACATAGTAAGTGTATATACTTATGGAGTACATGTGATGTTTTGATACAGGCATGCAATGTGCAATAATCACATCATGGAAAATGGGGTATCCACCTCCTCAAGCATTTTCCTTTGTTACAAACAATCCAATTGTATAATTTTAGTTATTTTCAAATGAATTATGCCATTAAATTATTATTGACTATGGTCACCCTAGCATGCTATCAAATACTAGGTTGGCATTTTCAATAATAGTATTCCAGCAAAATTCCTTCAGCCTCAACCCAGTTTGAGTTGGTGTATACGTCCCTTGCCTTGAAATCCCTTGCAGATTTAACTAATGCAGTCATTCAGATCTCATCTCATATCCTTGTATTCTGGGCCTGACTGGCCCAAGGAGAATCCCCAAGAAAGAGTCTACTCTAGGGTTACAAAAACGAAGTTGTTCATTTGTTTGGTCATTCATTCATTTCATTCAAGCACCCTCTATGTGCCAGGCACTGTGTTAGCTGCCAAAACCTTCTGGGTGGATTGGGCATAAGGCATTCCTGCATGAAAATATCAATGATATTCCCACCAGCATATCAATCAGGACCAACTCCAGCCACAAGCCAAATCTTGGTTCTCCTGTGTGTCAGAAAAGAAGTCTCTGGGATCAGGCTGGGTGTGGTGGCTCATGCCTGTGATCCCAGCACTGTGGGAGGCTGAGGCGGGTTGATCACCTGAGGTCAGGAGTTCAAGACCAGCCTGGCCAACATGGTGAAACCCTGTCTCTACCAAAAATACAAAAATTAGCTGGGCGTGGTGGCGCACACCTGCAATCCCAGCTACTCAGGAGGCTGAGGCAGGAGAGAATCACTTGAACCCGGGAGGCAGAGATTGCAGTGAGCCAAGATCACAGCACTGCACTCCAGCCCGGGTGACAGAGTGAGACTCCATCTCAAAAAAAAAAAAAAAAAAAGTATCTGAATTGTATGATCTATGCCAGATCTTTTCTAAGCTCTGCATATCCGTCGCTACAGCCGGACCCTAGCTCGTCTTTAAATGGAAGAGGTAATGGGGAATATCTGCACAGACTAAATTATTCATTTGCATCGAACCACATAAACAGCATTCAATCTCCATCTCTGGACAGTCTTCCCTGATCAAAGTATTCGAATGAGGTCCAAACAGGAACTGCAGATACAAAATGGGGGACTCAGAATGCCAGGGTAGAGCCTTCCACAGCAAGGTGTGTTGTTTCCTTCTTTGCATCAGATCTATTCACTGAGAACCCTTCAGGGCTGGGAATACTTTTGATTTTTACATCACAAGCGTCATAGAAAATATACAATGAAAAACCTAATGATTCCTTGGAGAGTTCATTGCTCTCCCCCATCTTCTTTGATTCCCCTGCCTCCTCTCCACATCCTTTGAACTTCTAAAAAGACACTTTGAAGGCATGTCATAAAGCAGTTTTTCATTCATGCGCCTCTCTTTGATGATCTTGCTATTTGTCTGAACTGCAGCGTCCACAGGATGTCGGGCCAGGAGAGCTGAAAGCCAATACTGACGAGGAAGGGCCAAGTGAGGAGGAGTCTGAGCTGCATATGTCAAGAAGGAGAAAGGGGAAAGAAGCAAGGAGCGAGACCAGAGGGAGCCACGCAGAAACCTCTGGCCTCTCTGCACGTCTGTCTTATCCTACAGAGTGGCGACTCTAAAAGGCCAAGGGTGCCAGCGCCCAGCGACAGTTCACAGCCTGAGACACGCTTTGCTCACACGCCTCCCTCCTCCTCTGGCTCCTACCTGATAAAAAGCATTACCGGTTTTGATGTTTCCAACCTCCCCCATTTTCCCTGGTGAAAGATCCATTCATTTCAGTGCTAACAAGACATCATAAGCAGGGAGAAGGAACAAAAGGCAGAGTGTGTGCTAAGGAGGGAGGCAGTCTGCAGAGGCACCACTCTTTTCACCTTATCCACAGAATAAAGGGTTGAAGACTAAGACTTTTTATAGATGACTCTCGAGAACTTGAAGTTACTCAGGTGCTCTAAAAACAGCAGCCCTGGCTCCCTGGGCCTGGGGCTAGGTAGCTGCAGTGAGGGCAGATCACAGCCTTCCCTGAACCTGAGTTATGGCAGATCCAAAGGGAAAATAAATCCCTTCCGTCTGTGAAGCAGGGAGTCTGATTAGTGCCAAGGAAGTGGTTGTGAGGGTCAGAGATGGGGAGAAAAGGCTTCATCCAGTTGTAAATACTAAATGCATTAGAATCTATCACTCTGGGGGATGTTGGTGTTGGTGGGGAAAGTGGAGAACTCATTTGCTCACAAATGTTTAGTGAGCATCTACTAAGCCCTAGGAGGATAAGAGTGAGCAAAATAGGATCTCTGCCCTCATGGAACTAAAAGTTTAAGGAGAGGTCACATGTAAAACAGTTCTATTCACGTAAGTATAATTATAAATTGAGACACATGCCTTGAAGGAAAAGTACAGTGTGTTATGAGACCATTTAACACAGACACGCTATTTGGACATAGGGGACAGCCTATATGGAGATCAGGAAAGCCCATCTAAAGAGGTGACATTTAGGCTGAGACCTGAAGGGGAGAGGGTACTAAGCAGGCAGGGTAGGGAACAGCATGTTGCACAGAGGGAACAGCATTATATGCACAAAGAACAGCATGAGATGGTCCAGCTCAGAGGAAGACAAACTGGTAGTGCTAGCGGCAGACCCGTCAGGATTAAAGATTCAACAAATGTGTGCTGAGCCTGTGACATGCTAGGTGCTACTCTGAGCACTGGAAATGCAGCTGTGAACACAATTTGCAAGGTCTCCATCCTCCTGGAGTTTACATTCCAGATGTTCACCTAGTGAGAAACTAGACTTTGGTAGAACTGTCATTGATTCAAACTACATGACTGCAATGAGGAAATGGACAGTGCTGCTTCAGAGGCTCAAGGATGTCTTCATCTGATGGCCTTACAGCATGGGCCTTGAAACTTACAGTGAGGAAAGACCCTCTTCCCTTATCTGTCTGGCTATATGCCAGATGGAAATCATCTGTGGTAATGCAGTAGGTGACAGGGCAACCAAGTCCAACAAGGAGGATATCCACACTCTGTGCCAGGAATTCTAGCTCACCATGGCAACTGGTCTGGAAGGGATCAGCTCTTCCATCAAGCAGTTAAGGCTTCAAAGATGGGCTGGGCACAGTGGGTCATGCTTGTAATTCCAGCACTTTGGGAGGCTGAGATGGGCGAATCACCTGAGGTCAAGAGTTCAAGACCGGCCTGGCTAACATGGTGAAACCCCATCTCTACTAAAAATACAAAAATTAGCCTGGCATGGTGGCACGCACCTATGGTCCCAGCTACTCAGGAAGCTGAGGCAGGAGAATTATTTGAACCTGGGAGGTGGAGGTTGCAGTGAGCCGAGACTGTGCCACTGCACTCCAGCCTGGGCGACAGAGCGAGACTCCATCTCAGGGGAAAAAATAAAATAAAAACACCTTCAAAGATGGTTCTGGCACACAGCACACTAGTTTAGGGCATGGGATTTTTGAGTCAAACAATCCTGGCTTCTTGTCCCAGCTGACACTTGCCAACTGGGCTCAGAACTTAACCTCTCTGATCCCCAGTTTCTTAGTCTATAAAATAGGGTTAATGGGACCTTCACAACAAAGTCATTGTTAGGATGAAAACAGTGGGGGCATATAAAGGTCTCAGTGTCCTATGTAGCACACAAGCAAACGCTCAGTCAGCATCAGCTACTATGAATATTACTATTATGATAAAGCCCACACCCGGCTAAAGACGCCTGGTTTAATGCAATTGTCATAGATCACAGAATTATAACTCAGACAAGTGCAGTTCGTAACCCTCTCCCCTTTATTCATACATTGCCAGGGAAACCAAGGCACAGTTCAGCATCTAGCCCAGCATAACCCCAGGACTTCAAAGTCAGGAATGTCCATTTCTGAGAACAGTGAAGCAACCACAGGAAGCATGCTGCAGAAGGGAACAACTGGCCGAATTAGTCCCATGGGAATTACTCGGAAATATCTTCTATTCAAAAAGACTCTGCAAATTTTCCATTGCAAATATTTAATATCAAATTGGATTCTCTCTTCCGCCTTTGTCAGTGGAGTGCTCAAAATAATTTTAATATTAGCTGAAGCCAAGCAAAATTAGGAAAATAAATCTGCAACATTTCCTTCCCCTGCTCCTCCTCTGCCTGCCCACAACACATCCCAAAGCCAAAATTCAATGATCGAAAGTCTTCAGCAGCTCGGCAGCACAGCAGTAGCTTTTAAAACAGATGACATGGTTCCAACATTGGCCCTGATCTTTACAAGTTTTATTGTTTTAGGCTAATAACTTATGCTCCTCAAGCCTCACCTTGCTCTTCCATCAGATAAGAGTACTTACCTCATTGAGTTACTGTGGGAATTCAATGAAATAATCTGTGTAAAGCACCAAGCACACAGGAAAAGTTCTACAGATGAGAGTTAGCTGCTATTATTTGTACTACCTGTTCTATTCCAACCCTATGATCAGAGAGGATCTGGGTGCAGCTGGGCCAGGAGGCTTCGCGTGGGCACCAGCTGACCAAGGAGAATAGCCTCCTCAGCTGGAATGGGGTGAGAAGGCTTGGCATCTTCCCTAGAGATTAACAAGCTACACTCAGAAGAAACATCTGTGTGAAATTAAAAGAATCCACCAGCAACTGAGTTAAACTACAGTGACACCAATAGAGCTGCCTTCCTCTGTTTCTTTTTCTTCTTCTTCTTCTTTTTTTTTTTTTCTGAGACAGGGTGTGGCTCTGTGACCCAGATTGAGTGCAGTGGCACAATCTCAACTCACTGCAACCTCTACCTCCCGGGTTCAAGCGATCCTCCCATCTCTCATTAGTCTCCTAAATAGCTGGGACTACAGATACACACCACCACGCCTGGCTAATTTTTTTTTTTTTTTTTTTTTTTTGTAGAGATGAGGTCTCGCTAGGTTGTGCAGGCTCATCTCGACCTCCTGAGCTCAAGCAATCCACCTGCCTCGGCCTCCCAAAGTGCTGGGATGACAGGCATGTGCCACCAAGCCCGGCCCCTGTGTCTCTTAATAGTTTCAATTCCCAAGTCAGAGTCAACAGCAGATTAAAATCTTAGACTTTTAAAGCATATTCAAGGACCCCTAAAAGGTTTTCTTTCCTTCCTTCCCTTCCAGTTTTCCTCCCAGCGAGCAGTGCAAAGTCTATGACCTCATGGAACTTACAGTCTAGGAGACAGGATAGACCATAAAGTCATCAATTAGGAAAAATCCTATGAAAGAAATAAAGTGGGTGTTGAGATGGAGAGTGACTGGGGATATACCCTCAGTTGAGGTGGTCAGGGAAGGCTTCCCTGAGGAAGCGATATATAACCGGAGGCTGCACCAGTCACACAAAACAGATTATCTTGCTAATTCTTTATTTCCTAGGCAAAAAAATAAAACAAATAGATAAATAAACTACAAAAAAACAAAAAACAGACCCAATAATGAAGTACTTGAGCCAAGCAAAAGAAGGATTAGACTGGAGAGGGGGTGGGGTCTTTCTGTTTAATCAGTCTCTTCTCTTCCCTCACCACTAAGCAATGTAAAGGTCAGCACAGGATGCACCCAGGAGGATCTAACACACCTCCCCACAGATGGCCCTAAAGCATAACCACAAACACAGGTCTCTCTGATTTGTGCCAGAGCCACTACTAGACTAATAACAATCATAACAGCAATAAGCACTTAACAAGCCTACGCTCTGCACCAGGCATCGGGCCATGCACTTCCGGTGCGTTTCTGTACTTCTTTAATCCCCAACACAATGGGGATGATATAGTATCATCATCAACATCCACATCGCACTGACAAGAAAACCAAGCTCAGGGAGGTTCAGTGGCCCAGCATTACACAGCCACCATGAGGCAGGACAGGCATTCTATGAGACAGGCACTCTTATCAGTCCCATTTTACAGCTGAAGAAATTAAGACCCAGAGAGGTAAAGTGACCCATCCAATGCAGTACAGCCAGGAATGGGTAGAGGGAGGCTTTAAACCTAGGCAGACAATGGCAGAATTCATGCATTCAAGGACTCTGAGGTGTGTGCAGGGAATAGCAGGCAGTTCCATTTCTCTCCAGGAAGAGGTATATAAAGAGGTGGAAGGAGAGTCTATATTCATTCCATAAATGTGAGATGCACAGAACAACCAGACATGGCACTGCCTCTCCAGAACTTTGGTCTAATAGGGAAGACAGAGATGGACAAGTTTATACACAAATAATTCTAGGGATAAGAGCGAAGGAGTTTAGGGTGTAATGAGAGCAGGTAAGAAAGAAGTTTATCTGAGACAGACCCCCCAAGACACAAATGAAGGTTAGCTGGGGGAACACAGGAGACATCACCGTGCCAAGTATCAGGAGGAACAATTGCACAGACTGTAGAAAGACAATGGCAAATTGGAGGAAGTGACAGAAAGCTGAAGGGCTGGGGTACGCTAGGTGAGGGGAGTAAGGCAGAGAGTAACAGCAGCTGGGTAGGGAGAGGTTGGCAAGGGAGAAAATGGAGAAAGGGATGGAGGCTGGTCAAGCGGAAGCTCGTAACAGCAGGGCTAGGGAAGCTCAACCAATAGGCTGGAGGGGTCTGAACACTGCCACAAGCAGAGCTGCACTTCAGGAAGGTGGGACTGGAGACACATGTGAAGCGCTTTGAGGGGAAGCAGCACTGGTGGTGTGGAAACAATGACCACATCCAGGTAGAGGTAATGACTATGACAGGAGCGAGCAGCAAGGAAAAATAGAGGTGAGAAGGAATTCAAGAGAGATAGCAGAGAGAGGTGGGTCAGAACCCCAGGAATGCCTAGGGGTCAAGGGAGAAAGCTGAGTCCCAGCTGGGGACTGGGGACATGGAGCTATTTAAAAACCAGCAAAATGGCGGGGCAGAGCGGCTCACGCCTGTAATCCCAGCACTTTGGGAGGCTGAGGCGGGTGGATCACCTGAGGTCGGGAGTTCGAGACCAGCCTGACCAATATGGAGAAACCCTGTCTCTACTAAAAAATACAAAATTAGCCGGGCGTGGTGGCACATGCCTGTAATCCCAGCTACTAGGGAGGCTGAGGCAGGAGAATCTCTTGAACCTGGGAGGTGGAGGTTGCGGTGAGCTGAGATCGCCCCAGTGCACTCCAACCTGGGCAAGAAGAGCGAAACTTTGTCACGAAAGAAAAAAAAAAAACAGCAAAAAAGTTTCATTAGAGCTTGTTAAAGGTGAGGCCTGCTGGAGTAACAGCTCCTGAGCCCTGCGCTGGGCACCCTGATGTGCTCCGTGAAACAAATGCCACTCATCTTATATCACATAGTGGGAAGCTGGGGCTGGGTGAAGTGGAGTGATCAGGCCCTTCACACCCTCGTGCAAGGAAGAGCTGGAGTACAAATCCAGGCCTCTCTGGACCAAGGCTTACTTCCCTGGACCAGCCTGTGCAGCTTCCCTGCAGCTGTTCTTTGGGCTTCTATTTTTCTCCATTTACACCCACTTGCTCATGTACTGCCATCTAAAGAAGTGGCTGCTTTCAGATGACCCACCCCACACTGGCCAACAGACGGCTGACAACTTTTGAACAAAGCAAAACCCACACGCAAGTTGCATTTGACATATGCTATATATATATGTGTGTGTGTATGGTTTTTTTTTTTTTTAAAGACTGGGTCTCCCTCTGTGGCCTAGGCTGGAGTTCAGTGGTACAGTCATAGTGAGGTAGGAGGCAGGACTTGACTCCAGAGGTGGGGCTCAGACACCGGACCAGACTGAGAACTAGCAAAAACAGGGCCTGGGTGGAAGCAGCTTTCCAATCAGACACACCCCCTGGTGTGCCGTGGCAACACCTGGGAGTTACCACCCCTTTCTATGGAAATGACCCGATGACCCAAAAGTTACTACCTCTTCCCTAGAATTTTCTGCATAAACCGCCCTTTAATCTGCATGTTATTAAAGGTGAGTATAAATGTTATTGCAAAACTGCTCTGAGCTGCTGCTCTTTGCCTGTGAGGTAGCCCTGCTCTGCAGGAGCTGTCATGGGGCAGTAACACTGTTGGAGCTATAACACTGCCTCTTCAATAAAGCTGTTTTCTTCTACCTCTGGCTTGCCCTTGAATTCTTTCCTGGGTAGCTGGAATTATAGGTGTGCACCACCATGCCCAGCACAAATTTGTTTAAAAACATGTATTTGGGGTTTTTGTTTGTTTTGAGACGGAGTCTCACTCTGTCGCCCAAGCTAGAGTGCAGTGGCACAATCTGGGCTCACCGCAACCTCTGTCTCCTGGGTTTAAGCGATTCTCCTGCCTCAGCCTCCCAAGTAGCTGGCATTACAGGTGCCCACCACCAAGCCTAATTTTTGTATTTTTAGTAAAGACAGTGTTTCACCATGTTGGCCAGGCTAGTCTCGAACTCCTGACCTCAGGTGATCCGCCAGCCTCGGCCTCCCAAAGTGCTAGGATTACAGGCATAAGCCACCGCACCCAGCCTTAAAACATGTGTTTGTTCCCAACGTTTAAAAATTAGAAGATTTTTCATACAAATCCAGATATCTGGCTGGGCCCAGTGGCTCACACCTGTAATCCCAGCACTTTAGGAGGCCAAAGTGGGAGAATCGCTTGAGCCCAGGAGTTCAAGACCAGCCTAGGCAATGTACCAAGATTCTGTCTCTACAAGAAATGTAAAAATTGTAAAAATAAAAACAAATCCAGCTATCTGGCTTCTCTTTAAGAAACAGATTATCTGGTGACATTGGGCCCATATTTTCATGTGGCAACAATTACCTGGAGTTGAGAAGTAGCTGTCCTCTTAGAGGGGCACAAGCTTTCTAGTTCACCATAGTCCCTATCCCCAAATATCCAACAACCAAAATGGAAACTAAGACGTGTGGCCAGCGAAGAAGTCTGCTCTTCAAAACCAGTGGTCATTTTTGTCTTGGGGACAATTGGGAGTGGTGGGGACTAGGGTTAACTGGAGAGTACAGTTTTTCAACTAATGGGGTGCTCCACTTTCCCAGGCTTTGTAGGCATTTGAGTCTCTGACCACATGCTGCTGTTATTTGATCTTATCAGAAGGCAGAGGAGCCAGGCTAGTTGAATATTAATGCCTGGGTCACAGTTTGGGACCACACAAGAATAGTCTCTTCCTCCACACTGCAACCACCGTGTCCCCACCCAGCTCCTGAGTTACTCACCCACTGCCACACAGATCCTAAGTTTTAATTCAGAAGGTTGTACAGCAGGACATCCCAGGGAAGTGGGGACACAGAAGTGCATTTGTCTCACACCATTTGGAAGTAAATACAACCCAAGTGGAACAGGGCTCATGCTGAGGCTGGCTGAGATCTCCAGTGAAACGAGACATTCTTTCAGGGCAACATCCTAACAAAGGAGCCCAGAAGGGAAAAATCTGATTACAGAACTTCCTCTCCCTAGTTGAGGTTTGGCACAGAACAGAAAAATGAAACACACCCCTTGCTTCTTTCCAGAAAAACTCAATATGGAGAATGGGGATATGGGGAGACAGTCAGGAAAATGAACAGGAAGATTCCTTGTAGTCTGCTCTGAAGGCAAGTGGGTGGGTATCCTGGGTCCTTGCTGTTTAGGATGCCAGAAAACACCCAGTATCTCCAAACGCTCTCGAGTGCTCTGCATTCCATCTCTCTCTCATTTCATCGTACTGGATTCTGCCCAGGGGAGAGCAAGCCTTGACTTCCCGACTTCACAGAAGCCACCCACCGTGCACACACTTCCTGAGATTCCATCAGTAACTAGCCGTTCTCTAGAGAACCCTCTACCACTAAAGAGTTAGGCCTAGGGTACACTGGGGTTATGTGATGAGCAACCACAGACATCTTCCCATCCCTTACAAAGTTTACACCCAAGTAGGGGAGACAAACAGGAATCAAATAATCACACACATTCGTACACACATTATTCCAAATGGAGCTGTGTAGTCTGAAGGAAAGAGACACGGTCCTATGTATGCAGATGACAAGGTTATCAGGCATTGCCAGGGTGGGCAGAGAAGGGTAGCAGTTGGCTAGGTGAAGGAGGTGGCACAGGAAGAGCATTCTAGCAGAGGGAACAGCAAATGCCAAGACCCTAAGGAAGCAGGGAGCATGGTGTGCTCCAGGACCTGAGAGAGCTCCTGCAGCTGAGTGTGGGCTGCAGGGGCCAGGCCGCAGGCAAGGAAGTATCTGATAAGCATCTCCACACCTGCAGCATGGCATCATGGCTGTTCCCTCCACTGCAGACTCTGGGTTGAACACTTTCTTCAGTGACCTCACCCAGCTCTCAACACAGGAAGCCCTCAGTAAGGTCAGGATGAATGCGTGTATGAGAAGAACAGTGACAAGGACACACTTTGTGGAGGACAAAAAAGCAGAGGAAATTAACACAAGTTTGTGAATTAAATACACATCAACCAGCATAAAGCTGCAGCAGACAGGTTAAGGTAACTCTAACTTCAGTGCAATAAACCCTGGAGATGTTCTTCTGCAAACTGGGAGTCTTTCCTCTCGGTCTCTGATTCCGAAGCTTCAGGCAGACTGCCAGCATCTTTGTGGCCCTTACACACCTGGCGGCCACCCTCCCCAGACTCTGGCCGGGTGAGCCCAGGCAGGAGGCCAACGAGCACAGGCACCGTGTACGCCTCTAGCTGCATGGGGCCTGCCCAGGAACAGGCAGGGGCCTCACCGCGCCTGCTAATCTGTTTCCTCTTAAGCGTTGGTTTAGTTCCAGTGTGGTCGGCTTGAAGGACCATGAAGCAAAGGTGGGTGGGCTCTGCGGAAGGGGCGCCTGGGGAGAGCAGGTGGGAGGCACACACTCCTCAGCCAGGGGTGGCAGGATTCCCCAGAGACACCAGCCGAAGTCCAAATTAAAAACTGCCGGGGAGGCAATGGGACTACTGTGTGGTTTCTAGGGTGTGATGATGTCACTGATGAAGGGGACAAACCAGACAAGACGAGAGAACAAGAGATGTCCCCACCCACCTCTCTGGAAAGCCAAGCCAAGTCCATGCCTCAGAAATTACCCAGGTATAATTTCAAATAACAAACATAAGTCAGGAGTTTTAAACCACCTTTTCTGATAGCTCTAAATTCTCACAAACACCACTTTGAATTTATCCATCCTCTTGAATTTGTGGAAGAAATTTCATTCCAACCCAGCAAATGGCTTCAGGGGTGCTTCAAACAGAGGCTGGTAATCTTTTTAAAGCATGCCTCAGTTCATGGGGTCCACTTTATCAACTCTCCAAGGGCTTCTCATTGCACCTAAAATTAGATCGAAAAGCCACCACACCATGGTCTAACCCCTGCCCACGGCATCAACCTCCTCTCCTACCTCCCGCCTCCTGCTCACCATGCTGCAGTCAAACTGGCTGTTGCTCAGTGCCTCAACCAGGCCAAACACTTCCAGCCTCCAGGCCTGTGCACATGCTGTTTCCCCTGCCTGGAATGCCACTGCCACCACTGTCACCCCAGACGCCAACTTAAATATCACCATCTCAGAGACAGACCTTTCTTCAAAGCACCCCATGATTTTCCACTTCATCTTTTCTTGTCTCGGGCCCTATTTCTTTGAGACGGAGTCTTGCTGTGTTGCCAGGCTGGAATGCAGTAGTGCCATCTTGGCTCATTGCAACCTCCACCTCCTGGGTTCAAGTGATTCTCCTGCCTCAGCCTCCCGAGTAGCTGGGACTACAGGCGTGCGCCACCATGCCTAGCTAATTTTTGTATTTTTAGTAGAGATGGAGTTTCACCATGTTGGCCAGGATGGTCCCAATCTCTTGACCTCGTGATCCACCCACCTCAGCCTCCCAAAGTGCTGGGATTACAGGTGTGAGCACCGAGGCTGGCCTGTCTCGGGCCCTATTTATCTTTAGAGCAGATGCATGCCTAGGCGGGAATGCTCTTCAGTCTCTCCCAGTATTTTTCACTTTTCTGTAACTTATTTATCCTCAGGCTCTCCCACTAGACTGTGAGCAGCAAAAGGAAAACAACCCCACCTGCCTTGATTCAGATGTTCTCCTATCACCAGCACAGTGCCCAGCACGTGGGAGGTATTCAACTGCTGCTAACTGTTGAACAAACCAGCCGGGTCATCTGCAAAATGACTGTCCTGGACTCCTCAAAAATGTCAACTCATGGGAGAAAAAAAGGCTGGGGAATCATTCTTGATTAAAGCACACCAAAGAGACATGACAATTTAATGCAATATGTATCCTTGATTGGCCTGGGTCAGAAATAAAAACAAACAACAGAAAAGGAACATGATGGAGACAATAAGGGAAATTTTAAAGAAGAGTATTACATCCATAATACATTTTCCAAGTTTGAGAATTCCACTGTTATGAGAACGCAGAGATGCATGCAGAAGTACTGTAGGAGGGAAATGTGACGATACCTGCAACTTACTTTCAAATGGCTCAGCAAAAATATACATACTTGTATATATACACCCACATATAGCATTCTTTTATTCTTACAATTTTTCTATAGTTTTTAATATTTCAAAGTGAAAAAATGGGGGAATAAAATAGATATTATTATTATTAAATAATAGCACGGTAGCTCACACCTGTAATCCCAACACTTTGAGAGGCTGAGGCAGGTGGATTACCTGAGGTCAGGAGTTCGAGACCAGTTTGACCAATATGGTGAAACCCCATCTCTACTGAAAAATACAAAATTAGCCGGGTGTAGTGGCTCACGCCTGTAATCCCAACTACTCCGAAGCTGAGGCAGGAGAATCACTAGAACCTGGATGGCAGAGGTTGCAGTGAGCAGAGATCACGCCACTGCACTCCCACCTGGGCAACAAGAGTCAAACTCTAAAAACAAACAAACAAACAAACGTAATAGATGGATAAATGTCAGAGATTTTGTTCTCTTTTTTGGTTGAAGTGACATGAGTCATCCAAGATCATAAGAATAGTCTTGCCCAGGCATAGTGGCTCACACCTGTACTCTCAGCACTTTGGGAGGCTGAGGCGGGAGGATTGCTTGAGCCTAGGAATTCAAAACCAGCCTGGCCAACAACGCAAGACCCCCATCTCCACAGAAAAAAAAAAAAGTAAAAAAAACTAGTCAAGTGGCCAGGCGTGGTGGCTCATGCCTGTAATCCCAGCACTTTGGGAAGCCAGGGCGGGCAGATGACCGGAAGTCAGGGTTGGAGACCAGCCTGGCCAACATAGTAAAACCCTGTCTCTACTAAAAATACAAATATTAGCCGGGCATGGTGGCGGGTGCCTGTAATCCCAGCTACTTGGGAGGCTGAGGCAAGGAGAATCGCTTGAACCCAGGAGGCAGAGGTTGCAGTGAGCCAAGACAGTGCCATTGCACTCCAGCCTGGGTGACAGAGTGACACTCTGTCTCAAAACAAAAAACAAAAAACAAAAAAACTAGTCAAGTGTAAGGTTGTGCACCTGTAGTCCTAGCTACTCAGGAGGCTGAGGCAGAGGGTCACTTGGACCCAGGAGTTTGAGGCTGCAGTGAGCTATGATCACACCACTGCACTCCAGCCTGGGCAACAGAGCAAGGCCTTGTCTCTAAAAAACAAAAGTCTCTGGCAGAGTTGAGATTATGACCAAAATATCCAAACTCCCATATCTTTTTCATCTCTGTCGCATAAAACAATGCACTTGGAATTTGTGACAGTCTCAAACAGTTAACTTTCACAGCCCTGAAGTGAATTGCTGGTTGGATATGAACCAGATTAAAAAAAAAAAAATCAAAAACATGTTGGGTGATTTTAATCTGGGACTCTTGCTTCCAAGATTCTAAAGATAAAAGTCTCATTTGCATACATCTAGCCCCAAGACAACCAACCACATATCAGCCCTTTCCACATGCCCCACACAATGTGAGCCATGCCTCTAGCAACAGGGAGGAGCTAGAGACTTGGGGCATAGGCGGATGCGGAAGGTGTGGAGGTGGGGGCAGAGGGAAACAAACCTGGCATTAAAGTTTCAATTTCTTAAATTTGTCAGATTTCTTAAGCCTAAGCTTTCATTTTTCTTTTAAGACCTTTGGAGCCTGTGCAACTAACTGTATGTGGTCAAATTCTATTCATCCTTCAAGACCCAGCCTAGACTCCTCTTCCTCCAGGAAGCCTTCCCTGACCTCCAGGATAGTCTAGGCACCTGGGCTCTACTTTCTCTATTAAAACTTGAACCTCATTATACTAGTTTTTATTGCCTGCTTGTGCATCTCCATCACTGCGTCACACCCTCTGAAGTGGCGGGAGCTGGAATGTCAGTGCCTAACCCATAGAGGACAAAAGCTAATCCACTGAGCTAAACATGGAAACAGCTGGCCCAGTCCCACTCTTCCCAAATCTGAGATGGCTCATGGCGGGCAGGCTGAAGGCAGCTCTCCGAAGCGGCTCCAGTGAAACTTTTCTTCTGCCTGTTGTTTCAGGTGTCCTGTGTCACATCCCCTTTGGGACAGGAAGTGTCCTATGTCACTGTTTTCTCCTCTTGTTCTGATATCAAAGGCTTGACCAGGGAGTTCCTGAGAGAAGATCAGGGGGCTTGGGTTCAGTTACCCACCACCTGCTAGAACAGCGACTTGGCCCCACTGCCAAGTAGGGAACAACACACCCTTTATTAAATAACAACATAATACATAATGCTCACTCCATCCGGTCATTTCAGCTCAGGGATCAGCTTTAAAGTCTCACCAGGGTGGGACAAGCAGAATGGGCTTCATGAGAGGCAGGAGATTTGTGGATGCAAATTCTTTGGATTCCGTGGGTTTGATAGTGGGGCAGTTTCTTGACTGTTCTATCCCTTCCCAAGAAGACTCCAAACAGAAACTGTACCCAACTGGTATCCATGACAGTAATTGCAACTCAAATTGGTGAGAAAGTCACTTAACAGCCAGAAAACGCAGGAGTGATTCCCAGCTCCTCTCCTTCACCAGCCTGGAGCTCCGTAGGTTATTTATCCTCTTGGAGCCATAGTTCCATTTGCTATGAATGGTGGTTAATACCTTTTAATATAGATAAGTGAGCATATTGTAAGGAACATATTATATATCATGCAAACATTTGTTATAACTTTGGGCTCCAAGTACCATAAAACTGTGATAGGATTCAGGAAACCACTCCCTTGAATGGATCAACAGCAGGAACTGAGAGAGTGACAGAATGGGCTTGCCAAGAGATTACAGACCTGACTGAAGAGACAGCACATGAACATCTGCCGACAGTTCATCACAGACTCAGTCAAGGATATAAAACTTGGTGGGGCCAGGTGGGTACGCAGAATAGGGGCAGATGCTGTGGATCTTTTTCTTGTCTGCCATGGGCGGGCCCTGGCATTCAAAAGTTGAGTAGTTGATATGGTGACATTCTTCCCCCAAGGGTCCTATTGGATTAAGACTGCTAAAGTTTTGTACCTAACAGCCTGCCCCCACCCCCCGCCATATATGTGCATACCTGCTGACCGTCTGCAGGGAATGTTCAGTAGACCTACCAGCTCCCCACCTGTCAGCTCCTTCACATCCTTTGTGTCTGAGTTCAGATGGGCCTCCCCATTCTGCTTCTCTACTACAGCATCCTCACCATTCCCTCCATAGCGGGTTCCCAGTGGATGGCCACATGTTCCTGTTTTACATCTTGGCGGTCTCTTCCCATGGACCATAAACCGCAAAAGGGCAGGGCCTTGTTTGTTGTGTTTACCCAGTGCGTGGCCATGAACTGCTCAACAAATGTTTATCGACTGAACATACAGATGGATGGATGAATGAGTGAACAAATGAACTGATCAAAGGAAGGACTAAAGAGAGGGAAGAATTGCTTCTCAACACTGGGAGATATACATTCAGTAAAAGTAGCAGTATTCTGGTGGAAAAATTTGAGGCTAAACTTCAGGATTATGAATCCATGGTTTTATTAATACCTGTTTGGAGAAAATGACAGAGAACTCTTAACCAATTCATCTGTCCTGGTGGTTTGTGCAACTTAAACATTGCCTTCTTAAGTCTTTGGAGGGGACCATGGAGCTGACCAGTCTCCCAAGATGACCTTGTGTGGCCCCAGGCAAGGCTGGACAGGCAAGCGTCTCTACCGCCACTTGAAACCTTTAACCCAACTCCAACGGGGCTGGAAGGGCCTAGAATCTTGAGAGTAGCTCCCCTGGGAATGAGCTCACAGAATTACTATTCCCCTCGACTGCAAGAGCCAAACCGCTGAGTATGCACCATCCAAACTCAAGGCTGTAGCTCACTGGGCAAAAGGGAGGTCATGGTGCAGAATGCTGGATGCCGCAGCCCCTGGAGAGGGGATAAAAAAAATCAACCCCAAACACAGCTAAGCTTTGAGGGACGTGATGGGTACACCTGAGGCTTTGCTGCCCAGCCTTAAGAAAATGTTTATGAAGAAAACCAGAGGGGAAAGAAAGAGGGGGGAGGTCGATGATTAAAAATACAACTAGAGCCACAGGAGAGGAAATGTCTCCGCTATGACTCCCAGCAGGTCACTATTGTGGATGAGAAGTAATACCACTTGAAAAGCGCCAAACAGGAAGGAATGGCGTGAGGGGGGAAATGAGAGCTCGGACTAGGCCAAAAAAAATTTTTTTGTTTAAAAACAAATGTCCTTTCGAGCAAAACTGTTCTATAGGGAGATACCTCATCACAAGTTTCTCTCTCTGTTTTAGAGCATTTTCTTCCCTGGTGTGCGTTCTTTTTGACTTTGGCAGGGAGGAGCAGGCCCTCTCTGCTTCTCTCCCCCTTTCTTTTTCCTGTTTTCTCTTTGGCCACCTCACAGGCTTCCTACACCTTCTGGATTCCAAGAGCATCCTGAGGATATTTACTCGCAGGAAGCTAGGCAAGGAGGGAATTGACACAGTCATTAGGTGACATGAGCCTGCTGACAAGCTGCCAGCTCAGCCTACTGGATATATAACTGAAAAGCCAGCGTTTCACTCAAACTAGGTCACCTCCAAGCGCTGTGGATGTCAGCGGGGAGTTCACCACAGACCGAGAACTGAGGAGCCAAGAGGTTAGTGGTTTCCCCTGGGGACAAGCGGAGGTCACACAAGGGGAAGACAAAGACAAACAGGGGAATTTGTGAGAATGGACAAAGCGGAAGACTGGGAGTGAGGCATCCATAGGCAAGTGGATTTCTAAAAGCAAGCCGTAGAGATCTGGCCGTTGAGGTCTGAGCAGGCCACGGAAGCATATCCTGTGCCACTTATGTGGCATTTGGCACTCTGTTTTCATGCACTCACTTCTATTTGCTTGCTAAGTATTCTCTCCGTTGAACTACAAAAGTTCCTCCAAATAAAGTGTCAATTCCTTGTGTCTATTAATATTTTGTCGTGTCTTCAATTTCACCAAATACTGAGCCAGACCCAAAGCTGACATTTAATAAATGCCTGATGATTGTGCGATTGTGAAAAAAAAAAAAAAAACAGAGTGAATCTGATGAACACATGGACTACAGAGTGAGTCAAACTTGAGTTTGACAGTTGGCTCCATTTGTTGTTAGCTGTATCCCTTTGAGTAACCTCTCTAAGCTCTGCATGCGTCAGGCTCCTCATTTATAAAGTAAGGATGTCGTATTGCCCATCTCATCTGGTTCTTGTGAGGATTTGGAGAGGAAGTATGTATTATGGGCCTGGCACAAAGTAAAAATTCAATAACTGTGGACTATTATTAAATTTCAGTTACTATGACCACTGTGGTTGATGATAGGCCACTCCCTGGCTTTGGGTTTTCCTGAGAGCCTCCAGGCCTGTCTGGGTTTTGCTCTTAACAGAACACCTGAAAAGTACCCAGCCAGGGTGCCTAAATCTGCCAACCTGGCAGACTTAGGATGAGAGCAGCAACAGGTGCATCGTGTCCAACTGAAGACAGACTCCCTTCTGAATCGGTGATAGGCTGGCAAGATACACCAGTTTTCAGCAAGGCACTTTATGTCATCTGTCACTTCACCCTTGTGGTTAATGACAGAGGAAATCAGATGATAACACAACTAAATGGAATGTTAACGGGTGGAATATCCACATGAGCACTGCTCAGACTGTGCTCTCTACAACATTTATATACAGGTTATCATGGCAGGGAAGGGGAGAGCCTCATGGTCAGTTACGTTTGGAAAATTACATCTAACAACTTCTTCTCAGAGTTTGTGATATGCTCATAAGCATCATGAGCCTTCCAGAAGGGATTACGGTAGACAGCACTATCTAAACATATTTGATTACAGGGCTCTGGTTGGTTTGGGGTTGTTTTGTATAAATTTAAGAGGTACGAGTGCAATGTTGTTACATGGATATATTGTGTAGTGGTTAAGTCTGAGCTTTAGTGTATCCATCACCCAAATAATGGATGTCGTACCCATTAAGTAATTTCTCACTATCCACCCTTTTCTCCTTCCTCACCCTTCTGAGTCTCCAGTGTTGCTCACAGGGCTCTGTTATTGAGTATCCTTCAGGCTGGTATTCTTCAGAATATGCTTTGAACCAGGTGTCGTGGCCAGTGCCTGTAGTCCCAGTTACTCAGGCTGAAGCAGGAGGATCAAGGCCAGCCTGGTCAATATAGCAAGACCATGTCTCAATCAATCAATCAATAGCCTGCCAAAGGTGACCTCAAGAGAGGATATTGAAAAAAAAAAAAAGGAATATGCTTTGAGAAATGCTCATCCATGTTCAAAGGAGATGTGACACCAACCCTGGCAGGAGTAACTGAGGGGCATGTCGTTGGCTCTGTCTTTGACCCTGTCTGGTTCAACATCATTAATTTGCTGGCATGCTGATCAGATTTGAAGATGACCCTAAACTAGGCAGGGAGTCTGAGAGGGGAGATGGTATAATCAGGACAATGGACTAACAAGATACTTTATAGAAATAAATAACAGGAACAGATCCCGCATACATAGTCCAGAAACCACACAAACCATCCAGGATGGTGGAAGATAGTACATGTGAAAAAGACTCATGTAGTACATGTGAAAAAGACTCAATGTAGTACATGTGAAAAAGACTCAGGACTCTGGTGACTGTGGAGAGAGAGAGAACAAAAAGCTGGCAGCCAGGCGCGGTGGCTCACACCTATAATCCCAGCATTTTGGGGGCCAAGGTGGGCAGATCGCTTGAGCTCAGGAGATCTAGACCACCCCGGGCAATGTAATGAGACTTTAACTCTTAAAAAAAAAAAAAATCAAGAACATTAGCCAAGCATGGTAGCATGTACCCGTAGTCCCAGCTACTCGGGAGGCTGAAGCAGGAGGATCACTTGAGCCTGGGAGATGGAGACTGCAGTGAGCCAAGATTTTGCTACTGCACTCCAGCCTGGGTGATTGGGTGATGGAGTGAGACCCTGTCTCAAAAAGAAAGAAGGAAAAAGAAAGCTGGATCTTTGATAAAGGAATCTGAGCCTTTGGATTAAGTCTCACCTGAAGACACTGCTACCCTGCTGCCCCCAGCCCTGTAAATACACCAACGAATTCTGTTTAAATTTTTTTTTTAATCTGCAACATAAACATTCCAAACTGACAGCACTATTAAGTGTACCAAGGTTTCCAAAGCAGATATTACACTTTTAGGAAGAACTGAAAGAAGCCTCGGGTCAAATGAAAGACAGACAGCTTACCCTTCCTGCTGGTCAGGTGGCTTTTTAGCTTGTACATGATTCTGGGTACCAAAATTAGAGGGATACAGACATACTAGGAAAAACTATCAGGATTACGAGGATCCCTGAAACCATGTTCCATGGAGACTTATGTAAAAATAAATAAATAAAAGAGACTCAGGGCCAGGCGCGATGGCTCACGCCTGTAATCCCAGCACTTTGGGAAGCCGAGGTGGCGGGTGGATCATGAGGTAAGGAGTTTGAGACCAGCCTGGCCAATATAATGAAACCCCATCTCTACTAAAAATACAAAAAATTAGCTGGGCATGGTGGTGGGCACCTATAATCCCAGCTACTTGGGAGGCTGAGGCAGGAGAATTGCTTGAACCCAGGAGGCGGAGGTTGCAGTGAGCCGAGATCGTGCCACTGCATTCCAGCCCAGGTGACAGTGCGAGACTCCGTCTCAAAAAAAAAAAAAAAAAAGAGAGACTCAGATAAACAAGAGATCCAAAAACTTGAGAAGGTCTAGCCTTCCAAACAGAAGATCTGTGAGGGATATGGCATTCCATGAGGAATCCAATGCTTTTTAATCTTCTACAGCCAACAGACTCTCTTGAAAAACTGTTGAAAGCTATGGGAACTCTCCGCAGGGAATTGTACATGGAAACCAAATTCTACAAACATTTTTAGGGGATTGCTGCCCCTCCACCACCACTGCCAAAGCCCATCCACAGACAACCCCCGTAGAAGACCAAAACCAGCGTTCAGAGCCTCGGGATTAGGCATCACCTGTGTAACGCCCACCCCTTGCCAAAGTCATAAACCAGAACCAATGGATGGGTGTCATATGGAGGTGAGCATCGGCTCAGTAAAAAGACTTCCTATCATGCCTGCCATCTGGAAACAGAAAAGGCTGCCTGGCATGTAGGGAGCTTGTCATCACTGCAGGTTTTCAATAAAAAACTGAATTAGCATTTTCAGGAAAGTCATAGAGAGGGTTCAGTCATGCCACTAGACTAAATGACCCAAGGCCTTTTAGGACTTTGCTACTTAAAATGTAGTCTGAGGGCCAGTAGCATTGGCATCATCTGGGAGCTTGTTAGAAGTGCAGAATCTCAGGTTCATGTCTTAGAGCAGTGCTTCTTAAGCTCTGACTCATCTGCATGTCAGAGCTTAAGAAGCACTGCTCTAAGATTTTCTAAGGGGAGAGAAATAAAAATATTCTGGTCCCTCAGCAGCAGTCTTGCACCTATGCCTTCAGAGAGCTGCCCTTTTAGCTTTATGTAAGTTTGGATTTTAGAAGTGAGGGCCCTGCTATAAAACCTCATCCCACCCTCTACCATGAGTTACTATAACACTAACATGAGTTAGCTATCTTCTCAAAGGTTGCTCATGGAGAACCTAGGGGAAGAGTGGAATAATTCCTGCTTTGTCTCTAAGCCAGTTCCTGAACTTCTACAAGGAAATAGTAATTTAAAAATATTTATCCTCATGACTCTTTTTTTTTTTTTTTTTTGAGGAATAGGGTCTTGCTCTGTTGCCCAGGCTAGAGTGCAGCAGTGCAATCTTAGCTCAGTGTAACCTCAAACTCCTGGGCTCAAGGGATCCTTCCACCTCAGTCTCCCCACTAGCTAGGACTTACAGGTATGTACTGCCACACCCAGCTAATTTTTTTTTTTTTTTTTTTTTTTTTTTTAGCTGAGGGCCCAGGTTGGTCTCTAACTCCTAGCCTCAAGCAATCCTCCTGCCTCATCATCTTTAATAACAATAACATATAATTTATTGTGATCTCACATGAGCCATATACACTGCTAAGTGCCTTTTGAATCCCTTGTCTTACTTAACCCTTACAATAACACAACAGGGTAGGTAATATCATTTTTTCTCCCATTTTTCAGGTGATAAATCTGAGACTCAGAAAGGGTAAGTGACTTGCTCAAGGCCACACAGCTGGTGAGTGGGGAAGCTAGGTCCTGACATGAAAGTTCAAGTTCTTAACCACGAAGCCCCACACCTATTTCCTTTAGAGGAAATTTCTTGCCTTCTACTCTTTTCAGTAAGCAGTAATGGTAGCCTGAAGGTTGTCAAGTTCCCACAGCACTCATCCAAGTTATCTAGGGATAAAGCCAGGCTGTTGACCAGGTAGCCACAGACACAGGTGCACTAGGGTCTCAGATCTCAGCCCTCCATTATATTCCGTTCATTACACAGGAAGACTTAGAGGTCACGCTTTCAAATCCTGGCCCCTTCCTCATTATCTGCTCCAGCATCAGAGTTCTCCCAGGCCTGTATTGACTTGCTTTATCTCCTGGCTGCTGTCCCATCTCCATTAGATCCCAGGCATTTGAGCAAAGTACACAGCTATCCAGTTCTGACTGAACGGAATTGACTCGCCATTCCTTCTCTATAATTTTGGGCATAGTCTGAGAGGATTTAGAAGGTGTCATTGACTTGGAATTACAGTTCTTTGTTACAGAATGAATTTCCGGACCATGCTGAAGAGAGACCTTGCATTTACACAAGCAGCTTTGTTCCTGTCAAAGTGTCCCTCTAATTGCATTGTGCACATTCATTCTGGACTTTGCTTCTCAAGAAGGAACTTTATCAAAGAGAACACTGACTTCCTATAGCACTTAACAACTGCAGCCTTCATTTGGAAATTAATGATGAGCTGCATATACTCTCTTCTACTTATGTTCATTAACTTTTTTATTTCCTACAGCTATTAAACCTTTTGTATGTCTTTGTATAATATGCCCCCACTAGGTCCCGTAAAGCAAAAACCACATTTTACTTAACTTTGTTTCCATCACAGCAGTCTAGCACACTGCCTTGTCTGCATTAAACATTTGATGACCACATGACTGATTGGTAACTAACCGACTGCATTTTACATATTACCATGCACATCTGTTGCTATGCCCAAAGTGAATTCACTCTTCCAGATACTGAACTTATGTGGAGGGAGAAACTTGAAGGGGGAGTGAGGGGAAACACTCTAAGCATGTCGAGAGCCTGAAGCAGATGGTGCTGTATAAAAAACCATAACATTATGGTTTCAGCTCTATGAGAAGTAACAATAAAATGTGCTCCCATGAGGTAGGACTAAGCCACTAATCCCCCTGGTACAGCTGGAAGCACAAAAGCTTCTTAAAGTTCAGGGACCTCAACCCACCTGGTTAGACAATAACCAGGCCAAAGCCTCATTTCTCAGCTGCTTTTGTTATCACTTGCTCCAACTCCCAAAACACTTAAAGAGAATTGTGGGAATTTTAAAATAAACTTGCTTGAGAAATGGGCCAGAATTGTATCATTTTCTTACAAAAACAAAAAATCCTTAATACTAGCTAGAAAAAAAAAACAAACAGGGCATTTCCTCCAGTTATTAAAAAAAATTCAGTAAATAAAATTTTTTAATTTCTACTAGGTACTGATTCGCTGTTTGAAATTTTGTCAGATTTCTCTCCTCTTTATGAGACTCTCAACAGGTGACTCTTCCTGGTCTATTTTTCATTCAATAAATAGTTCTAGAGAGCTGACTATGCTCTCTAAGGCTAGAATCTACTCAGTGCATAGACAAAAACAGAAGTGAGCTGTTCGTACGGCTTCTTCACATGTGGTTCCTTCAGTACCGAAATTTCATCTGCTCTAATGATCAACTTTACCCCTAGAATCTTTTTTTTTTTTTTTTTTTTTGAGACAGAGTCTCACTCTGTTCCCCAGGCTGGAGTGCAGTGGTGCACTCTCGGCTAACTGCAACCTCTGCTCCCAGTTTCAAGTGATTCTCCTGCCTCAGCCTCCCGAGTAGCTGGGATTACAGGTGCACACCACCATGCTCAGCTTAGTTTCGCATTTTTAGTAGAGATGGGGTTTCACTATGTGGCCAGGCTGGTCTTGAACTCCTGACCTCAGGTGATCTGCCCACCTCGGCCTCCCAAAGTGCTGGGATTACAGGTGTGAACCACCACGCCCAGCCTAGAATCTTTAACAGGATGCAGGAACCCCCAGACCACAAAGGAAGGGGAGATAATACAGCTGAAAGCACTGCACAGTTCAAACCCTGTCTCTGTTACTCATGCGAGTACGGGCCCTCACCATGCTTCAGTTACTCACACATAAAATGGGGAAGAAAACACTTCCTCTCTCAGAACAAAAGTGCCTGGTGCTTGCATAAATATTCTTTGTATAAATATTCATATCTATAAATATTATCATACAACCTTAACCCAGGGGTTGAAGACTAAAGTGTCTGTTGGTACAAACGAGTGTAGGAACTGGGTCAAGTGAACAGGAACTCAGAGTCAGGGAAGTGGGGGACTGGTGGGGCTGGGGGTGAGCCAGAGAACACCACCTCGCTAAGGGACTGGCCTGATGCAGCACGAGCCAATTGTGACCTCAGGGGATATGGCCCAGTGTCCTCTCTTTTTCTGATTTTTCAAGAGAAGCCAGCTCTCCACGGTTTGACAGGAAATCTCCTAATTTTTATTTATTTATTTATTTTTGAGATGGAGTTTCGCTCTTGTTGCCCAGGCTGGAGTGCAAATGGTGCGATCTCAGCTTCCTGCAACCTCCGCCTCCTGGGTTCAAGCAATTCTCCTGCCTCAGTCTCTTTTATAGCTGGGATTACAGGCAGATGCCACAACAGCCAGCTAATTTTTGTATTTTTAGTAGAGACAGGGTTTCACCATGTTGTTCAGGCTGGTTTCAAACTCCTGACCTCAGGTGATCCACCCGCCTCAGTCTCCCAAAGTGCTGGGATTACAGGCATGAGCCACTGCGCCCAGCTGAAAGCTCCTAATTTTTAAACGTTGGGAGGCAATATGGTGCAACAGTTAGGAGCAGGAACTCCAAAACCAGACCATCTAGGTTTATAAACCTCAGTTCTGCCATTTACCTGCATGTGATTTTTAACAACCTATTTAACCTCTTCATGTCCCATTTTCCTCATCTAAAAATAGATAATAATTAGTATCTATTTCATAAGGTTACTACGAGGAATAAAAGGTCAACATAAATGTATATACACAAGACCAGCCTGTGCAACATTGCAAGACCCCATCTCTACAAAAAAAAAAAAAAAAAGGGGGCAAAGGACTCAAATAGATGTTTTGCCAAAGGAAACATATGAATGGCCAACAGGTGTATGAAAACATGCTCAACATCACTAATCATCAGGGAAATGCAAAATGAAACCACAATGAGATACTACTAAAAGCCTGTCAGGATGGCTATTATTTAAGAAAACAAAAATAAATTGTAAAAGACAACAAGCATTGATGAGGATGTGGAGAAATTGGAACCTTGGTACACTATTAGTAAGAGTACAAAATGGTGGAACTACTATGGAAAAAAGTACGGAAATTCCTTAAAAAATTAAAAATAGGACTACTACATGATCCAGCAATCCCACTTCTGGTTATTTATTTAAAATAATTAAAATTAGGATGTGAAAGAGCTAACTGCACTCCATGTTCATTACAGCACTTATTCACAATAGGTAAGATTTGGAAACAACCTAAATGTCATCCAAAGATGAATGATTTTTAAAATGTGGTATATACATATAACAGAATACTATTCAGCCTTAAAAAGAGAAGAAAACCCTGCAATACATGACAACATGGATGAACTTGAAGGACACTGTGCCAAGTGAAATAAGCCCGTCAGAGAAGGACAAATACTGCATGATTCTATTTATAGGAGAGATCTAAAATTGCTGAACTCATGGAATCAGAGGAGAATGGGGTTACCAGGGGCTGGGGCAAAAGGGAAATTTGTAGTCGCTAATCAATGGGTACAGTATAAAGTTTCAATTATGCAAGATTAAGTCCTAGAGATCTGCTGTATCACACTGTACCTATAGATAGCAATACCATATCATACACTTAAAAATCTGGCCAGGCACAGTGGTTCATGCCTGTAATGCCAGCACTTTGGGAGGTGGAAGTGGGTGGATCACGATCAGGAGTTCGAGACTAGCCTGGCCCACATGGTGAAACCCTGTCTCTACTAAAAATACCAAAAATTAGCCAGGCGTAGTGGCAGGTGCCTGTAATCCCAGCTACTCAGGAGGCTGAGACAGGAGAATCACTTGAACCCAGGGGGGCAGAGGTTGCAGTGAGCCCAGATTACACCATTGCACTGTAGCCTGGGCAACAAGAATGAAACTCCGTCTCAAAAAAAAAAAATCTATGAAGAAGGCCAGGTGCAGTGGCTCACAGGTGCAATTCCAGCACTTTGGGTGGCCGAGGCAGGTAGACCACTTGAAGTCAGGAGTTCAAGACCAGCCTGGCCAACATGTCAAAACCCAATCTCTACTAAAAATACAAAAATTAGCCGGGCATGGTGGGGCACACCTGTAATCCCAGCTACTTGTGAGGCTGAGGCAGGAGAATCGCTTGAACCCAGGAGGCAGTGGTTGTAGTTAGCCAAGATCGTGCCACCGCACTCTGGCCTCCACAATACAGCGAGACTCCGTCTCAGAAAAAAAAAAAAAAGAAAAAAGAAAAAAAAAAAAAGGCCGGGCACAGTGGCTCACACCTGTAATCCCAGCACTTTGGGAGGCCGAGGCAGGCAGATCACCTGAGGTCAAGAGTTCAAGACAAGCCTGACCAACATGGTGAAACCCTGTCTCTACTAAAAAAACAAAATTAGCTGGGTGTGGTGGCACATGCCTGTAATCTCAGCTACTTGGGAGTATGAGGAAGGAGAATCACTTGAACCAGGGAAGTGGAGGTTTCGGTGAGCCAAGATCACGCCATTGCACTCCGGCCTGGGCAATAAGAGAGAAACTCCATCTCAAAAAAATAAAAATAAAAATAAAATAATTTTCAAAAGAAATTTGGATTTTGGGTTCTCGGAGGGGAAATACCACCCTGGGGCATTTTGGATATATCACAATTTGTTTACCCATTCATCCGCAAGTGGACATTTGTGTTGTTTATGGGTCTTGGCTATGACAAAGCTGCTATGAATACTTATATACAAGTCTGTTTGCTCGCTTTTCTCTTGCTCTGCCCCTTGGTGATATTGGGAGTGTTGCAGAGCAATGCCTAGGTCCTCCTCCTCCTGCCCTGCCTATGAGGCTGCCTGCTGCTTTCACCTTCCTAGGTATGTAACTTTATTTATTACTATTATTTTTTTGAGACAGGGTCTCGCTCTGTCACTCGGGCTAGAGTGCAGTGGCACAATCACAACTCATTGCAGACTTGACTTCCCAGGCTTAAGCCATTTTTCCCCCACCTCACCCTCCCAAGTTGCTAGGACTACAGCAATTTTATATATATATAAAATATATATTATATTATATAAAATTATATTTTATATAAAATATATATTATATTGTATAAAATTATATTTTATATAAAATATATATTATATTGTATAAAATTATATTTTATATAAAATATATATTATATTGTATAAAATTATATTTTATATAAAATATATAATTAAATTTAATAATATTTAAAAATACATATATGTACACACACTTTTTTTTTTTTTTTTGAGGCAGAGTCTCGCTCTGTCACCCGGGCTGGAGTGCAGTGGCGCGATCTCAGCTCACTGCAAGCTCCGCCTCCCAGGTTCACGTCATTCTCCTGCCTCAGCCTCCCAAGTAGCTGGGACTACAGGCGCCCACCACCACGCCCGACTAATTTTTTGTATTTTTTAGTAGACACGGGGTTTCACTGTTAGCCAGGATGGTCTCGATCTCCTGACCTCGTGATCCACCCGCCTCAGCCTCCCAAAGTGCTGGGATTACAGGAGTGAGCCACCGTGCCTAGCCAAAATATTTTCTTTTTTAACCGAGCTCCAGGGCAGGGGATGAAGTCTACTCCTTGATGGGCTGAGCAAGGCTGCTCTCCTGTGATGTCATTATCTCCTGTTCTAACTCATTCCCTACTCCCATTTTCTTCTTCCCTCAGGCAGCTATCCTAATGTGTGTAATGTGCATCTTTCCCTACGTGTTCTTGTAAGATGTGTATAGTTAATATGTATGTAGGTTTCCAAAACTTTTAATTATAAAATGCTAATATTTTAATAAGTGGTATTTTATAGATGTCATTCCAATCTTTTTTCACTCAGCTCAATGTTTTTAATCTCATCATGTTGCTAATATATAACCAGCTACACACGATAAAAAATTAATTTAATGCCATAATTGAATTATAAAGAAGTGAAAGGAAATGAGTTTATAATAAAATATCTAATTCAATATGTAAATTCACAGGCACAAATATACTAAAAGACATAATGAAATAGGAGCTTTTAAGGAAAAACTTTGGATTTAAGAGAAGAAAGGAAAGACTCTATTAATATTGTCAAAATCTTCCTTAAAATTTTTGGTATTTTGAAATGAAAGCTAAATAGATATCTATATAATTATAAACATTTTGCCTATATAAATGTTTGGTAGGACATTTGATGGTCATATGAGTCATGAGGCTTTTTGTTATGGTGGGTGTATTTCTTGTACATCTAGCATTCCTGCCAATCCATTGCTGGTTAAACCCCTCCCCTGTCACTTTGACAAACAACAATGCCCTCATCAGTGTCCAAAATGCCTCCTGGAGATGGATCATAGACCCAAATATAAAACTTAAGATTATCACACTTTTAGAAAAAAAACATAGGAGAAAAACCTTTGTGAGCTTGGCTTAGGTAAGTGCAGGCAACTGTAAATTTGCTAAAGAGTAATGGACACACACACACACACACACACGCAGAGAGAGAGAAATAGAGACAGATGAGAGAGAGAGAAAGCACTTGCCTATATATAGGAATAAGGCAAAAATGTCCACTCTCACCACTTCTATTCAACATTGTACTAGATTCCAGGCCAGGGAAATAAAACCACAGAAGGAAATAAAAATCATAAAAATTAGAAGAAAAGTCAAACTCCTCATTTGGAGACTACATTATTGTATATGTAGAAAATCCTATGGAATCTACCAAAAAATTACCAGAACTAATAAGTAAATTTAGCAAAGTTGCAGAATACAAAGTCAAAATAATATGCAACAGTAAACTGCATTTCTACAGATCAGCAATAAACAACTGGAATGTGAAATTTAAAATACCATTTGTGATAGCATTTTTAAAAACTTAAAATACTTATCTATAAGTTTAACAGAAATATGCATAGCTTGTACACTGAAAACTACAAACTATGGCTAAAAGATTAATAAAGATCTAGCCAAGTGTAGAGGTTTACCATGTTCATGGATTTGAAGGTTCATTATTTCTAAATTGAATCTTAAATGATTCACCAATATGGACTTATTTATTATTCATTTGAAAATATGTCTTAGCCTCTCCTATGCACAGGGTACTGTCCTAAATGCCAGGGATACAGCGGTAAAGAAGATAAACAAATATCCCTGCCTCCATGGAGCTTACATTTTAAACAGAAACCACAACATAAAAAAGCAAAATACTAGTAAGTCAGATGGCAACAAGAGGTCGGGAGGAAAGCAATGAAGGGGAGCGGGATAAGGAATGTAGTGAAAGGAATGAAAATTTAGATGGAGTGGAGACACTTTAACAAAGACCTAATATAGAGGTAAAAGTAAGGCTTGTAGGTAGCAGGGGAGAAAGTATTCTAGGCAAAGGGAACAACAAATAAATTATTCTAGGTAACAAGTCTAGAATGTTGTAGCAACAACAAGGAGGGCAGTACAACTGAAATAGAATGAGCAAAGGGCAGGTGACAGGACGTGAGGTCAAAGCAGCAACAGGCCAGTTTAGGCCGAGCTTCATAAGGCCGTTTTAAAGACTCTGGCTTTTATTCTGAGTGGCATGTGCAGCCATTGAAGGATTTTGAGCAGAGTGACGGGACCTACTGATCCTTTTTTTTTTTTTTTTTTTTTTTGAGACAGGTTCTCACTCTGTCACCCAAGCTGGAGTTCAGTGGTGCAATCATGGCTCACTGCAACCTCAACCTCCCCGGCTCAAGCCTCCCACCTCAGCCTCCCAAGTAGCTACGACTACAGGCATGTGCCACCACACCTAGATTATTTTTTTAAAGTTTTTTTACAGACAGGGTCTCGCTATGTTGTTCGGGCTGGTCTTAAATTTTTGTGTTCAAGCTATTTTCCCACCTTGGCCTTCCAACAGTGCTGAGATTAGAGGCATGAGCTACAGTGCCTGGCTTGATAATACTTTAGAAGGATCATTCTGACTGCCATGTTGAGAATGGCAGGTCAGCAGTAGAAGCAGTTAGGAACTGACCGCAATAATCTAGGCAAAAGATAATGGTGGCTTGGGCCAAGGTAGTGGTAACAGAAGTGGTGACAAATGCAAAGAGTCCAGATATACTCACAAGGTAGATAGGATTTCCCTTACTTAGCTGTCCTTTGGAAAGCCCCTCTCTGGCAGGCACCTGACTGTCACCTGTAGTCCTGGAATGTTCTCTCTATAACCCACCACATGTTTAGGGAGGGTAGCTGTTCACCCCTGCACACCAGAGATCTCAACAGCAGACCAAGCTTTGAGGAGCTAAGGAAGTTCAGGTCCAAGGGGGAAAGCAAGTTACTCCTCTCTCTTTCCCCTTCTCTCAGCCTGACGGGCTTCCTGTTAGGAAATGTAGCCCTACTACCTGCTTCAGAGGATGGCAAGGGCAGGAGCCAGCGTGCCATGAGGTTAGGGGTGGCGATGCTGCTTAGCAACCCCTGCTTAGCTCACAGACCAGCGCTCCCAGACCTTCCAGGCAGCACTCCTGCAAACTCATCAATCTCCCACCCTGGTCTCTACCAGGTGCAGCTCCTGGCCCTGGGGTCACTTTTCTACCAAAAGCAGCCACAGGGCTCAGCAAGCGAGTGCTTAGTTCTATGTTCAGGAGGCCCACACAGGCCACTAGGTACGCACATACGCTGTCAGTTGCTCTCATACACATGCACACACGTGCAAACAACTGTCAGGTCAACCTAGAGTGGCAGGCACATCTGGTTTTTCTGAAGTGGGTGGTAGGGATCTAGAACAACACTGCTCTGCACTCTGACAATTCCAAGCGCAGACTCCTGTAAAAGCTTGGACAGAGCTACTTAAATCCCACATGCCAGCCCTGCTTAGGTTGGCAGATCATGAGACCATGACTGTGTCTGGGAAGGCAAGGGCAGAGGCCTTTGTCTGCTTTTTGGGTTACAAAAGTGGATTGGGCTGGCACCTACAGCTATGAATAAAAGGGGAAGAGAAGGCAACAAAAGAGAGGGAGTGACTGGGGTGGAGGTAAAAATATCTTTTCCTCTAGAGGGGACTTTAGAGAAATTTCTTCTCCTAGGTCTTTCCTATACATGTGGCTTTTTCTCCTTTTCTCGTGTCTCAGTCACTGGCCATGGGGCACAGAGGCTGGAGGATAACAGAAGCAATGCGAGAGTGAAGTCCAGGCATCTCAGGCTAAACCCACTGCCACCCAAGCATGGAACTGACAGCATGCAGAGCCAGGTGGCTGGAAGTTGGGCAAAAGGGGCAACTGGAGGAGAGTTGGGGAGAGGCAACCATGAGAATAAGGCAGAGGATTTACAGGAGAATATGGCCCAGAGCCCTTGGGGATAGGCCACACAGGACACAGCAGATGGTCCCCAAGCTGGCCTGATCCTCCCATCCCGTTTAATAAGGAGTCAGGATTATGTGCTCAATACCTGAGGTCCTCTTCAGTTCAGCATTCTCCAGTCTGGGAGAAGGGACTCTAGAGAGCAGGGGAAATGTCTGTGTATATGTACATGCATGCACAGACACTTATTAACACACATCTACTTATATTCGGGGCCTCAGCCTGAGTAGCAAAGAACAGCAAAAAACTAGAAGAGATGCTGGAGAGTATGAGGTTCAGAGAGGGGATTTTAGAAGCAGAGGGGCTAAGTCCAAACTCAGAAGTTTACTACAGCTGTGTGACCTTGTGCAAGTGACAGCCTCCCTAGACCTCCAATCCCTTGCTGGTTGAATGGAGCAAATAATAGTGTTAACCTCTCAAAGGCCAGGAGAGAGCCCTGAGCCACTTCCACTTAGAGGCTCCTGTATACTTCACAACAAAGAACAGAAAAGTTAGATTATCATAGTGTGACGTATTTTAAGTGTTTAAAGAAAAATTTTAGGCCAGGCATGGTGGCTCACACCTGTAATCTCAGCACTTTGGATGACCAAGGCAGGCAGATCTCCTGAGGTCAGGAGTTCGAGACCAGCCTGACCAACATGATGAAAACCCCCATCTCTACTAAAAATACAAAAAATTAGCCAGGCGTGTTGATGGGTGCCTATAATCCCAGCTACTTGGGAGGCTGTGGCAGGAGAATTGCTTGAACCGGGGAGGCGGAGGTTGCAGTGAGCTGAGATAGCACCATTGCACTCCAGCCTGGGCAACAAGAGCGAAACTCCATCTCAAAAAAAAAAAAAAATTAGTAACAAATATACAACCTGAGCTAACAGGAAACGCTAATGTCGATTTCCTGGTTTTGATGCATACTAGTTATTTAAGATATCATTGGGGGAAGCTGGGTGAAGGGAACACGGGAATTCTCTGTACTATTTTTGCAGCTTCCTGTGAGTCAAATTATTTCCAAATAAGAAGTTTAAAAAAATTAACAAATACACAAAAACATTATTACATATATAATTTTATTTGAAGACGATGTCAAAAATCTAACCTTGAGGTTTTATGTAAGGAAGATGTCATGGCAAATTTCTTCCTGTTCTTCCCTAACTTCTTCCCCTGTAAGAAGCCTGAGTTATCACAAGGATTAAATTAGATGAGATGTAAACAGGTCTTAGGACAGCACCAGACACAGAACCTCAATATTTGCTATTTTTAAGTTTAATTGTTATTATTACCCAAAACAGCCACAAAGGGAAACAGCATTGCAGCATTGCATTTTGGGGATGTATGCATCACAACGGAGCCATTTTAAATGATGTTCTAGATATAAGGTTATTGGCATGGAAGGGAGTTCATAATATTTTGAGTGGGAAAAACAACGGGTTACAAATTGGTATGGATAGTATTCTCCGAATTCTTTTGCAAGTTAGTATAGCAAGTGCCTTAAGAGCACAGGCTCTGGAACCAGACTGCCTGTGTTCAAATCCTGGCTTGGCTACTTACCTATGTGATCTTAAGAAAGGTAATCATTCTGGGCTTCGGCTTTCTCATCTGTACAATGAGTTTAATAATAAAACCAATCATTGAATTGTTGAGGATGAAGTGAGTCCCTACATGCAAAATGCTGGCAAATGGTAACACTCAAATGTTCGCCATTGATATTTTATTTTACATTAATATATACTCATTAGGAACATGTCTGGAAGAGCATACAAATACCTAAAGAACAGCAGCAATTATTTGAATGATAGCATTGCAGAAGACTTTTATCTTCTTATTTTTCCTGATATTTTCAATTTTTCAAAATAAACATGGGTTGAAAAAAACCCTGAAATTTGCTGGGTGCGGTGGCTCACGACTGTAATTCCAGCACTTTGGGAGGCCAAGGCAGGCGGATCACAAGGTCAGGAGATCAAGACCAGCCTGGCTAACACAGTGGAACCCCATCTCTACTAAAAATACAAAAAATTAGTTGGGCGTGATGGAGCGCGCCTGTAGTCCCAGCTACTTGGGAGGCTGAGGCAGGAGAATCACTTGAACCTGGGAGGCAAAGGTTTCAGTGAGCCGAGATCGCACCACTGCACTCCAGCCTGGGTGACAGAATGAGACTCCATCTCAAAGCAAACAAACAAACCAACCCTGAAATTCTTAAGATTGAAATTTAAAATTTTGTTTAAATACATACATTGTTTTCACATAATATCCAGGAGAAAACAGGAAGAAAAAATCTGTAACAAACATATAAAACAGTAGCTCATACGCTCATCTAACAGAATTACTTTGGGCTTTGCTAGTGTCTCAAAGTAGCTAGTTGGGTGTTTCCTTCCAGCCCATGGCTCTCAAAATACATTGCTTAATGCACCTATGCAGGTCACTAACGTACTGATGTATATTTTTAACCACACACATAATCCCAGGTCCAAATATACCTCACACACATATGTACATATTACCAAAGAGAAGAGAATATAAATGCAAGGTAAATCTAGTCACAGAAAGTACCTTGGCAAAAGGCAGCAAAGGGCACAAAGACCTTTCTGTGGGTTCCCCATGCTAAGGTTCCTGTGTAGTTCACAACCAGTAACATTTAGACAGCGTGGACCTGTGCCCTCCTTCTCAGAGCAGTTGCCTTCCCACGGCTGCCTGCCACCTCCCTCACTGGCACTGGACATAAAGGGGCCTTACGTCTAAGGATTGTGACAAACCAAACATCATCCAGAGGAAGTCAGAAATCCTGGTCCCCGCCTTCCCCACAGTTTGCCCAGCAGGCAGGAGGCTGGCCCCTGCCCCAGGTCTCAGGTAGCCCTGCCTCTCTCCGTGAGCACAGCCCCAGGCCAGCCATTGCTGGAGAGCTGCCCCTGGTCCACTCGGCTTCGTTACACGAAAATAAAACACCAGCCTGTTCAGGGTCTGCCCAGCACATTATCGAGAGGAAGCTATAAAAGCTGCCAACACGGGTTACCTCAAGCATTTTCCTTCTCAAATGCACCGGGAGTGAGGCACTGCCTTTCCTTCGCTTCCCCGCCTTCCATCTCTTCGGAAAAGGCTTTCTGTGTCCTGCCTGTGTTTATTGACATCCCAGCTTCTTGGCCGTTCCAGCTTCGCTGGAGCGATTCTCCCTCCTTGCCATTCAAAGTGGCCCCTGTTCCGACCCAGCGCCCATAACATGCGCTTCCAGACCGCACGGACCACTGGCTTCTCAAAGTCTGGCTCAGAAACCAAATAAAAAGCTTTTCATTTACACTCAAGTTTATGTGGAGGAGCTCAAAAGCCTTATTTTCATGTCTTACACAGCTCCCACCTGAATAAATTCATTTTAAGTGCCACTTTTCCATTTGTGGATTACAAAGCTGTGAGGAAGTCTGAGGGACAGCCCCTCAGGCTCCGTGGGATACTACAGGGAAGGCTGGGGTGCAAGGTGACCCCTGAGGGACCAAGAAGGCCGAAGGATGCCAAAACCCTCGGCAGTAAACACCACAGCCCTTGGAAGGGCAGGCCTGGGCCAAGCCCCTGCCGGAGGCAGTCGACCTTCCAGCTTGGTCAGAGTTGAAAGTGTGGTCCTTAGAGTCCTGGCTTCAAATCTCAGCTCAGCAAGTTCCTAGCTGTGTGTGCTTGGGGCATGGGACGGCCTCTACAGCTTATTTCTTCATCCGTAAAATGGAGATGACACTTTGGGGCCAAGCCTATTGTATTGATTCAATGAGACAATGAAATATAAAATGCTAACTGCTGTGGATAGCACACAGAAACCCCCAATAGACAGCATCCATTGCCACTAAGATTCATTATCTTTAAATGTGTGAAGCACAGACTCCATGCTCCTTCCTCTTTGGACATCACCAGGAAGAGGGAAGTTGGACCACTCTAAGGATACCATACCCAGGCCTGGTTGCCCCCTCGTCCTTCCAACCTTCAGTGGCTATAATTTCGATAAACAGTTCCCATGCTAGGTGCTGGGTATATGCAAAACAGCCATAGTCCCTGGCCTCCAGAGCTCCCAGTGTGGTGGTAAAATACACAGTCCTAACAAAGGGTGACTTGCTACAATGGCTGTGTGCATACCACGCAGAATAGCACAAGAGAAGGAACAGCTGATCCTGCCCAGCGACATCTAGAAATAATGATTGTTGAAAACAATAAGGTCCTATGTGACCTGGTAGCCTCCACCCTGGCTTCATTTCCTAGTTATCCCTCCTCTCTGTCTTGTTGTACCAGATTCAGTCCCACCTGGAGGCTCTGCTGGGATGCTCCCCAACATTAATTCTATCTACCTACCTGTCTGTCTGTCTAGATAGAGTCCTGCTCTGTCGCCCAGGCTGGAGTGCAGTGGTATGATATCCGCTCACTGCAGCCTCTGCCTCCTGGGTTCAAGTGATTCTCCTGCCTCAGTCTCCCCAGTAGCTGGGATTACAGGCATACCACCACACCTGGCTAATTTTTGTATTTTTAGTAGAAACAGGGTTTCACCATGTTGGCCAGGCTGGTCTCGAACTCCTGACCTCAAGTGATCCACCCGCCTCGGCCTCCCAAAGTGCTGGGATTACAGGCATGAGCCACCGCACCTGGCCTCCCCCAACATTCTCATGATTGGCACCTCCATATCCCCAGGGTCTCTGCTCACTTGTTATCTCCCAATAAAAGCCTTCCTTCCCAGCCACACCAACGATGTCTTTGTTCCCTCTCCCTGCTTTACTGTTCTTCACTCCAATATTACAATCAAATCTACTTGCTTACATGTTTCTCATCCATCTTCCCTACTAGCGTGTGACCTCCATGAGGGTGGGGACTGTTTTCTTCATAACTATGACCTCTCAACCTAAAACATTACTTGAATCCACAAATTAATGGCCACAGTCAGAAGGTGGGCGCTCGCTGAATGTGAAGTATTAGGCTAAGAGCTTCATGTACATCAGCATTTCATCCTCACAGCCTCTCAGGGCAAGTGCGGAGGTCATGGCAGCCAGGAGCTCACAAGGTGGGGAGACAGTGTCTCTGGAAGGCAGGTCTAGGTAAACAGGTGCTACTCTAGGGCACCTGATATAAAAGGTTCAGTGGAGTCTGGGGGAGACACTGACAGCGTCCACCCCCGCCACCAGTAACTCTGGACCCTGCCCAAGCCCACTGCATAGGCTCCTCCAGGCAGTCCCGCTACGCCCATCTGAGCCGCTGTGCTGGCCTTTCTCTTTGGACATCACCAGCAAGAGGGAAGTTGGACCACTGTAAAGATGCTATATCCAGGCCTAGCCTCCCCTTTGTCCTTCCAACCTTCAGTGGCTATAATTTTGATACACAGCTCCCAGGGATACATCCCAGGGTGGATAAATAAAGCTAAGGGTCTCTCCTGTGTCTGAGAGACCTGCCGTCCAGCGTCTGCCTTCCCTAAGAGCCAAGGAGATCAAGTGGATGAGAAAGTGCCCAGCAATTCCCATGTGCCCACAGCAGCCAGCATTTACTGAATGCTCATCACACCCCAGGGCCCATGCCAAGGCTCTATATACATTCTCATGTCATCCTTACACTCTCTGGGTAGTTATGGCTCTCCTCTTTTATAGATGGGGACCCAAGGATCAGAGAAATTAAGTCACTTCCAAGCTCACAGAGCTACGAAGTGGCAGAGCCAGGATTTGAACCCCAGTGTGTCAGATTCCCAAGATCCTGCGTTACCCACTCTGTTCCAGTGCCTCAGCCCTGCCCACATGACTTCTTCCCTAGCTTGGGTCTGCTTCCCTGATCACCCAAGGTGCACAGCAGAACAGAGAGCATGGGCTCAGGGACCAGACCTGGGCTCAAATCCCTGCCTCACTACTTCAAATGTGTCTGGGCGGTTGGTTACCCTCTTGGAGCTTCAATTCCATCTGCATGGGAAGGTGAAGGATACCTACTGCAGAGATGTGAGAATAACTGAGATGCGTGCCTACCAGGCACACAGCAAACACAGCACAGCCAGCGAGAGTCATCTCTGGACAAGCCTCTGCTGGCCCTGGCACTTGCTCCCAGCTAGGTCCTGCCCAGTGGCCAGCAAAGGCTGGGTCAAAGCCTCTCTCCAACTCCCAGGAGAGCTGCCCCCAGAGGACAAAACGCAGGGGCTCTGCCAGAACCCTCACAGTAGGCTCCATCCCTCCACTGATGAGTGTCTCAGGATTTTCCCTTTTTGGGGGAGAGCCCCGCCTACTGAATCTGGCTGGGCTCAGGCACACTCTATAGCTTCAGTTTTCCCACATATACTTTGGAGGAAAAAAATGTTTTACATTTATCAGGTACCTGAAAAGTGCCAAACTCATTTTAAGTACATGAGCTTCAATCTCTACTTGCAGGTTAGCAACATCTGTGGACATATTATAGGATATATTAAAGCCTCAGTTTACTCTTCTGCGAAATGGAGATGATGATTAACCTGCTTCACTAAGTTGTGAGGATTAAACGAGGTAAAGCATGTGAAATGCTTATGGCAGTGCCTGGCACATGAGAAATAATAAATGTTAGCTTTCATTATGTCTCACAGCTAAAGAAACAGACACTAGGAGAGCAACCAATCTGCCCAGCATCTCCGGCAAGGTGATGGGATTTGAACCGAGACCTGTCTAACACCAGGCCACCCTCCATGCTGACATTTCAACACGCCCATCCAGGGACCAGTGCTTGTTTGTATTTCAATAGAAAACTATAGCACATCCTTGCAGATTATCGAATTCTAGTCCCGTTCATTGCCTTTGAGCTTTTTTCACCTCTTGATAAATTACATTTTACTGTTTACTTTGTTACCTACTGTGAATTGGACTGGATTTGCCATTCTGCACATTTCATCAGTTCTTACCAACTTCTCAATTTTTCTACTTTTTACGTTTTCTCCCACCCTCCTGATGTCACTGAGAGCTAAAGGCTGACTGCCCAAATCCTCATTGCAACTCTAGGCTGTCTTATAGCTGATCTTCCCCCCAAGATCTAAACTAGGCTTGCAAGCTGGGTGACTTGACATAAACTTCAAAGGACCCATCACCACAGCAGACCATGAATCTCCCTCGTTTAAATGCCTGATGGTTGTCCATCAAGTATCCTCTACCGCCAGGCCCCAACAGACATTCAAGCTGGTCCTTAATGAACAAAAGGCGACCGAACAAAAAATTGACCTATATTACTCAGAGAAAAGAAGAATTTTTCTTTCCTTGAACGAGAGGAAGCACTGACAAAAACCCTTTCTTTGACCAAACTTTAGTTAGGCTCTTCTGAGCCTTCTTCTGAACGTTGGCCTTCTGTGTCCCTCCTGTCCTTGCCAGGCCTGCAGAGCCCAGTCTTAGCAAGAATCCTGCAAATTCAGTTTAGGGAGTCCCCTACCCTTGATGCCTGATAAAGCGCTTCATCCCCTACCTTGGGTGTGTAAGTCCTTGGCCTGCCCTTAGCAAGAGTCCTTTTAGGTCTGTTTAGTGAGAATCCCGTTCCCTTGATGTCTCCTCTTAGTAACTTTCCATCCACTGACCCCCTCTTCTCTGTTTCTTAGCTGTAAATCCTCAACTGTCTTGCTGCATTTAGAGTTGAGCCCCATCTCTCTCCCCTATTGCAATAACCCTGTTGCAAGACTCCTGACTAAAGTCTTCCTTACCATTTTTACAAGTGCCAGAATAATTTTTTTCTTTAACAACACTCAGGCTTGCTTCAAGTAGGAGGGCCTCCCCTGCCTGAAAATGCTCCATTCATATCCCAGTCAAATACCATCCCCAGATCTCCTCTCATAGCCATCTCCCTCTCCTCACAGCAAGCAAACATCTGACAAGGACTGCATTGCTTTCCCCGCCACCACCCCGGGGATCTTCACCTCTCTCAGGCCGCTGCCAGCCTCCCTACCTGCCCTGCCAGCCGTCAGCCCCCAGCTTCACGCCAGTCCATTCACGTAGAGAACACGGCTATGAAAATACAGAAACGCACTTCCCATCTGGAAACGCCTCAGAGCTAAATATTATGTAGGATGTGATGGTGTGCGTCTACCAGCAAAAAAGCGAGGCTTAAAGAAACACTGAGACACGAGGAGACTGCTAGTGAGAGGCCAGTGCGTCAGCAAGAGCTAAACTTAGCAACCTAATCCTCTAACTTCATTCTTTCAGGAAAGAGAGCGGTAGGAGAAAAATGTATGAACATATTTAAATAAAAGAACCTTTGAGAGAGCAAGAAAATCCACATCCTAACTGACCTGTTGCTACTTTGCAGAAACGAGCGTAGAGAAGGCGACGTTTTGGGGAGCTAGCCCTGAGGTCAGTGGTCGACAGAAGGGCTCTATCCAAGTAATCAAATTCCCTGGTAGAAGGTCCCTTTGGAGCCAGTGGCTGCATGGTACAAAGGAAGCTGCAGCAAGGGGAAGAGATTCTTAAAAACTGGAAGTTCTGGAAAAACCTGTAACACAGCTTTCAAACAGATTTTGCTTTCGAGTAGAGTGGCTGGTATAAAAACACGCATCATCTAGGCACTAAATGGCTCCAGGGAGTGTTTGAAAGAGGAGGAGCAGGGACAGGAAAGTCACAGGCAATGACAAGTGGTGCGTGTAAACACACGTGTGAAGCCCAAGTTCAAGCTCAGCTGTGCCTGTGACCAGCTCTAGGGGTGGGGTGGGTGGGTTGCCCTAGTCTAGTTGCCAGACTAACTCACCCATGAAACAAAGGTAATGGCCAGGCACGGTGGCTCACGCCTGTAATCCCAACACTTTGGGAGGCCGATGCAGGCGGATCACCTGAGGTCAGGAGTTTGAGGCCAGCCTGGCTAATGTGACAAAACCCCATCTCTACTAAAAATACACAAATTAGTCAGGCGTGGTGGCACACGTCTGTAATCCCAGCTACTCGGGAGGCTGAGGCAGGAGAATAGCTTGAAGCTGGGAGATGGAGGTTGCAGTGAGCAGAGATCGTGCTACTGCACTCCAGCCTGGGAGACAGAGCGAGACTCCATCAAAAAAATAAAAAATAAAAAAAATAAAGAAAGAGAGAGAGAGAAAGAGAGAGGGAGAGAGAGAGAAACAGAAAGAGAGAAAAAGAGGAAGAGAGAGAAAGAGAGAAAGAGAGGGAGAAAGAAAGAAAGAGAGGAGAGAAAGAGGAAGAAGGAGAGAAAGAGAAAGGAGGAGAGAAATGAGGACAGAAAGGAGGAGAGAGAAGAAGAGAGGAAGGAAGGAAGGAAGGAAGGAAGGAAGGAAGGAAGGAAGGAAGGAAGGAAGGAAGGAAGGGAGCCTGTCCATGCTTTAAGACATGTTTAAGTACTAAGATACTACTTATCTCTGGATTTATGTGTAGGGAAAGAGGCGGGTAGCTTAAAAAATTTTTCCCCTGGAATCAAGCCTTCTGCTTTGATCCATTATTAAAATATTTCATCACACTATTAAAAATGTATTGATCCCCACAAAGGGTTAATATTTTTATTACAGAGTCTGCATAAATCAGTAAGAAAAATACAAGCACCCCAATAGGAAAATGAATAAAGGATACGTAAATCAATTCACAAAAACATAAAAATAGCTATTAATTATATGGGGGAAAAAAATGACCTTACTGGGAACCAGAAAAAAAGGCATAATAAAATAAAAACAAGGCCAGGCATGGTGCCTCACACCTGTAATGCCGACACTTTGGGAAGCCGAAGTGGGAGGATTGCTCAAGACCAGAAGTTCGAAACCAGCCTGGGCAACATAGTGAGGCCCCGTCTCTACAAAAATAAAAATTTAGCCAGACATAGTGGCATGCCTGCAGTCCCAGCTACTCAGGAGGCTGAGGCAGGAGGATAGCTTGAGCCCAGGAGTTCAAAGCTGCAGTGAGCTATTATTGTACCACTGCCCTCCAGCCTAGGCGACAGAGCAAGACCTGTATAAAAAAAAAATTAAAAAAAGCAAAGCTTCTCCCATCTAGCATTTGGCGAAGTCCTAAAAATCCAATAATACCCAGCAAGGGCCAGGATTCAGAGAATCATTATGCCCCCTCACACAACAATAGGAAGGCAAATTAGCATTTCTTTAGGTCAATTAGAGCATACAAAAATTCTTACATGGACATCCCATTCGACCCTGTAATTCCACATGCACAAAGATTTATCTGTAAAGATTTAACCACAATATGATTTTATAATGCTAAAAAATTGGAAAGTCTTCTATCCAATAAAAGGAATATATTATATATGGCAGAACAGTTAAAACTGTTACATAACAACTAAAAATCAGGCTGTAAGAAAAATCTAAAGATACAGGAAGATGTTTACATTATGTACAAAACAGATTCTGAAGCTGTACATATCAAATTTTGTAAGCCATCTCTCATATACATGACACATAGGCACAATGAAGTAAATACCAGGAGATAGACAAAAATATTACCAGTGTTATTTATGAGAGTTGGATAATCATGAGTGGTTTTGATTTCCTTACACGTCTTTTTATTTTCAAAGTTCTTTTTTTGTTTGAGACAGGGTCTCGCTCTGTCACACAGGCTGGAGTGCAGTGGTGTGAACACAGCTCACTGCAGCCTTGACCTCCTGGGCTCAAGTCATCTTCTGGTCTTAGCCTCCCGAGTAGCTGGGACTACAGGCGTGTGCCACCATGCACAGCGAATTTCTGTATTTGCTGTAGAGAGGGGGTTTCGCCATGTTGCCTGGGCTGGTCTGGAACTCCTGGGAGATCTACCCACCTCTGCCTCCCAAAGTGCTGGGATTATATGCGTGAGCCACGGTGCCCAGCCCAAAATTCTTAAATAGATATGTGACTCTTTTGTATTCAGAAAACCCTATTACTTTTTAAAAGAAAGAGGGGAAAAAGTATCTTTCTGTCTTTCTAACAAGTAAAAGGCACTGAATTAACTACTCCAGCCAGAAACCTGCCCCAGGCCAGAGACTGCCCTGCCCAGCAAACTTCTTTCACATCCTCATCCATGACCCCTGAGAACTTTCAGGCCATGGGCCATACATTTTAGGCTTCCTCTTGCCCACTTTTTTTTTTTTTTTTAGAGACAGAGTCTCGCTCTGTCGCCCAGGCTGGAGTGCAGTGGTGTGATCTCAGCTCACTGCAAGCTCCGCCTCCCGGGTTCACGCCATTCTCCTGCCTCAGCCTCTGGAGTAGCTGGGACTACAGGCGCCCGCCACCATGCTCGGCTAATTTTTTGTATTTTTAGTAGAGACGGGGTTTCACTGCGTTAGCCAGGATGGTCTTCATCTCCTGACCTCGTGATCCGCCCGCCTCGCCTCCCAAAGTGCTGGGATTACAGGCGTGAGCCACCGCGCCCGGCCTCTTCTTGCCCACTTTTTACCTAAGGTCTATAGTCTGCAATTCATGAAGGTCAGATCCCAGCCCAAGTCCTGAGGGTCTTCCTAGCACTTGTCTAGCCCAGCCTTCAATCAAATGAGAGAGACAAACGACCTTACAGCTATAGAGTCCTGATAGTTCTCACGATGGTTTCAGAGATTCTCATCAGCTCCTGGGAGGCTCTCTCACAAACTCGGAGGTCGGCAGGGCGCTGTCAGCGCTCCCACTTTAGGAAATGGAAAGCAAGGGCTCAGGAAATTGAAGATGTGCCCCAAGGCAGACACAGAAACAGGACAGGAGCCCGGAGCTGGCTTACAGTGGAGAGCTCTCTCCAATCCAGCTGCCTGCTGACCCCAGGCTCCTCAGCCATTGCCAGCGAGCCACAGCTGGGAAGGAACTGGGGCCCCAGCATCCCCACCGCCATCTGGCAAAGGCCACACCTGTGGGCTCACTTTAGTCTCCTTCATTCATCCCCATCTCTACCCTCTGCCCCTGCTCCCACTCCCATAATAAAAAGAATCAGGGAAATCAGGAGAAGCTCCTCTCACAACTCATTAATTCAGTTAACTGTCTAATCTTCTACTATTATCTCACAGGTCAAGTTGTTCTAATTTTTCAATCGAAATTGTGTGGGCTGGGTGCAGTGACGTGTGCCTATAGTCCCAGCTACTTGAGAGGCTGAGACAAGAGGATTGCTTGAGCCCCGGAGTTCAAGGCTGCAGTGCACTATGATCTGATCATGTCTATGAATAGCCACTGCATTACAGCCTGAGCAACATAACATGTATGGGTCAGAGCTTGCTCAGCTGTGAGTGACAGAAACTAAAGTCAATCTGGCATAAGTTAAAAAAAAAAAAAAGAATTCATTAGCTCATGTCACTAGGGAGTGGCTGGATCTAAGGCCTCAAACATCAGCTCTCCCTGCCCTTTCTCCACTTAGTGAGCAGGATATTAATCAACAGCCTCACATTCACATCCTACCAGGTCCAGCAGAAATAGACCATCTTCCCCAACAACTCTGGCAGAGAAGTACCAGGAAGGACTCAACTGACTCAGACCACCTGCCTACTCTTAAGGACACAGGGCAAAGGTCAGCCCCATCCAACTCCACAAGAAAAGGTGTTCTCTTCCCAGACGGAATGAGCGATAATGGAAAGGAAACCAAAAACGGATTTCCACCTAAACAAATCTCTCCTGCTTTAAGATCAAATCTGATTTTTGGCACAGACATTCATTGGCAGTGGTAAGCATGAGTGATGCCACAGGGCTGGGTTACTCTGTCACCCAGGCAAAGTGAGTTATTAGCTAACATTCACTAGAAATGCCCAAATACTACTACCAAAATCTAGGTAATAATTTTTTTGTTGTTGTTGTTTTTTGTTTTTTTTTTAATTTTCTAAGAGGCAGAGTCTCAGTCTGTCACCCAGGCTGGAGTGCAGTGGCACAATCGTAGCTCACTGCAGCCTCCAACTCCTGGGCTCCAGCAATCCTCCCGAGTAGCTGGTTCTACAGGCACACATCACCATGCCCAACTAATTTTTTTTTTTGAGACGGTGTCTCGCTCTGTTGCCCAGGCTGGAGTCCAGTGGCGTGATCTCAGCTCACTGCAACCTCCGTCTCCTGGGTTCAAGCAATTCTCTGCTTTAGCCTCCCAAGTATCTGGGATTACAGGCACCCACCACCACCCCTGGCTAATTTTTGTATTTTTAGTAGAGATGGGGTTTCACCATGTTGCCCAGGCTGGTCTTGAACTCCTGACCTCAGGTGATCCACCTAACTCGGCCTCCCAAAGTGGTGGTTATAGGTGTGAGCCACTTTGCCTGGCCCATGTATCATTATTTTACATATCAGTTCAACAACAGTGAGCAAGACCAACCTCTCATTCTCACAGTACTTTCATTTTAATGGAAAGAGACAGAAAATACACATATATAATATGTCAGGAGGTGGGAAGTGACATAAAGAAAGATGGAGCAGGAAGTAATAAAGTAATCAGGGAAGGCCTCTCAGGTTCCCAGGGGGAACAAGGGGCATGAGCCTTGGGGATACTACAGGAAGAACATTCCAGGCAGAGAGAACCGCCAGAGCAGAGGCCCTGAGACTAAGGGAGCAAAGGGTGTTTGCAGAAGAGCCAGCAGAGCAGCGGGCTGCTATATGCAAGGGTGAGAGGGACGGCAGGGCCTCACCAACCAAGGTAAGGGCTTTCGGTCTCACCCAAGTGAGATATCTGGAGACAACCCAGATATTCTAAGCCACCTGCCTTTCCTGCACTGTCTAGACATTCAGGTGGCTGGCCCTGCTGGAGACCATTCCACAGCCCCACAACTTAGAGCCACAAGTCCAATCTCTACACCCATCACTTCCCCACTCTCAGATACTTCACAGAGGAAACCTCCCCAGGGCCTGTGACACCACTTTGCAATTCTCCTGTCTTCCCAGCAGCACCAGCTACATAATTTGTAGCGCCCAGTTAGGGTTGCCAGATAAAATACAGGATACCGAATTGGAATTCCAGATAAAGAGTAATTGGTTTGTTTGTTTGAAACTGAGTTTTGCTCTTGTTGCCCAGGCTGAAGTGCAATGGCACGATTTCAGCTCACTGCAGCCTCTGTGTCCTGGGTTCAAGCGATTCTCCTGCCTCAGCCTCCTGAGTAGCTGGGATTACAGGCGCCCGCCACCACGCCCAGCTATTTTTTTGTATTTTTAGTAGAGATGGGGTTTCGCTATGTTGGCCAGGCTGGTCTCAAACTCCTGACCTCAGGGGATCCACCCACCTTGGCCTCCCAAAGTGCTGGGATTACGGGCGTGAGCTACCGTGCCCAGCTGTGAGTAACTGTTAATCTCAGTATGTCCCAGATATTGCATGGGACACACTTACACTCAAAACAAATATGAAAATGAAGCGGCCTGTGTTCAAAAATCATTAACAATTTCAAGACAGTGATGCCAGAGCATTATACAAAGCAAGAAGCCCTTTTAAGTGTAGGGACCCGTGCGACTGCTCAAGCTGCCCACTCATGAAGCCAGCCCTGCTCCCCACTCAGCTCTCCTGTCCTTACAGGAGACAATTGCAATTCAACTTCCCTAAACATCTGACCCACCACTCCCTCTCTTGCAGCTACTTTATATAGGAAACAAACCATCTTAAAGGAAGTTCCTCAATGTCCCAGTCCCACCCATTCTCCTGGTCTCTACTCTACCTGTTCCAATGGGAGTCCTCTTTCTATCTGAGTCAGGATCCCATACTCTTCCCCACCTTCTCAGGTCCTCACACTTTCCACTACCCACCTCGTCTCTATCTTCAACTTCTGTTCTACCAGAAGTCTACCTCTCAGAAGCAATTTAACATGCTCCAATCTTCCTGCATGGTTTTTGTTTTGTTTTGTTTTGTTTTTTTTAAAAAAAAAGCTTTCCTGGATCCTCACATACCCTTCCCTTCATATTTAATATCTTGAATGAAGGAGCTACATTCCCATCAACCTTCTGTTATCTGGCTGTCACACTCTTGCTGTCATCATCAATGACCTTTGTGGTACTTCTCAGGCCTTATCTTTCTTTCCTGCTTAAAACTCCCTTTCCTCAGTGTTAGTGTCACCAAATTCTCCTGGCTTCTTCTATGTGAGGCATGTCTTCTCGGTTTCCTCTGTGGGCCTCCTTTCCTTAAACACGGCTCTGTCCTAGACTCTCTTTTCATGTGTTACACACTCTCACCCACCATGGAACCCAGGGGTTCTACGTGTTGAAGCAGCCCACATTTCTCTCTAGTCCAGATGTCTCTCCTGAGTTTCAGACTCTAATGTTTACAGGACAGCTCCACTCTATGTCCTTGAACTCAACATGTCCAAAATGAGACTCAAAAAATAAAAAGTGGACTCCTTCTCCCCTATGCCCTCACCTGGTACTGTTAAGGCAGGAGAATAGGGTCTGAAGGTAGGGAACCTAAGGCTGATTTGTGCTGACTTCCTAGAACTGAATCAAAAGGAAAATCTTACCTCTCTACGCCCAAGTAACAAAAGGATCAGAGGCTACTCCTTTTGCAACCCCACCCCCTTTCTGCATTGCAAATGAAAAATGGAAAGCACCTCTGATTGGTCCCCTCCCACAACCAATCAGACTGGTCCCTGGCCAAGTCTTCATTTGCATAGGTTGTAACTCTGTAACTTCACTTCAGCCTCTAATTGGTCACCTCCCACAACCAAACAGACTGGTCATGGACCAAGTCTTCATTGACATAGGTTGTAGCCAAGTAACCGATGGGAAACCTCTAGAGAGTATTTAAACCCCAGAAAATTCTGTAACCAGGGCTTGCTCCAGCCCACTCCCACTCTGTGGAGTGTACTTGCATTTCAATAAATCTGTGCTTTCATTGCTTCATTCTTTCATTGCTTTGTGTGTGTTGTCCAATTCTTTGTTCAAAATGCCAAGAACCTGGACAACTCATGGTCAAGACCTTCCACTGGTAACACTGCCTTCTGTTTCTGAATGGTAACCCATTTCCAAGCCATAAACTCAGGTGATTCTCCTCCACCTTCATATCATCAAATCCCAATTCTGCTTTCTAAATCTCTCTTGATTGCATGCCTTCCCTTCTGCCTCTCCTATTTCAGGTTACCTGGATCTCTTCCCTAGTAAAATCTTTCAACAGTCTTCCAGCCCATGCCATTCCCAATCTTGTCCCCTCCCATCTCCACTCAGCAGCCCCAGATGCACACCCTCTCCAGCCTCATCTCCCAGCACTCCCCTCACACAACAGACTTGAGTCACTCGGCATCTCTCAATCTGCAGTGAGACCATGCCACCCCTTGCTTCTCTGGGCTGCAGCACATGCTATTTCCTCTGCCTGGGATTTTCTCAAACTCCAGTACAGCTAACTCCTGCTCCTCAGCCATGGGAAACAGCAAGTAGAGTGGTTAAGTTAGATTCCTTAGCCAACCTTCCTTGGTTCAAACCACAGTTCCACCACTTCCAGGTATACAACCTTAACCATTCTAAGCTTCAATTTCCCCTTCAAAAAAATGGGAATAATAATTGTGGAGATATCACTGGTTGACTGTCCAGCCATTTCTTCTTCCTCACTAACAGAACCCCAATTTTGTCCAGAGACCATGTGCTCATCCCAGAGAATGACTCATGATTGGCAGAAGGAAGTTACAGAAATTTACCTTCTTTCTGGCAGTGATTAATTCTATCTAATGAAATGTAAAAGGAAGCCTACTGAGGGTTTCTGGAAAACAAGAGTACTGCCCTTAGAACCAGACAAGAGAGGCCCCTGCCCTGGGCCCTGTGCTTCAGGGTCCCACCTATTTCAAACACATGCGTAAAAGTTAAACAACACGTGGGCACCTCTGTCATCGAGGGTCACACGGCATGATGTTGTCACAAGTAACACCTAGCACAAGTAACACCTAACACCAGTCAGGCCCCAGAGAAACACTTCACACCTCTTCCCCTGTCCCCTCAAAACAAAAGGTAACTGTGTCTAAATAAGAAGGTTTGTGGATTATGCCACTGCCAACACCAGAGACCAATGCTGCAGTGGAGTGTGGGAAGGATTGGAGTGGTAGAGCACTTAGGGAAAAGAAAAGACAAATTAGCTTGTCAAATCCTTCCTCTCAGCACAAATGCAATACATTCTTGCAAAATGAATAGGAGCATGAATAGGATATTCAGGAGAACTGAATATCCATTTTTTTGCTTCTGTTCCTATTCATGGTTCCAGAGGACTCACAAATCAGTGCTACTAAATTAGCACCAGTTGCACATGGTGGCAGAGGGATATTTTGCAAAATTATATCACATTGCATACATATGTATCATAAATGCAGATACATTATCTCACATAGATATGGGAAATATATTTATAAAATAAAACTTGAAGGATGCATAATACCAATAACACCGATTTTTTTTTTTTTTTTTTGCTGGACTCAAGTGATCCTCCCACCTCAGCCTCCCAAGTAGCTGCGACTACAGGCGCTCACCACCATGCCCGATTAAGTTTTGTATTTTTGTTAGAGTCAGGGTTTCACCACGTTGCCCAGGCTGATCTCCTAGCTCAAGCAGTCTGCCTGCCTCTGCCTCCCAAAATGCTAGGATCACAGGTACGAGCCACTGCACCAGCCAATGCCAATTCTTTTCTTTGGAAATTAAATGGACATTAAGCACTGGAATTTCAGGTATTAAATATCTCATTGAAGTAAAACTAAGATTAAATTTTCAAAATGTTATTTCTTTAGTTTTGAAATAATTTTGATCAAAACGTTAACATTAACTTGTATTTTGCCTTTTACTTTTAATAGATTACAGTGAACATTTTATAAGAAAAAGCTTGTTTAAAAAGGTAATTTGGAGGCTGGGTGCGGTGGCTCATGCCTGCAATCCCAGCACTCTGGGAGGCCGAAGCGGGAAGATCACGACATCAAGAGATCAAGACTGTCGTCCTCATCAGTATAGTGGTGAGTATCCCCGCCTGTCACGCGGGAGACTGGGGTTCGATTCCCTGAGGAGGAGGCAGCAGTCCTTTGGCCGGGCGCGGTGGCTCACACCTGTAATCCCAGCACTTTGGGAGGCCAAGGTGGGCGGATCACCTGAGGTCAGGAGTTCCAGACCAGCCTGATCCACACAGAGAAACCCCATCTCTACTAAAAATGCAAAATTAGCGGAGCTTGGTGGCACATGCCTATAATCCCAGCTATTTGGGAAGGCTGAGGCAGGAGAATCGCTTGAACCTGGGAGGGGGAGGGGGAGGTGGAGGTGGAGGGTGCGGTGAGCTGAGATCATGCCATTGCACTCCAGCCTGGGCAACAAAAGCAAAACTCCATCTCAAAAAAAAAAAAAAAAAAAAAAAAAAAAGAGATCGAGACCATCTTGGCCAACATAGTAAAACCCTGTCATTAGCTGGGCATGGTGACACGCACCTGTAGTCCCAGCTACTTGGGAGGCTGAGGCAGGAGAATCGCTTGAACCTGGGAGGCGGAGGTTTCAGCAAGCCAAGATCGCGCCACTGCACTCCAGCCTGGGGGACAAAGTGAGACTCCGCCTCAAAAAATAAAATAAAATAAAATAAACACCAGTCTGATTAAAGCTGCTGTTCACAGAGTTTCCCCTTATTTGCAGCCCAAAGCATCCCTAACTAATAAAATAGGGCCCAGCTCAGGACTGAATGACATAAATCATGTGACTGGCAAACAGCTCAGTTTTACTCACTCACTATGAGCCAGGGCTATTCTTATGATGGGGCTCCTGGAGCAATGCCTGGCACATAGTTAGGGCACCAAAGAGCTCACCATCCAAACCAGGCACTTTTCAGAGTAAAAGATGGTGCAAATAAAAATTATACCAGGACCAAAGGCCTGTAGCAGGTCAACTAAGCATAAACATTCAATGTCAACTCTGCTTATTCGTGGATTAACTTCAACATCACTTCCTCTGGGCAGGTCTTCCCGATTCCCCCCACTCCATAAAAGCCCACAACTCTTCTTATGTCCTGTATCTCAGCACCTCTCACAGAGTGTATCGCAAAAGCCTGTCTACAAGTCTGCATACACAGCACAAGACCACAGGTCCAGAAAGGTGGGGCTGTGTCTGTCCATTCTTCACTGTATCCATGGGGACTAGCAAATAGTGAGGGTTCAATTAATATTTCTTGAATTAACTAATTATGTCTGTTGCTTATATCCTTGCCTGACCCTAGAAAGTCCACTACGAGTTAAATGTTCTTATATTTACATTTGGGTTCTATGGGAGCGGACCTGTATTATTTATATTCACTCATGTGTCCCCTGAAGTCCTAACTGCAGGGTCCAGGACAGGTTTTTTGTTTTTCCATCGTCCTTTCCAATGGGCAGATAACATGCCTATGGGAACTGTAACAACAGAGAAGAGAGGGAGAGCCTAGAGCTCCCACTAAATGTATCAAGTTTACATTGTCTAGTTGTTAGAAGAGTAAAGAATCAAGATGGGAAATCTCATCCTAGCTAGGCACACAGGCCACATTACTCTGTTAGCAAGAGACCTTTTTTTTTTTTTTTTTTTGAGATGGAGTTTTACTCTTGTTGCCCAGGCTGGAGTGCAATGGTGCAATCTCAGCTCACTGCAACCTCTGCCTCCCGGGTTTAAGCGATTCTCCTGCCTCAGCCTCCTAAGTAGCTGGGGTTACAGGCGCCTGCCACCATGCCCAGCTAATTTTCTATTTTTAGTAGAGGAAAGGTTTCACCATTTTGGTCAGGCTGGTCTCAAACTCCCAACCTCGGGTGATCCACTTGCCTGAGCCTCCCAAAGTACAGGGATTACAGGCATGAGCCACCGTGCTTGGCCAGCAAGTGATTTTTCAACTATGTCTTTCCTTGGCCGAGTGCAGTGACCCACGCCTGCAATCCTAGCACTTTGGTAGGCTGAGGCAGGTGGATCACTTGAGCCCAGGAGTTCGAGACCTGCCTGGGCAACACGGCAAACCCCGCCCCCTCCATTTTTAGTAAAAATACAGAAAAAAAAAAAAAGCCAGACAGCCGGTCGTAGTGGCTCACACCTGTAATCCCAGCACTTTGGGAGGCCAAGGTGGGTGGATCACTTGAGGTCAGGTGTTCTGAGACCAGCCTGGCCAACATAGTGAAACCCCATCTCTAAAAATACCAAAAAGAAATCAGCCAAGCACGGTGGTGCACAACTGTAGTCCCAGCTATTCAGGGGGCTGAGGCAGGAGAACTGCTTGATCTCAGCGGTGAGCCAAGATTGTGCCACTGCACTCCAGCCTCCAGCCTGGGGAAGGAAGGAAGGAAGGAAGGAAGGAAGGAAGGAAGGAAGGAAGGAAGGAAGGAAGGAAGGAAGGAAGGAAGGAAGGAGGGAAGGAAGGAGGGAAGGAAGGAGAGAAGGAAAGGGAAGGAAAGGGAAAGAAAGGGAAGGAAAGGGAAGGGAGGGAAGGGAGGAAAAGAAGGAAAAGAAAGGAAAGAAAGAACCAAGCATGGGGTGTGCCACGTGCCTGTAGTCCCAGTTACTTGGGAGGCTGAGGTGGGAGGATCTCCTGAGCCCAGGAAGTAGAGGCTGCAGTGAGCCAAGATCACGCCACTGCACTCCAGCCTGGGAACATATCTCATGTGATGAGGACAGCCTGTTAGGTTTTGTTCCCCAGACATAATTCTCCATATCTCAACCGGGGATCCTGAGCACACAGCAACCTAGTACTTTCCTCTTCTCTTTCCCTAGTTAGCTTGCAGCTGTTGCCTCAGTAAACCAGCTCTCCAGGACATCCTTCCAGAACTGTGTGCCAGAGTCAGGCAGCCTGACCCAAAAGGGCCAGACACTCTGGCACGTGTCTCCTCAGCCAGACCCCAGAACTCAAAATCCCCTCCTACGAAGGAAGAGAAAAACAACACAGGCTCCCACCAGCCAAAAAAGAACGACAGAAGGAAAGCACAGAATCTGTCCCCTTCTCCTTCTGCCCCATCCTTTTCACATCACATCAAGCCAAGCTGTCTTTGGGGAACAGACAAGATGCAACAGGCAGTTAGACTGGCCCACCCTGGCTAACAAGGCCATCTGACTTCACCAGCAGAACCCCCTTCCAGGTTCAGGGGAAGGGGGCTCAGGGGCTGTATATTTGACAGCAGAAAGAATCGGCTGTGATTTGGGGACTAACATCATACTAGCTGCCCAGCTACCCACAGCTGTGCTGGGAATGTGGCTCTACCAGGAACACTGCTACAGCCAGTCAAGTGTGTCACAGCCCACTTCCATCACCACATTTACGGTCTTCTCTAATGCAGTCAATCTGACAGACAGAAGTCGGAGTGAAAACTGTGCAGATGCCTGCGCTGATCCCATGAGACATTACCAATTTTGTTTTTCCCACATTGTGCACCCAAGATTTCAGAAAAATTCCTTACCTTTCACTAGTCAGAGAGCCGCCTTTTCCATCTGTTGGGGATGCTTTCTTTTCTCTTTCATTAATGCAAATATCACCAGAGCAGTGATTAAAGCGAAGATACAATTTTGAGTTAGTTGTCTATCTTTGGACCTAGAAGGAGACTGCAATGAAAAGTGGATTCTTTCTGGAAACCTAATGGATTATTTTTCCCTGACCCCTGATAACTTACTTTCCTAATCTACAGGACATCCCCCCTACCTGCCTTTACATTAACTTCCCTAGGCGGGAAGAAAAAGACATTTCTGGTTGTGGGAGGGAGGAGGTGGTGGTGAAACAAGCAAATACAGTGAGGCTCCCCTGGCCCCCATCTGTTCCAAATCTTCCCCTCACAGGATGTCATGTCTGAAAAGCAAGAAAAATATTCCTTCCTCTTCCAACATTCAGCAGAATCTTGCATGCAAAGAGAAGAATGTCTCGTTACTCTGTGGGTTCTCATCTGCTTTTTAACTCACAAATTGCCGAATTACACTAGCCCCTCCACCCTCTCCCTCTCTCCCAGTAAAACCCCAGGGGCAGCAGGGCTCAGCACCAGCGAGGAGCTAGCTCCCCACCATACCACCATACCTCTGGCACAAAGGATTAGTTCTCCTGAGCCTGGCCAATGACTTTTGCAGATTTCTAAGCTGAAGACAGGCCAGAGAGCTGTCAGAGCCCCCAGAGGAAGTGAGGCCACCCCCAGGGGGTAAAAGGAGTGGGCTCAGAATTCCCCACTTTTGACCCTGCACTCTCCCTCTCCCCAGCTTCTAGGCACTTTGCATATGGAAGTGCACAGGCAGCCAAGTCCTGGGCATTTGAACAGGAAGGATGTTCCTCAGTAGCTCACAAGGACCCTAACTGCTGCATTTCCAGGACTGGGAGGGCGATATTTATAGAAAGGGCAGCCAGCCAAGCGAGATCAGCTCCAACTTTATTTCAACTAACCCTCTTTTCCATCTTCTGTAGCTCTCCTTCAAGTTAAACAGAGAGGCATTCCTCCCTTTATTGCTTGATTTTTACGCAAGGGCTGAGGCTCTCATTAAAATGATTGAGAAACCCTGACTGAAAAGATGGAAAAGGACCTGCCTGCCTGCCCCTCCCCCTTGGCTCTTAATCTTCCTCTCCTACGTCCCTCTGCCCTGCTTCCCTGCATTCCCCACATGGCACATGCTCCTTCTTATGCCCCTGCAGCACAGAACCCCTTGTGGTCCTGTAGATGAGCAACGCTGTCCCTTACCCTAAATCCAAATTATCCTTCCTCCCAGCTTTCTTTCTCATCCTTTTTTATCACATCCTATAAGGCCTGCATGATCTACTCTCACCCCACCCTCTTCAACCTTATTTCCTATCACTCTTCCCCTACAAACCCCCTCCTCCTCACTGTTGCTCAAACACACTGAACACACCCCTCAGGGCCTTTGTACAGGCTGTTTCCTTTACCCAGAACACACCCTCTAGGGGGGCCATTTGAAAGTCTGGCTCTGACACATGATCCAGATTTCAGCCCTAAAGACCTTGCTAACACTGAGTATTAAAAAGCACTGCAGGCCGGGTGCGGTGGCTCACGCCTGTAATCCCAACACTTTGGGAGGCCAAGGCGGGTGGATCACTTGAGGTCAGGAGTTCAAGACCAGCCTGGCCAACATAGTGAAACCCTGTCTCTATTAAAAATACAAAAATTAGTGAGGCGTGGTGGAGGACGGCTGTAATCCCAGCTACTCAGAATGCTGAGGCAGGAGAATTGATTGAACCTGGGAGACGGAGATTGCAGTGGGCCGAGATCGTGTCGCTACACAGTGAACACTTCACCTCAAAAATAAAACTAAATTAAATTTAAAAAGCACCCCTATGAGCCAAACACAATGACAGGTGCCTGTTGTCCCTGCTAGTAAGGAGGCTGAAGCAGGAGGATTGCTTGGGCCCAGGAGTTCGAGGCTGCAGTGAGCTATGATCAAGCCATTGCACCACAGCTCAGGCAACAGAAGAAGACACCCATCTCAAAAACAAAAAAAGGGCCTAACCTGTCACTCTGTAGCCTCACTATCCCACAGCTGCTTCATTTGCTTCACAGCACCAACAAAGACTCTCTCCTTGACCAAACTTTAGACAGGCTCCTCTAGATCCTCTTCTTCATGTGGCCTGCCTTTAGCAAATAATTCAGCTGAGTCATTCCCCCACCCTCAATATCTGACCAAGTTCCTCATCCCCCACTTTTAATGTGTAAGTCCTTGGCCTGCCTTCCACAGAATCCTGTTGAGTTGGTTTAGCAAGAGTTCCCCTACCCTTCGTGTCTTCTCTTAGTGATTTTCCACCCAATGACCCCCTCACTCTGATTATAAATGCCCAACTAGGTCTTTGCTGGATTCAGTGATGAACTCAACCTCCTTCCTCTATTGCAAAAGTTAACTCCTAGGCCGGGTGCAATGGCTCATGCCTGTAATCTCAGCACTTTGGGAGGATGAGGAGGGTGGATGACCTGAGGTCAGTCAGGAGTTCAAGACCAGCCTGACCACCATGGTGAAACCCTATCTCTACTAAAAATACAAAAATTAGCCAGGTGTGGTGGTATGTGCCTGTAATCCCAGCAACTCAGGAGGCTGAGGCAGGAGAATCGGTTGAACCTGGGAGGCAGAGGGTGCAGTGAGCCGAGATCGCACCACTGCACTCCAGCCTGGGTGACAGAGACTCCATCTCAAAGAAAAAAAAAAGAAAAAAAGTCAACTCCTGTTGCAATAGTCTTGAATAAAGTCTTCCTTACCATAAGTGTTAATTCTTCTTTAATACCACCTGACATCATATGATCTTTTTGTTCATCTTTCTCCCTCCACTGGACTGTAAGTTCCACAATGGCAAGATCTTTATGTGTTTATTCTCTGCTAGATCCTTTGCTTCTAAAATAGTATCTGGGGCTGGGCATAGTGGCTCACGCCTGTAATCCCAGCACTTTGGGAGGCCGAGGCAGGCAGATCACAAGGTCAGTTCAAGACCAGTCTGACCAGTACAGTGAAACCCCGTCTCTACTAAAAATACAAAAATTAGCTGGGCGTGGTGGTACACACCTGTAGTTCCAGCTACTCGGGAGGCTGAGGCACTCCTGCCTCAGTTGAACCCGGGAGGCGGCAGTTGCAGTGAGCCAAGATCATGCCACTGCACTCCAGCCTGGGAGACAGAGCGAGACTCCATCTCAAAAAAAATAAAAAAAAAAATAGTATCTGACACACAACAGACACTCAACAAATGTCTATAAAATGAATCCAGCTACCTCCACTTATCCTGTGATCTCTGTTTGCCCGCCACCTCCTCTGGGAAGTCATTCCTGAATCTTCCAAGGCTTGACCCTGTACTTCAGTTAACAGTGATCACATGGATCTCAGAGGATAATTCTCTTATTATTCAATATGTACTTTAAATGTGTTCATATATAATATACTAATACACAGAATAAAACATAGAAGTCTACTTTGACCGCCTGCCCTCCTTCCCTTTCAGAGCTCCACAATGCCCTGCCCCAGTCTTTTTTTCCTCTGTACATACATCCATGCACATATCTGTTTGCACAACTCTCTCACACACACACACTGCCTGGCTCCAAGCAGGGGCTTAAATAAAAAGGATGAGGACAAAGAGCTCTGGTGGGGCTGAGAGCCACCTGTTTTCCCAAGGCTTTGCCCCATCTTCCTGGCTTTCTCTACCCACAGGAGGAAAGAGACCGCTTCTGTTGGTTTCCCTGCAAGAAGCAGATGAAGTACACAGGACTGTCCACTGTCAGCTCACTTCTTCATTCCAGGAAAACTTTCAAGGCTGGCACAGGTCAGAGAGAGCTGCCTGAGCCCTGCTGCTCCAAAGTGCTCCTGGAGGGCACGAGGATTCAGCCAACCCAGAAAGCCATGGTGGGCCAGGGCCCTGAGGGTGAATGCAGACCTGCCTGGAAGTTAGGGGGTGAGGTTTACCTGGTGGAGGGGGCACCAAGGGAGAGGGGCAAGCTAGTTGTAGAAACAGCCCAAGTAGATTTCCACATAAAGAAAAAGTAAACAGATGAAGGCTCTTCCTCAGCCCTTCGGGCCTCTCCGAGGAAAGCAAACCTTCAAGTGTTTGTTGAAACACTAATCCAATTTTAAAATGCTTTAAAAGAGCTGGAAGAGGAAGTACCAGCTATTGACCACCCCCTCCGCTGGCCTGCAGTGTAAGTGTAGTCACTTTCCCCTCTCTTGGCCTCTGTCTCTGGGGATATTACACACAGAGACCCAGAGGAACAAGAAGTTACCTGGGACAGATTCGGGAACCAACCCTTGTCCACGGAGGGCCATCTGAGTCTTCCTCTTGCCCAGCCATGAAAGAAGCCTTTATTAGGAGCAGAAAACTAGCCAGGATCGGAAAGAGCTGACTCCAGCAGCCTTCACCCCAAGGCAAGCTCACATCATTCACACTCTAGGAATCTGGAAGATATTGAAGTATCCTTGCCCCTGCTTCCTGGGAGGCACTTAATTACCCCCCTGCCCCCACCCCACGTGGGTCTTATTTTTGGCAGCCAATTCATTCCCAGAAGTTGCAGGTGAAATGAGCTTCAAGGGGATTTGCCAAACAATAATTAAAGGAAAAGCAAACCCTTCTCAAATGCTCCAGAGTCTTGTTCTCCCACCCTTGGACAACTTTACCAGATCCTTCACCCACTCTCACCATGCCAGGGTGACTAACACTCCTGGTTTGCCAGGGACTGTCCCAGTCTTAGCACTGACAGTACCATGTCCCGAGATGATTGGTCATGCACCACTGTAGCCTCCCAACCTCCTTCCCTTCATCCCCATGGTTTCAGGGTGGGTACACACCTTGGAAAGGTTGCCTAGCAATGTAGAGATGGGCTTTCTGGTATTGTTTCTTTTTCCTTTTTTTTTTTTTTTTGAGATGGAGTTTCGCTCTTTGTTGCCCAGGCTGGAATGCGATGACGCGATCTCGGCTCACTGCAACTTCTGCCTCCTGGGTTCAAGCAATTCTCCTGCTTCAGCTTCCCCAGTAGCTGGGATTACAGGCATGTGCCACCACCCCTGGCTAATTTTGTATTTTTAGTAGAGATGAGGTTTTGCCATGTTGGTCAGGCTGGTCTTGAACTCCTGACCTCAGGTGATCCACCCGCCTTGGCCTCCCAAAATGCTGGGATTACAGGCGTGAGCCACCGCGCCTGGCCCAGTATTGTTTCTTTATACAGCTTCCCTTGTTGCATTTTCAAGAGGAGGAAAGTGGTGAATACAGAGGTTCAATTAGTTTCTTTCAACCAGGCGCTTTCATTTAGAAAGAGGGAGATAGATAAGAAGATCTAAGAAGCATTCAGCACTTATTATGTTGTGTATAAAATACCTGTTTAATTTAATCCTAGGAGGTGAGTACCATGTCTCAGATTGAGAAACTGAGGTCCAGAATCACACAGCTAATAAATAGTAGAGTTGAGATCCCAATCCAGGCAGGATAACACCAAGGCTCATGAACTTATTCACTGTCTTATACTGTGATCCCTAAAGATGAAGAGTTCTTGTCATTTGAATCACGGAGGGAAAAAACAATGTGAAAGTGCTTATGCTGGACTGAAAAGGAATGTGACACTGTGACCACAGGGCCTCCCTCTCCTACGGATGGGAGCTCTAGTCATCATGGGGATGGGGCCAGGTTTGCAGATAGTTAAGTCACCGCTGAGAGCCTCCTAACGCCGACTCTGCCCAGCCACCCACCCAATGGCTGCTGGATGAATCCATCAAAACCCTGGTCTCATGCCCTCACCAGCAGCACTGCAGAACAAAATCCACATCCCTCAGCCACAGTCTCATCCACTGTCTTGGAAATAGAAGTGGGAACTCACTTTACAGGAATGAATTTGGCAGGATAAGTCACAAATCTTGATAAATATTCATATAATTTGACTTTGTAACATCCTTTCTAAGAATTTTTCTCAAGGAACTTGTTCTAACAGGCTGGGAAAAGTGGGGCTGGTTTTGCTGGTGATATCTGACACATAAAGGTGTTCATGCCTATAGTTTTCTTTTTTTGAGATGGAGTTTCACTCTGTCGCCCAGGCTGGAGTGCAGTGGCTTGATCTTGGTTCACTGCAACCTCCGCTTCCCAGGTCCAAGCGATTCTCCTGTCTCAGCCTCCTGTGTAGCTGGGATTACAGGCACCTGCAACCAGGCCTGGCTAATTTTTGTATTTTTAGTAGAGACGGGGCAGGGTTTTGCCATGTTTACCAGGCTGGTCTCAAACTCCTGATCTACTCAAGTGATCTACCCGCCTTGGCCTCCCAAAGCGCTGGGACTACAGGCGTGAGCCACCATGCCCAGTCATGCCTTGAGTTTTCTGTAACAATGAAAACCTGGAACAATTCCTATGGCCAACAATAAGGAAATGGTTAAACTATGATATATCCATCCATCGGATTATTATGCAACTATTAAGATGCATGTTTATGAGGAGTTGAAAATAACATGGAAAATGCTTGGCTACAGATGTTATGCTAAGCAAGCAGTAAATAAAATTATATAGACAATGTGATCACAACTATGTGAAAACAAACCAAACACACACACCCCTCTTTAGAGTAAAAGGACTGAAAGGAAATGAACAAGATTAAACAGAACTAACACTTAGGAAGCAGCCAGCTAACTGCTTTCCATACTTACCTCATTTCATCTTCAAGGCAAGCCTACACATTAGGAACTTTTTTTTATCCTTACTTCACCAATGAGAAAACTGAAGCACCCAGAGGATAATTAAGCTGCCCGATGGTTGCCTACAGCTAATAAGGAAGAAGGAAGGCATCTGAACCCAGACTCACCTGATTCAGGGCCTGTGCCCTTATCCTGCACACGACCACACCCAAATGCAGCCAGCAGCTTTACTTGGCTAGCAGAACGACTAGCAACTTTTTTCCCCCTACTTTCTACTTTCTTTTTTTCCAAATTGCCTGTATTAGTCCATAATATACTTATGTATATTGATATGTATGTTTTCATGTATATGTATATTTTATGTATGTTTATACATAAAACAGTATATTTTTTGTATATTGTGTGTGTGTGTGTGTGTGTGTGTATACATATTTTTTTTTTTGGAGACGGAGTCTCGCCCTGTCACCCAAGCTGGAGTGCAGTAGCGCGATCTCGGCTCACTGCAACTTCTGCCTCCCAGGTTCAAGCGATTCTCCTGCCTCAGCCTCCTGAGTAGCTGGGACTACAGGCGCCCGCCGCCATGCCCGGATGATTTTTCGTATTTTAGTAGAGATGGGGTTTCATTGTGTTGCCCAGGCTGGTCTCAAACTCCTGAGCTCAGGCAATCTGCCCGCCTTGGCCTCCCAAAGTGCTAGGATTACAGGTGTGAGACACTGTGCCCCGCCTATTTTTATATTTTATGTATATATTTTTATATAAGACACTTTTTTTTTTTGAGACGGAGTCTTGCTCTGTCGCCCAGGCTGGAGTGCTGTGGCATGATGTGGACTCACTGCAACCTCTGCCTTCCGGGTTCACACCATTCTCCTGCCTCAGCCTCCCAAGTAGCTGGGACTACAGGCACCCGCCACCACGCCCAGCTAATTTTTTGTATTTTTAGTAGAGCCGGGGTTTCACCGTGTTAGCCAGGATGGTCTTGATCTCCTGACCTCGTGATCCGCCTGCCTCGGCCTCCCAAAGTGCTGGGATTACAGGCGTGAGCCACCACTGCGCCCGGTCTTTTTTTTTTTTTTTTTTTTTTTGAGACCAAGTCTCACTCTGTTGCCCAGGCTGGAGTGCACTGGTGCAATCTTGGCTCACTGCAACCTCTGCCTCCCGGGTTCAAGCGATTCTCCTGCCTCAGCCTCCAAGCAGCTGGGATTATAGGCACCCCCCACCCTGCCTGGCTAATTTTGTATTTTTAATAGAGATGGGGTTCTACCATGTTGGTCAGGCTGGTCTCAAGCTCCTGACCTCAGGTGATCTGCCCGCCTTGGTCTCCCAAAGTGCTGGGATTACAGGTGTGAGCCACCCAAAATACTTTTGTTCCTCTGGAATTCAAAGGTCTCCACAGTCTGGCTCTCTGCTGTCCTTCCGGCCACATTCCCCATCGCTCCTTTTCCATAGCGAAGTCAATAAGTGACGTCATTAGGGGACATGGGCAGATCTGCATTTTGGAAAGAACACTTCTGGGACAGAAAGGAATGTTGATGGCTGAGCAAAGAGTGGAGGAGGTAGGAAAAGGGGCAGGTGAGATCTGAGCCTTGTGGCCCCCACCGAGACCACCAACAGGGCCTGGTGAATGACCACAGCGTCACACACTCATGGAAAAACCAAGCCCACAGTGTCCAAGGGAAATAAACTGTCCATGGAAATGCACCAGCATCAGACAAAAGAAACAGCAGGAAGACCAAAAGCCAGAATCTGGGCTCCCTCCCCATCTCGGGGCCTCACAGTTGCTCCTCCAGGAGAGCCAGGAGACAGGGAAGCCTCCTCCACCTCCTTGGCATCCACCTGGAACACTCAGGACAGAAGGGGTGAGGGTGAGAAGGGCCTACACCACCTAAACCTGCGTTCCGGACCTGGCCTCCTGTGGAGGGGTCTTTTCTAGTTTGAGGGAGAGAGCAGGCTCTTGTGAAAACAAATTACAGACAGCTTGGCTGGAGCAGAGCAGTAGCAGCACCAAGTGGGAAAAGTCACAACAAAGATGCTCAGATTTCACTCACTTTTCCAAACCCTTGCACACTGGAGGGCTCTCAAGGTGAAGAAGCCACAATATTGCTGGAGGAAATAAAGAGGAACCTGTCTGACACTGGTTCTCAGCCCCTGATGGGCCTCAGAGGGCAGGAGAAGGGCTACTGAAAGATTTTCCAAGCTCACCCCCAAACATTCTGATTCGATGTCTTGCTCAGGCCTAAGAGTTTACATTTTTAATAAGCATTTCCCCAAGTTGCTGTTGAGCCCTAGCCTACCTATGAAGAAATCTCAACTTACAAGTTGATGTAAGGACTGACATTTAGAAAACATTTATTTTAATTACTTTATATTTAAAAATAAGTGGCTGGGCATGGTGGCTCACGCCTGTAATCCCAGCACTTTGGGAGGCGAGGCGGGTGGATCACGAGGTCAGGAAATCGAGACCATCCTGGCTAACACGGTGAAACCCTGTCTCTACTAAAAATACAAAAAATTAGCTGGGCGTGGTGGTGGGCACTTGTAGTCCCAGCTACTCCAGAGGCTGAGGGACGAGAATGGCGTGAACCCGGGAGGTGGAGCTTGCAGTGAGCAGAGATTGCGCCACTGCACTCCAGCCTGGGCGACAGAGCGAGACTCCATCTCAAAAAAACATATGTATCACAGCCTGGGTGCGGTGGCTCACTCCTGTAATCCCAGCACTTTGGGAGGCTGAAGTGGACAGATCACGAGGTCAAGAGATCAAGACCATCCTGGCCAACATGGTGAAACCCCGTCTCTACTAAAAATACAAAAAATTAGCTAGGCATGGTGGCGCGGGCATGTAGTCCCAGCTACTTGGGAGGGTGAGGCAGGAGGATCACTTGAACCCAGGAGGCAGAGGTTGCAGTGAGCCGAGATGGCGCCGCTGTACTCCAGCCTGGTGACAGAGCAAGACTCCATCTCAACAAACAAACAAAACAAAACAAAAAAATATGTGTTACAAAGGGTATACAGGGAATTCTTTGCATTATTTTTGCAACTTTTCTATGAGACAAATTATTTCAAAATAAAGTTTAAAATATATATGACAGGCCGGGCACGGTGTCTCATGCCTGTAATCCCAGCACTTTGGGAGGCCGAGACGGGTGGATCACGAGGTCAGGAGATCGAGACCATCCTGGCTAACATGGTGAAACCCCATCTCTACTAAAAATACAAAAAATTAGCCGGGCGTGGTGGCAGGCGCCTGTAGTCCCAGCTACTCAGGAGGCTGAGGCAGGAGAATGGCGTGAACCCAGGAGGCGGAGCTTGCAGTGAGCCGAGATGGCGCCACTGCACTCCAGCCTGGGCGACAGAGCGAGACTCCGTCTCAAAAAAAAAAAAAAAGTGTATATATATACGTATATATATAAAAAACACAAAAGTAATATGTGCCTATAATAAAATATTTTTAATAATACCACATTAGATACAGGAGAAAATAGACACCTGGCTGGGCACGGTGGCTCACACCTATAATCCCAGCACTTTGGGAGGCCAAGGCGGGCATATCACGAGGTCAGGAGATCCAGACCATCCTGGCCAACATGGTGAAACCCTGTCTCTACTAAAAAAATACAAAAATTAGCTGGGCGTGGTAGCACGCACCTGTAATCCCACATACTCGGGAGGCTGAGGCAGGAGAATCACTTGAACCTTGGAGGTGGAGGGTGCAGTGAGCGGAGATCATGCCACTGCACTCCAGCCCGGGTGACAGAGTAAGACTCTGTCTCAAAAAAAAAAAAAAAAAAAAAGAAAAGAAAAGAAAATAGACACCTCCTCACTTCACCAGCCCCAGCCCACTCTCGACACTAACTACTGTGAACAATTTGGTAGATATTAGGACTTTTTCTTGTTTTCATTTTCTTTTTGAGACATGGTCTTGCTCTGTTGCCCAGGCTGGAGTGCAGTGGTGTGATCGTGGCTCACTGCAGTCTCCACCTCCCAGGCTCAAATGATCCTCTCACCTCAGCCCTCCAGAGTAATTGGGCCTATAAGCACGTGCCACCATGTCTGGCTAATTTTTGTATTTTTTTGTAGAGACAGGGTTTTACCATGTTGCCCAGGCTGGTCTCGAACTGCTGAGCTCAAGTGATCTACCCACCTTGGCTTCCCAAAGAGCTGAGATTACAGGCCAGAGCCACCATGCCTGGCCTTGTTTTCTTTTTCTTTTTTTTTTAAGACGGAGTCTTGCTCTGTCGCCCAGGCTGGAGTGTGGTGGCGCCATCTCAGCTCACTGCAATTTATGCCTCCCGGGTTTAACCCATCCTCCTGCCTCAGCCTCCCGAGGAGCTGGGACTACAGGCACACCACCACGCCTGGCTAATTTTCTTTGTATTTTTAGTACAGACGGGGTTTCACCATGTTGGCCAGGATGGTCTCGATCTTGAGACCTCGTGATCCACCTACCTTGGCCTCCCAAAGTGCTGGGATTACGGGCGTGAGCCACCACACCCGGCCTTGGTTTCGTTTTCTAACAATAACTAATGCCAGCAAGAATGTGATGAAAATGACACTCTCAAAATTGTTGATTGAAGTGCAAATTAAAATAGATCTTTTAGAAAGCAATTTAGCAATGTGTATCAAAAACCATAAAAACATTTATACTCTTGGACCTACCAATTTCCACATCTAGGAATCTCTCCCCCAAGGCCACCACTCTCTAAATAGAGTGCAACCATTTAAAATGATGACACGAAGCAATAAGGAAGATGGTTACGATGACAATGTTAGTAGGACAAAAAAAAATCAAAACAGGATATAAACATTTTACATATCCTCTAGTTACCAAGTTGTTTTTTTAAATTTCATTTTGTTTAGATACATAACACAAAGGAAATAAACCTAAATTGCTAACAGTATGTTAGGGAGATGGTATATGAGTACTACTATCTATTAGGGGGGTGGTTTTTGAGTTACACTTTTTTTCTTTTCTCAATTATTTCATCCATTGAGAGGCTCAGCACTGGGAATTGCAGACAGATACACAAACCTGGTTGAGAAATCCATTTTCCACTTTCCACACGTGTATTGTTGAGGACATTACCTAGTCTCCTGGAGCCTCGGCTTCCTTATGGAGATAATGGGAGATTTAAAAAAAAAGTACCCCCTAAACTTGCTGCAAGAACAAAACTGAGAAAACACATGGAAACTTTGGGTGCTTTTTGACCTGACACAGTAAGTAGAAGCTGTTATGTCATTTTTCTATATTCACTGTGATAGGTTACACTTCACAAAGCAAGGTTTAAACACTGGGGTTTAAAAATGGGGATTAAAATTTTGATAACCCTCATTGTCCTCATCAGACCCTCTCCTAAGACCCTGCTTAGTTTTACTTTGAAAGAGATATTGCACAACCTGCATTAAAGTGACAAGGCTCCACCCCGTTAACCAAAATAATGAATGGGAACAAGATTAGGAGATTGTAAAGTGCCTGCAAATGGAAGGCAGCCTGAGTCCGGTTTTTACTGGATGACCCTGAAGGGACAGTGGTTTAAACAACAGCCCAAGTAAAGTACCAGGGGTATTTACATGAGGTGCAATAATGCATTAAATGAACACATTAAATGCAGGGGGGCATGGGAGTGAAGATGGAATGTGGAGGGGCTGTATGTCAAGAAAATCAACATTACTCTTCCAACATCTGGGCCAAAGCTTCCAGGAGAAGGCAAGACTAGAGGGTAATGAGGACAAGAGTCATTATCTCAGGATCCCTTCAGCCAATCAGAACAACAATTAATTGGTCTACCTTCATCCAATTTATTGCAAGACTTATTAGGCTTGGCTCCACATCTCTTACTTTGGTGTTAATCAAAAGTGTCACTCTGAGCCCACGATTAACAGGAAGTCTTCTTTTGAAAGGACCATTTAGAAAAGAAAACCAAATGGTTGGGCATGATTGCTCACCCCTGTAATCCCAGCACTTTGGGAGGCCAAGGCGGGCAGATCACATGAGGTCAGAAGTTCGAGACCAGCCTGACCAACATGGTGAAACCCCGTCCCTACTAAAAATACAAAATTAGCAGGGTGTGGTGGCGCATGCCTGTAATCCCAGCTACTTGAGAGGCTGAGGCAGGAGAATCGCTTAAACCTCGGAGGCGGACGTTTTGGTGAGTCAAGATCACACCACTGCAGCCTGGTGACACAGCGAGACTCCATCTCAAAAAAAAAAAAAAAGAAATTTGGCGGGAAGCAGTAGCCCACACCTGTAATCCCAGCATTTTGGTAGGCTGAGGCAGGTAGATCACTTTGAGCCCAGGAGTTCGAGGCCAGCCTGAGCAACATGGCAAAAGCCCGTCTCTACCAAAAATATGAAAACTAGCTAGGGGTGGTGGCTTGCACCTGCAGTCCCAGTTATTCAGGAGACTGGGATGAGAGGATTGCTTGAGCCCCAGAGATGGAGGTTGCAGCGAGCCAAGATTGTGCCACTGCACTTATTTTATTTATTATTTATTATTATTATTTTTTTTTTTGAGATGGAGTCTCGCTCTGTCACCCAGACTGGAGTGCAGTGGCACAAGCTCAGCTCACTGCAAGCTCCGCCTCCCGGGTTCACGCCATTGTCCTGCCTCAGCCTCCCGAGTAGCTGGGACTACAAGTGCCCACCACCAAGCCTGGCTAATTTTTTGTATTTTTAGTAGAGACAGGGTTTCACCGTGTTAGCCAGGATGGTCTCGATCTCCTGACCTCATGATCTGCCCGCCTCGGCCTCCCAAAGTGCTGGGATTACAGGTGTGAGGCACTGCGCCCAGCCAAAAATTTTTTTCTTTTATAGATGGGGTCTTAATATGTTGCCCAGGCTGGTCTGGAACTCCTGGGCTCAAGCCTGCCTCGGCCTACCAAAGTATTGGGATTACAGGCATGAGCCACTGCCCCCAGCCAAAATCCTCTTTATGTAGCCCATCTCACCTCCCTTCCTGGTTGAGAATTGCTGATTGAACACGTATTTTTCCAGAACCTTTACTATTACAAATATATAAAATATATTCACGTAGGCATGCACACATGCAGCTTCTTTTTACCTGAAAAAGATAAGCTCCTACTTCTCTGCTACTTGAATTTTCCACTTAATCATATGTCAAAAGCATCTTTCCATGCCTGTACATACAGGCATTTGGGTAGTGGTTATTGACCCAGACCCTGAGGCCAGATGACTTGAAGCCCAGCTCCCCGACTCGCCAGCTATGTGACTTTAGACAAGTTACTTAACATCTCTTTCCTGATTTAAAAAAATTCTAGTAATAGTAACCAGATAATTGTTGAGAAAATCAAATGAGTTAATATTATAAATGTGCAGATATTCTAAAATACATAGAACTTTCAGACTAGTGTGTACACAGTAAGTGCTATATGTATGTTGGCCATTGTTATAATCTACCTTGTTCTTTTTTTTTTTTTTTTTGAGACGGAGTCTCGCTCTGTCACCCAGGCTGGAGTGCAGTGGTGTCATCTTGGCTCACTGCAACCTCCGCCTCCTGGGTTCACGCTTCTCCTGCCTCAGCCTCCCGAGTAGCTGGGACTACAGGCGCCCGCCACCACACCCGGCTAATTTGTATTTTCAGTAGAGATGGGGTTTCACCATGTTAGCCAAGATGGTCTCCATCTCCTGATCTCGTGATCCGCCGTCTCGGCCTCCCAAAGGGCTGGGATTACAGGCTTGAGCCACCGCACACGGCCCCACCTTGTTCTTTTCTTTACTGGCCATGTAGTAGTCCACTCTGTGGATAAAATATAATTTATCAAACCAGGCCCCTACTGATAGATTCATGGTGATTTCCTATTTGTCACTGCAGTGAGCATTTTTTAACATAGGTTTTTGTATACACGTGCAACTATTAACGTAGTGTAGTTTACAAAGCATGAAATTACTGCATCAAAGGTCACGCTCATTTTTTATGAAAGATGTTGCCAAATTTCCCTCCAAAAGGCTGCACTAATTTACATCCCCGCCAACATTTTATGCATGCCTGTCTCCAGGCATCTTCGCAACACTGGTAGCCTGGATCTTTGGCATCCTCGTTTCTGCACTTGCCTTCCCTAAATGAAACCTAAATCAAAACCACCAACAATGCATTTGTTAAAGTCCCAGGGACACCTAATCCCTTTGTTTTTTCTAAAGGGAATTAGACATTCGGTTCTTTGACAGGCCCTCAGTTGCCTGGACACAGCCCTGGGATGACTTTAAAAAAATATAAATAAAACACACTTGCTGTTCCCTAACACTCTCCAGAGAAGCTCGAGGGTGCCTGCGTGAGGCCTGGCCGCTCTGCTTTCTATCACGGGTGAAAAGATTTTCAATAGCAGCTAGTGTTTTCCTGGGTGGAGATTAGAGCCAGCATTTGTGTGTAAATATTATCCCAGGGCTCAATGGAGAATTAGGCTGGAAGCAGAGGCTGCAAAATCCCAGTTGCGTTGTTAAACAACAGGGGGAAGTGAGCATCTTCAGCCTTACCTGGTGCTTTCTATAGGAAGCTTCTAAGGAAAACAAACAGACATAGAAGCCGGTGCAGAGCTTGGCTGGAAACCTGTACCAGGCAGAGGAGAAGCAGGGCAAAGGGAGAAGTGCATGGTCTGGGGGTCCAGGCTGGGGTTTTGTCGCCTGTTCTGCAAGTTGGCAGCCACCTGGTTCCCTGGACCATGGCTCCTGCCATGTCATGTATGACAAGATGACCACGGACTGAGATCTCCACAGTTCTGAGATACAGGGTGACTTCCTGCTTCGTGTGAGGACCCCTTCGAATCCAATGGACCTGTGAAGGGAGGGGGGTGGCCTCTGGTTTACCAGTGGCCTCCCAGAGGTCTGAGGCAGAAATGTCAGTAATTCCCAGGATAGCCCCTGCTAAGTTCCAGAAGCCCCAAAGCCATTCATCTTCCAAACTCGTTTTTCAGGCTCACTATTTTATGGCTCAAAACCATTCATTTTTGTTCTTCCACATCTCCTACCTCACATCATTCCCAGGGACTCAGGTTGGAGTCCAAAGAGTCTCTAGAACAATGTATTCCATGGATCAGAACAAATCCCAGGGACTCCTTCTCAGATCCATAAGGGAGAGAATAACTCAGATGATGATCTCAGGAACTCAGAGGTGGGCTAAGTTTCCCCTGCTTGTTCAGTTTGCATGGGAGAATATGCAGGAAGGAAAGGAGGCCGAGACCCCGGATCTCCATCCAGTTGACTAGGGGCAGCATGTTGTACAGGAAAAGGAATTTGGAGCTGGACACGTCTGGCTTCAAGTGAAGGTATGTAAGCTCATTGTGCCTCAGTTTCCTTTTCTCTGAGAGTTTGGGGGTAGCCACCCAACACCTAGCATACCATATGTTCAGTGCGGCCCATGGGTTCTATACACCAAGGACACAGCAATAAGCAGACCAGTGCCTGCCCTCGTGGACTTTATATTCCCAGTGAGGTGGAGACTATTAATAGTGTCATGCTTCCTGCTGAGGAACCAAGGTTTATGGAGCATGTTAACATGCCAGCGAGGCCTGCAGCTCCTGAGTGGGCTCCACGGCTCGCTCTCAAATGACACTGCCCTGAACCATGAATATAAGTGATAACTAACCAGGTCCACCGTGAGGCTAACACAGCTGAAGCTTCAGGATCCCTGCTTGGATCAGCCCCTTCCAAGGTCTTGCAAAGGGCCCGGAAAGAAAAGCATCCATCGGATGGTCTTTGGTTTCTCTAACATTTGCCAGCATCAAGTCTTTTAACCACAAGTGGAAAGACCTCCATCTCTCTCCACTCCAGTCTCCCTTCTGCCCCTTCTCCCTTCCTGTTGTGTGACGTTAAGAGTGGCCACGGGCATTCAGGGATGCACGCACATGGGAGTTGAGTCGCTGGTACATTGAGTTTAGCAGATCATTAAGCTGAGTATTGCTAACCCTCCCAGGGTAGGAACAGCTCCCAGTAAAACTCCAGTAGCAAGTACCCCCCACCAAGGTCCTGACACCTCATCAGAAGTTGTATCACCATATGAACACATCCTACAGGGCCCAATCCTGAAGGATGTGGTGGGGAAGAAGGAAGGTTTAAAATGTATATAGTTAGATGCTCGCCTGTGAAAAATGCTTCCCGTTATTAGACATGAAAAATAGGTGAAGAGTCAATCAAAATGGAAGTTCTCGTCTGTCAGAAATATACTCCACTAGGCCAGGCTTGGTGGCTCACACCTGTCATCCCAGCACTTTGGGAAGCCGAGGTGGATGGAATACTTGGGGTCAGGAGTGCAAGACCAGCCTGACTCTGCCTCAATAAATAATAACAATAAAAAAGAAATACACTCTATTAACACGTGCATTTAATTGTAATGCACCTCATATTCTTTTTTTTTTTTTTTTGAGACAGACTCTCGCACCGTCGCCCAGGCTGGAGTGCAGTGGCACGATCTCGGCTCACTGCAACCTCCGCCTCCCGGGTTCACGCCATTCTCCTGCCTCAGCCTCCTGAGTAGCTGGGACTATAGGTGCCTACCACCACGCCCGGCTAATTTTTTGTATTTTTAGTAGAGACGGGGTTTCACCGTGTTAGCCAGGATGGTCTCGATCTCCTGACCTCATGATCCACCTGCCTCAGCCTCCCAAAGTGCTGGGATTACAAGCGTGAGCCACCACGCCTGGCCCACCTTAGATTCTTTTTTCATTTTTGGTGGGAATAACACAAAACTGAATTTACTAAAATTCCTCTGAGAGACACAAACACGTAGTAATACTACAGACAGTGTTTGTGTCTATGAATGTCTTTATTTTTTGCGTCTAGACTATCAATAACTAAAAGCAAATTTTGATCACCCATGCTAGAGAAAAGACTGAATTATCTTTTATTCGCTCTACAGAAAATTATTTTAGAAAATCATTATCATATGAAGAAGTGATCAAAGAGTATGAAGCTGGATAATATAGGAATAAAAAGTGCTACAGAAGTGTGTCAGGCAGTAAATTAAGAAAAAATGTCCTATTATTCTTCTGGAGTGTGTAGTGTTTGAGGTATTTGTTGGCTTTTAAAATGTGTAAACTGGCCCGGACACTTTGGGAAGCTGAGGTGGGAGGAATGCTTGAGCCCAGTAGTTTGAGACCAACCCAGGCAATATAGCAAGGTTCCATTTCTACAAAAGAAAAAAAAAAAAATTTTGTTTTTTGAGACAGTCTCTTGTCGCCCAGGCCAGAGTGCAATGGTGTAATCTCTGCTCATGGCAAACTCCGCCTCCCAGGTTCAAATGATTCTCCTGCCTCAGCCTCTCAAGTAGCTGGAATTACAGGTGTACACAACCACACCTGGCTAAGTTTTGCATTTTTAGTAGAGGCAGGGTCTCACCATGTTGGCCAGGCTCATCTTGAACTCCTGACCTCAGTTGATCTGCCTGCCTCGGCCTCCCAAAGTGCTAGAATTACAAGCATGAGCCACCGGTCCCAGCCAAAAAAAAAAAAAACTTTTAAAAAGAAAAAAAAAAGATAAAATGTGTAAATTGTTAGAGCTCTGTTTCTCACTTGAAATAAATATTCACTTACATTCCTAGTATTTTTTTTTTTTTTGAGACGGAGTCTCGCTCTGTCGCCCAGTGCAGTGGCGTCATCTCGGCTCACTGCAACCTCTGCCTCCAGGGTTCACGCCATTCTCCTGCCTCAGCCTCTCGAGTAGCTGGGACTACAGGCTCCCGCCACCAAGCCCGGCTAATTTTTTATATTTTTAGTAGAAATGGGGTTTCACTGTGTTAGCCAGGATGGTCTCGATCTCCTGACCTCATGATAAGCCCGCCTCGGCCTCCCAAAGTGCTGGGATTACAGGCTTGAGCCACCGCACCCGGCCGAGGATCTAAGTGCATCAGCCTGGGCAACACAGCGAGACTCCGTCTCAAAAAAAAAAAAAAAAAAAAAAACCTCGGATCCTCCCCTCCCCTGCAGTCATCACCTACTCAGCAGTTATGATGTGCCAGGATCTGAGAAGCCCCTCTACATGGATTATTTCATTTAATCCTCAGTCAACCCACTGAGGCAAACTGAGGCCTGGAGCATCTATTCTACACAATAAGTCTCATGCTGCATGGTTGTAGCCAGGATTCAAAATCACACAGTGCCCAGGGCAGAGCCTCACACACAGAATAGGAGCTATTATTACAATTCACTATATGACTTCTCTGAGCCCGTTTCCTTACATTTAAAGCTGAAGGGGTAGAAAGATATTTAAATAATCGTCTGCACAGAAGATATCTGAAAAGATACGCAGAGTATTGGTAATAATGGCTGCTTCCATGGAGGAAACCATGGGGGCGTGATGGTTAATTTTATGTGTCAATTTGACTGGGATAAGGGATGCCCAGATAGCTGGCAAAATACTTTCTGGGTGTGTCTGTGTTTCTAGAAAACATTAGCTTTTTTTTTTTTTTTTTTTTTTTGAGACAGGGTCTCACTCTGTCACCCAGGCCGGAATGCAGTGGTGCAATCACAGCTCATCGCAGCCTTTACTTCCCGGCCTCAACTGATCCTCCCACCTCAGCCTCCTGAGTAGCTGGGAATACAGGCATGCGCCAGCACGCCTGGCTAATTTTTGTATTTTTTGTAAAAATGAGGTTTCGCCATGTTGCCCAGGCTGGTCTCAACCTCCTGGGCTCAAGCGATTCGCCCGCCTCAGCCTCCCAAATTGCTGGGATTACAGGTGTGAGCCACTGTACTGGGGCCAACATCAGCATTTGAATCAGTAGACTGAGTAAAGATCACCCTCACTAGGGTGGACTGGCATCCTCCAATCTGTTGAGGACCTGCATGGAATAAAAACGCAGAGGACGAGTTAATTCTCTCTTCTGGAGCTGTGACATCCATCTTCTCCTGCCCTTAGACATCTGCACTCCTGGTTTTGGGGTCTTCAGACTTAGACTGGGACTTACACCATTGCTCTGTGTTCCTCCAGCCTTTGGTCTTGGAAAGGAACTCCACCACCGGCTTTCCTGATTCTCCGGCTTACAGATGGCAGAATGTGGGACTTCTCCGCTTCCATGTCATGAACCAATCCCTCATAATAAATTTCTTTCTATGCATATTTTTTTTTTTGAGACAAAGTCTCACTCTGTCACCCAGGCTAAACCACAGTGGTGTGATCTCGGCTCACTACAACCTCTGCCTCCTGGGTTCAAGCCATTCTCCTGCCTCAGCCTCCCGAGTAGCTGGGACTACAGATGTGCACCACCATGCCCGGCTAATTTTTGTAGAGATGGGATTTCACCATGTTGGCCAGGATCATCTCGAACTCTTGACCTCAGGTGATCTGCCCGTCTCAGCCTCCCAAAGTGCTGGGATTACAGGTGTGAGCCACCAAACCCAGCCTCTCTCTATATCTTATTGGTTCTGTTTCTCTGTAGAACCCTAAATAATACAGGGTAGGAGGGAGACATATCCCTCTTGTACCTTCAGATTTTTAAACAAGTTAATAATTAAAGGTACTTGGCACTATGCCAGGCACATGTTAGCTATTGTTATTATTAGTTGTTTTTATTGTCAGTTAATTAAATCAATTAACTCTAAAACTAACAAGGTAGGACCTAATGTTTTGTGTTTGTTTTGGATAATAGTCCCTAACACTTATCAGTGCCAGGGCTGTCATGAACTAATGCTTCTAAAACTTCCTGCATCTCTACGAGGTAAGTACTGGTCTCATCCCCATTTTGCAAATACAGAATCAGAGGCACAGATATATTAAATAACATACCTTTGGTCACACTGCCAATGTGGCACAGGCCAGGATTAACACCCAGGCTGGGTGACTCTAAAGCCCAAATACAGAGTGGCCTCACTAGCCCACCTCCCCTGTATGTTAGGAGGTCCCAGCATTTTTTCACCCTTAATGTGTGCACCTCCAATGAACTTCGTACATAGCAGGACAGTCACCAGGGAGCCCAGAGTGTGAAGCAGGGAAACGCTGTCACTGCAGATGTGATTGCAGCAGGATAGCCCTACTGGGCTCACTGACCAGCCAGAAATTAAGAGGGAAGGGAGGTAAGGAGGGAAGTGGGAAGTAAGTAAAATATGTGAAGGCCGGGCGTGGTGGTTCATGCCTGTAATCCCAGCACTTTGGGAGGCTGATGTGGGAGGATCACAAAGCCAAGAATTTGAGACCAGCCTGGGTAACATTGATAGACCCCATCTCTAAATAAAAAAAAAAAATTTTAATTAGTGGTGCACAGTGATAAGTGCCTGTAGTCTCAACTACTGGGGAGGCTAAGATGGGAGGATTGCTTAAGCCTGGGAGCTTGACGCTGGCTACAGCGAACGGGGATCACGCTACTGCACTCCAGCCTGGGTGACAGAGCAAGACCCTATCTCAAAAAAAAAAAAGGTCTTGTCACTTCATAGCTGTGACCTTGAACACATCACTTGACCTCTTTTTTTTTTTTTTTTTTTGAGACAGAGTCTTCGCTCCGTCACCCAGGCTGGAGTGCAGTGGCACAATCTCGGCTCACTGCAAGCTCCGCCTCCCGGGTTCACACCATACTCCTGCCTCAGCCTCCCAAGTAAGCTACTTAGGACTACAGGTGCCCACCACCACACCCAGCTAATTTTTTGTATTTTTTAGTAGAGACGAGGTTTCACCGTGTTAGCCAGGACGGTCTCAATCTCCTGACCTCGTGATCCTCCTGCCTCGGCCTCCCAAAGTGCTGGGATTACAGGCGTGAGCCACCGCGCCTGCCCCACTTGACCTCTTTGATTCACAGTTTCCTTATCTATGAAGTAAGGCTTAAGAACTAATCACTGTTTCTGTAAAATAAAGGATTCTCCACCCCCACCTTAGATAGCAAGTACCTTGAAGAGGACAAATGTGACATTCAAGGTGCCTTTTTTTTTCTTTTTTTTTTGAAATGGCGTTTTGATCTTGTTGCCTAGGCTGGAGTGCAGTGGCGCCATCTCGGCTCACCAGAACCTGCGTCTCCCAGGTTCAAGCTATTGTACTGCCTCAGCCTCCCAAGTAGCTGGGACTACAGGCATGCGCCACCATGCCTGGCTAATTTTTGTATTTTTAGTAGAGACGGGGTTTCACTATGTTGGCCAGGCTGGTCTTGAACTCCTGACCTCGTGATCTGCCTGCCTCGGCCTCCCAAAGTGCTGGGATTATAGGCATGAACCACCACGCCCGGCCTTCAACTTGTCTTCTTAACAGGGTGCTTTATTCCAAAGAAGGGGCTAATTTAAGGCAAACCGAGTAGTGCAAAACGATATGTGTTATGGGTCATCCAGACCTGCATTTGAATCCTACCTTTGCTACTAATATTAAGGAACCTCTCAGAGCTTGGTCATTACTGTTAATATAAAAATAACTAGGGCCAGGCACAGGAGTTCGAGACCAGCCTGTGCCAACATGCGAAACCCCATCTCTACTAAAAATACCAAAATTAGCCAGGCATGGTGGTGCACGCCTGTAGTCCCAGCTACTGGGAGACTGAGGCACGAGAATCATTTGAACCCAGGAGGCAGAGGTTGCAGTGAGCCAAGATCACACCACTGCACTCCAGCCTAGGCAACAGTGTGAGACACTTACTCAAAAAGAAAAAAAAAAAAAATTAGCCAGGTGTGGTGACATGCTTGTAATTCTACCTACCTGGGAGGCAGAGGTGGAAGCAGTGCTTGACCTCAGGAATTTGAGACTATAGTGAGCTAGGATCACGCCACTGCACTGCATCCTGGGCAACAGAGCAAGACCCTGTGTCAAAGTAACAGCAGACTAGGTCCACAACAGACTATTCAGAAGTTCAAAGAATTTTGCAAATATGCAAAGATAACACCACCAATTTGTATTTTCAGGGACTCACTCCTTTTCTGGTTGTTCCAGGAAAGGTTTTATAAGCCTCCTTTTTAATTTTTTTCATTGTGGATATGGAAGTGGTTCCATTAGCCAAGATATATGAATTTTTAACAACTCCCTCCCCCAAAAAATGATCCATTCACATAAATGAATCTTAGTCTTCATTTTATATTGATAAGCTGCAGGGCTGACACAATGTTTTTTTCTTTTAAAACTGTTTTGTCATTCTGAGAACGCGATGCTTTTTGCAAACACCCTTTTGAGGGAGTCAGGTCTTTCCACTGTGACAGAAAAATGTGCCGTGTCCAAAAGTGTGTTTTGAGCAGCACGGCATTCCTCCAGGCAAAGAGGCGGAGCAATTTCTTTAAATCTTGAAGATTTGAAGGAGAAGCTTCATCCACCATCTCTGTCTTGGGCCAAAAAGACAAAAACCCACCCTCTACCAGGGAAGTTTTTAGGAAACAAGCTCTGGTTTTCTCTGCAAACGATTCTGTCTTTCTTTAGAAAGAGTTCAGCTATGTGGGACTAACCCTATTGTAACATCTGTATTCAATCTGCATCTGCACAGAAAAGTTTGCTTAGGGAGCATCTCCAGGTACAGGGAGAAATGGGCTGGATGACATAAACCAGAGGGAGAGAGACAAACCAGGAAGCAGAACACCAGCACTCTGTTCTTCACCTTACCACTTCCAAGCTGTGCTTTGGCATGTCTCTTGACCTCCCTGAGACTCAGTTTCCTTATCTGGAAAACAGAGATAAAAACACCTTTCCTGTCCACTGCAAGAGAGTTGTTCCTTCCCTCCCACCTTTAGCCAAGCAGAGAACTGCTGCCACTCTGACCCAGCTGTGACCCAATTTGCACACATATAATAATGACCAAGTAGTGCAGGGGTTGCAAACTCAAGTGTCTGATGCAAAAATGAATGAATGACATGTAGCCGATACTGTCGGTGCCTCACCCAGAACCCTCTGCCAGTTGTCAGCCCCTCTGAACATCAGTGTAATTCCAACAGCCCAAACCTTAGACCTCCTATGCTGTGTCCCTTTACTACCACTACCAGGTAGTCAGTAGACCTTAGCCAATGACCTTGCCTCAGGCCAAGACAACTCTGGAGTTCCCTGTAGGCTCAGGCTGAAGCTACCCTCCAAGGGCCTTTGCATGAAATTGCACCTTTGCTTGGTTTCTTCCCCTTTCCAGTCCCAATTCCCTCACTCCCTTGTCAGCTTCTGCTGTTTCAGGGTCTGCCCTTGGGTAACCCAGCCTAAGATAAAAGACCTGGGAGTTGGCCGGGCGTGGTGACTCATGCCTATAATCCCAGCACTTTGGGAGGCCGAGGCAGGCGGATCACAAGGTCAGGAGTTCGAGACCAGCCTGGCCAATATGGTGAAACCCCATCTCTACTAAAAATACAAAAATTAGCCAGGTGTGGTGGCACACGCCTGTATTCCTAGCTACTCAGGAGGCTGAGGCAGGAGAATCGCTTGAACCCGGAGGGAGAGGTTGCAGTGAGCTGAGACCACACCACTGTACTCTAGCCTGGGCAACAGAGTAAGACTCTGTCTCAAAAAAAAAAAAAAAAAAAAAAAAAAGACCTGGTAGTTCATGCCACATCTAAAGGGGGCAGCTGCTGCTCAGCTCCAGCCTATCCAACCACGTGAAGATGCAGGTGCAATGTTTCCAGACATTCTGATGTTTCAAGAGAGTCTAGAGATTTTTTTTTTTTTTTTTTTTTTTTGAGATGGAGTCTTGCTCTGTCGCCCAGGCTGGAGTGCAGTGCCGCGATATTGGCTCACTGCAACCTCTGCCTCCCGGGTTCACGTGATTCTCCTGCCTCAGCCTCCTGAGTAGCTGGGACTACAGCCGCCCGCCACCACGCCCAGCTAATTTTTTGTATTTTTAGTAGAGACAGGGTTTCACCATGTTAGCCAGGATGGTCTCGATCCCCTGACCTCATGATCTGCCTGCCTTGGCCTCCCAAAGTGCTGGGATTACAGGCATGAGCCACAGTGCCTGGCCAAAACTGCCAATTTTTAAGTGCTGGCCATTTAATTTTTTAAAACTTCACACTATGGAGACCAAATTAAACACATCTGTGGATCAAGTCCAGCAATTTCTAAGTACCAAGTGCCTAATATGTATTTAATACGCTGGCCCCAAGTTCTTTGCATGTGTCATCTCATATAATCCTCACAACATATCCTGTGAGACAGACATTATCCCCATTTTACAGAAAAAGAAACTGAGACAAAAGAGAGGTTAAGTAACTTGCATAAGTTCATATTGCCAGGAAGTAGCAGAACTGATTTTCAAACCAAGCTTTGTCTGACTGTAAAGACTGTGCTCTGAACCACTGAGCGGCTCTGCCTTCCCTTCTATATTTAAGCAACTCCCCGGAGGGGAATCAGAAACTTAGGTGAATAAGTCACCCAACATGTGGGTTGAGGAGAGGGGCAAGAGGGGAGGAGAAAAGCCTTAAGCATAATGTGCGTTAGAGCATTGTCCATAACTGTGACAAACCGAGGACAGTGCAAATGCCCAGGAGGAGAAAATGGTTACACAAATAATGGTTCACGGAATTCTGTGCTCTCATTTTAAACAATAAGTACGAAAACTATAAAGGAAAATATCTATAATACAATACTGAGTGAAAAACACAGACAAAATCATACTGACCACAAAGTTGGCAGGTTTTGGATGGAATCAGACCTGGGTTTGAATCCCAGCTCTGCCAACTGTGACTATAGGACCCCTCAGAGCCTCCGCTTCTCCAACAGAGTAATTGGGATAATAATTCCTCCCTTCTAGAGTTATTGCAAGGATTCGGTGAAAAATATGTAAAAGGTTTTAGCACAACCCAGGCCCATGGTGAAAGAACTCACACCATGTGCAGATGTGTGTAGGAGCAGGGATAAAGACGAGAAGAGACCCCAGGCAAATGGGCAGGGTCATTTAAGACACTGAAACATTATAAGAATTTCAATTTTTTCATCTAAGGTTGTTACAATATCTCAACAAAGTATACAAACATAAATGAGGGCTTTGAACTAGAGTTATACAATTAAATAAGTTTCCTCTAATTGACAACCCTGCCCTTCTCACTCATCCTGGGAGGTGCTGTGCTTACAAGTATGAGGTCAGCTCTTGGGACAATTTACACAGAAATCAGAAATTATGAGCCTCTGTAGCTTCTCCTCCCCAAGCGCATGCAACTCTTTAGCCCTGCCTATTACCTGTTTTCTTAAGGAAATCTTCCATAAAGGCCGGGCGCGGTGGCTCACACCTGTAATCCCAGCACTTTGGGAGGCCGAGGCAGGTGGATCACAAGGTCAGGAGTTCGGGACCAGCCTGGCCAAGATGGTGAAACCCCGTCTCCACTAAAAATACAAAAATTAGCCAGGCGTGGTGGCAGGCACCTGTAATCCCAGCTACTCGAGAGGCTGAGGCAGGGAAATTGCTTTAACCCAGGAGGCAGAGGTTGCACTGAGCCGAGATCGTGCCACTGCCCTCTAGCCTGGGTGACATAGCAAGACTCCATCTCAAAAAAAAAAAAAAAAAGGAATCTTCCACACAAAACCAGGGCAGGAAGCATCGAGGAAGGAAGGCTGAGGATGAAGGGCAAAGTCGAAATGCAAAAACACCGTAATTAACGTTTTGTTTAGAGGCGCTTTCAGAGATTTTGAACCTTAGTCTCAGAACCATTAGACACCCTTCAGCAAACCACAGGGCTGTCCACCAGGGTGTCAGCCCCAGTTCCTTCATTCACTGTGAAACGTGCACCTCGCCTACGGGTTCTCCCTGCTTGGGTTCTGGAAGCAGGCTACGGCAGGCCCTGTGCAGTGGGCGGGGTGTGTTCAGTCAGAGGCAGATGACCGGGGCGGGGCTTGTTTCGAGACAGTTATCGGTGGAGACAGGCTCAATTATTTTCATTATATGGAGTCAACAGAGACAGGAGGCATAATGGGTCTCAGTCAGAGAGGCAAAGGTTAAGGTAAGGGAAACAGGGGGAACCAAGGGGGGCCCTCCCAGGCCCACCGTGACCACTGAACCATGATGCCAGGGAGGGTGAGTGAAAACGGGAAGATGTCGGGTGTTTGTCTGGTCCTGCTCTGCTGGATCCAGCATGAACCCCTGGAGAGCCAAGACGGCATTTCCTGTGTGAGTGACTCTAAAAGCTTCCAGACAAGGCAGGTGTGCTGGCTCACGCCTATAATCCCAGCACTTTGGGAGGCCGAGGCTGGTGGATTGCTTGAGCCTAGGAGTTTGAGACCAACCTGAGCAACATGATGAAACACTGTCTCTACTAAAAATAGAAAAATTAGCTGGGCATGATGATGCGTGCCCGTAGTCCCGGCTACTTAGGAGGCCGAGGTGGGAGAATCGCTTCAGCATGGGAGGTGGAAGTTGCAGTGGGCCAAGATCATGCCACTGCTCTCTAGCCTGGGTGACAGAGCGAGACCCTGTCTCAAAATAAATAAATAAAAATAAAAGCTTCAGGTGGACAGAGCTTCATCAGGACCTCATCTGAATGGTCCAGCATTAGAGGGCAGAGTACCCTAAGCCCTCTTCTCTTGCCTTCCCACCCCTTTATCCTTTTCCTCTCCATAAATAACAACCAATGTTATAAGGGTTTGCTGCGTGCAAGGCACGGTGCTGAATACCTGGCACATATCTTTTTTTTTTTTTAAGACAGGGTCTCGCACTGTTGCCCAGGCTGGAGTACAGTGGCATCACAGTTCACTGCAGCCATGACCTCCCTGGCTCAAGCCATCCTCCTGCCTCGGCTTCCTGATTAGCTAGGACTACATGCACACACAACCACACCCAGCTGATTTTTGTATTTTTTGTAGAGACAGGGATCTCTCTATGTTGTCCAGGCTGGTCTTGAACTCCTAGGATCAAGCAACCTGAACATACGTTATTTCACTCTCTCATTAAACCTGTCAGGCACTGTGATGATCCCATTTAACCAATGAAGAAATTGAGACTCAGAAAGGGTTATAGGACTTGCCCAAGCCAGTAAGGGGCAGAATCAGCAAACCAAGGTCCATTGGGCCTACAGCCCAAGCTCTCCACTACAAGTTTCCTCTTTTCTTTTTTTTTTTTTTTTTTGAGGCGGAGTCTCGCTGTCTCCCAGGCTGGACTGCAGTGGCCTGATCTCGGCTCACTGCTAGCTCCGCCTCCCGGGTTCACGCCATTCTCCTGCCTCAGCCTCCTGAATAGCTGGGACTACAGGCGCCCGCCACCACGCCCGGCTAATTTTTTTTTTGTATTTTTAGTAGGGACGGGGTTTCACCGTGTTAGCCAGGATGATCTTGATCTCCTGACCTCATGATCCGCCCGCCTCAGCCTCCCAAAGTGCTGAGATTACAGGTGTGAGCCACCGTGCCCAGCCCCTTCTTTTTTCTTTCTACTGTTTACTGCTTATCCTCTGCACAGGCCAAAGGCCTCTCCCTCACCCTAAACCAGGCCCTGTACCTGTGTGGGTTTGGGGGCTACTCAGTAAGGCCCTTCAGGTGGAGGAGTTACTGTTTCTGAGATTTCTCAAGAACAGGAAACTTCCCCTTGCTGCCTGCAATAAATCCAAGCCTGCCTTCCTTTGTGATTTCACCCCGGGAGCAACACTCCAGCATGACTCATCACTGGGCCGGCAGGAGATCTCCTCTGGAGACTAGAGGTGACCTTGGCCAGGCACTCACATCCTGTGCCTGTTTTCCCGTTTGTCAAGTGGACAGCCCCAGCCTCCCCACCAGGCTTGTTGTGAACTATATGGCTGAACACAAAGCTTGTAGAAAATAATTTTTGAAACAGAATCTAAAATACTGACAATTACTCTAACTTCAGCCTATGTCCCACACACCAAACCAGGATCTAAATCCTTCCCAACCTTAATCCTGGCTGCAAGAGTTCTCCTGCACTCCTGCTGCCTTCTTGGTGTATGGTCGAACTAGGATTACTGGAAAAAAGACAGCTGACAGGGACAATAACCCGTTTTCCAAATGCGATGGGTCACTCCTCCTTCGGCTCCCCCATCACCCTATATTATAAGCACTTAGTTAATATCAGCTAACATTAATGAAACCCTGATTGAATATGTAAATTTATATTGTTTTGCTCTGGCAGGGCGCAGTGGCTCATGACGGTAATCCCAGCACTTTGGGAGGCAGAGGCAGGCAGATCACCTGAGGTCAGGAGTTTGAGACCAGCCTGGCCAACATGATGAAACCCCGTCTCTACTAAAAATACAAAAACTAGCCGAGCCTGGTGGCGCATGCCTGTAATCCCAGCTACTCAAGAGGCTGAGGCAGGAGAATCGCTTGAATCTGGGAGGTGGAGGCTGCAGTGGGCCAAGATCGCGCTAGTGCACTCCAGCTTGGGTGACAGAGTGAGACTCTGTCTCAAAAAGAAAAAAAATTATTTATATATATATACACATATACATATATATATACATATATATACACGTATATATATATATGTATATATATAGTTTTACTCATGTAACCCCTTATTACTAGACCCACTTTGCAAATAAGAAAAATTAAGTTTCAGACTGGTTGATTACAGAAACTCAAAGGTCACACACAGCTGGCAGGTGTCAAAGCCCAGATTCAAGATCGGGTCTGTCAATCTACACACTGTACTGTCTTCACTTTGTTTTAAAATTACAAATCCCGGTACTACTCCCTAGCCACTTTCTCTGCTTTATTTTATTTTATTTTTTGAGATGGAGTTTCGCTCTGTTGCCCTGGCTGGAGTGCAATGGTGCAATCTTGGCTCACTGCAACCTCCACCTCCTGGGTTCAAGCAATTCTTCTGCCTCAGCCTCCTAAGTAGCTGGGATTACAGGCATGCGCCACCATGCCCAGATAATTTTTTTTTATTTACTAGAGACATGGTTTCACCATGTTGGTCAGGCTGGTCTCGAACTCCTGACCCCAAGTGATCCACCCGCCTCGGCCACCCAAAGTGCTGGGATTACAGGTGGGAGCCCACCATGCCTGGCCCCTTCACTTCATTTTTCTGCATAGTTTCTATGCTCTTTGGTAAGAAATTAACAGTCACAACCCTCCTTTACCCAGGTAGAATGTAAATCAATGTGGGCAGGGATTTCTTGGTGTTTGGCCACTGCTGTATCCCCTCAGTGCCTAAAACAATGTCTGACACATAGTATCAGCAAATACTCAAGGTATTCAATAAATATTTTGCCCAAAACAAATTAATTTAGCCAAAAATTCTCATTAGCTATTTTTGACTGTCCTTTCTACTAGATTCTAAATTTGACAGCATTTTCTTCATCTCAGTCCCCATAACTGCCCCCCATCCCTCCCTGTTTCAAGTTTAGAATGACAGTTTTGAACATAGCAAAATATTATTTGATACTGCAATGTGATTTGGGGGTGGCCTGCTGTTTGGGGAATTCATTCTCCTCTCCACTCCCCACAACAAATGGGCACTCAGTAGAAAACTGTCTTAGGAAGGCTGGAAAATGTCTAGCACTTTCTCATCTTATCCCTCGGTTAGGTTCCTCCCGTCCCTGCTCCCTGAGGCTGATGGACAGGCAGGCGGGACAGCCCGATCGATCGATGCAAAGGTGCCCTCCTCCGCTCTTGTTTGCTGCTGCGTTTCTGACTCACATCTTCCCTGGGCTGTGGGAAAGTGTTCAGTGTGTGGCTTCACAAACTGCAGTGCAGCAGGGAGAGCGGGCAGTTGGAAATGATATGGAAAAGAAAGGATCTAATTAAGCAGAGTAGGTGATAGTGTCGGGAAGAAAAAGCAAGCAAGTGGCAATTTGGATATCTGCCTGCAAATAAAAGAGATGACTGTCGTTTTCTCCTCTGGCTCCTGTTTGCCCTATAAATCTCAGTTCACAAATCCAAGTGTTTTAATTATCGCTGTATAATACAACATGCTGTGCTGGGACTATCTTAGGGAAATTAAAACAAAGGAGGGGGAGACAGAGGGATTCAGGCTACCCCGTTCTCCCGTTTCTCTTGTTTACAATAATCCAAAGGTGTTTCTCCCCCCTTCTGCCATAAACACAACATGGGGTTTTCCAGTATTAAACTTATCACCTTCCTCCACTCACAAAAAGGAACTTCAGGCCCTAAGCTGTTGTCAACCATGCAACTCAGTTGCCAGGTGTCACCTTGGCCACTGTTGCTGTTTAATCCCCAAGAAATCAAAAGAACCAGGTCATGAATGAAATGCCAGGTCCAGCTCAAAAAGGAGAGTCCCTAGTGGGAAGCAGCATGATGATTAAAACTAGCATTTGAATATCACCTTCGCTACATACTAGCTGTGTGGCCTTGGGTAAATCATTTAACCTGAGTCTCACACTTCAAAGAAAACAAAACAGTGATAAGCAGGATTAAACATATAAGACTACAAAGCACTTAGCACAGTGCTCAACACACAGCAAGTGCTATGCAACACAGTCCCATCTCCAGTCTTTATCTCTGCCATTTCAAATACCTACAGTAAGCTTCTCCCAGGAAGCTGCCTGGTTCACTCCTTCCCTTCTACCTTATCAGTGAGCCTTCCTCACCCTAAATAAAATAGTAGCCCTCCCATCACACACACTGCATTTCCCCTTACATGCTTCATTTTTGTCCATAACAAAGTACTCCTTGACATTTTACATATATACACATACATTCACGTGTCGCCTAACGACTGGGGTAAGTTCTGAGAAATGTTCTGAGAAATGCTTCGTTAGGCGATTTCATCGTTATGCGAACATCGTAGAGCTAGAGTGTACTTACTTAAACCTAGATGGTATAGCCTACTACACACCTAGGCTATACAGTACAGCCTATTGCTACTAGGCTACAAACCTGTACAGCATGGTACTGTACTGAATACTGTAGGCAACTGTAACACAGTGATAAACACTTGTGTATCTAAACATAGAAAAGGTAATGCACTGCACTAAGCTAAGACATTAGGATAGCTATGATCTCACTAGGCAACAGAAATTTCTCAGCTCTATTATAATCTTATGGACCACCGCCGTTATCTGCAGTCCATCATTAACTGAACCATCATTATGCAGCCTACGACTGTACACATATATATGTATAGACATATACACATATACATACACTTACATATATATAAAATTATTTTATTCGGGCATCTTCACCTAAATTCCAAGAAGGCAGAACTTGTGTTGACCACTGTATTTCCAACGCCTGTAACAGTAGTGCCTGGCATGTAATGGATGTTTAATAAATATTATTAACGGGACCAGTAAATAGAAGCTATTTTTTCTATAATGGTTGGAAGGGCCCTCATAGACCACCTAGACCAAAGTTCTTCACAGGCCAGGAAACTCAGACCAGGTGGCATCAGATGACCTGCCCTATGGTTCCAGCTTCCCCAGAACTGAGTGGCGGGGACTAGGGACCCTGACTTCAGTGGCTTTGCTCTGCCTCAAGTCAGCCCATTCAGTGCCCACAACAACTTAGCAGGTTGGTGCCCTGTGCTCCTCATCTGAGGAATGGAAACAAGGAGATGGTTCACCCTCCCAAGTGTCAGGATGTGGATGTCCCAGTGACTGGCATTCTATAAAAGCAAAAAGGACAGGTGGAGACACAGAAGTCCGCTCTGGAAATCCATCAACAAATGTCCTCAGAGTTGAGGAACTGCAGACAGCTGCAGCACAAAGGAGCCAAAGGCCACTGTCTTTCTCTCTCAAAATCCACCCGCACCAAGGACCCTCTTGGCTTTCTAAATGATTGAAGGCAAGCAACTGTGGTCTCATTTCTGGGGTGCCTGGATGACCTCTTGCACAGACACAGGGGATTCTGTGGAGAAAAATGCCAACCCCTGCTCCATCATTTCTAGGTGCACGACCTCTCTGGGTACCAACTTTTCGTGGCTTAGGATCAAATGAGAAAACACGTGCACAGCACCTGGCACAGTGCATGGCACATAGCAGGCACACGAAAACATTAGCTGTTAGGAACCGCACGTTTAATATTCAAAGTCAACCCTCCATACATCTCACCAGCTCTTACCATTGCCCCCTAGAGCTGAGAAATCTGAATAGAAGGGCTTGCATTGGACTGGGGCTATTCAGCCTTAGAAATCCAACTCCAGGTAATCGTTTAAAGGAGCCCATTTTCCTATTCAAGTAGAGTGAAAAGAACTCCACCTCAGTCCCCAAGCCACTCAGGACCTCTCATAAGGCTGGCAAAGGGAAGATTCCAGTCTGAGAGCACTGGCCACCTAACTCTATTCCCAGAAAGTGGAGTCCGGCCCAGAGCTCCCTGGAAGTTGAGGTAACAAGACCCAACAAAAATATCCTGTATTCTCTTCACCACCTGTCTCCGCAAGCGAGTAATAAGACAAAGTATTAAAGAGAGACATCACCAGTAATCAGAATGTGGTAACTAAATGAGTCTTTTGTCTTCCACTTACAATGTGCAAGCTGGTCCGGTTCCTCAGCCTCTCTGAACCTGCTTCCTCAACTGTTTAAAGAGAAAAGCAACCTCTACCTCCTGGGGCTGGTCAAAGGATGAAATGAGAGAATTCTGTTCAGCGGTGTCTAGGACATTAGCTGCTGCTTTTAGTTCAAGAAGCCCAGTGCAGCCTATGCCGGAATAAGCATTACTTGCTCCAAAAGAACACTCTGTACAGCAAAGGCAGCCCTTTCCTAGACCACAGACCACACCACTCCAACATGGGCCACAGGTTGGGAGCAAACACTTACTCCACCAGAGGCTTCCTGAAATCTTACAAGCAAATGGAGTGAAAGTAGAAACTGAGACCCAAACAGCTTCTGAAAAGTGGATGCCCGGCTGGAAGTGGTGAGGGACGTTCCCCCACGAAAAAACTTGGACTTGGCAATCATTGCTTTGGACTTCGCAATGTAAATTGCCACTTTTGATGACTTGGGGATTCTAGAATGTTCCGGTCGCTCACTGATTCACAAATATAAGGTCTGGGGTGACCTAAACCTGCATGGTGTGTTCCAAGAGCCCCCAAAGCGTTCCAAGAGCTGGTGACTTTCGGCTCACGTAACTAACCTGGGCCTCAGTTTCCCTCCAGACCCTAACGAAGGAGATAACGGTTGTTGCCTCTACAGGGAAGCTGCGAGGCTAAACGGGGATGGCGCGCTAAGGCGCTCCCTAGACACAGCACGGAGCTCCCCGCGCGCGGTTCCCATTCGCTCCCGGAGAGAAGGGCGGCGCGCGGGCTCACACAAAAGCCCAGGACCTTCCTCCGCTGCAACTGTAGAAAAAGCAACTGGAACGCGAGCTGGGGCAGCGGCCGGGCCGGGGGCTCCTCCCGCAGGCGCCCAGGAGCCGCTCGGCCCGTGGCCCGGCCGGGGAGCAGGCGCCCCGCGGGAGCGCTGAGGCCCCGCTGTGCCGAACCGGGCGGGGGCGGAGGAGGCGGAAGCGGGGGCGGCCGGAGCGCGGTGGGGATGTTTAAAGGAAATTTACAATCATTTCCTCTCTGTGGTTTGGTGACAAATCAACAACATCCTGTTCTTTTGTGAGGCTCCGGGCGCCTGCGAGGCGGAGGCAGCGCTCCGGCTCTTAAAGGGACACACACAGGGCCCCTCTCCCAACGGTTCCCTGCGGCTCCCCCCCAAAAAAATACAGCTTCCTCAAGGCGTCACCTCCGGGGGCGCGCGGCCGGAATGCGGGGGCTGTGGCCGGAGCCGCCGCCAGGCCACGACCTGGATCGCGTCCCTCACCACCCCCCACCCCGCCCGACGGGAGGAGACGGCCGCGGCGGCGGCGCACCAATCTGAAGGACGTCCCGGCCCGGGGCCATGTCCCGCCGAGGGGGTGGGCAGGGGGCGGAGGGGCGTCCTCCCGAGGGTTCCCGTCCCTCCCCCCAACCCCAGGGCAGCTCCGCCGGGCTTCGGACCTCCGGGTAGTTATCCCCCTCCCCCAATCCCCTGGCCTCGAGTTTTGCAGTCCCAAAACTCTGGATTTATGGTTAAAATGTCGACGTACGCACAGGAGGTTTATAAAATGCCAAAGCAGAGACTTCCCGAGCTGTAGAAGTAATGAGAATCAGATGGTCGGGACCAGGAAAAAAAAAAAAAAAAAAAAAAACTACTCAACTGGCCTCCTGGGATTTCGTTCATTCAGTCATTTAATGAGTATGTTTTACTAAGTGCTGGTCACTACTCTAAGCCCCCGCACCGCAGGAACAACACAGATACGGTTCCTGCCCACAGGGGGCTTAGATTCTCAAAAATGAATGAACAGGATTATTTCACATCTACAAGTGCTATGAGTTTTTTAATGGGTCACATTCTAGAACAGCGGCTTTCTGTAGGGACACCTCTCTGAGGGGTCTGACCTGAGGCATCCAAGGATGAAAAGGCAAGGGTGCTAGGAAGAACTGGGTTGGAAAGGTCCAAACATTATTATCAGGAAAGAGCTCAGAAGTCTCATCCCAAAGACCGAGTGAAGGGCAGCCCCAGGGCTGCATTTTCCCCTTGAATACAAGCCTTGATAAGGGGCTTGGGTCCTTCTGCTCTTGCTATATCGCCTGAGCCTTTCCTTTCATCTCTCGGCCTCACAGCTTCCTATAAGGAAAATGAGACACTGAACTAGATACAGTACTTCTCAACCTAGGTGCAAATGAGAATTCCCAGGGAGGCTTTCAAAAACACTGACACCCCTGACCCCACCTCAGACAAAGGGAATGAGGATCTTTGGTAATGGGGCCTAGGCACTGGCATTTCTGTAAGACTTCAAAAGTGAGTTTAGTGTACAACCAGGGTTAAGAGCCACTGACTTAGGGCCGGGCGCGGTGGCTCACGCCTGTAATCCCAGCACTTTGGGAGGCCGAGGCGGGCGGATCAGTTGAGGTCAGGAGTTTGAGACCAGCCTGACCAACATGGAGAAACCCCGTCTCTACTAAAAATACAAAATTAGCCGGGCGTGGTGGCGTGCACCTGTAATCCCAGCTGCTCAGGAGGCTGAGGCTGGAGAATCACTTGAACCCGGCAGGTGGAGGTTGCGGTGAGCTGAGATGGCGCCATTGCGTTGCAGCCTGGGCAACAAGAGCAAAACTCTGTTTCAAAAAAAAAAAAAAAAGAGCCACTGACCTAGATGATATTTAAAGTTTGGGTTTAAAATGCAGTAAGGTGGCTGGGCGCAGTGGCTCACGCCTGTTAATCCCAGCACTTTGGGAGGCCGAGGCAGGCAGATCATGAGGTCAGGAGATGGAGACCATCTCCTGGCCAACATGGCGAAACTCCGTCTCTACTAAAATACAAAAAATTAGCCGGGCGTGGTGGCACCGCCTGTAGTCCCAGCTACTTGGGAGGCTGAGGCAGTGGAATCCCTTGAACCCAGGAGGCAGAGGTTGCAGTGAGCCGAGATCGCGCCACTGCACTCCAGCCTGGTGACAGAGCAAGACTCCATCTCAAAATAAAATAAAATAAAATAAAATAAAGTGCAGTAAGAAGGCCAGGCGCGCTGGCTCACACCTGTAATCCTAGCACTTTGGGAGGCCAAGATGGGCAGATCACCTGAGGTCAGGAGTTTGAAACCAGCCTGGCCAACCAGCCTGGCCAACATGGTGAAACCCTGTATCTACTAAAAATACAAAAAAAAGTTTAGCCAGGCATGGTGGCAGGCGCCTGTAATCTCACCTACTTGGGAGGCTGAGGCAGGAGAATTGTTTGAACCTGGGAGGCGGAGGTTGCAGTGAGCCGAGATCGTGCCCCTGCACTCCAGCCTGGGCGACAGAGGGAGACTCTGTCTCAAAAAAATAAATAAAAATAAAGTGCAGGAAGAGCTATTTCAATTCAGGGCATAATCATCCACGTTCATTGAGTGCTTAGCAGCTGCTATATAATACCCTAAGTAAGCTACATATGTATTTTATCTAATTTAAGTTACAAAGAAAAACCTTACCAACTTAGATATTATTATTATTCCTATTTACAGATGAGGAAACTGGGTACAGGGATGACACAAAATATGGTCAAGGGCACACAGGTATTAAGTGGTCTTGTCTGTATCCTGTAAGCTGAAATGCCATTCCAGTGGCAAGGAACAAATTTCTACCTAATGGGGTTGTTAATAAGGCAGAGTAGCTACCCAGAGAAGAGCATGGGGTGCTATAAGCCCAGGTTGCTCATACATCTTGGACAGAGGCAGCGGACTGGCCTAGATGCCCAGAGTTCAGGTCTTAAAAGAGAGATTGTAACTCAAAGAAAACAGACTTTTATGTTTCTTGGTGCTAATCCTCTCGGTCGTTTTCAGAGATGATTCCCATAAATTGTTAAAGGTATGCCTTGGCCAGACAGAGGAAACATTTGGCAAGGTGAGGAGGAAAAGGAACTCCCTGTGTACCCCAGTAATAACCAGGATAGGATACACTCCCCCACCCTCCTCACTCTCCCTTCTAGGGCCCACCCCATGCCCTTTTCACCTTTGACCACCTTCCCATTTGTGCAGTTCCCTGAGGGAGGACCCAGGGAGAGTATAAGCATGAGCTGGGACAGGTTCCCCAGGAAAGTAAAAGATCTGAGAAACCAAAGATAAGAAGAAAAGGAAGATGATGCATTCCTACAGTGTGGCACTGTGCTGCTGTTAATAATAAGAGAGCTGATAGACCAGAAAGATGCTTGTAATATACAAGGTGCAGAATAGAGTCCTCTCACTGATATTTTTGTAAACGACACACACACACACACACACACACACACACACACACACACACACACACCCAGAACCATCTGGAAGGATAGACTCCAAAGGGTTAGGGTTAGGAGTGATGGCTGGGCAGAGGCATGAGGGAGGGTCGTAAAGGGGTGTGTGTAGTGTAAATCTATACTTTTACTTTCTATTCATCTCCATATTATTTAAATTGGTGACAACAATAATGTATTAATTTTTTAAGATAAAGACACTTCTACTGACAAATAATAAAAATAAATATTAAACGGGGAAGCATAAAAACCCACCCTGGGTCTTGGGAATTCTATGCAGGGTAGCAGGGTAGATACCTGGTAACGCCATCTTTCAGCTCTTCCCGGTTGATGTCCACCGTCCCCTCACCTTCCCACAGCCTTCCATTCCAGTGGCAGGCTCTTAACTGGTCAGCCTACTCCCTTTCAGTCATCATGTGTTACACACAATTTTCTGGGTTTTAGAAGATGGATTTGAGAGGTGCTGGCTCCAACTGACGTAAGAAATGACAAAAGTCACATGAGAGGGAAAAATTGTCCAAAGTGCCATTCGGTGGTGGTGCTGGTGGTGGAGGTGGGTGACGGGGATGGCATTGGAGTTCAAAGGCTCTGACTTCCCCAGTGTCTATGTGTCGCTCTTCTGGAAGCTTAGAAATGGAATCTGACAGTCCAAGCCCTGAAGAAAAACAATAGTGCTTTGTGGTAAAGACCTTATTGCAAAAATCTGAAAGCCTAGGGGTAGGAGGTCTGCCTACAACATTATGTGCAGAACTGTTCCCTCCAATTAGGAGCTGATAACTCAGCAAACATATGACCTGAGCAACTGGCAGAAGGTGAAATGTCATGCTCTAGGGTGGAATTGTTTGGCCACTCTGTGCTTCCTTTTATTTATGTTTTTTTAGATCTTTGCTGTTTATAAACAGAATAATGGCATGGTTCAGAGCATGAGCTAAGGAGACAGAAAACCCACGTGGGATTTCTAGCTTCACTAACTTTTTAAGCCTCAGTTTCCTCTTCTCTGAAATGGGAATAATATTACTTATATAATATGTAATATTTATATAATATAGATAATATTTATATAATGTAAATGTATAATTATAATATTCTATATATAAACATAATACAGACCGGGCACAGTAGCTCATGGCTGTAATCCCAGCATTTTGGGAGGCCAAGGCGGGCAGATCACCTGAGGTCAGGAGTTGGAGACCAGCCTGGCCAACGTGGCGAAACCCTGTCTCTACTAAAAATACAAAAAATAGCCGGGCATGATGGCGGGCACCAGCTACTTGGGAGGCTGAGGCGGGAGAATCGCTCAAACCCAGAAGGCAGAGGTTGCAGTGAGCTGAGATCACACCACTGCACTCCAGCCTGGGTGACAGAGCAAGATTCTGTCTCAAAAAAAAAAGTATATATATATATATAGAGAGAGAGAGAGAGAGAGAGAGAGAGTATATAATATAATAATATACTATATAATATATGTTATATTATTATGTTATATATTATATTAATATATAATTATATATAACATATATTGTATCAATATGTAATTAATATAACATTAATTATATATTGTATCAATATGTAATTAATATAACATTAATTATATATTGTATCAATATGTAATTAATATAACATTAATTATATATTGTATCAATATGTAATTAATATAACATTAATTATATACTGTATCAATATGTAATTAATATAACATTAATTATATACTGTTTTAATATGTAATTAATATAACATTAATTATATAGTATATTAATATGTAATTAATATAACATTAATTATATAGTATATTAATATGTAATTAATATAACATTAATTATATAGTATATTAATATGTAATTAATATAACATTAATTATATAGTATATTAATATGTAATTAATATAACATTAATTATATACTGTTTTAATATGTAATTAATATAACATTAATTATATGTAATTAATATAACATTAATTATATGTAATTAATATAACATTAATTATATGTAATTAATATAACATTAATTATATGTAATTAATATAACATTAATTATATGTAATTAATATAACATTAATTATATAGTATATTAATATGTAATTAATATAACAATTATATGGTATATTAATATGTAATTAATATAACATTAATTATATGGTATATTAATATGTAATTAATATAACATTAATTATATGGTATATTAATATGTAATTAATATAACATTAATTATATGGTATATTAATATGTAATTAATATAACAATTATATGGTATATTAATATGTAATTAATATAACAATTATATAGTATATTAATATGTAATTAATATAACATTAATTGTATAGTATATTAATATGTAATTAATATAACATTAATTGTATAGTATATTAATATGTAATTAATATAACATTATTGTATAGTATATTAATATGTAATTAATATAACATTAATTGTATAGTATATTAATATGTAATTAATATAACATTAATTGTATAGTATATTAATGTGTAATTAATATAACATTAATTGTATAATATATTAATGTGTAATTAATATAACATTAATTGTATAGTATATTAATGTGTAATTAATATAACATTAATTGTATATTATATTAATGTGTAATTAATATAAATATAATATATAATTATATAAATTATATAATTATATAAAATATATAATTAATATATTAATATATAATATGACATAATTATATATTATATAATGAGATTATATAATATATAATATATAACATTATAATATGTAATATATTATAATAATAGTACTTACCTTACAGAGGTGTTGGTGAGAATTAAATTAGCTAATACAGGAAAAGCCCTTAGCTCTGAACCTGGCACACACGGTAAGTGGTATGTAACTAACAACAACAAGATCCAAGAAGGTGGTAAACTGTACCTTACAAATAAGAATAAGGAAGGTGACTGAGTTAAGTGGCTCATCAACACTGACATACCTACTAGTTTACACATCTCAAATCGAAATCTGAATCTTGGCCTCCAGAATGACAGGTCCTCCAGAAGACCTGTGTCTACCAAAATCCTACATGGTTGATCAATTACTTCATTAAAAAATTATCGCCTTCAGGCCGGGCGCAGTGGCTCACGCCTGTAATCCCAGCACTTTGGGAGGCCGAGGTGGGTGGATCACAAGGTCAGGAGATCGAGACCACTCTGGCTAACAAGGTGAAACCCCATCTCTACTAAAAATGCAAAAAATTAGACGGGCGTGATGGCGGGCACCTGTAGTCCCAGCTACGCTGGAGGCTGAGGCAGGAGAATGGCGTGAATCCGGGAGGCGGAGCTTGCAGTGAGCCCAGATCACACCACTGCACTCCAGCCTGGGTGACAGAGCGAGACTCTGTCTCAAAAAAAAAAAAAAAAAAAAAAATTATCACCTTTATCTAAAATCATTTAATAAGGCCCTTTTTACCTACTTACATATGCCCTAGTGCTAGCCACTGTACAGATTGAAATAGATGAAATTCTTTCCTTCCATTCATCTGGAGCCTAGTCACCTTTATTTTTTTAACTTTTATTATCATTCAAATGATTTGGGCAATTTCATCATATACTACATCCTTTCCAAGGCATGCAACCTGACCATAAAATAGAAAATTAGTGCTTCAATAACAATAATTTATACAGAAAATTTTCCTGAAAATAACACATAGACTCTTTTCCTTGGCCTTTGTATTCAAACAAAGATGAAAGAACTAAGCTGTTAAAAAGCTAAGCTGTTATTCTTTATCTATTCTTGTTTCAATTACTTTTTCTATGACAAAATAGAGTTGTCTTATTGAGACTGCAATTCAGAATTCCAAGTTCTAGTCTTATGAAAACTTGGCAAATCAAAGAGTTTGAAAGTTATTTTGTGCTTTGTAATAAATTTAATTTGCAATGTGTTTTGTTTAATATAAATATTTCTGCATCAGTAGTTACAGAACCATTTCCTTCACTGCATTTTTCAATTTTATTTTTAATTGACATAATAATTATACATATTTATAGATACAGTGTGATATATTGATACATGTAAACAATGTGTAATAATCAAATCAGGGTAATTAGCATATTCATCACCTCAAACATTTATCATTTCTTTGTATTGGGAACATCCAAAATTGTCTCTTCTGGCTATTTGAAAATATATAATAAGTAATTGTTAACTGTTCTCACCCTACAGTGCTACAGAACACTAGGACTTGTTCCTCCCATCTAGCTGTAATTTTTTTTTTTTTTTTTTTTTGAGACAGAGTCTCACTCTGTCACCCAGGTTGGAGTGCAGTGGCATAATCTCAACTCGCTGCAACCTCCACCTGCCAGGTTCAAGCAATTCTCCTGCCTCAGCCTCCTGAGTAGGTGGGATTACAGGCGTCCATCACAGTGCCCAGCTAATTTTTGTATTTTTAGTAGAGAAGGAGTTTCACCATTTTGGTCAGGTTGGTCTTGAACTCCTGACCTCAAGTGATCCACCCACCTCGGCCTCACAAAGTACTGGAATTATAGGCGTGAGCCACCACACCCAGCCTAACTGTAATTTTTTTATCCATTAACCAACCTTTCTCTATTCCCTTTACCCATTACCCTTCCCAGCTTCTAAGAACCACTCTTCTACTCAACGCTTGTATGAAGTCAACTTTTTTACCTCCCACATATGAATGAGAACATGTGGTATTGATATTTCTGTGCCTGGCTTATTTCACTTAACATAATGTCCTACAAGCTTATCCATGTTGCCACAAATGACAGGATTTCATTCTTTTTTTATGGCTGAATAGTATTCCATTGTTTATTTATAGCACATTTTGTTTATCCATTCATTCCTTGATGGACACTTAGGTTGATTCCATATCATATCTTTTTTTTTTTTTGAGTTGGAGTCTCGCTCTTGCGCCCAGGCTGGAGTGCAGTGGCGCCATCTGGGCTCACTGCAAGCTCTGCCTTCCGGGTTCACGCCATTCTCCTGCCTCAGCCTCCCGAGTAGCTGGGACTATAGGTGCCCGCCACTGCGCCCGGCTAATTTTTTGTGTTTTTAATAGAGACGGAGTTTCACCTTGTTAGCCAGGATGGTCTCGATCTCCTGACCTTGTGATCCGCCTGCCTCAGCCTCTCAAAGTGCTGGGATTACAGGTGTGAGCCACCACGCCCAGCCTGATTCCATATCTTAGCTCTTATGAATAGTGCTGCAATTAACATAGGAGTACAGATGCCTTTTTGACGTACTGATTTCCTTTTCTTTGGATTAATACTGCAGTGAGATTGCTGGATCACATGGTAATTCTATTTGTAGTTTTTTAAGGAACCTCCATATCATTCTCTATGATGGCTATACCAGTTTACATTCCTGCCAATTGTTTATAAGAATTCCCTTTTCTACTCACCCTCGCTAGCATTTGTTGTTTTTTGTCTTTTTGATAATAGTCACTTGAACTGGAAGAGAAGATACTTCATTGTGGTTTTATTTTTTTGAGACGGAGTCTCGCTCTGTCACCCAGGATAGAGTGCAGTGGCAAGATCTTGGCCCACTGCAACCTCCGCCTCCCAGATTCAAGCAATTCTCCTTGCCTCAACCTCCCAAGTAGCTGGGATTAGAGGCGCCTGCCACCATGCCTGGTAATTTTTGTATTTTTAGCATTTTTAATAGAGACAGGATTTCGCCACGTTGGCCAGGCTGGTCTTGAACCCCTGACCCCAGGTGATCCACTCACCTCAGCTTCCCAAAGTTCTGGAATTACGGGCATGAGCCACCAAGCCCAGCTTTCATTGTGGTTTTAATTTGCATTTCCCTGATGATTAGTGATGTTGAGCATTTTTTCTTTATTATTATTATTTTTTTCTTGAGACAGTCTCACTCTATGGCCAGGCTAGACTGCGGTGGCATGATCTCAGCTCACTGCAGCCACCAACTCCTGGGTTCAGGCAATTCTCCTGCCTCAGCCTCCCGAGTAGCTGGGACTATAGGTGCATGCCACCATGCACGCCTGGCTAATTTTTTGTATTTTTTAGTAGAGATGGGGTTTCACCATCTTGGCCAGGATGGTCTTGATCTCCTGACCTTGCGATCTGCCTGCCTTGGCCTCCCAAAGTGCTGGGATTACAGGTGTGAGCCACCGTGCCCGGCCTTTTTGACACGGAGGCTTGCTTTGTCGCACAGGCTGGAGGGCAATGGCGCAATCTTGGCGCCACTACCTCCTGGGTTTAAGTGATTCTCTCTCTCAGCCTCACAAGTAACTGGGATTACAGGTACATACCACCACAGCTGGCTAATTTTTGTATTTTTAGTGGAGACGGGGTTTCGCCATGTTGGCCAGGCTGGTCTTGAACTCCTGACCTGAGGTGATCCGCCTGCCTCAGTCTCCCAAAGTACTGGGATTATTACAGGCATGAGCCATTTGTCTGTCTTCTTTTGAGAAATGTGTATTCAGATCATGAGCCCATTTTTAATCTGATTATTTGGTTCGTTATTAGGTACTTCGTATATTCTGGATACTAACCCTTTGTCAGATGAATAGTTTGCAGATATTTTCTCTCATTCTGCAGATTACCTCTTTACTCATGACTGCTTCCCTTGCTGTACAGAACCTTTTTAGTTTGATATGATCCCATTTGCCTCTTTTTGCTTTTGTTGCCTGTGCTTTTGAGGTCTTACCCATAAAATCTTTGCCCAGATCTGAAGCATTTTCCCTGTTTTCTTCTAGTAGTTTCATAATTTCAGGTCTTACATTTAAGTTTTTAATCCAGTTTGAATCTATTTTTGTGTATGGTGAAAGATAGGGGTCTAGTTTCATTTTTCATTCATTTTTCTGCATATGGATATCCAATTTTCCCAACACCACCTTTGAATCTTCCCCAAGCCTTTTGAAACAGCAATTCTTTTTTTTTTTTTTTAAACTTCGTCCTCCTTCTCCAATCTAGTTAAGAGAAGGAAACTTTCTGGGGATATGAGGTTTAAACTGATGGACCATTAACAGCATAACAAAGCAAAAGGAATTTTCCGGGTCACCAGCCAACAACTTTAGAGTAGTATTTAAAATTCACTTGCTTAGTGGGGAGGGAAAGCACTTGTTCAGGAGAGGGTGGGGAAAGGATTTCTCCCAGCTGATGGGGAACTGGAGAATGCCCTCTTTTTGGCCAGGAAAACCAGTGAACATCATAACATAGGGCTTGGTTTGTGTGCAGATCTTTTACCCTTGTAGATACAGATTACAACGCAGATTTTGGAAAGAAAATGTCTGTCTGCTGAAACCATAAATAAAAAGTTTCTTTGGCTTCAGATTTAGGGAACACCTGGATCCCTGCTCTGGCTTCAACCCTGATTTGCTAGAATATAACATACCCATAAATTTCTTCTGAGCCCACTGAACACACACACAGACACACACACACACACACACACACAGACATGCACACACACACACATTTATACAGATATTGCCTTATTCCAGCTGTGGCAGCATTTTGCAGAAGAAGAACGTTGGCCATATTGTCTTTCCCCCACCTCATTTTGCATTTCTAAAATGTATTTGCTGGCAGTCTGGAAAGTCAAAAGCAGCTTTAGCAATTAAGTGGTAAGCAGAGCTGTTCTAGTAGAAATGTTCTAGGGATCACTTTTGCTCCTGAAGGAAGAATGACCAATAGAGTCTTGCTGAAATTCAGTAAGAATTTCACCTCCCTATCATACCCCTCCCACAGTGTATTGCTCCAGGAACTTCCATAAACCTATGACCACTTACATAGACCTTAAAATTCCTATAACCTCTTGATCCCAGGATTTTCTGGGGGCCCTGCCAAATTGCAGAAGGCTGTTTAACTAGTGTTATACACATTTCAAGGTCTTTCTAGTATAGTGGCTTCTAGACTTTTAAAAAAGCAGCAGAAGCGTTTTAAAGGAATGCAAAATATGAAAACGAGATTAAAACTATTGTTTCCGGTTGAAGCCAATCACAATGTTGCTCAAAAGGGGTCCTAGGAAACAAATCACAATTTTAGAATATCATTCTTTTTTTTTTGAGACTGAGTTTCGCTCTTGTTGCCCAGGCTAGAGTGCAAGAGTGCAGTGGCACGATCTCGGCTCACTGCAACCTCTGCCTCCCGGGTTCAAGCAATTCTCCTGCCTCAGCCTCCCAAATAGTTGGGATTACAGGCATGCGTCACCACGCCTGGCTAATTTTGTATTTTTAGTAGAGATGGGGTTTCTCCATGTTGGCCAGGCTAGTCTCGACCTGCTGACCTCAGGTGATCTGCCCACCTCAGCCTCCCAAAGTGCTGGGATTACAGGTGTGAGTCATCACGCCTGGCCTAGAATATCATTCTATTATGACTTTAAGTAATTTTGGCATTTAATGGAGTTCAAACTCCTTACTATGCCTATACAACACTTTTGATCCAGCCCCTGCCTACCTGAGCTCATGCAGTTATTCTCAAGTTGTTTACTCCTTGGTTTTGTTGGTACAAATCTTCTACTAGCTTCCTGGAAAGAGATACACAGAAGTAAGTATCAGCTCACTGCAACCCCCACCCCCCAGGGTTCAAGCAATTCTCCTGCCTCAGCCTTCCGAGTAGCTGGGATTATAAGGACGCATCACCACACCTGGCTAATTTTTGTATTTTTAGTGGAGACGGGGGTTTCACCATGTTGGCTAGGCTGGTCTCAAACTCCTGACCTCAGGTGATCTGCCCGTCTTGGCCTCCCAAAGTGCTGAGATTACAGATGTGAGCCACTGCACCCTGCCTGTTTTCATATTCTGATGGATAGTTTTGCTAGGTATAAAATTCTAGATTTTTTTTTTTTTAGCTTCATTTTTTTGTTGTTGCTACATTAATAAATGTACATATTTTCAGGGTACATGTGATAATTTCATGTATTCATATAATCAGGTCAGGGTAATTGGGATATCCATCATCTTAAATACTGATATTTTCTTTTTGCTTAGAACATTTGATTATTTTCTTCCAGCTATTTTGAAATGTACAATTGGTTGATGTTAGCTATAGTCATCCTACTGATCTATTGAACACCAAGTCTTATTTCTTCCAAGTATATACTTGTCCCCATTAATCAACCACTCTTTATTTCCCACTCTCCCCTACCATTCCCAGCCTCTAAATTATAAATTGTTCCTTGACACCACCTCCTCTGTTCCTCGATAAGCCTAGGCTTCTCCAGTGTCCAGGTCTTTAAACTAGAAGGGTTTTTTTCCCCCCGCAATTGAACACATATCCCCATCCTCACCCTTATACCGGTGTAGCTAACACTTCATTATTCTTATCAGGGAAACTTCCCTTCCTGTCACCTCTCCTTCCAAGGCTAGGTGGATATGCCTCCAAGGAGATCGCACAACACCTGGTGCTTATCCTCTTCATATGCTCATTTGTCATATCATTACCACCTGTTAACTTGTCTGTGTCCTCCACTCAATTGTGAGCACGACAGCTGAAAATTCACAGCCATAGTGCCACTCAATAAATATTTATAGAACAAATAAATAGATTAATGGTCACAATAGTATTTTTTATTAAAAGATACAATCTATAATAAAATGTTTGACAAATGCCCTTACCAGTTGGTGCATGCTCCAGACTTTAGGGCAGAGAATAGGATTGCTTTAGGGGGAAAAAGTCACTTTGATATTAGGAGCATAGAAAGAGTTCTTACGAATTCTTGTTCTAGTCTTTACCATCTTGGGAAGAAAGGGGGTTTGGAATGAAAATTGAATTCATCAGCCAGTTGTGGTGGCTCACGCCTATAATCCCAGCACTTTGGGAGGCTGAGGTGGGCATATCACGAGGTCAGGAGATCGAGACCATCCTGGCCAACATGGTGAAACCCCATATCTACTAAAAATACAAAAATTAGCTGGGCGTGGTGGCGCACACCTGTAGTCCCAGCTACTTGGGAGGCTGAGTCAGGAGTATCACTTGAACCCAGGAGGTGGAAGTTGCAGTGAGCCAAGATCACACACCTGGAGATTCTCACACCTCCAGCAGATCTCCCCAGCTTTAAACTCCTGACCTCAGGCGATCCATCCACCTTGGCCTCCCAAAGTGCTGGGGTTACAGGCATGAGCCACAGTGCCCGGCCTTGGCTATTATTTTAATAGACAATTCAATCCCTGTTTTTGGAGCTGAACTTTGGCCTTGACTTTGTTTTATTCTTTCTGTCACTGATCAGCCTTGCAAATAGTGATTTCCTGCCAGTCCCTGCCTCTGTGACCAACCTTGATTGTTCAAAGTATAGCTCTGCAAGCAGTGGCTACGGACAGTTTCCAACATGCAAGTTCATCTCCGACCCCACTTCATCATTCCTCCTGCCCCCAGCACTCCTGGATGCTATGCTGAATTGTTTTGGTACCTTTGGTTTGTGAGCCTTCTTAAACCTTTCTTTCTTCTACTTTATTATTATCATTGTATTATAAAAGCAATAGATGCTCATTACTTTAAAAAATGTAAAAGTACAGAAGAGTGTAAAGTGAAGAGTAAATGTCTCACTCCCCACCCAAACCCCCATTCCTACTCTGAAAGTAAGCCAATTCAAGTTAGCAGTTTCTCATGGGCATTTCCGGAAATCACCCATGGCTACACAGAAGCATATACACACTTCTGCATATACACATATGCACTGTTCTGTGTCTTGCTTTGTTCTCTTAACAGTCTTGAACACCTTTTTGTATCCACACCTAATAGATCCACCACACACTGCTTAATGACAACATAGCTTTCCTTTGTAGAGATCAGCCATTGTTGATCTCCTCCGTCCCCTACAGGTGGACACTTAGGTTGTTACTACTAAAACATTACGATAAACATTCTTGTATACAAATCTCTGTGGACTCCTTCAGTTTTAAAATTATTTGATTGCCAAATTAGACCAGAATGACCAGAAGCATTTCTTTAAATGTGGTTCTGCCTCCCAAGTTCTCCACCTATACACAATGTTCAGTCCCTGGGCCCACTGACTCACTCACTGGTCAGCAGCACAGCCACCTACGTCCTCATCTCAAAATAGAAGAAAGGTCACGGGATGCTTCCTTGTGATCCCACTCAATAGGTGTTCACAGAAGCCACATATCTCCCTTTCTCTGGAACCACAGGGGAAATCCTGGGCATTTGGGAATCGAATTTCAGAAAGCGGTTGTGCTCTCAAGTACCCTTGAGGAAACCCCAGAGGAGGAAGGAAACGCCATTTTTGGTTCCTGAGACACAATCCCAGGTGTTTTCAGTGGTGCTGGGACGGGTGTGTGTGACAGCAACGACAGTAGCTGAAATGGACTTCAGGCGGTGGCTGGGAGGAGGTGAACACAGGCCTCTCATCAGCAGTGACTTGGCACTATTGTCCCGGCCCACATCCGTCCTCAGTGCCTGTCCTTTCTCAGGCCAAGGACGGGATGGGCAGGCAGGAACTGGGACTGCTTATCCCCAGCTCGTCCTGACTCATCCACAACTCCAAGCAGCCACTGACTGTGCCCTGGGAGAAGCCTTAGGGGCCTGGGTGAAGACAGAGCTGGAAAAGGTGCCCCTGGGCTGTGTCCAACTGGCTTACTGATCACTCTGTGACCTGCAGTGAGTTTCCGAACCATCCTAAGCTTCAGTTAGCCCATTTCCCCGTTGGTATAAAAGCCACACCAACAGCCCCCGTCTTAGACTGTCCTTGAGAGCAGGATGTACACCAAGTGCTTAGCACAGGACATGGTGTTACATAAGCAGTCAATAAATATTTGATATTTGCTTCACTGACGTTTCCCTCTGGCCTAGCCTAGCATCCAACTTAGAGTAGGTGCTTAATTAGAATTTTTTTTTAAAATAAGTGACTGAATAAACAACCTCTTTCTTTCTGGAGGGCAGACAGGAAAATTGCAAAATGGCCCCCAAGGCCTCTCTAACTTCCTATGTCACCCCATTCTTTTCTTTATGGCTGTGGCAGATTAGTGACAATGTGGTTTGGTTTGTTTTTCTCTCAGTTCTTTCTTCTTTGCCTCCCTCCTCCTCCTCCTCCTCCTCCTCCTTCTCCCCCTTCTTTTCCCTCTCTCTCTCTCTCTCTGGCTTCCCAGGAGAAAACATATTCTATTCTTCCTGGCTCATCCTCAAGACCCAGTTGCATATGATGAATAGTAAGTTCAGGGTCAGGGTCCTAGAATGCAGCCTTTACCTCAGAGTTTCTAAGGAGAAACCAAGTCCCAGAGCCATGGAATATTAGAGGAGTGAGGAACAGAAGTGCATTGTATTCACTCAGTGAACCTCTACAGAGTATCTCCCACTTCGACTTCGGCTTCCCCTGTGCTCCTCACCACGCTGGCTTGGCCTCTGCCTCTGCTGGGAGGGCTTCCTCGTAGGTAATCCTCAGGGAGTGCTCATTGCTAAGCCCCTCTTTCCTCCATTCTTACCCCTCACAACCTCTCTACAACACTAAACACTTGATATCCCTCTCCTAGCACCTTTCTCCTCCTTCAGTTTCTCTGGGGGACTCCCACTTTTTTTTTTTTTTTTTTTTTTGAGACAGAGTCTCGCACTGTCACCCAGGCTGGAGGGCAACGGCGTGATCTCGGCTCACCGCAACCTCTGCCTCCCTAGTTGAAGCAATTCTCCTGCCTCAGCCTCCTGAGCAGCTGGGATTACAGGCGCCCGCCACCACGCCCGGGTAATTTTTTGTATTTTCAGTAGAGACGGGGTTTCACTATGTTGGCCAGGCTGGTCTTGAACTCCTGACCTCATGATCCGCCCACCTCAGCCTCCCAAAGTGCTGGGATTACAGGTGTAAGCCACTGCGGGATCCCCTTTTTTATCATCCTCCGCACTCCCCTCTCAGTTTCTGCTTCTTGTCTCCTGTTATGAGCTGAACTGCATTCCACCCAATTAATATGTTGAAGTTCTAGCCGCTACCAACTCAGAATAGGACCATATTTGGAGATAGATCTTTAAAGAAGTAACTATGATAAAATGAGGTCACCAGGGTGAGCCCTAACCCAATATGATTAGTGTCCTAATAGTAGCAAGAGAAAATTACAACACAGAGCAAGGGGAGTCCACGTGAAGACACAAGGAGAAGACAGCCACCCCCAGGCCAAGAAGTGCAGTCTCAGAAGACACCAATCCTGTCAACACCTTCATCTCAGACTTCTTGCCTCCAGAATTGAGAGAAAATACATTTCTGTTGTTTAAACCACCCAGCCTGTGGTACTTTGTTATGGCAGCCCTAGTATTAAATGTGGATTTGAACCCAGTATGGTCTAGCCTCAAAATTTTTTTTTTTTTTTTTTTTTGAGACAAAGTCTCACTCTGTCGTCCAGGCTGAAGTACAGTGAAATGATCTCAGCTCACTGCAACCTCCGCCTCCCAGGTTCAAGCGATTCTCCTGCCTCAGCCTCCCAATTAGCTGGGATTACAGGCACGTGCCACCACGCCCAGCTAATTTTTGTATTTTTAGTAAGGACGAGGTTTCTCCCTGTTGGCAGGCTGGTCTTGAACTCCTGACCTCAGGTGATCTGCCTGCCTTGGCCTCCCAAAGTGCTGGGATTACAGGCGTGAGCCACCATGCCCGGCCTCAAAACTCTTATACTACATCATTCTACTCCTCTTTCTCTCTGCAAAAATGTAAAGGAATTTGTTCAGTTTCTGATAGTATGGTAGCCATACTATCAGATGGCCTTCCGAATAAAAAAAAAAACACAGACAAACATTGAATGAAATCTCTCTCTCTTTTTTTTTTTTCAAAAATGCATTGCTGAACTGGCAGAAAAGTAAGGAATATTCAGAGACCAACAAAAGAAATGAAAAAGGGAATTCTGAAACATAAGTGAGTGCACAAGACAGCTTTAGATTGAGGATGTCTGCTACAACTTGATGACTTGAAGCTTCCATTTTGATTAACACAGCAGGTGAGGGGGACAGGAGACAAAGTTTCTTGCACAAGGAGCTCTGCTGCCCAGGCTGGTCGTGACGTACTGGGCTCAAGCAATCCTCCTGCCTCAGGCTTCCCAAAGTGCTGGGACTACAGGTGTGAGCCACTGTGGCTAGTAGGAGTTCCTAATAGGAATAAACCCCAGTAAATATAGCTGTTAAAAGTAAATATAGGCCAAGGTGGGCGGATCACTTGAGGTCAGGAGTTCAAGACCAGCCTGGCCAACGTGGTGAAACCCTGTCTCTACTAAAAATACAAAAATTACAATGGGTCATGCCTGTAATCCCAGCACTTTGGGAGGCTGAGGCAGGTGGATCACGAGGTCAGGAGTTTGAGACAGCCTGGACAACATGTTGAAATCCCGTCTTTACTAAAAATACAAAAATTAGCTGGGCGTGATGGCACATGCCTATAATCCCAGCTACTTAGGCTGAGGCAGGAGAATCGCTTGAACTTGGGAAGCAGAGGTTGCAGTGAGCCGAAATTATGCCATTGCCCTCTAGCCTGGGTGATGGAGCAAGAATCTGTCTCAAAAAAAAAAAAAAGAAAATTAGTCAGGCGTGGTGGCACACCCCTGTAATCACAGCTACTCAGGAGGCTGAGGCACGTGAATCTGGTGAACCCGGAAGGTGGAGGTTGTGGTGAGTCAAGATCACTGATTTCAGCCCATACCTCAAAGAAATGCCCATAAAGTTTCAAGAAACTTGAGCCTAAAGTTAAAATCACAAAACACACAGGAAATAAGGCACCATGAGCGAGAACCAACAAAAACAATAGACAGCATCATCAGACCCACAAAAATAAGAGATATAGAAATGATCAAGCACAGAATATAAATAGGTATATTTACTATATTTCAAGAAGTAAATGTGAGGCTTAAATACATGAGCCAGGAGCAAAAGGCTGTAAAATAACTAAGCCAATTTGGAAAAAACAAAACAAAACAAAAAAACCTAGCATGGTTTAAATGGCAGATTAACAGACTAAACACTTTTTGTTTTTGTTTTTTTGAGACAAGGTCTTACTCTGTTGTTGCCCAGGCTGGAGTGCAGTGGTGTGACCATGGCTCGCTGCAGCCTTACCTCCCAGGCTCAAGCAATCCTCCCATCTCAGCCTCCTGAGTAGCTGGAACCACAGGTGCATGCCACCATGACCAGTTAATTTTTTAATTTTTTGTAGAGATGGGGGTCTCGCTATGTTGCTCAAGCTGGTCTTGAACTCCTGGGTTCAAGCAATCCTTCTGCCTCAGCTTCCCAAAGTGCTGGGATTACAGGGTGAGCCACCAGGCCCAGCCTAAACACTGTTAAAGGCCGAATTCATTTACTGGAAGATGGATCTGCAGAAATCTAGAATGTGACCCAGAGACACAAAGAGATTAAAAAAATACAAAGAGCAACATATGTGACATTGGAAGATAAAACGAGAGTTCCAATACATATTTGTATTTAATAAAGAAAAGAACAAGGAAGAGGAAGTATTTATATAGAATAGGACAGAGACTAGAGTGAGGTAAGTGATATGTGTAGACTACAAAATTTAATGTAGACACTCACTCTCAGGGCCAGGCTTATATTTACACACGCTCCATAATGAGCACATCCTTAAATTTTGCGCCCTAGGTTCACACTAGTTATGGCCTTGAGAATTTTTACAAATTGTTGTAAAACACCAAACTCTGGGTCCAGAAATTCCAGGGGTCCAGGATAAAGAAAAAAAAGTTCACATCTAGATATATTACAGTGAAACAGCAGAGGGCCTGGGACAAATACATATCACTTTTGTTTTCTTTGTTTTTTTTTAGATAAGATCTTGCTTTGGCCGGGCGCGGTGGCTCACGCCTGTAATCCCAGCACTTTGGGAGGCAGAGGCGGGAGGATCACGAGGTCAGGAGATCGAGACCATCCTGGCGAACACAGTGAAACCCCGTCTCTACTAAAAATACAAAAAAAAAAAAAAAGATCTTGCTTTGTCCCTCAGGCTGGACTGCAGTGATGGGATCACAGTTCACTGCAGCCTCAAACTCCTGGGCTCAAGGAATCCTCCCACCTCAGCCTCTTTTTTCTTTTTTTTTTGGACAGAGTCTGGTTCTATTGTCCAGGCTGGAGTACACTGGCATGATCTCAGCTCACTGCGACCTCTGCCTCCCGGGTTCAAGTGATTCTCCTGCTTCAGCCTCCTGAGTAGCTGGGATTACAGGCACCCACCACCATGCCCAGCTAATTTTTATATTTTTAGTAGAGATGGGGTTTCACCATGTTAGCCAGGCTGGTCTCGAACTCCTGACCTCAGGTGATCCACCCAACTCAGCCTGCCAATGTTCTGGGATTACAGGCGTGAGCCACCGTGCCTGGCCCACCTCAGCCTCTTGAGTAGTTGGGACCACAGATGCATCCCACTATGCCCAGTCAATTTTTATTTTATTTATTTATTTATTCATTCATTTTTTATTTTTTAAATTTATTTTTTGAAATGGAGTCTCGCTCTGTCGCCCAGGCTGGAGTGCAGTGGCGCGATCTCGGCTCACTGCAAGCTCCGCCTCCCGGGTTCAGCCATTCTCCTGCCTCAGCCTCCCGAGTACCTGGGACTACAGGTGCCTGCAACGGCGCCCGGCTAATTGTTTTTTGTATTTTTAGTAGAGACGGGGTTTCACCATGTTAGCCAGGATGGTCTCGATCTCCTGACCTCGTGATCTGCCCACCTTGGCCTCCCAAAGTGCTGGGATTACAGGCGTGAGCCACTGCGCCCGGCCAATTTTTACTTTTTGTAGAAACAGGGTCTTGCTATGCTGCCCAGGCTGTTCTGGAACTCCTAGGCTCAAGCAATCCTGCCTTCACCTCCCAAAGTGCTAGAATTACAGCCGTGTGCCACTGTGCCTAGCCCAGATCAATTTTAATTTTTATTTTATTTTTTTGAGATGGAGTCTCACTCTGTCACCCAGGCTAGAGTGTGGTGGCGTGATCTCAGCTTACTGCAACCTCCGCCTCCTGGGCTCAAGCGATCCTTTCTGCCTCAGCCTCCTGAGTACCTGAGACTACAGGCAAGAGCCACCACAAGCCGGCTTTTTGTTGTTGTTGTTGTTGAGACGGAGTCTTGCTCTGTTGCCCAGGCTAGACTGCAGTGGCGCTCGGCTCACTGCAAGCTCTGCCTCCCAGGTTCACGCCATTCTCCTGCCTCAGCCTCCCAAGTAGCTGGGACTACAGGCACCCACCACCATGCCCGGCTAATTTTTTTGTATTTTTAGTAGAGACGGGGTTTCACCGTGTTAGCCAGGAGGGTCTCGATCTCCTGACCTCGTGATCTGCCCACCTCGGCCTCCCAAAGTGCTGGGATTACAGGCCTTGGCCACCACGCCCAGTCTAATTTTCTTATTTTTTGTAGAGATGGGGTTTCGCCATGTCGTCCAGGCTGGTCTCAAACTCCTGGACCCAAGCAATCCTCCTACCTCAGCCTCCCAAAGTGCTGGGATTACAGGTGTGAGCCACCGTGCCCAGCCCAGATCAATTTTTAAAAAGATACAATTAGACTCACTGCATACTTCTTAGTAGGCACAACGGAAGCTGGAATTCAGCAGAATGGTATTTTCCTCATTGTGCTGCAGCAAAACAACTAGCAACCAAGAATTCTATTCAAGAATTCAAATATGAAGATGAAATAAAGTCATTTTCAACCCAATAAAAACTAACAGAATTTACTACCAACAGACTCTTACTAAAGGAAATTCTAAAGAATGAATTTCAGGCAGAAGGAAGTCTATCTTAGACATATGGTCTTATAACAAGGAACAGTGAAAAAAGAGATTGGTAGTTCTGTGGGTCAATGTGAGCAACATTTGACTGTATAAAGAAACAATAATACTGTCTAATCTGGCCTAAGGGAAGAAAAAAAAGAATGAAAACACCGGACTACAGAATATAAACGTGTATATGTGTTGAGGTAAAGGGAGAGGGCAGAGATTGAAGTTAATGCAATTTAAGAGTCTTGTATTCAGGTTTTATTTGTTTTGTTTTGTTTTTGTGGGGGATGGAGTCTCGCTCTGTCACTCAGGATGGAGTGCAGTGGTGCGATCTCTGCTCACTGCAACCTCCACTTCCTGGGCTCAAGCCATTCTCCTGCCTCAGCTTCCCAAGTAGCTGTGATTACAGGACGCGCCACCACACCCAGCTAATTTTTGTATTTTTAGTAGAGATGGGGTTTCAGCATGTTGGCCAGGCTGGTCTTAAACTCCTGACTTCAGGTGATCTACCCTCCTTGGCCTCCCAAAGTGCTGGGATTACAGGCATGAGCCACCGCACCTGGCCAGGTCCTTGTATTCTTTAGGAGGATAGAAACTGTGATTAACTTTTTTTTTTTTTTTTTTTTTTTTTCAGACAGGGTCTTACTCTTGTCACCCAGGCTGAAGCGCAGTGGCATGATCTGGGCTCACTGCAACCTCCGCCTCCCAGGTTCAAGTGATTTTCCTGCCTCAGCCTTCCGAGTAGCTGGGACTACAGGTGCCTGCCACCACGCCCGGCTAATTTTTGTATTTTTAGTAGAAACAGGGTTTCACCAGGTTGGCCAGGCTGGTCTCGAACTCCTGACCTCAGGTGATCTACCCACCTCGGCCTCTTAAAGTGCTGGGATTACAGGTGTGAGCCACCACCACGCCCGGCCTGTGATTAACTTTTTAAATATCTAGAGGATCCACTAAAAGAAGAGATGGAGAGACTGTAACTTACTAGGCAATCAATGGGAAAAAAAGAGATGGTTAAAAAAAAAAAAAAAGCCCAATCCATAAGAAGACAGGAAAGTAGAAAGAAACACAAGAATAAAACCAGGACAAAGAGAAGAGAATAAGATAGAAGGAAATCTGACTAATTTAATAATTTTCAATACTCATATTAACGCAAGCAATCTGAAATGTACTCCACTATATACCCCAAGAAGCTTATCCACTGTAGCGAAAATAGAGAAAAGACAAAGCTTGTCCAACTTGCTAGGAAACAAAATCCAGCAATACATGTGTATCACAAGCAAAACAAAGGAGTTAGGGTAAGTGACTGCTAAACTTTCCTCCTGTTTTTTTCCAGCCTATATAATTTCTCCATAAAGTCAAGCAGAACAAATTTGTTCATTTGAGGAGAGGTCATTTGATAAAGAAACTATTTACAAACATAATAGACATACTTTGCAGAGTGTAGGGAAACTACAGGGATGGTGCAGCACCCTGGAACCAGGAACAACAGGGTTCCACTGTCACTCCTAGAACTGAAGGGGCAGTGTGGGGATGGGCAGTTACCAGAACCCATTGTGGTCCTTGCAAGTCATTCTTCACTCTGTGGCCAGAATGAGCTTTTCAAAATGCAAATTAGATCTTGTCACCCCCTAACACAAATACTTACACACATATCCATGGCTTCAAATCCTTTAATAGTAACCCATTGTCCTCAAGAAGCATAAAAGTGCAGATCCTTGAGAGAGCCTCCAAAGCCTTTTGTGATCTGTCCTCAGCATGGGCCCTGTCCCCCATATTTCTAGCTCTTCGTGGGACCAGGGTCCACCTCATTTTCATCCCCGTAGTCACACTGGTCTTTTTGCATTTCCTTGGATTCACTGTGATCCCTCTAGCCTCAAGACCTTTGCATATGCTGTCTTCTGCCTGCAATATTTCTCACTCCACCTTCCAAACCCCACTTAATACCACTGATCTTTTAGCTCTGAGCTGAAATGTCGCTTACTAGAGAAACTTTTCCAAACTCTGTCTTCATTATATACCTTTAGAACATTACTGCCTCTCCTGCAGAAGACTTATTGCTGTTGTCATTTTCTACTTATATTTATGCAATTAATTTTTCTTTTTTTTTAGAGACAAGGTCTTGCTCTGTCACCCAGGCTGGAGTGCAGTAGTACAATCATGGTTCCCTGCAGCCATGAACTCCTGGGCTCAAGGGATCCTCCTGCTTCAGCCTCCCAAGTAGGTGGGACTACAGGCACACACCACCACACCTGGCTAATTTTTTAATTTTTTGTAGAGATGGGGTCTTGCTATGTTGCCCAGGCTGGTCCCAAAGTGCTAGGGTTAGAGGTGTGAACCACTACACCTGACCATACTTGTGCAGTTATTTGATGCGTGTACGTCCCACTAGATTGGAAGCTCCATGAGGGTGAGAATGGCAGCCTTTTTGCTAACTGCTATACAGTGGCTGGCACCTAGCAGAAGCTCAGTAAATACTGATGAATGAAGGAATGAAAAATCCTCACCAGGTGTAAAGCACTTTGTCCAGAAACAAATACTATATACCCCAAGAAGCTTATCCCAGTTTCATTACACAGCTTGCAATCATTCATTCACATATATATTTTTAAATTTAAATTTATTTTGTAGAAACAAGGTCTTGCTATGTTGTCCAGGCTGGTTTTGAACCCCTGGGCTTAAGCGATCTTCCCACCTAGGCCTCACAAAGTTCTGGGATTGCAGGTGTGAGCCACTGTGCCCAGCCCATTCACATATTACTCACTTTCCATTTCTCTGGGTCAGAGAGAATTCAAGGCAGCTTCCTTCAAGGGCCTCTCTGAAACATCAAAACAGCCCCTGGGCTTTTAATGACATGAACATTGTGGGAGAACCTCCAAGTCAGCGATGGCAGATTGGCCAGGTATCCCAGCAAACCTGGTGGGCACTCAAGGTGGAGGATAGGGAGCCTCTCCCCATCTGGGCCCGTCAGACCCAGAGCGAAGGCAGCTGGATTGAACAATCAATCAGGAGCCTTTCCAAGGGTCCTAAATGGTGGCTGGGGCCATAGGCAATGGCACCTAAGTGACTGAGTTCCAGACATTTTGGCAAAGTGGGGCTGAAGGAGTTTAGTTGGTTCCAGATGATTGCTAATCATAGAGAAAACCCTCTGCTTTAAAATTCACACTTGGGAAAAGGACCAAAAGCATTTCCTTTGATTAACAAAATCTGCATCCTGTTCTCTGATTTGATTGACTTTACACGTGGATGGTAATAACTATGCCTTGGCTTCCTATCCTTAAGGAGGATGAAGATTTTTAGGCTCTTTAAGGGCATCGATAATAACAATAATAACAGTAGGCCGGGCACGGTGGCTCACACCTGTAATCCCAGCACTTTAGGAGGCCGAGGTGGGCAGATCACGAGGTCAGGAGATCGAGACCATCCTGGCTAACATGGTGAAACCCTCGTCTCAACTAAAAATACAAAAAATTAGCTGGGCGTGTGTGGTGGCACGCGCCTGTAGTCCCAGCTACTCGGGAGGCTGAGGTGGGAGAATTGCTTGAACCAGGGAGGCAGAGGTGTTATAGTGACTGCACTCCAGCCTGGGTGACAGAGCAAGACTCAGTCTCAAAAAAAAAAAAATAATAACAATAATAATAACAGTAGCAGCAACTAACATATACTGAACATCACTCTGTGCCAGGCTCTGTGCTAAGTTATTGATTTTATATATATAAAATCTCTTTTAAATCTTTGTGGAAATCAGCTCATATTGGTCCCCTGCTGAAAACCATTCAGTGATTCTTCATCGATCTTAAAATGCAAACTATTAACCACGGCCTTCAAGGCCCTATGACCTGGCTCTGCCTATTTCTACTGCCTTTCTCAAACAGCCCTCTCCCTTGGCTACTTAGCTCCAACAAAATCAACCTTCCTTCTGCTCCTCACATACACCACGCTTGTTTCTGCCTCAGGCCCTTGCACCAGCTAGCCCTTCTGTGTAAAGCGCTGTTCCTTCATTTGAGTCTCAGCTCAGGCATCACCTGCCTGATTTCCCTACCACCCTCACCTCCTTGCTTGACCACAGCCCCCTGATACCTCCAGAGCATGTATCACTATCTGAAATGATCTTAATTATTTGTTTAACTACCATCCCTCTCCCCTAACTAGAATGTACGTTCCACGAGAGCAAAGCCTTATCTGTCTTGTTCACTTCTGAATTCTCAGTGCCCGAAACAGAGCCCAGTAGGCATTCCATAAACATTTCTCAAATAAAGGAATGGGTGGAAGACCCAATGAGATGAGTGCTCCCGTATTTACACTATTTGATAGATAAAGGACCTGAAGCTTAGTGACATTAGGTGACTTGCCTGAAGTCACAGAGGTAGTAGATAGGTAGAGGAGATGAGAGAGAATCTAACCCAGGCCAAGCTGACTCCAAGACTTGTGCGCTTAATCACTACACAAACTGAGATTCATCCCATGAGTCGTGTCTCAAGGGATGGTCAGGCTGGTCTCAAACTCCCGACCTCAGGTGATCCGCCCACCTTGGCCTCCCAAAGTGCTGGGATTACAAGCGTGAGCCACCGCGCCCAGTGGATGTTTAAATTTTATATGCTCCCCTCATTAGACTAAGCTATTTGAGAGCAAGGGATTCCTCTAACTCATTCATTGTTGTGTCCTTGGGGTCTAGCATGCTGCCTGGTATCTAGAAGGGGCTTAAATACTGGTTGAATGAATGAATGACCAAATGAAGTGGCATGAATGGAGGCCAGAGTAGTAAAGGTGGCCCAAAGCACAAATGTCAAGTCAGAAAGACAGGCCCAGCCGCCATCCCTCCCATGCAGTGTGAAAGCCAAGATCAGGCCTCCAAAAAGTCACTGATCCAGATGAGTCCAGGTGGGCATTCCTTATCCCTGTGCTTCTCCTGAGGGTCCCATTCTTTTATATAAAGGACACAGACACTTATGAGGTGTTTACTGAACCACCCTATGGAGTTGGAATCATCATGCCCATTACATAAATAAGATTGAGGCTCTAAGTGATCAGTAACTTGCCTAAGATCTCTAAACAAACTAAGTGGCAGTACCCTGGGCCAAGTCCGTTTATGGAGTTCCCAAAGCCAGAGCTTGTCAACCACTGTCACATCTGAGTGTTCAAGGTTACCAGGGAATTTCTGTGATTTGCAAGCAAGGACTAAGGAGGTTACTCCTGGCCACTGGTGGGGTTGTGTTTTTTTTTGTTTTTTTATTCTTCATATTCACTGCTCACAATGGCTGTTCTGGATTTAGCTCTCACATCTGAAATGGACAGTGTGCTTGCATTTAAATGTGAATTTCAACAAACGCAAATTTGAACTGTGCCATAGAAATTCATGAGTGAAAACCAGGGTCTTGGAAGAAGGGCAGGGAAAAGGAAACTAGTGACCTGTGTTACCATAGCCAAGTTAAAATCTTTAACATCTCCCTGTTACACAAAACAACTAGAAGACCACAAAAATAGCTACGCACCTGGCTCTGGGCTAAGTTACTTGAAAAGCATCATGCCATTTAGTGCTTACAGCAACCCTCTAAGTAGATGCTATGTATATTCCCTTCCTACAGTCAAGGCCTGAAGAGATTAAGAATTATGCCAAGTCACCAAGTGCTTAACATGTCCCCCCCCCCGCCATACAGATTCAAGAGAACCAACAGCATACACATTCAGCCTTATATCACACTACCTGTTACCACTGAAACTCTTCAAACAAGGGTTGATCTTGGTTAAAATCAACCCTTTGGTCAACCATTTAAGGTAGCCAACCACACAATTAAAAACACATTTTTTTTTTTTTGAGACAGGATCTCACTCTGTCACCCAGGCTGGGGTACAATGGTGCCATTTTGGCTCATTGCAGCCTAGACTTCCCGAGCTCAGGTGATTCTCCCACCTCCACTTCCCAAGTAGCTGGGACTACAGGCACGCGCCACCATGCCTGACTAATTTTTTGTATTTTTAGTAGAGACAGGGGTTCACCATGTTGCCCAGGCTGTTTTTGAACTCCTGGACTCAGGCAATCTGCCAGCCTCAGCCTCCCAGAATGTTGAGATTACAGGCGTGAGCCATCGTGCCCGGCCTCAAAATGCTTTTGTCCTGCAAAAACTGTTCTAGTTAAAACATTGATGACAACTGCAGTATAATTGTTTTAACTTTTTATTAATAAAGACTTTAAAAAAATTTTTAGATTGTTTTTCTGAGTTCTTGATGCACCCAGATAAATGAGCTTCTGTTGAAATTCTAACTAATTCTTTGCAACAAAACAGTTGCATATGTTGAATAATTATCTAATATGTATTAGCTCAATCACGGCTTACTGCAGCCCCAACCTCCCTGGCTCAAGCTATCCTCCCACCTTAGCCTCCTAAGTAGCTGGGACCACAGACGTGTACCACTACACCCAGCTTTTTTTTTTTTTTTCTTTCTGTAGAGATGGGGGTGTCTCCTTATGCTGCCCAGACTGGTCTTGAACTCCTTGGCTCAGGTGATCCTCCTGCCTCCCAAAGCACTGGGATTACAGGCGAGCCTGGCTTGGGCACTGTTCTAAGTGCCTTATGTTCAATACCCCATTCAAGTTCCGCTCAACCCTTTGTGGTAAGTACTACTATCAGTTTTCATTTTATAGAGGGGGAAACTGAGGCACATAAAGTTTGAATAACTTGTCTGAGACTATGGAGCATGTAAGGGCAGGATTTAACCCTAGCAATCTGTAGGCAGTGTCTGTCCATCTGTCTTTCAAGCTGTCCAGCCCAAAGCTGAAACAGCTGAAACGCTGAACCGGAAAGCTTAGGAGGTAGTGCCAGGCCAGAGTTCTAACCTCTTGTTCTGACACATCGTCTCTTCCTCAAAGGACTAGGGTCCCCAAGGCTCTTTCCTGGTTCTGGGCCTTCTACCACTGAGCTCAGCCTGGCTGAGTCTGAATTCTGCAGATCTGAGTTCTGGGGAACCTTCTTGAGGGCCTCAGGCTGTGCCCCCCTCCTCTGCTCTCTGTACTTTGTATGCACTGCTGATGTTAACTGTAATTAAGTGATTCTTTGATCAACTATTTGTTTAATGTCTATCTCCCGAACTTGACTATAAATGGTAGGAGTCCAGAATTTCTACACAGGTGGAAGGAAATAATCTGTTTGGGTAGGGGGGCCTTTGCTTCCATTGCATAATACTTACTAAGGTTGAGAAATGTCAACTGAACACAGAAACGAATGGGGGTTCTGATGGAGATTGTAGGAAGAAAACACATGCCATCCTCACCTCTCCATGCCCTCCCTGTGGCATCACCACTGTCTATAAGCCCTATAAGAGCAAAAATTGTGTCTGTCCCTTTTCTCACTATAACTGTTAACAGCTGGCACTATGCCTGAAACATAAGAAGTGTGTCACAAAAATAGCACGCAAAAAAACAATTTTTTGTGGAATAAATAAAATTTTAAAATGGAGCCTTGCACTTCTGGTCTGCAAAAGAGGGGTGACACAATCAAGACCCATTTTTTTTTTTTTTTTTTAGACGGAGTCTCGCTCTGTCACCCAGGCTGGAGTGCAGTGGCGCGATCCCGGCTCACTGCAAGCTCCGCCCCTCCAGGTTTAAGCAATTCTCCGTCTCAGCCTCTGGAGTAGCTGGGATTACAGGCGCATGCCGCCACGCCCGGCTAATTTTTTTGTATTTTTAGTACAGACGGGGTTTCACCATCTTGGCCAGGCTGGTCTTGAACTCCTGACCTTGTGATCCACCCACCTCAGCCTCCCAAAGTGCTGGGATTACAGGCGTGAGCCACCGCACCCAGCCAAAGACCCAGCTTTTTGAAACAATTTTACATATGAAAACATGCTGCACATACAACTGGCATACAGTAAGTGCTCCAGAAGTGACTGTCATTGAATTGGAATTCCTGCCTCTCCTCAATCCCACTAACTCCAGGTCCTAGCAAGCCTAGGAGATTAATAAAAGAACAAAGCTCAAAACTGAACCTACTCTACTCCCCTGGCCACAATCTGGTGGGAGTGACGCTGTTTTTATTGGAATCAGGGTAAAAGATTGTCATTAGCCCTGGCAGGAATGCAAGGTTGTTAGGATGTGCCTCTAGCAGGAAAGTTATACCTGGGGAAGACATCGAGTAGCTTTGGAATGAACAGAGTCAGATGAAGCAGAAAAACAAATCCAGCACAGACCTACCGGCCACCCAATCCTAAAGAAGGAACATGATGTCTTCACCCTGCAATGGAGCAAATGCTCTGCATTCCCCAACCACCTTTCGTTCTGTCCCCTCACCCCCTAAACTGTGGCCCCAGGGCTGCTGGAGAGGTTTAAAACACAAATCAGAATGTGTCAGACCTTGCTTAAAATCCTTAATGGGATGACATCTGAATTCCTCACCAGGCTCACTTCAAACTTGCTCATAAAGCTGTGGCCACAGAGGCCTTCTGTCAGTGCCTCTAATATGCCAGGCTTTTCCCACACACGGCCTCCACCCATGCTCCCTCTGCCTGAGATGTTTCTCCAGTCCTCCCTCAGATTCACTTCTCAGTCTTTGGGTCTCAACTCACAACTAGAAGCCGCCCTCTCAGAGACATTCCCTGATGACCAAATCAGAATCAGCTCCTTCCACCATCCCCCACCTCCCCGGCAAGCAACATACCCCAGAGAAAGCTCATTTCCCTCCTAGCACTTAGAACCTCATGTTGCAGCCTGTCTGTCTGTCTTTTCAAAAGACTGTGAGCTTCACAAGGGCAGGGAGGGCTGTCTGTCCCTCACCACTGAGTCTCCAGAGTCAGGGCAGGCCCCACTACAGAATCGATCAATGAATGAGTGAATGAGTGAATGAATGAATGAATGAATGAATGAATTTTTCATAACTGCTGCTCCAAACCATTCCTCAGCTTAGGTTCCAAGCACAACCAGAATATGACCTCCAGAGCCCTTCTAGACGCTCTGAATCTCGCTGTACTTAAGCATCAGAGGCCCCTCCCAGCTCAAGACTGGGAGCTCCTCCTTCTCCCCACCACAGGCTGGGGTCTCCTCGCATTCTCTTTCAGGGAAGCTGAGAAAGACTATGAAATGTAATCCTGTCTGTCTCCTGAGTTTCTCTAATAAAGAAAACAGGATAGCAACCCCCCTCCCCGCGGCTCCTCCAATCCTCCTTTTCTGCCATAGATTTAAGATTTATTTATTCCCATCCTTCTGACTGTTTCAGCAAGGGCCATGGGTGAGCACCAGCTGGAAAATTACTGCTTCAACTTTCATTGTTTAAAATGCTTAAATGACATGCGAGAAACAGGTTTTTAGGTCTGTGATGCTGAGAAGGGTTGGTAGCAAAGTAAAGCCAGGTTGCAAAGACCTAGAAAATAAGTGCTACAATTTACCAGCTCTTCCATATACCCGGTGCAGGACCCTTGGCCTCAGTTTCTACAGCTGACAGAGAGGGCGATACTGAACTTCAACAGCCTTAAAAGGAAGTCCTGGACAACTGTACCCATTTTTCTGGCGAAGAGTTCTCTTGGTCTTAGAGAAAGGTCTCGCCCCTGAAAGGAAGGCTGAGGTTCCCTAGGGGAGAGTCTGCTCTGCCCTCAGGAGCTGGGTAAGTACACGGAGGGGTGAGCCGAATGGTGAGAAGGCATTTTAGGCTAGGACTCGGTGACCTTGGGCTGCCTGCCTCTAGAGTCCCAGCCCCAGCCCTAGGCCAGACCTCAGCCCTGGGCTGGGAGCCTTTCATTGGTTCCTCTGACAACAGCCAAGCACAATCCTATAGTGGCGTAGGAAGAAAAAGACTGCCACACAATCTCCCCGTGCGGCCAGAACAGCGGCAAGACAGACCTTACAAGGGACTCAGGGCCAAGCCCTGGCCCAGACTCTGCTCTTATCCACGCATCAAAGCCACCCCCCGCCCCGGACTTCCCGGAGGCTACAGGCTCCTCCGTTCCAGGGAGGAGCAGGGCCTGCTGCGAGGGCTCCCCGCCTTCCTGGAGTCAGGCCTAATGGCGGGGGCTTTTCTTTTCACCGGCTTGAGCTGATCCTCACCCCCGCCCCCCAACGCCACCATCATTAACAGCGAAGAAAGGATCCCCAGCCATTTCCATTTCCTCTGCGGCTCAAGAGCCCCGTTGTTATTTAATCCTGAGGCCACCCCGGCAGCATCCTCGGCGCAGCCGGCTCCACCCATCCACCTGGCCAGTTCTCGGCCGCTCCCACTTCCCCGGAGGGGAGGCCGGTGAGAGGTGGGGGATATTGGGGAAAGGCGCCTACAACAGCGAAGGGCCGTGGGCCTTCGGTGGACCGAGGCTCCTCAGGCCAGCGTCCTGTGAGGGCTGGGAAACCGACTGGGACAGAGAAAGGACACCTAGCTAGGGCGACAGAGAGCGGGCAGACGCCCGGGCACTGCGGACATTGCACTGGGGCGGGGGGCGGGGGGAACGCTGGGAGGCGAGGGCCAGGCTTCCTCTGGCTGAGTTGCCAGAATCGCCCCGGGGGGTACTGGAGCCGGAAGAGGCCTGGGCCCAGTCACTGTCTACACCCAAGAAATGGGGGGAGGGGCGGCCAGCACTCACGAGAGATTCAGCCTCAGGAAAAAGAACCAGATTCACTCACCAATCCTCACCCCACCCTTTGATATGAATGATGGACATTTTCCTAATTTTTGGTAAACGCAGCTTCAAGACCCCTCCCGCCTGGCGTCTCTGGTCTAGAGCAAGAGAAGGCCCCCAGTAGGGGTCCTCCCGCCCCCCCTTTTGACTGCCTGCGGGGGGCAGAGATCCCCAGATCTAGGTGTGCCCTCCACCACCCTGCTCTCAACCCGGGATCCGGAGGCCGCAGCGTCCCCCACCCCCCAGCGACACTGACGGTTCCTGCCCAGGCCCGCAGTGGCGTGAAGGTGGCCTTTACCTCCTCTCGCAGGCTGGGAGGGGGTGCAGCCCGCGCAGCTGGCCCAGCTGCAGCAGTCGCCGCCGCCCTCCATTCATTAAAAAAAAAAAAAAAAAGGCAACAACAGCCTCCACTGGAACCTCCACCCCTCTTTGTAAAAGAACGACGGCTCCTGGTGGAGCTTGAGCCAGTCCCAGCAATCACGGGTTAAGATCTTTTCCCGCCCCCCATTCATAAAAAAAGGAGCGGAGCGCATGCGCGCTCAGGGTCTGTTGTGCCCACCCATTCATAGAATCGCGAACGGCACGCGTGCGCACTGGCGCTCCCTTCCCTCCCATTCATAAAAAAGCCATTTTCCCAGGCAGTGGTTGCAACATCGCCGCGGAGGTAGCGAGCTGAGCTGACAGCGCGGAGCTGGCGCTGTGGAGCGCAGGGAGCCTTGCCGGTTCCTCCGACCGGCGTCTGCGAGTACAGCGGCGGCTAACCTGCCCCGGCTTCAGGATTTACACAGACGTGGGGCGATGCTTGTGACCCTGCAGCTCCTCAAAGTAAGTCCATGGCTGGTTTGGAGATCTGAAACTGCCCCTCTCTGAGCCGCGACGCGACTCCCCCCTTGGGCTGGGGCAAATGGTGCGCTATTTCTAGGCGCGCCTCAGTGTTCCTTCCCTCAGCCTGCGCCTCCTTGAGTCGCTGCGGTGCGCCGCAGCTCCCTGACGCCCTCGGCCCGGCCGGCACGGCGCCGGGGGTGTTCACAGCCTGGCACCGCCGTTTCCGACCCCTGGGCATTGCCAAGCCCGGCTTCCCCGCCCTCTGAGACTCGGGAAGCCCCGTGCGTGTCCCGGGAGTTTGCCTCTGGCCTGGCCTCTTTCCTTCTCCTGCCACCATCCGCCTCGAACGCTGGAACGGGCGTCTCTGGGCTTGGTCAGGAGCCACCGTTTGGGTCGGGGGGCGCCCTCGCTCTGGGCGGCTCGCCCACCTCCCAGCTCGGTGCCCACGGTGCCAGCTTTGCCGTGTATCTCCCAGCCCGCCGTAGCGGCCTATGCTCGACGTAGATTTTTTCTTTCTCTTCGGAGCCGTGACGGACTGAATTCCCTCCCCTTCTGCCTCTCCCTCGATGGTCAGCGAGGGGCTGGCTCAGGACTGGGCATTCCTACTCCCTCTCCTTGGCGAGGCGGTTCCTCGCCGTCTGACCTTTGCTCCGCTGCCGCATTTTATGCTATGCAACTGCCTTGCAGTTGACTTTTTCTTGCCTGGCCTCTGTAAGGCCTGAGGCTCCTCGGCCACCCTGTACCTCCCTATCCTCGGGCACCGAGCTGTGCCAGGCCCCGGAGCCCCCAGGCCGCGCTAGGGCTGCGGTGGGGGTTGAAGGTGCGTTTACATAACACCAGGCGTGTGGGAGCTGGAGGAAGAGGTTGCGAATGTAGGAGAGATAAGGCTCCTGCTTTCCCTCCTTCCTTCTTGGTGGTACCAGGCTTGACATCACAGAGAAGAGGATAGAGACGGTATGTTCTGACAAATTCTGAATCGCCAAGACCCCGGGGACAGTGAGCTGGGTGAGGGCGGGTTTGGCTAGCCAGGGCAGCTAGAGCTTGGCTCCATCACTGGGTCCAGGGCTGTGCCCAGTTCCCCCTCCATGCAGACGATCAAAAAGCATTTAGACAGTAGCTGCTCTTGTGCAAGAAGACGGTTTCTCAATTCTCCTTGATTGGGGGCAGGGGGTTGTGGGCAGGAGAGGCAGGGGAGACAGAAAATGGTTGCGTGGCTTATAGGGCTGAAGGATGGGCAAGAGAGGCGAAATGGGCTGGAGGGGCTAGATGGTAGGCAGAGTAGGGAGCTGCTGGCTGCCTCTTTCACCAGCTGCTGGAGGGGCATCCATATTGCCAAGGCCTCTGTGAGGGCAGGAGGCCGCCTTCTGGCGCAGCAAGGCTTCCGTACCCCCCAGCGCGGTTAGTGCTGGAAAGAAGAGTGTACAGTGGGGTGCCCAAACCTAGTGGCATCCCCTTCTTTCCTGCCTCCAAATCAGTGGCGTGATTCTCTCCAGTTTTGGGAGAGGCCAGACACACTGGAGGCCAAAGAACTTGCAGAGGGGCGGGAGCAAGCACTCGTCTGTGTCTGTAGCTGACCGAGGCACTAACCTCCCTGACAAGTCTCTCGGGATTCAAAGCTGGAAGGTATAAGGCTCAGAGAAGTTGGGAACTGCGGGTTTATCAATCTCTTAATGAGCTCAGTCTGGCCTGAGGCCCTACCCAATATTGCACTGGTGGATTTCACAATGTTTGGAGTTCTCCAGATCTTCACACAAATGGAGCATAAACATCTCTGAAATTTTCAGCCTTTTTTTTTTTTTTTTTAGGGCGGGTGTCAGGAGAGCTAGGAGAGGCAGGGCTGCAGTTAAAGATTTCTCTTTCTCTCTCCCTCTCTGTCTCCCAGAAGGGTGGGAAAGAACTAGTGGAGATGTCCAGTGTGAAATCACATTTCCTCTTTCCCATCTCTTGGGAGGGTTCTCACGTGCTGCGAGGCTCCAGCAAATCCTAATGTGGTGAACAGCACACACACTTACCAACCACGCCATGTGGCCAGTACGGGTGTAGGGTGGGGATTTTAGTAGCAGATTTCTGAAATCTTCATGGACAAATATTGGTCAGTTACAGTGAGCAGACTTTAAAGGCATCTGTTGGTTATCAGGAGTCACTCCCTTTCAGTGGAGTGTAAATGCCCTCTTGCCCTTAGCCCTCCTGCCCAGCTCCATGACCTTTTCCAGATCACCCTCTGAAATGGCCTCATCTCACTGAAGCTTTAGTTGGGGGCTGGTGGGAGGAGACAGAACACATAGTAGGGCAGAGGCTGTGGACAGGTGGACATTTGGAGCTTACGGATGTCGTTTTCATTTATATATATATATATATATTTTTTTTTTTTCTTGAGACGAGTCTTGCTCTGTGACCCAGGCTGGAGTGCAGTTGCGCGATCTTGGCTCACTGCAACCTCCGCCTCCCAGGTTCAAATGATGCTCCTGCCTCAGCCTCCCAAGTAGCTGGAATTACAGGTGTGTGCCACCACACCCAGCTAATTTTTGTATTTTTAGTAGAGACAGGGTTTCACCATGTTGGCTAGGCTGGTCTCGAACTCCTAAGCTCATGATCCGCCGGCCTCTGCCTCCCCTGGGATTACAGGCGTGAGCCACCACGCCCGGCCTCATATGTCATTTTTATCTGCATCCTCCCAGAATTGGCGGAGAGATGTGGCTCTTTGGAAATCTGTCCTGCCCAGTTCGCACCCACCCATGACCCCAGCCCCAACTTTGGTAAACCAGAGGTTTGGCTGACTTTCGTGAATAATAAATGAAAGCAGCCTTTCAGTGCCAAATTTGAAAATCAGTGATATAAAAGTTAAGAGAGGAATAAAACCCATTAATACTTACAGAAGTGACCCTTGAGCTGTGTTGCTCTGGGATTTAATACTTTGGGACCATATGTGGGGATTCCAGTTTACAGGGCTGAATGTCTTGTTGTTTGACATCTTCTAGCTCCAAGATTTGTGCCCCCACAGTGTGTTTTTCTGTCCTTGGGCTATCCTGTTGATGAGGGCCTGGGTGTTGGTGCAAAGGAGGCCTAGGAAGGAGCCCTCCCTCTTTATTCAGAAAAGTCCAGTGTTTCTTGGAGAATCATAGTGTTCCATTTGGTTCTAAATCCACAGTGTTTGTCATCTGGCCTCTACTTAGGTGGCAGTTCCCTTGTGATGACAACCTGGCTAAGGATTCTCGCCCAGGCCTCTGAATTTGGAGACAAAGTTGAAAATTTGGGGTTTTGAATGTAGACATGACAGAGTTTTTAAGGAAGGGAAATGGCTAGAGTGGAGAAGGTTCTATCTCAGGGCCGACCTTATCTCCCTGAAAGGAGAAAGCAGTGACTCATTAGAATATGTTTTTGCTCTTTCAAAAGAGCCAGGGGTAGGTGAACAACTTTCAGAAAGCTGTATTGTCCCTTCCAGACCAAGCCAGGGGCTAGAACAGAGCAGATGTGTGACTAGGCAAACCTGCTAAGCATGGCCTTAGCTTCCCCATCTGCACAGTAGAGAAAATAAACTCTTCCCAAGGGGACAGAGGCCAGCAGAGCTGCTAGTGAGCGGCCAGGACTAGGGCCATGCTCATGGTTATTATTGGGCTCCTAGGAGGAGGGCCTAGTTTTAAGGGTGCCCCTTTCCTGCACAGGAGGTGTGGGGTGTTGCGTGATGTAAGAGGGAGGGTATTCTTGGCTCTCGGGGTCTGGGGCCACCCTGCAGATCCGGACAGCTGACAAGGCTGGGGAATGTATCCGGGACATGTGGCTGGGCTTAAGAGGCTCCACAGTTCAGCTGTGATCATGATTGTTCTTTCCAAGGACAGGCCCCAGTCAGTGAAGGAAGCAAGGGCACAGGGGAGGGAGCACAGATGTGCTGGATCTGGCGGAGAAGGGAAGGGGCCCTTCGGGGCAGGTGGCCACTTGCAGAAGAGTGGTTTCCCTTGTCAGTAGTCTTTTTTTGGTTGGGGGAAGGGGAAGTCATTTCCTGCTCCTGTCCCAGGAGTAAGCTAAAATCTATTATTGTAAGTTCATTTCTTGGTGGAGGGTAAGAAGACAAATAATAAGATCTTAGTGTCTGTGGGAGGAAGCCCTGCCCTAGGAGTCTAGGGTTCTGGTCCCACCCAGACCTGGACTTGGCCAGTAGTTCCCAAACTATGCCAGTGGTTAACAGGCTCCTTCTGACTCCTTCTTTACTGACTCTTGGCTTCTAATCCTTCTTTATGGGAATCTGAGCAGACAATTAAGGCGGTAATACAGTGAAGCAGAAACTCGAAGCTGATTAAATAGCCCAAAGCCCAAAGTCCAGCAAGATTCCCACCCTTCCGTGTGCTGGGGCTTTGGAGCTCAGCTGATTGGCTGTGAAAGAGAGAAGAGAAGAGGGTTGGGAATCGGTAATGTGGTGGGATGAAGTGATGAAAAACAACCGTTTTTTTTTTGTGATCTCTGACAGATTGTGGCCAGAGGTGAGCTTCTTAGTGCTGGTGCTGGGGGTAGGGAGGTGGGGGAAGGAAGAAAGATTCATAGACAAATCCAGCTGCCCAAATGCTTTATTCTTCCACTGGGGCCATTCTCAGCAGAGATTGTCTTTCTTTGCAGGGTATAGGGAGGGGCAAGTCCTCTGCTTCCCTCAGCATCCCTCCCCCTCTTTTTAAAGTCCTTTTAAAGCAATAAGTCATTATTTGGTTGTAGCTTAATTAGCTAAACTGGAATAGTGTCACAAAGAACCAAGCAATAGTGGTGGGCAGGCTCTCTGGCAGCCTAGAGACCTTTATTCTGAGTTGTTTAAAGGGTTAAACAGCCTTCACTGAAAGAACCCGCTGAGACTGAATGGGGCAGTGCTTAAACTACCCATTCATTCACAGCCTCTTGCCAGTTTGTCATTAGCTGACCTGTAGCTTTCAAAGTACAACTGTCAGGTTTTCCCAATATTTCCCAACTCACCTCCCTAGGGTAAGTCAAGGGGAGGGTGTGGGTGGGTGGGATTAGGCATCCTGCTCAATTGTGCGGACATTTAACATGCCTCTTGATTCTTTTCAGCCAGCCTGTATTGAGCGGTTTGCAGCCTGATGCTCAGCCCCCTCCCCACAGGTACAAATGCAGTGAGTGTCAGACTGGCTGGTTCTGGGCTCCCAGACCCGCCAAGCAGCAAATACAGTGTTGCGCGTGTTCTGGGGATTTTGATATCCTGCTGATTCAGTATTCTAGGACTCTCTGTGCCCTGGCTCCCTCCCTTCCTCACAGACCTGGGCCAGGGACCCCATCAATGAAGGTACCCTAGGGACCCTTAAGTTCAACTTGATAGGTGGGGAGGAGTAGAGATTCCTTTCCACCCCAGGGTTTCCTTTTGGGGACTGGTTTGTAATAAACTCCTACAAGTGAAATCCATTCAACTATAAGAAAACTAAAAATGAAACCACTTTTAAGACGGGGGATGGCATGTAACACTGAACTGGAGTGAAGAGCACTTGAACTCTGAGCCTTCCTTGAATGAGAGAGATTACAAACCCCCACAGCCTTCACTCTCCACATTGAAAATTCCCCTCCCTGGGGTTCAGGCTGATGTAAGCCCCATCTGGCTTTCCTTCCCTGTTGGTTGCATTGCAGAGCCCCAGGATGTTCTAATGATGTTCCGTGAGGGCTGGAGGAGTCCATGGTTGTGAAAGTGATGGCACTTTCATGCCTTTCCATAAATTCCCAGAGGTTATGGAGGGCTTTTGTAAGTCAGGGCTGAGAGGTTAATATTTCAGCCTCTGAAGCCTCTGCTGTCTTGGTTCAAATCCTGCTCTGGTCACTTGCTAGCTCTATGACCCTTTGTGCTTCCATTTCCTCCTCTGTAAAATGGGTTCTCTCTTGAAGTATGGTGAGGATTAAATGACTTGATTTATGGTGAGAAAATAAATCACTGAGGGCTTAGCACGGAGCCTGGCACCAAGAAATGTTTCGTAAATATTAGCCGCTTCCATAATTATTATTTATTATTATTAGAAGGTTGAGTGGAGGTAAAAGTCCCTTCCCTCTTGCCAGTTCGTAAGAGTACCACCTAAACTTGATAGAGGTGCTTCTTTGGCTAAGTGGAGTGCTGGGTTTGTTTCTCTGTCCAGTGTCTTCCAAATTGGCCATCAGTCTCTTCCAAACTGCTTAAATGAGGCAAAACCTCCTCTCTCTTATTTATATTATAAATCTCTTACTACCTTGCAGGGGAAGCAGGGAGCACATATTAAATTGCACTTAAGATTGTCAGCATTGCTCAGAGTGGAGGGTGGGTGTTTCTCAGTGAGTAGAGATTGATCTACCAAATCAACTGAGAGTTGTTTTTTCTTTTTCTTTCTTTCTTTTTTTTTTTCTTGAGACTCAGTCTTGCTCTGTCACTCAGGCTAGAGTGCAGTGGTGCGATATTGGCTCACAGCAACCTCCGCCTCCTGGGTTCAAGTGACTCTCCTGCCTCAGCCTCCCAAGTAACTGGGATTACAGGCACCTGCCACCATGCCTGGCTAATTTTTGTATTTTTAGTAGAGATGGGGGTTTCATCCTGTTGGTCAGGCTGGTCTTGAACTCCTGACCTCAAGTGATCTGCCTACCTTGGCCTCCCAAAAGGCTGAGATTACAGGCATGAGCCACTGCGCCAGGCCTTCTTTCTTTTCTTTTTTTCTTTCTTTTTTTTTTTGAGACATCATTTAGCTGTGCTGAGGGGTTCTTAAATAGGCAGCTCAGAAAATTGTTTTCCTTTGTCAGCCACATAAATTCAGCAGAGGCTCTTGGAGGGTCCCTGCTGGTGAGGGGTGAGGCCAGCAGTGGAACTCTGATTTGGTTTTTGCTGAGCTGGTGGTTGAAAGGAATCCTACTACATCGGGGTTATAATAGGGAAGATACATTTTAGAATATGCCCAGTGGAGCCATCGGATGCTGCATCGTCCCCAGAGAGCCAAGTCATCGTGGGCCAAGCTCCCATCCCCATGTCTGGCCTCAACTGCAGGCCCAGATGTTGACAGCTGCCTCTGGAGGGTTATGGGAGCCTGTGAATGCCAACATCCCCATTGCCTGCAGCGGCTGCTCCCATCCTGGCTTCCTGGTGGGACTTTTCCATGAATTGGGGAATCTGCTTTCTGATTCCAAGGCCTATTAAAATTTCTGAGCATTGCCCATTTCTTTTGCTTTATCTGTAGGACATGGGCTGTTTTTAAAGAACCTCACAAATGAAAAAAAAAAAAAAAAGTGAATCTGCTTAAGGAAAGGGAGTCTTTTACTTTCTTCCACAGCATGACCAGACCCAATCCTGGTCCTGAGAGACAAAACCCAACTATATGGGGCAATAGAAGCTTCAAACTGCTGCCTACATTGTGTTGGCAGGACCCTGAATATTCCTGACATCGGTTTCTGGAACAAGGGACTCATGTTATCATTGTCCGGGGGTGAGGGTTCTGGCTGGTGCTGGAGAATCTTATCCGTGGCATTTTTAATTCTTAGGCCAAGCCACACCCTTTCCTCCAGGCAGCGTCCTCAGTGCTGGACCTTGGGCTCCTAACCCTGGCCTCTTGCCCCAAACTCATTTATTCTAGAAGCAAGGCTTTGGAACACCTATTGAGAATAAGTGGGCAGGCTGAGGTAGCATTCCCTGGAATTCCTACGTTGTCATCAGCCTGATCCTTGGAAAAACTCCTCTCCATAGATGCTTACTTGCATTCCCTCTCTCCAGCCCTGACCACAGGATCTCCAGGGGAGGCTGCTTTGGCAAGTGGCTACTCTTTGGTGGCAGACCTGCCAGACACTTAAGGTAAACTCTGCCACAAGGAAATCGCCAATTCAAAGGTGATGCTATGGTTTCATCCGAAGAGAACATGGGGGCAGGCACTGCCACTAGGTAGGCTTTCTCCAAGACAGGAAAAACAAGGCGTGTAAAGAAATACCAGCATCCTTTTAAGTAGGCAGGGCCATGGGAGCAAAGCCAATAGTTGATGCCCTGCGTGAATGGGAAATATCAGTTGACTGAGCATTGAACCTCGCAGAAAAGACTGGATGCTTTTTGGATTTAGCAGTGTAAGTGATATACATACTGGAGCCCCGTGGATAGCCCCCTTTTTATCCCCTTCATAAACTTTTATCTAGAGCTAGCTTTTTATTTTAGACAGGTTCTAGATAAACCTAACAGCAGAGGGGCAGGATCAGCTCTCCTAATTAGAACATCGTTAGCATCTTGATGCAAATTTAGTAAATGCAAAAGCATTTACTAAAACCCCACCCCATAATACATTAATGCAATGGCCTTTTTTTGGTTTTGTTTTAAAGACTTATCTTTCTCTTTTACCCTCCCTCCCCATTCCCTGGGGTTCTTAAGATTGGGGTGGAATCTTCCCAGAGTGTAATCTTTCCCTTGGATTCCAAATTGTATCCCCTTGAGCAGAGGTCTTGGCCTTCTGCTGCTATTTCTTTAAATTGATCTCCAGCAGAATTCCAAATGTAAAGGTCAGCAGGCAAGGAAATGGCACTTCTAATAGAAAACAATGTGCACTTTCTAAATTTGAACCAAGCAGTTTCCGCTCTTTGATTTAAGTGACTTCCTGGGGTTCCGTGTCAGGCACTGCAGTTGAATCTCTGGCTGGATTCCAACTTAAAATTGCACTCTCTCGGTGAAATTAGAAACTGATCCAGGGTTGGCTTAGCTACTCTAGTAAATAGCATTTAGGCTGAATGTTCAGCTCAGCACTTGGAAATGGGTGATGTGAGTGCCCCTCGAGAGGATTTCCCATCCAAGTTGTCAGAAGCTCACATACCCAGGGATTATTAGCCACTGCAGGTTGCTGCTCTTAAGAAGTGGTAGTAATAAGTTAATATCCTGGATGTGCAGGCATCAGATACAGCCCTTCTCTTGTGAATATCTGAAATAAAGGGCTTGTTTATCCAGCTGATAAACTCCATGGGAGCACCCAGAGCTGTCTGTTGAGTTCACCACATTGTCCCCAGTGCCTGGCACAGTGCTTGGCAGGCAGTGCTTGTAAGTGCTCAGGAGATCTAAACTTATTCCCTGGGGTAGCGATAAATTGTTGCTGCGTGCCAGGTAATATGCTAGGTAATAGATAGTATTTTCTCATTTAATCCTTGCAAGAGCCCATTTTACAGATGACAAAACCAAAATCTAAGGCATAGAGATGAAAGAACTCATTCATAGCAATATTGCTAGACCAAAGTGAGAGTCAAATTTGAGTGTTGTTCCAGAGCCTGTGTTTACATCCACTGAGCTATGTGTCTTAAATAAGGAGCATGTTTCACAGTGACTAAGAGAATGAACTCAGGCTGCCCAGGTTTGAGTCCTGCTACTGATAGTTTTGGATAGTTTTGTGTGACTTTGGACAAATTAATTTCAACATGTCTTTTCTCTAAATAGAAAAGGGGGATAATAGTAGTTACGTTTTAGGCTTATCATGAAGTCAATGACTTAATGCATATGGTGCTTAGGAGAGTACCTCCATCTTAAGTGCTCAGTAGTATTATTTCCACCACTGACTTCTTGTCATTATTAATCATCTTAAGCTTGGGGAGTCACTGGAAAGTCCACAGAGGGATTTTAGTTCCTATGTCAATTGGGCGGCTCCCAAGGACCTGATGGGGGGTGAGGTATTGGCAGGCCACATACTGATGCCTGGAATCCATTCTCTCTTCCTTTTCCCCACCCCACCCCCAGGGCCCCTAGAAGCCTGTTTCTCCGTACAGTCCAGGACCTCCAGCCCCATGGAGCCCCCGATCCCACAGAGCGCCCCCTTGACTCCCAACTCAGTCATGGTCCAGCCCCTTCTTGACAGCCGGATGTCCCACAGCCGGCTCCAGCACCCACTCACCATCCTACCCATTGACCAGGTGAAGACCAGCCATGTGGAGAATGACTACATAGACAACCCTAGCCTGGCCCTGACCACCGGCCCAAAGCGGACCCGGGGCGGGGCCCCAGAGCTGGCCCCGACGCCCGCCCGCTGTGACCAGGATGTCACCCACCATTGGATCTCCTTCAGCGGGCGCCCCAGCTCTGTGAGCAGCAGCAGCAGCACATCCTCTGACCAACGGCTCTTAGACCACATGGCACCACCACCCGTGGCTGACCAGGCCTCACCAAGGGCTGTGCGCATCCAGCCCAAGGTGGTCCACTGCCAGCCGCTGGACCTCAAGGGCCCGGCGGTCCCACCCGAGCTGGACAAGCACTTCTTGCTGTGCGAGGCCTGTGGGAAGTGTAAATGCAAGGAGTGTGCATCCCCCCGGACGTTGCCTTCCTGCTGGGTCTGCAACCAGGAGTGCCTGTGCTCAGCCCAGACTCTGGTCAACTATGGCACGTGCATGTGTTTGGTGCAGGGCATCTTCTACCACTGCACGAATGAGGACGATGAGGGCTCCTGCGCTGACCACCCCTGCTCCTGCTCCCGCTCCAACTGCTGCGCCCGCTGGTCCTTCATGGGTGCTCTCTCCGTGGTGCTGCCCTGCCTGCTCTGCTACCTGCCTGCCACCGGCTGCGTGAAGCTGGCCCAGCGTGGCTACGACCGTCTGCGCCGCCCTGGTTGCCGCTGCAAGCACACGAACAGCGTCATCTGCAAAGCAGCCAGCGGGGATGCCAAGACCAGCAGGCCCGACAAGCCTTTCTGACAGTTTGTGTCGAAGCCCCAGTGCTCTGCCTGGAAACCTGGTTCTCTTCTGACATCTAAGAAGACTGCAGCAAGGTCAGAGGTTTTAGCCTCCTGAGGCTGACCTTGCTAGTCTGCCCACTCCCTACCCCCAGCTTCGGAAAATACAGAGACCACCACCACGTACCCTGTATTCCCCAAGGTGATGAAGAAGCACTTTGGGGCTTTTTTTCAGGGTCCTGAAACTTTGTGTCAAACAGACAATGCAGGGGCAGGGTGTGGTTTGGGGGGAAATTTTTCTTTTTCAGAAGACAGAACACAGATGTGGACACATATCCGGAAACTGCAGCTGCTTGAATGCCTTCCCAGCCCCTCCTTCTCCCTCCCTCCCTCCGCCCCCCCCCCCTTCCTCTTTTCCATTGTCTTTGGCTCTCACAGGAGCTAGCTGCCTGGGAGGAATTGTTAACTGAGTACCAGGGTACCTTTAAAGAAGACCCTTGGAGTCTTCTATACCTTCTTCTCCTTCCCCATCTCACTCCACCCCACTTTGTCCCTGATGTCTTGGGGAAGGTGTAGAACACCCTAGCAGTTCCTATTGTATATACTTGGGAGCCACTGAGAACAGAGGACGGCCAGTGAGTCCAAGCCTCGTTCCTCCTTCTGCCTCCCCGGAGCCACAGGATGGATTTAGGAGCCACTGCTCAGTGCACTTCTCCCTTCCAACTGCATCAACTAACTCTCGGGGGTGTTCTGCTCACCACACCGTCCTTCGGTTCTTACTGAGTCACAGACTCGCCTGCCCACTACGTGTCCTGGGTTCTCTCTACTCAGATCCCTTCCAGAAACTTTATATGGGTAGAGGAAGCCAGGGCGGCAAATGCGAGACCAAATATCATTTTGCCAATGAGTCTGAGGCTGTGGTCTCTGGATCCAGTCATTATGTTTTTATAGAATAATTAAACCGGATGCTAACGGTGTTTTAAAAAATAATAATAAAACAACTTGTTTCCTTTTGGCCACCCCCAGGAAGGGCTGATTTCAAAATCTGGGGGCGAGCAACCTCAAGGAACACAATTTCCCTCCCTATCAACAAGAGGATTTTAACAGCAAAGAAGAGAGGCAGCACCTCCCATTGGCAGAATGACCGCTGAGCCAGGCTGGGTTTGGGTTTCTTCTCTTCTGATTCTGCTGCTCACTGTCATAGCCTTTTGTGTATAGTGATGTGTCTGTATCTTTAATGTAAATAGAGAGATGATGAAAAAAGAGTCTATTTTAGTGTTAGGAAGCCCCAGCAGGGGAGTCGGAAGAGCTTGGAAGAGCTGGGGAGAGGGTAGGGGAAAGGTTTTTCCAGGGGCCACTGGGTTTGAGCCCTGCTTCTGTGCACAGCCACACCACCCTCTCCCGACAGCCCTCAAAGACGTAGCAACTCTTTCTCTCAAGGTGCTAAAGGACTCAGAAGGTGCAGCACGTCCAGTGGGTAGGTACTTGTTGCATGCAAAAGCTGTAGTGTATCTGGTCCTTCCTCCCCAGCTTTTGTGTGGGGTTCTTGCTTTGTGTGGTATTTTGTTTTCCCCTCTAATGAGAGGGCATGGCCTGAGTCAGAAGAGCTACCCCAGGTGAAACTGGAAGTGCATGAGGCAGAGCGTCCGTAGCATTTCCAGTTTGTTCTGTATAGGAACAGAGGTGCCTCCGGGAAGGAGGCAGCGAGGTAGGTAGCTATGATAGGCACCTAATGCTTCTCAAGGACTTATTTTTTCCTTCTTGAAGACTAGTAGTAACATCTTATGATTTAGAGTAAGTTGATTGTAACCATAGGTATTTATTGATTGGAGGAAGGGAGGGTCATATTATTTTCGGCTTTATTTATGTAACATTTGCTAGCTTGTAAAAGGCGAATGTGAAATATTGCATCTGCATTTTCCAAGGCTGATTCGTGTAGCTACCCTTGCCACAGTTGTGACGGATGTATGGATGTTCTTGAACATTTCAGAAGGAGTGGTAGAAAAAAACACACATTCAGCCAACCACTTATATGAATTGAATGTATCAGAAGTGTACTGAAGGGACTGGAGATGGTTTTCCTCAGATGAGGGGGCCCCAAAATTGATAGTGCACATCTGCACGCTTTCTGCGAGGCCTCAGAACTTCCCAGGGCCCCTCCCTCAAATTGTCTCCATGGGAAACTTGACCCAGTGGCAAGTTGCACTTTGGTGATCTTGGTGGTCTACACACCCGTTCTGTGGAGAGTCGATTTACATAAGCTGTGTATACACACACACACACACACACACACACCCCTACCCCACACTGACTGTCTACCGACAAAGACCCTATTTCCTGGCAAACGGCCTCCTGAACCCTGACTTTTTGTGTACATACTTGTAAACACGGATTTTTCTGGGTTTTGGTTTGCTTTTTCCTTTTTTCCCCCTGCCCCTGTTCTAGCTTGTTCTTCTTGGTTTGCTTTCAACCTGCTTGATGGATGTCTGCAGAGTGCTCTCTAAGAGTCCACCTCAGTGCCTCGTGTGCTCAGTGGTCATGGGAAAGGAGCGAAGGAACCATCCTTGGTTCTCCCAGCTTGGTTGTGTAGCAATCCCTCAGCATTGTTTTTCTCAGCTTCTTGGCAAAAATTAAAACAACAACAACAACAACAACAACAACAACAAACAGAAGGATAAACTGGCTTGCCTGTGGACCCTCCCCGGCTCTGGGGCCAGTCGAGAGCCACTGAGGGACCCAGCACTCAGAGACACAACACACATGTGTAGCTGCTTCTGGCTGAGTGTGTTTCCTGTCACCAATGGCCTGTTTGGCTGGACGATGCCTCGGCTTGACCTTTTTTGAAAAGTGCTGGTTAGTTCCCGCCCCTGGTAAACCTGGGGTAGGTGGGGGTTCTGTCTTAACTCGAGGGGCACCTGGGATCCAGGACGCTTCTAGGGGGCTCTGGCTGCCCGTGTTAATGAAGGACAGCGCTTCCGCGAGCACCCTGGGAACTGGGTCTTGGGTAGCAAAGCCCTCCCAGAGAAAAGATTGGGCACAACTAAGGCTTTCCTGAGCAGGAAGGGGGTGAAGACCAATCCCTTCCTTTGGTCCTTTGGTACGCACCCCCTCAGAGCTGAGATGGAAGACATGGCTAGTTCTTTTCAGCCTTGTGGAGCCTGTCAGTCGCCATCATACCTCGAGTGAGGCCCAGCTAGATAATGACTTGTCCAAGATGGCACACGTGGAAAGTTGATCTGCACCAGAACCCGGATGACTGTCACCTTGAAGCATCCTGTTCTCCTTCTGTGCTGTCCCAGGAAGTGTCTGGCGGGCGTGGGCAGCACAGCTCTACACTGTACGATTCACTAGGGCATCCTGCGAGCCTCACTAGCCTTCTGGTTCATGCCTTTGACAAGCATTTTTGTGCCCCCTCTGCTTACTGTGACAGTCGATGATGAATCTTGCGTTGCCATTTTCTGCTGTGGGTAACTGCGTGCAGTGTCTTGCCTTGCTTTCTCTTCTTACTGTCCCACAGCTTGGTTTCATGTTACAAACAGAAAAGCTCGAGGCTCCCACCCCGCCACATCCCAACTTCATTTCCCCCTCACTGTAGCCCATTTCCACCCCACCACAAAGTTGCCACAGGTTTTCTTTGTATAGAATATTTATTTTGAAGCTCTATTTTAATAGTATTTATTTTAGAAAGTCTACTATTGTAAGAGTTCTTCTGTTTGTGAAGAAAAAAACAAGTTAAAAACTGAATGTACTGATTTAGAAAATATATATAAATATATATTGTTAAATATACACGGGACTGCCGTTTCTGGTGTGTTTGTGTGTTTACTTCCCTGACCTCTTCAGCCAGCAAGGCCTCAAGTTTGAGAATAAGCAGCCACTGAAAGGGGAAGAGAAGATAGGGCTTCCTGGGCTGGGCAATCCCTTCTCCCAGCTCTAGGACGACCGTAGAACCATCGGAGGAAAGCTGCTCTTCATTATGAAGCGGAATACTGCAAGGAGCTGCTAGAGCCTCCTTCCTGGGAAAGCTGTCCCCTAAACTGGAGTGTGCTGCAGATGGACAGCAAAGCTCCAAAACTGGGAAGAGGTAGAGGGGGAAAAGTGTCATCTGACCTGTCCATTCCTCTCCCTTTATGTCCCGATTGCCCCCAAAGCAGGTTTTCACACACATGAACACACAACATACATGCTTCAAGGAACTAAATAGAAAAGCCCTTGGTCATTTCCGTATTTTCACAGGATTGGTGCATATTGCACAAAACTAGTCCTTTTAGCCTCGAAAGCCTTCCATCCATTTCATGACCTTCTAATGTACCTTCCTTCTGTTTTTTGTTTTGTTTTGTTTGAGACAGCATCCCAGGCTGGAGTGCAGTGGAGCGATCTCACTCACTGCAACCTCCACCTCCTGTGTTCAAGCGATTCTCCTGTTTCGGCCTACTGAGTAGCTGGGATTATAGGCACGCACCACCATGCCCGGCTAATTTTCTGTATTTTTAATAGAGACAGGGTTTCACCATGTTGGCCAGGCTGGTGTCAAACTCCTGAGTTCAAGTGATCTGCCCGCCTCTGCCTCCCAAAATGCTGGGATTACAGGTGTGAGCCACCGCGCCTGGCCAGCATCTTGCTTCTGATTCCCTCGTACCCCCACCCCTGACCAGGGCACTCAAACTTTAGACCCAGCCACTTCTCAATTTACATAGCTATGGGAACTTTTTTATTTTTCCAAGACAGAGTTTTGCTCTGTTGCCCAGGCCGGAGTGCGGTGGCACAATCTTGGCTCACTGCAACCTTCCACCTCCCAGGTTCAAGCAATTCTTGTGCCTCCCGAGTAGCTGAGATTACAGGTGCGTGCCAGCATGCCCAGCTAATTTTTGTATTTTTAGTAGAGACGGGGCTTCACCATGTCGGCTAGGCTGGTCTTGAACTCCTGATCTCGTGATCCACCCACCTCAGCCTCCCAAAGTGCTGGGATTACAGACATGAGCCACCACACCCAGCCTTTTTGTGAGATGGAGTTTCACTCTTGCTGCCCAGGCTGGAGTGCAGTGGCGCAATTTCAGCTCACTGCAACCTCCACCGCCCAGGTTCTAAGCGATTCTCTGGCCTCAACCTCCCAAGTAGCTGGGACTACAAGCACACGCCACCATGCCTGGCTAATTTTTGTGTTTTTAGTAGAGACGAGGTTTACCATGTTGGCCAGGCTGGTCTCGAACTCCTGACCTCAGGTGATCCGCCTGCCTCGGCCTCTCAAAGTGCTGGGATTACAGGCGTGAGCCACCGCGCCCAGCCCACTATGGGAACTTTTTAATGACCTTTTATTCATATGCCAATCAGGATGAAAGTTGGACTTTATTTTGAACATGTGAGCACGTACCTCGTTTTCCAGAAATCAATAGTTTTTTTTTTTTCTATTACCAATAATTGGGGGGAAATAACCAATAGTGAGGGATGGGGGAAGAAAGGGGAGTGGTAGAGACAGATCAGGAACTGTGGGTCTGGTTCTTGGTTTTTCTAGGGGTTACCAATTATGGCCTCCCAGGATCCTTTGTGAAATCCAAACCTTGAGTTCCTCTTAAGAGACATCCAAATGCTTGCCAGGATCCCCAGACACTGCCCAAGAAGACACAAAGGATGTTCTTCAATGTGGGCTTGTCTGCTCTAGAACTTTTAGAATAAAGATAGGCCCTGACCTCCCGCTCTGTGGCCAGACCATGTGGCCTGTCCCATTCCTGCAGTGTGGACCAAGGTTAGGTAATGCTCCAAGTCCTGCTTCACTGACAAGGTAAGTCACTGGCACTTAGAGATAATCGTCTTTTTAATTGGCTCAGTCCCAGTTCGTGTACACCACACTTTGATTCAGTCTTGGGTTTCCTTATGGGTGGGCACATGGGGCAGGCCTACCCCTGGTTCTACTTTAACAATTTCTAGTGCTTGGAGATTAAAAACAATGACAAAAATCTATACAAGGGTTTGAGTGCTGAACGTCTCAGGCACCCAAATGCTCTTGGGGAAACAGGAGCCAAGCAGTATCCAGAGAAAAAGTTCCACATGTGCCCCTCTTATCTTTATCCCTCTGGCCCCATGCCTTTGGTTCCCAGTTATCAAATGGCGTTGGAGTAGTAATAACGGCCATCATTTATTGAATGGCTTCTTTTCTCCAGGTACTGAACATCCATGGCAGACGCTATTCTTTCCCTCTTAGAGATGCAGACACTGAGGCTCAGAGAAGTTGTCCCGCACCCAGTATGTGATGGAGAGGTAGAGGGTAAAAACATCAACTGAAGGATTTAGCATTTGGGGAAGAAGGAAGAAGCCCAAAATGGAGTAGATCAAAGGCTCCCCCGTGAACAAATTTAAAATTAAGGAGAAAGAAGCAGAATTCAGCCTTCTCCACACCCATAACCAAACAGCTCCTATGAAGGCACCAAGCCTGACGCTCATCCCAATAAAAAGGAACGATCTGGAGAGAGGGGCAGCCGCTGGTGACAAGAGAACCCCCCAGGCAGCCTCGTCATCTGGCCAGGAGTCCCTGGCTCCCTCCTACAGCTCTCCAGACAGCCTTTCCCACTTGCTGAACCTGCAACTTGAAGTGAGCTCCACTTTCCAAAGTAGGTTTGTGAACCAATCAAATGAACCCAGGCGGCCAGCTCCATGCTGGAGGTGTGTGCCAGATGAAAGCCAAGAGGACATTTTTAAGAGCCTTAAGTTTATTCATCGGAACTTTAATAAAACAATATGTCCATGGCCTAGGGCAGGTATAATTTTCATAATTTATGGGTCTGTGAGACAGGAAGAGAGTTTGGGGTTTTATTGTGTTTTGCACGATAAATGGCATTCCAATTGTCTACATGATGTTCTTTAAGGACTCTTGTCTGGCAGGAACACAGGCCTTCTGGAGCCCACCTGGGCCTTGAGGCCTGAGGCAAGGGATAATTATGAATACATCTGTATGTGTTAAGCAGGAGATGATTGAAAAACTCCCTCTGTTCCTTCTATCATTAGAAGACACTTCCTATGCTGACACCTATATTAACATTTAACTGTTGCAAAGGTTGGAACCCTTCCTGTTCCCTTCCTCTCCCACCTTCTCCTCCCTTAGGCCTGCCCTTTTCTTTCCTGTAACTGAAGAGACTCAGGTAAATTTCTCTCGATTGGCTTCCCTCCCACTGGGCATGGTGGAGGGGGTGACTTGGGACTCTGAACCAAAAAAAAAAAAAAACAAAAAACACCATGATCTACAGAAGAAGACAATGGAGCTCTAGGTAATGTGTTTTTTTGTTTGTTTGTTTTTTGGTGTTTTTTTGTTTTTTTTTTTTTTTTGAGGCAGGATCTCACTGTCATCCAGGCTGGAGTGCAGTGGCATGATCTTAGCTTACCGCAGCCTCTACTTCCTTGGCTCAGGGGAACCGCTCACCTCAGCCCCTGAGTAGCTGGGACTACAGACATGTGCCACCATACCTAGCTAATTTTTTTTTTTTTTTGGAGAGACAGGGGTCTTATGTTGCCCAGGCTGGTCTTGAACCGCTGTTCTCGAACTCCTGGCCTCAAGCAGTCCTCCCTCTTTGGCCTCCTAGAGTATTAGGATTACAGCTGTGAGACACTGTACCCCACCTGGGTGATGTTCTAATTAGAATCAGCAGTTAGATTGCTTCTATAATATTAATAAGCCCTCAGGTAACAGTGGCCAAGTGGCCTTATAAAATAATCATTACAGTAATTATCACTTCTGAGTACAGATGCATTATCATTTATATACATAGAGAGACAGAGAGAGAGAGAGAGAGAGAGATGGAGTCTCATTCTGTCACTCAGGCTGGAGTACAGTGAGTGGCATGATCTCAGCTCACTGCAATCTCTGCCTCCCAGACTCAATTCTTCTGCCTCAGCCTCCTGAGTAGCTGGAATTACAGGGTGAGCCACCCCGCCCGACCATCATTTACAATCTTGAAAACAGTCAAATTAGGTTGATATAATCAACCCCATTGTATAGAGGAGAAAACCAAAGGTCGGAGAGATAAAGTCACTTGCCCAAGGCCACACAGCTGATAAGTGGTAGACCTGGAATTTTAACCCGAGGATATGCCTCCAAAGTCAGTGCACTGCTCGCTAAGGCCCCCTCTTTGAGATCAATTCAATTCGCACCTGCCCTGGGTTGCTTTCCTGTGTCCCCAGAAAGAGGCTTCCTTCCCACTTGTGCTTCTATAGAAGTTGATAGAATATGTAGTTTGTTTCAACAAATAACACATAGACTAATCAAGATAGGACTTGAGCCCAGGTCTAACCACTGAACCACAACAACGCTGTTCTCAAACTGATCTCAGGAAGGATCTTCTATTACCACACGACATTGCTTTTGGCCAGCTTTCCTGATTTCTTCTACAACAGAAAGAATAATTTGGGCTGTGATGGCCAGAGACTATTTGGGGAAGGGGCAATAATCTTACAGAGAAGAGAGGGGGCTGTAAATTGCTTCAGATAATTCAAAAAGTCAGGGTCTGGCTGGGCATGGTGGCTCACACCTGTAATCCCAGCACTTTGGGAGGCCGAGGCAGACAGATCACTTGAGGTCAGGAGTTCGAGACCAGCCTGGTCAACATGGTGAAACTCTGTTTCCACTAAAAATACAAAAATTAGCCGGGCATGGTGGCAGGTACAGACCGCTGCTTGAGTCACCACTCTGCTACCTTCACTAGCTGTGATCTTGGGAGAGTGACTGCCCTTCTAATAATAGTTGGCACCAATAGTAATCCCAACTACTGAGGAGGCTGAGGTGGGAGAATCGCTTGAACCTGGGAGGCAGAGGCTGAGTGAGCAGAGATCATACCACTGCACTCCAGCCTGGGCAACAGAGTAAGACCCTATCTCAAAAAAAAAAAAAAAAAAAGTCAGCATCTGGTGGCTTTGTGGAAAAGATGTATTACACAGAGACAGAGGGGTGCAGGCCACTCCTGCTCTTCCAGGGGCAAAGACACATTCCTCCTGTGCCAGCCTTGGAGTCAGATGGATGGGGCAGGACCAGAGAGCCAAAGCAGCTGGGGTGCAGTGGAGGGGGTAGGAGTTGGGGAACCCCATGTTACAAATAGTGCTCCACTCAACCCTGCCAGGCCACGCCTTGACCATTTCCCTGGCCAGCCCTGGATTACTAAAGCACTCTAAGATGCACCTCTAACAGGATTCAAGAACTAGTGTCCATCTAGCCAGGGCCAGTTCCCAGAGTGTGCCTGGCATGGGCCTTGGTGCTCTCTGAGAAGTGACTGCTCCTTCCACGGGCCACTCCTCTTAGAACAACATGGTGGGGAAGAGCGCACAGAGCCTTACAGCCCGCTGCGTGGGCCACTGCTCTGCCGCCCTCATTAGCTGTGATCTTGGGAAAGTGGCTGCCCTTCTAATAGTAGTTGGAAGATTAGATTGTGACTTTGCACAGCACTCAGCCCAGCACTGACAACTGTTGTTAATATCTGAAAGACTGGAGAGCAGAGAATAGAAGAACTCGCCTCTCCTCTCCTCTTAGCCTCAGTTTCTTCATCTTCAGCCTGGCAGTCTGGACCACGTAGGCAGGAAGTCACAAGCTTTTGGCCCACAGTGTTTCAAAAACTGTTGGTTGTCATCATTCAGAAATTAAGAGGTTTCAAATTACGATGAAAACTTTTCTTGAAAAATACCGAGAGCTGCCCTGCTGGGCCCCCATTCCCTAAGGCAGCGATGGGCTAGAGCAGAAGGGCAGCTTCCCTTCCCAAACCAGGCACAGCCCTTCAGTCTCCTTCAGCAGCTCTCCCAGTTAAGTGCCACTGCCCAGTTCCCCTGGGCTGGGTGCCCGTTGCCATCAATCATTGTGTTTGCACCTTGATGTCTCTTACGCCTCGCCTATTTTCTCATTTCTGCTACCCGCTGGACTCTCCGCGCTTGATGCTGGCTGGCGTCAGGTCTGACTGGCCTCCTTGGGCACTTTAAGTCAAACCATCATAATGTCCCAACCCCCGTCTGGTGGCTTCCTAAGGATGCCCACCCCGCAAGCCTGTGACTCAGATGCAGTTTCCAGAGTCATCATCCCAGAAAGGACTGAGGTTGTAGAGGCCAGTGGTTCCTAGCCCAGAATTTGTCTGTGTGTTGAGGCATTGGGGGTTAAAGAGGGAGGACTGTTGGTGAACCTTTTGATATTATAGATAAAGTTCTGTGTGTTTGTGTGTGCTTTTTTTCTGAGGGACGCTTTCCAGATTCTCAGAGAGGTAAGTGGCCTCCCCAAAATGTGAGGGTTCAATCACTGGTTTAATCCACCTACTTCTGTTCTGTGGATGGAGATGTGAGACCCTGAGAGGAGACAAGCGGCTTGCCCAAGGTCCCACAGAAGCTTAGTTGCAAAGCCAAGAACAGCAGCCAGGTTTTCTATCTCTCTAGGAAATTGTGGTTTTATGAACCAATCTATAGCGTCTCCAAAAAAAAAATTCTACAAAAGTGACATCACCCTTAATGATGTATCAGTAACACTCCCACTTGGCCATACCCTGATTCTCCCTGTTCTGCATCTGATTCTTTGCCACCACTCCTACAGTGAACGGTGATTTGCTGACTTGTTCGCAGCCTGTCTGTTCCCCACTGGGGGATAAGCTCGATGAGAGCAGACAACTTGGCCTCTTTTGTCCACGACTCTAGTGCTTCCCGGCCTTCTTCACAATCCACATAAACGTGATATTTGGGTTGTCCACTGAGGTAAACCAACAAGTTAACTTCCAGGGACACTGATATCCAGGGGCTCTGTCCTCCCCAGGTCTCACCCACTGCCGTGAGAGTGGGGGACCAGTAATTTCAATATACCTCACATCTTTTGGGAAGCTTCCAGTACAGCATCTGGCATAGGAGTGGCAGATGCTCATTAAATGTATTCATTAAAGGTATTAATTAATGAATAATAAACTGAGAGGACAGTCAAAAGAGAGTTGGACATGTAGCCTTAAACTTTATTTCTGTCCTATAGCTATGGCTAGGACCAGGCACAGTGTTTCACACCTGTAATCCCAGCACTGTGGGAGGCTGAAGTGGGAGGATCACTTGAGCCTGGGGAGGTTGAGGCTGCAGTGAGCCAAGATCGTGCCACTGCATTCCAGCCTGGGTGACAGGGAGACCCTGTCTCAAAAAAAAATTGCTACGATTATGTAGCAGTGTTTCCACTGCATAGCCATAATGATAGCGATATAGTACCAGCTTCCAACTTGTATGGCTGACATTTAAGTATTTGCCATGTGCCAGGGTGCTGAGTACAATGTGAACCAACAAAGTGCTTTCTGTCCTTTTTTTTTTTTTTTTTTTTGAGACAGAGTCTTGCTCTGTCACCCAGGCTGGAGTGCAGTGGTGTGATCTCAGCTCCCTACAACCTCTCCATCCCGGGTTCAAGCAATTCTCCCGCCTCAGCCTCCCGAGTAGCTGAGACTACAGGCGCGCACCACCACACCCAGCTAATTTTTAGTAGAGACAGGGTTTCCCCATGTTGGCCGGGATGATCTTGATCTCCTGGACTCATGATCTGCCCACCTTGGCCTCCCAAAGTGCTGGGATTACAGGCGTGAAACACCGTGCCCGGCCAATTTTTGAATTTTTAGTAGAGACAGGGTTTCACCATGTTGCACAGGCTGGTCTTGAGCTCCTGACCTCAAGTGATCCACCTGCCTCAGCTTCTCAAAGTGTTGGGATTACAGGCATGAGCCACTGCACCCGGCTGCATTAGTACTTTTATAACCCCAGTTTTACAGATGAAGAAACTGAGGATCTAGAAGATGAAACCATATGCCCAAGGTTGTGTAGGCCTGACCCTAGACCCTTGCTTTTCTACCCAGCCACCCACCCATGGACACTGGGAAGAGGCATCAGCAGGGTGTCTTGTGGTTACCAATTATGGGGACGGTTGGTGTATAGGGGGAGAGGCCTGAGCCGGAAGCCTTGACTGCATTGTAGAATCACTCATGGGCTGTAAAAGGTCTTCAAAACCCGTAGTTTCCAAAACTGAACCTGGTAGATTCCCACCCCTTAGCTCCCTTTGTCACTTGCCTGTGATGAATACCTTTAAGAAGAATAAAAAGGAGGCCACTGTAGGAATTTATGCCATGTGGTTCTCCTGGCCCTTCTAAAGCATGTATGGCCACCAGACAGATACATTAAGGATCAGTAATGTCATGTTAAAATAACATGACTATTGCAAAAAGGAAAACAGCAGGAAAAATAAAACTCTCCCCACCGTATTCCCAGCTTTAGTGTAACACTTTGGTATATACCATGCATTGATTCATTTAACAAATAGTGAGCGTCTACTATGTGCTAGGCATTGCCCTTCTATCTTTAAAACCATACATGGGATCATACTGCACCAAGCCGTTCTGCAAAATGCTTTTTTCTGTGTATTGTGTAACATTACACATGGATATCCTTCCACACCTCTAGCTCCACCTTGTCTTTTATAATAGCTGGTATTGTGTTGTCGTTCATTTTATGGTCTTATCACCTCCTCTTTCTACCGCCTCCTGTGACAGGCTCTGCTCTCACACCCAGCCACAAACCTCACCTGGACCACACTAGCCACACCCGGACCACACTAGCCACACCCTCTGCTTGCCCTGCCCAGGAGGCCAGTGAGCAAAAACAGGAGACTTGTTGGGTCCCTGCATGAAGTGGGGTCAGGGGGAAGGGGCAGACACAGGGCAGGCTGTGAGGCACTGAGGGGCACAGGACGTTCCCTTTGCCTCAGAAGACCTGCCAAGTGCTATATCTCTGAATTAGGGCAAAATCCTAGATGGTGTGGGATTCACCTTAAAGATAACCAAGAAAATAAACAGGAGGAGACATAAAAGGATATTGCCTTTAAAATCCACAGTTTTGACTGGGCTGTAAGCTTCACATCTGCACAACTTGGAGTATTACACAGTGACCATCATTTATTTATCCAGTTCTTTCTTGTCACTCCCCTTCTTAAAACCCTCTAGTTTCTCCCTCCCCTTGAGTGTAGGCTGGACTTAGTAACCCACTTCCAAAGAACAGAGTATGAAAAGGAAAAATAGCAACTTTACAACCTGACAGATGCCACCTTAACCTGGTGAAGAAGGTTAAACATCACCAGTAATAAGTCATATTGGCCAGGCCCAGTGGCTCACGCCTGTAATCCTAGCACTTTGGGAGGCTGAGGTGGACGGACTGCTTGAGTCCAGGAGTTCGAAACAGCCTGGGCAACATGGTGAAACTCTGTCTCTACAAAAAATGCCAAAAAAATTAACCAGGCATGGTGACGCACGCCTGTATCCCATCTACTTGCGAGCCTGAGGTGGGAGGATCCCTTGAGCCATGGAGTTGGAGCTTGCGGTGAGCCATGATGGTGCCAGTGCACTCCAGCCTGGGCAATGGAGCGAGACCCTGCCTCAAAAATAAGAAGTCATGTTATCAGATACCCCTGATATCATGTGGTGAGAGGGACACTTCACCTCTGGTATTCTTTCCCAAGATTCATAATTTTAACCTAATCATGAGAAAACATCCAACAAACCCAAATTGAGGGACCGTCTACAAAATACCTCACCAGTACTGTTCAAAAGTGTCCAGGTCCTGAAAAACAAGGAAAGACGGACAAATTGTCACAGACTGGGAAAAACATGATAAGTAAATGTTTTCCTGGACTGGATCCTGGAACAGAGAAAGGCCAGTAGTTGAAAAACTGGTAAAATCTGAATAAAATCTAGACAGGATTGTGCCAATGTTAATTTCTGATTTAGATAAATGTACCATGGTTTTGTAAGATATTAAAATTAGGGAAAGCTGGCTGAAAAATATAGGGCAATTCTCTGTACCATCTTTGCAACTCTTCTGTAAATCAAAAATTATTCCAAAATAAAAAGGGTTTAAAAATAATTAAAAACAAACAGGCCAAGTGCGGTGGCTCACGCCTATAATCCCCACACTTTGGGAGGCTGAGACTGGCGGATTGCTTGAGGTCAGGAGTTCGAGACCAGCCTGGACAACATGGCGAAACCCCGTCTCTACTAAAAATACAAAAATTAGCTGGGCATGGTGGTGCACACTTGTAATCTCAGTTACTCGGGAGGCTGAAGCAGGAGAATCGCTCGAACTCAGGAGACAGAGGTTGCAGTGACCAGAGATTGTACCATTGCACTCCAGCCTGGGCGACAGAGCAAGACTCCATCTCAAATAAATAATAATAATAATAAATAAATAAACAATAAACTTCAGTTCCTTCTCATTGGTTTTAGGAATAAAGTCAGACTTCTTACTGAAGCCTGTAAGACCCTACCTAATCTAGCCCTGGCTACCTCCATCCTCTCCCACCCTTATCTTGTGCCCCTTCCCACACCTCCTATAACTCTCTCAAGAAGCTAAGCAGCCCTTTCCTGCTTCTGAGCCCTTCCTGCTTCAGAAGCTCTTGCTGCTGCCAGGAATACTCCATAGTCCTCCACTCCCTTACCCACGGCTCACTCCTTCTTACCCTCAGGAAGGTAAGAAGGCCTTCCTGGGCTGCCCTGATATTCTCTTTGCTGTCCTTATTTCCTTTGCTGTCTTTTCCTTTGCTGTCCTTATTTCAATTTGCAATTATATCACACATGTGCTCATTACTTTATTTGCTATCTGTCTTTTCCCCTTCAAAGGCAGTTTTATTTTTATTTGCTTATTTTTTATTTATTTATTTATTTTTGAGATGGTGTCTTGCTCTGTCACCCAGGCTGGCATCTGCTCACTGCAACCTCTGCCTCCTGGGTTCAAGCGATTCTCCTGCCTCAGCCTCCTGAGTAGCTAGGATTACAGGCGCCCACCACCACGCCCAGCTAATTTTTGTATTTTTAGTAGAGACGGGGTTTCACCATTGTGGCCAGGCTGGCTTAGAACTCCTGACCTCAAATGATCCGCCCACCTCGGCCTCCCAAAATTCTGGGATTACAGGCGTGAACCACTGAATCAAAGGCAGTTTTATTCACTGCTCTATCTGCAGGTTCTAGACACTACCTAGTTATCCATATTGGTTATCACTATATTGACTATCAGTACTTTTTTCTTTTCTTTTAATGAATGAACCCCTCCCCCACTGATAGACATTTACATTGCTTCCACATTTTTTTGATCACAGCCACTGTGGCAGACACCTTGGTTGATAGCTATCCTTCATTTTTTATTGCTGCCCCACGTTTGTTCTGGAGTTCACCCCCTTCCCATGTGACTCAGGGAAGAATAACCCTATTCACGTCTCCAGCTGTAAAACCCAGAGGAGTCTTATCAAATGTGACTGTACCAGGTGTTGGCATGTGATGCAGTGCAGGCCGATGGGAGGTGAGGGGAAATCTAGGGGGACTTCTGGGAAGTTTCTTTGTTTTATTTTGTTTTTTTTTGAGATGGAGTTTTGCACTTGTTGCCCCAGGCTGGAGTGCAATGGGGCGATCTCGGCTCACCGCAACCTCTGCCTCCTGGGTTTAAGCAATTCTCCTGCCTCAGCCTCCCAAGTAGCTGGGATTACAGATGCACACGATCACGCCCGACTAATTTTGTATTTTTAGTAGAGATGGGGTTTCTCCATGTTAGTCAGGCTGGTCTCAAACTTTCGACCTCAGGTGATCCACCCACCTCAGCTTCCCAAAGTGCTGGTATTACAGGCATGAGCCGCCACGCTGGGTGAGCTGGTTTATGACTGGCAGCCAAAGGCTTCCTAACTTACAGAGCTAGTACATTTTTCTATTTCTTTACAAGGCTGGTGTTTAGAATTATCATAGGGTTGGGAAGGTCATAACTCATTGAATTGTATATATTAAATATGCACAGCTTTTTATATGTCAATCATACCTCAATAAAGTTATTGGGAAAAAATTCACCTTGACTATAAGTACAATAAGTCACTATTTTTTGTTGTTGTTTTTTAGAGACAGGGTCTCACTCTGTCACCAGGTTGGGGTGCAGTGGCACAATCATAGCTCACTGCAGCCTCAAACTCCTGAGCTCAAACAGTCCTCTCACCTCAGCCTCCGGAGTAGCTAGGAATACAGGTGTGTGACACCACACCCGGCTAATTTTTTTTTTTTTTTTTTGAGATGGAGTCTTGCTCTGTTGCCCAGGCTGGAGTGCAGTGGTGCAGTCTTGGCTCACTGCAACCTCCACCTCCTGGGTTCAATCGATTCTCCTGCCTCAGCCTCCCAAGTAGCTGTGATTACAGGTACCTGCCACCACACCTGGCTAATTTTTTTTTTTTTTTTGAGATGGAGTCTTGCTCTGTTGCCCAGGCTGGAGTGCAATGGCGTGATCTTGGCTCACCAGAACCTCTGCCTCCCAGGTTCAAGCGATTCACCTGTCTCAGCCTCCCGAGTAGCTGGGACTACAGGCGTGAGCCACCATGCTTGGCCCTAATTTTTTTTTAATTGATTTTTTACATTGCTATGTTGCCCAGGCTAATAAGTCACCATTAAAAACCCTTCCTGAGATTTTCCTTGGAACTAATGTCACAAAGACATGTTTTAAATGGCTCAATGACTATTTTGTAGACAACCATATTCAGCTCTATATGGTCATCTGCAGCATTCAGAGGGTTTGGCTACTAGACTGCCCATAGGTAGTGGCTATTCCCCTCGCCAACCCCTGACACAGGTAGAAGAAATGGAAGAGGAGTTCTAGGGTTTTTCAAAGTGTGTTCTATTAGTTCTTTTAACAACCCCCTTTTTCTCAAAGGCAAGGGGGAGGGCACAGAGCTTCAACTTCTAAAATCTTCCAAAGTGGATCACATGGAATGTTGTCTCTAAAATCAAAATCATATTTTCCTTGTAACTCCAGGAAGGAGGGGGAAGTCAGATCTTAAACAGGTCTCAAATTAGAAACAGTCCCCCCTCCCTCCATGTTATACAGCCCAAGTCTTTCTCTTGTGGACTTTCAGACTGGAGCCCTGCCAAAAATGTAAGCAAGAATTTGGCCCATTGTTACTTTAAATATCCTGTGTCGCAGGCCATCTAGGAATGTCTAAGTATGGGAATTTTCCTTTTGAGGTCTGGGATGTAGATATAAATAAACCATTTGTTGGATTCTGTCTCCATCCTGCCTCTCCTAGCTTCAGTGGCCATGAATAAGGCAGCCTTGTAAATAACGGTTACCAGCCCACTCCGTGGGGGAGGCCGGAAGCGGAATCCATTAGGATCATTTCCCTTTACTCTTTAACAATAACTTATCCAGGCCAGGCGAGCTGGGGAGTAGCTATTTCCAAGGCTGCCCCACACGTCTCTTGAAAATGCAGTCTGGGAGATCATGGTTTAACCTGATTCATCCTGGCCCTTCTGCCTCCATGTTAAAGTTTGAAGAGCTCATATTTCTGGTAGACTGAATAAGAAGAAAGCTTTATTTCCATCTGCCTTACCACCTCTTCCCCAAAAAGGATCTGCTGAAGTTAGCAGATGACACAGATGACCTGGTGGAGGCAGTTTATAGCTGTCTCTCACCTTCTAGCTCTGACTTCCCCAAGTTTCTCTGACCTTGGGATAAGAAAAAACCCAACAACCTGCAAGCACTGCTTTGACACTAAAGGAGCCTCCCCACGTCTCAGTTTCCCCATCTGGAAAATGGGGGTAATAATGACCTCTCTCACACGGACTCTTGTCAGAGGTCAGTGAGAGTCTGTGTATAGCATTTACCATGAGGTAAGAACTCAATAAAGGAAAGAAAACATAGAGCTGAGGGAGAAGGAGGAGAAGAGGGAGACAGAAATAGAGAAACGGAGGGCAGACGGGGAGAACCACAGTGATATGTGGGGTGGGGACAAATTGAGAGCACAGATCTAGAGAGACACAGGAAGGCAGAGGCTGAGATGATATGAGAAGCTCTCGAGGGGAAAAGGAGGGACAAAAGTGGCTTTCTCTCTTGCATAGAGTTGATAAAGCTCCCCAGAGTCCCCACTGCCTGCTGATAAAGGGTCAGGGAAGCTCCACAGCTGAAAAAGGAAAAATTATAACTCAGATCCTCTTATAGTTAGCAGAGATCCAAACAAGAGCAGAGGTAGTGCCTGCTAACTGGCCTTCCCCGAGGGCCTTACAGCTGGTCAACCAGGTCAAGGTCAACCAGGTCAACTAACCTTGACTGAGGGCCCAGTATGTACCAGGCACAGGCCTGGGCTCAGGCTATGTAAGGAGCAAGACCATCATGGAGGGTGCATACATTCTAGAGTGAAGGAGGCAGACAAGAAGCAGGTACGTAAGAAATAGATGGTCAGGATAATTTTAAAGAGTAAAAAATGCTGCAGGGAAATTAAGTCCGGTAACAAGGTAGCAAATGATGCAGGTAGTGGTCAGGGAAGGCCTCTCTTAGAAGGTGATGTTTGAGCTGAAACCTGGTTTGAAATTTGGGGGTCTGAGCCTCCACTGTGGTTTTACCTAGCAGGCTTCCCGGACTTAGTCCTTACATGCACATGCACACCGTAAAAAAGAGACCAAAGAAAAATCTGCAAGAATTGCTCAAATAACACAAGACGGGGATGAACTGGATCTACAGGTCTAGAGTTATTCAGAACTAAAGACGCCTGTCACACGGCTTAAGCAAGAGCAGGAAGGGGCTGCCAGGCCTCTGGGAAGACCTCCCTGGGGAGGGAGCAGGCAGACAAATGGCCCGGATAGAGATCCCCCGCTACGTGATGTTTTCCTTCCTAAAGATAGCGCCCAGCTCACTGAATCACCCGGGCTTCCTCTAACAGCGGAGAAACTTCACACTTCCCAGCCCTGCAGGCCCCCAACCCACCTCTGCCTTTGCCAGGGACTACAGGACCGTGATCTACATACAAAGAAAAGCCCAGGGATGGGGGTTTCAAGGGGAGCCAGGGGAAGAGTTCCAGGCAGGAAGCCTCTCCTTGACCCAGGAATACAAACCGGGTTGGAACTGCTGCCTTCAGGTCAAAGCTGCCAAAACAAAGTTAAAGGTGTAAAAACAAAGTGAGAAGGTCACACAGCTATGGGCCTCTCTCTCTGGAACCCAGGGGTGGGGGTGAGGCGTGTGTGTGAGAAAGACTTGACTAAAAAGCACTTTTCAACCATTTTAACCGCAGATGTCCCTCCACTGCGATGAAAGAGCGTGAGAAGGGTGGGTGCCCAGCATTCGGCGGCTGCTTTCATTCATTCCGTAAACGCGTATTTTTACGCGTTTTAACCGAGCCGAAGTCTCGGTTTCTCTCCCAGCCTGCTTTTCCTACAGCTTTCCTCATCTAAGATTCAATTTACCTGGTAGCTCAGGCCAAAAATCTTGGGCTCATTCTTGGCTTCTTTCTTTATTTCCTACCGTACATCTGATCCAGCAGCAAAATCGTATTGAAAATTTTTTTTTTTTTTTTTTTTTTGAGACAGAGTCTCGCTCTGTTGCCCAGGCTGGAGTACGGTGGCACGATCTCGGCTCACGGCACGCTCCACCTCCCGGGTTCACGCCATTCTCCTGCCTCAGCCTCCCGAGTAGCTGGGACTACAGGGGCCCGCCGCCACGCCCGGCTAATTTTTTGTGTTTTTAGTAGAGATGGGGTTTCACCGTGTTAGCCAGGATGGTCTCGATCTCCTGACCTCGTGATCTGCCCACCTCGGCCTCCCAAAGTGCTGGGATTACAGGCATGAGCCACCGTGCCCGGCCGTGTATTGAAAATTAAAGGTGTACATTCAAATGATTGGATCTGTTCTCACCACCTCTGCCAAAACAGATCCAGAATCCTATCAGTTCTCACCATCTCCACATCTGCCACCATCCTCCAAGCCACCATTCTCTCTCTGGATTATCTCTAAACAGGTCTCCCCCTGCCTCCCCGAGGGAATCAGCTGGGAGCGTTTACCAGCAGGGTGGCCTTGGGCTACTTCACCCCTCTGCTCTTCAGTCTCTGCATCTGAACAGGGGAGAGAGTAATGGTACCCCCCTCATGAGACACTTGTGAAAATGACATAAAAGAAGTCACAGCCTTCCAAGAGTGCCTGGCATAGGAAGTCCTAGCATTCTGATTTGTCTATTGTTTCACTTACCACACTGGTTGTTTAACAGTCATCTCCTCTGGCTGGGCGGGGTGGCTTACGCCTGTAATCCCAGCACTTTGGGAGGCCAAGGCGGGAGGATCACATGAGGTCAGGAGTTCAAGACCAGCCTGACCAACATGGAGAAACCCCATCTCTACTAAAAAATAAAATAAAATAAAAAATTAGCCAGGGGTGGTGGCACATGCTTATAATCCCAGCTACTCAGGAGGCTGAGGCAGGAGAATCGCTTGAACCCAGGTGGTGGAGTTTGCAGTGAGCCCAGATTGTGCCATTGCACTCCAGCCTGGGCAACAAGAGCGAAACTCTGTCTCAAAACAAAGCATAACAGTCATCTCTCATTAGATTGGGTGGCGCTGGGAGGCTGGAGCCATACCTAACACCTAGCACAAAATCAGAAGTTACTCCTCCGCTCAACCCCCTCTCCCCCACATCCCCAGGCTTCTCTTTTCCTTTAAAACAGTGTCTAAAGTCCACGTAGTGGCCCATGGGCTCCAAGTGACCTGTCCCTGACTGTATCTCTTCCACCCACCCTACCTCTTACTCACTTCCTTCCTGCCACATGGCCTTCCTCAGGGTCCTTCCATCACACCAGCATGTTCTGTCTCCCGGCCTTTGGATGTGCTGATCCTTTGGTCTGGAAAGCTCTTTGGCCACATATTTGCATGGCTCGCCACTCCTTCACTTCATTCAGGTCTTTGTTTAGTTGCTACCTCCTCAGAAAGGCCTTATCTATTTTTTTTTTTCCTTTTTGAGACAGAGTCTGGCACTGTCACCCAGGCCGGAGTGCAGTGGCATGATCTTGGCTCACTGCAACCTCCACTTCTCAGGTTCAAGCGATTCTCCTGCCTCAGCCTCCTGAGTAGCTGGGATTACAGGCACTCACCACCACGCCTGGCTAATTTTTGTATTTTTAGTAAAGACAGAGTTTCACCATGTTGGCCAGGCTAGTCTCAAACTCCTGTCCTTAGGTGATCTGCCTGCCTTAGCCTCCCAAAGTGCTGGGATCACAGGCGTGAACCACTGTGCCCGGCCAGAAAGGGCTTATCTGACCTCCCTGTCCAAAATAGTCCACCTTTCAACCTCCCACCTCCCCTTAGCCTAGTTTATATTTCATCACTACCTGCTCTTATTTTATATTTACATTTTTTACTTTAGGTGTTTATTGTCTGTCTTGTCTACTAGAATGTAAGCTCTATGAGGGCAAGGAGTTTGTCTTTGCTCACCATTATATTCCCAGTGCCCAGGAAGCTGGCTTATGGTAGGTGCTTAATAAAAATGTGTTGAATGAACAAATGAACAAATGAATGAATTTACTGGGCGTTCATGCACCACGGCACTGTGTAAGGCACTTTACATATTATATATACATTTGTTCATCCTCACAATTATTATCACTACAAAGTGACTCCTCCCTTTTTTTTTTGAGACAAGGTCTTGCTCTGTCACCCACTCCTGCTCACTGCAGCCTTGACCTCCCAGGCTCAAGTGATCCCCCAGCCTCAGCTCCCTGAGTAGCTGGGACTACAGGGTGTGCCACCACACCTGGCTGGCTAATTTTGTTTATTTATTTATTTATTTATTTTGTAGAGCTGGGGTTTCGCCATGCTGTCCAGGCTGGTCTCGAACTTCTGAGCTCAAACGATCCGCCCACCTTGACCTTCCAAAGTGCTGGGATTACAGGCATGAGCCACTGTGCCTGGCCCATGTGACTCCCATTTTAAAGACAAAGGAAACCAGGTTAAACTCTGAGCTTTGCACAGCAGAGAGAAACTTCCACATGCTGCTCCCTCTGCCTGGAATCCCCTGCCTCCTATTCATTCCTACTTGATGTACTTGACCTTCAAGGTCAACTCGGTCATCTTTTCCTCCATGCAGCCTCTCCTGTGTCAAGCTGGTCAGGTGTCCCTCTGCCACTTAGTGTAGGCTGCCTGGTTTCTCATCCCACCTCCAACAGCAGCTGGGTGGTGTAGGGAGGTTACTTAACCCCTCTTGCATTTTAGTCTCTGCATCTAAAAGGAGGGAGAAAATAGTACCTGCTTCATGAGACAGTTGTGAAGATTAAATAAGGTAAGTAATGACCTTCAAAGAGTGCCTGACATGTGGTAAGTGCATTTGTCTGCACTTCATTGACCATGCTGTGTTATAACTGTTTGTTTAATGTCCATCCCCTTTGCTATGGTTTGAATGTTTGTGTCCCCTCCAAAATTTATGTTCAAACTTAATCCTTGATGCAACAGTATTAAGAGGTGGGGCCTTTAGGAGGTGATTACATAATGAGGACAGAACCCTTATGAATAGGATTAGTGACCATATAAAAGGGCTGGAGGGAACTAGTGAGGTCCTTTTGCCCGTCCATCCCTTCTACCATGTGAGGATACATCATTAATCTCCTCTGGAGGATGCAGTGTTCAAGATGCCATCTTGGAGGCAAAGACCGGGGCCCTCACCAGACACCAAAGGTGCCAGCACCTTGATCTTGGACTTTCCAGCCTCCAGAACTGTGATAAATAAATTTCTATTGTTTAGCCAGGCGCAGTGGCTCACGCCTGTAATCTCAGCACTTTGGGAGGCCAAGGCGGAAGGATCACGAGGTCAGGAGATCGAGACCATCCTGGCTAACACGGTGAAACCCTGTCTCTACTAAAAATACAAAAATTAGCCGGGCGTGGTGGTGGGCATCTGTAATCTCAGCTACTCAGGAGGCTGAGGCAGGAGAATCGCTTGAACCTGGGAGGTGGAGGTTGCAGTGAGCCGAGGTCGCGCCATTGCACTCCAGCCTGGGCATCAAAGTGAGACTCGGCCAAAAATAAATAAATAAATACATAAATAAATTTCTATTGTTTATAAAGGACCCAGTCTCAAGGATTTTGTTATAGCAGAACAAATAGACTAAGACATTCTCTTACTAGTCGAGTGTTACTGGAAGGCAGGACCACACTAACACTTAACACAATGCATGGCACACAGTGGGTTAATGATCACTGTTTGCTAAGTCAACAATAGTAATAGTAAAAGCTGACATTCAGGGTGTTCCTTTTATATGCCAGGCCAGATGCCAAACACTTGAAATGGATTAGCTCATCACCTAAGCCTCCCCACAAAACCATGAGGCACTATTATTTTTTGTCATTTTACAGATAAGAAAACTGAGGCCTTCAAAGTTTAAGCAAATTACCACCCAAATAGTAAATGGTGAAGCCAGTATTCAAACTAAAAGGAAGGAAGGAAGAAAGGAAGGAAGGAATGAAGCAAATCAACTTGACCTTACTATTGGCTTAGCCAACCCAGAGCTCAAGGGGATTAGTGTACACTTGTGTGTAAAAGGGCTGGAGAGCTAATAAACTTGCAGATCTCCCACCCCGAATCCCTAACCTCCCTCTGGCTCCAGCCTAAGTAATACAATGGCAGCTAATTGCTTCCTGCTGCCCTGATGCTATCTCTGCCTATCAAGCACCCAGCTTGGCGGGGGCGGGGGGTGGTGCAGATCTCATTTTCCCCTGGAGACTTGTCTTTGTTCACCTCTGGTTGAGGGTTGGGGGGGCATGGTGTGCAAGCCCCGTGGATTTCCTTGCCTCTCCACTTCCCTCTACAACAAATTCCTGCAGAGGAATGTACGTACCAAAGCCACCTGATGAATAAATCATCAAACCCCGAGGAGCAGAGCACAGACTGCAGCCTCCATCCTCACTCTTCCAAAATCAGGAGAGAGAGAAAAAAATTCCATCTCTGAACACCACATTGGGGGAAGTTTCCACTTGCCCTGAGTTTCAACCCCTTCAGGGACTGTCGGAGACACATGGCCGAGTGCTGCTAGCACCCAGCGCACAGAGCGGGTTGGGCTTGTCCAAGGCTGGAAACAAACTGAGTTGGTCTGGTCTTTCATAGGTGGTCCTGTTAGCCTAGGAAATGGGTGCTGAGAAAAGAATAGTAGATGTGCTGCTTGAAGGCCACAACACAGGAAGGATGGAGTAGTCCAAAGAATGTGGGTTTCATGGGTGGCCTTGGGTTCAAATCCCAGCTCTGCATCCACTGGGTAGGGAACCTTAGACCAGTTCCTCATCCCTTCTTCGCTTCAGTTTCATCATCTGTAAAATGGGTATCATAATTCTCATCTGACTTGATTGCTGTTGGGATTAAGAGGGATGTTGGCAGTAAAATACCAAGGACAGAGGAGCTAGAAGGCACACTGTAACAGTTAGTTCCATTCCCTCAGAGGAAGAGAGAGGGCCAGAGCGGGGCTGAGGAGAGCTGCTCAGACAACGGGTCCCCTATCTCTAATACAAACGTACTCTTTAATCACTGCTCTCCAGGTCACATGGCTGTGACCTGTTGATTATCATTCACCGTCATACTCGTAGGAACATGAGTTTACTGCCAAAGGCCTTTGAGATGCACAGTACAGTTTCAAACATGCTCCCTGGACACTGAGTATAGTGCTCAAGGCTTCTCTTCCATAATTAATTTATCCAATAAATATTTGTTGAGCACTGACTATTTGTCAGGCCTGGGAGCTGGGATGAACCCGACAGACGTAGAGCCTGCCCTCTGGAAGCCTGGCCATCCAACTGGGGGGACAATACTCATGCTTGGTGGCAACGCTAAATGCAAGGCGATAATGTAAGTTACACTGCTGGGCCCCTTGATTCCGGGTTTTTCATAGAGCCCTTTTATACGGATGACATGAAATGAAGGCACCATTTGTTGAAATGAAGAAATGTAAACACTCTGCAAAGGCATCCATGATGCCCAGAAGGTGAAGCATGCCATGGTACCAGTCTCTCAAAGCAGCCAGTAGAGGAATGGGACCCTTCCCTACAGGCAAGGCCGCTGGCACTCCAGGAAGTGAGGTGCCCTCCTCACATGGGATTGCTGGAAGAAACAGGCTGTGCATACTGGCTTTTCTCGACTCCTATGCTGATATTCTTTCCATGGTGTCAGGGAATTCATGCCATCATGTCCCCTCTCTGAGGATTTCAGACCATCGACTGAACAAGGTAACTGAGGGCCAGAGTAAAGCTGGGGAAAGTCGGATCAGAGCTTACAGGGCCTTGAATACTAAAAGAACAGTGCTGGTTTTCTGAGCAGGGCAAGCGAGTTATGAGCTGTACTTGGGAAAGGGGAGCACTGAAAAGGCAACAGTCATGGGAATTGTATAGTATCAGCGATCGTTGTTGAGGCCAGTGCTCGCCCCAATCCTGCTGTTACCAAGCTCATTTTAGAGATGAGGAAAAGGAGGACCAGAGAGGATATGCCAATTGCCCAAAGCCACATAGCTGGTAAAAGGGATTTGAACTCACAGCCTGTACTCCTGGATGCTGCCTTACTATCTGGGTGAGAAAGAATGAACTAGAGAAAAGGTTGTGGAGAAGGAGGGAGGCTGGTGTGCAATGGAGGAGACCCGTGAGAAATATCAGCAAGAGGCTTGTGCCTTCCCACACCCTGGGCCAGGCTATTGCTGGCGTCGTCCTCCGACAGGACTTGCCCTTTCTGCTGTGTCCCCTGCTACAGCACTCTTTCACTTTTTGCAGTCTATTGAAAGCTGGTCCACCCATCCCAAAAGCTACTCTCTTTCCTTACCTCTCATTGCTCTGATGGCCTCCAGCCCCTAACTCTGCCTTTGAAGCCAGGATCAGGATATGGTTCTGCCGCCTTCTGGCTGTGCAACCCAGACTAGTCTCTGGAGCTGTTTCCTCATTCGTCAGAAGGATGTCAGAAGACCTACTCACAGCCAGGTATGGTGGCTCGCGTCTGTAATCCCAGCACTTTGGGAGGCGAAGGCAGGCGGATCACTTGAGGTCAGCAGTTTGAGACCAGCCTGGCCAACATGGTGAAACCTCATCTCTAGTAAAATACAAAAAAATTAGCCATGTGTGGTGGTGCATGCTTGTAATCCCACCTACTCAGGAGCTGAGGCAGGAGAATCACTTGAACCCAGGAGGCGGAGGTTGCAGTGAGCCAAGATCGTGCCACGCACTCCAGCCTCGGCGACAGAGCAAGACCCTGTCTCAGAAGAAAAGAAAAGAAAAGAAAACCTATTCACTGGAGTTCTGTAATAATTAATGAAAGGCATTTCTCTTTCATTTTCATTTCTCTTTCATTTCTAAAAATCAAAGCACTGTGTGTGTATGATGAGTGGCTTCTCATGAATATTGCTGCATTGCCACTGGACTGACTGTGTGTGTGGCTTGTTTTTTGTTTTTTTGTTTGTTTGTTTGTTTGTTTTGTTTTGTTTTTGGCCTCTTGTCTGCCCCTCTGTGGTAAACTCCACAGGGAACCTATCATACTGAGGCCTCCACTCTCGGTCTGTCTTGCTGCAGAAATGTTCTGGATACCACAACGGCCAGCCACAGCCGAGGGGCCAGCCTGCTGGGCCTTCCCCACCACCCGCCAGCCTTTTCCTGTGTCTGGTGTGAACTCTTGTTTCCGAGGCAGCTGCAGCCCTGCACAATTCCACGATTTGCCTCCTTCCCATGTAACCCATTTCAGGATTAGCCAGCCAGGAGGTCATAAAATGCAAAAAGGAAGTGGGAGCATCCCACAATTGTAGGAACCTGGACTCTAAGGGAAGTAACCTGTCTGTAGGTCTGTCTGCCTTTGGGGAAATGGGCCATAAATTGTAGCCTTAAGGGCTGGTGAAAGGATATGAGCTATTTATAAAAAGTCTTGGGCTTTTGAATTGCCTCTTTAAAGAGGCAATAGTTTTCTCTTGGGTAATTGGGGCTTGGTATCAAGGGCTCAAATGTTTCAGCAAACAAAGCCCCCAGGGCACAGCTGGGGAGAGTGAGGCTGAGGAGTGTTTGCAGGAAAGGATAGGAGCCACAGAGAAGGGCCTGGCCATGGGTCGGACAGTTCTGCTGTACATTCACAGGCTCCACTGTGTACCAGGCCCGGCTGGTCACTGAGCACATATAGATTAACTTATGCCTAAAGATTGTTCTCTTCCTTCAAAAACTAGCAGGTGGGCCGGGCGCGGTGGCTCACGCCTGTAATCCCAGAACTTTGGGAGGCTGAGGCGGGCAGATCACAAGGTCAGGAGTTTGAGACCAGCCTGACCAACATGGGGGAAACCCTGTCTCTACTAAAAATACAAAAGTTAGCCAGGCGTGGCGGCCCGCGTCTGTAATCCCAGCTACTTGGGAGGCTGAGGCAGGATAATCACTTGAACCCGGGAGGCAGAGGTTGCAGTGAGCTGAGATTGCACCACTGCACTCCAGCCTGGGCGACAGAGCGAGACTCCGTCTCAAAAAAAAAAAAAAAAATCTAGCAGATGGGCTGGGCACAGTGGCTCATGTCTGTAATCCCAGCACTTTGGGAAACCGAGGCCAGAGGATCACTTGAGGCCAGGAGTTCAAGACTAGCCTAGGCAAAACCCCATCTCTCAAAAAAAAAAAAAAAAAAAAATTAGCCGGACATGGTGATGCATGCCTGTGGTCCCAGCTACTAGAGAGGCTGAGGCAGGAGGATCACTTGAGCCCAGAGTTCGAGGCTGTAGTAAAGTACGATTGTATCACTGTACTCCAGCCTGGGCGATAGAGTCCTGTCTCAAAAACAAACAAACAAAAAAAGAAACCAAAAAATCAAACAAAAAACAAAAACAACTAGAAAGAGCAGATATGTGAGCCATGCAAATGTTCCTGGAGGTTTGCAGAAAATGCTGTGACTTCGCACATGTTGTTTCTTCCACCTTGAACACTCCTCCTTAGTCCCTTCTTTTTTTTTTGTTTTTTTTTTTTTTGAGACGGAGTGTCACTCTTGTGGCCCAGCTGGAGTGCAATGGCACGATCTCGGCTCACTGCAACCATCGCCTCCTGGATTCAAGTGATTCTCCTGCCTCAGCCTCCTGAGTAGCTGGAATTACACGCGCCTGACACCACACCCAGCTAATTGCTTGAACCGGGGAGGCGAAGGTTGTGGTGAGCTGAGATTGCGCCATTGCACTCCAGCCTGGGTAACGACAGCGAGATTCCATCTCAAAAAACAACAACAACAACAATAAAACACTACAAGTCCACCAATGGGTTATTAATTAAACAAATTGTGATAGAACACAGTGGAGTATTATGCAGCCATAGAGATTTTGTTCCAATATGGAACAATCTCCAAGAAAAATAAGCGTTAATTGGTGAGTATGGCATGCTCCCACTTCTGTAATTATACATGAGTTTGTTTGACTGTGGGGAGACTATTTCTGGAAAGATACACAAGGAATTCCAACATCACTGGCCTCTGGGGAAGGGATGTGTGGAGACTTTTCATGCTCTACCCTTTTGTGTTTTTAAATTTTGTATCATATGCAAGTAATACCTATTCAAAAAAAGAGATAAAGCTTGAAATTTATTTGTAAATTAAAAAAAAAATCCGTCAGATCTAGCTTATAAATACAGCAGGAAAGAAAGAAAAATTCAGTGCTCAGTTCTTGTGTTTCAGTTTATAGTCCCCCAGCACCCTGTACCGCTGCCTTGCACTTATTATACTTGGGGAGATTAATTAGTGAGTCTGAAGTATTTGCTATTACTCATGTTCCCCATAAAGTGTAAACTCCTTGAAGTTATGAAGAGTATCTCTCATATACTTTGCTGTATCTCTGGTGCCTGCTAAACAACAACAACAATAAAACAAAACAAAAACCCTTTTAAAATGATGTTGACCTCTGACAGCTTAAATTCATCCTCTTCCAGGGAGCCTTGCTTGATTGCTCACAAAACATCTCCTAATTTTTTTTTCTTTTTTTTGAGACAGAGTCTTGCCCTGTTGCCCAGGCTGCAGTGCAGTGGTGCAATCTTGGCTCACTGCAACCTCCACCTCCCAGGCTCAAGCAATTCTCATGCCTCAGCCTCCTGAATAGCTGGGATCACAGGCACCTGATACCATGCCTGGCTAATTTTTTTTTTTTTTAGTAGAGACGGAGTTTCACTATGTTGGCCAAGCTGGTCTGGAACTCCTATCCTCAAATGATTCACCGGCCTCAGCCTCCCAAAGTGCTGCAATTACAGATGTGAGCCATTGTGCCCGGCCAAATATCTCCTAATTTTTAATGTCTGCCTGGTTTTCTTTCTTTGATTTATTCAACCAATATTTCTGAGTGCCTACTAAGTGTCAGACACCTCACAGTTCTATTTTGCCATACAGTCTTTTGCTCATATTTCTTTCCTCCTCCATTTGATCACTGCAAGGTGCAGGATTTGTATCTTATCCTTAGATCTCCTCATAGAACTTTTTAAACTTAATTAAGTTACTATTATTTTTAATTTAAATAAATTATGTATTCATTTATTTTTAATAAACAGCTTGCTCTGTTGCCCAAGCTGGTCTCAAACTCCTGGGCTCAAGCTATCCTCCTGCCTGGGCCTCCCAATGTGCTGGGATTACAGGCATGAGCCACTGCGCCTGGTCTCCTCATACAACCTTGAACATTACCTCGCACATAGTACATGCCAAGTATGTTTTTGTCACATAAGTGAGGGGATTATTTCCAATTTATGTTCTAACCAAATGAGTTAATACAAATAAATAACATGGGTGCAAACACTGATTTCCTGTTTTGCCCTCACAGCAAGCCATTGAGATCAGCACATTTTTGCAGATGAGGACACAGGCTAGAGCATTCGGTGACTTGATCAGGTCACACAACTACTAAGAGGTGGAGCCCGGACTCTAGCCCAGGCTGGCCTACCTCTGGGAACCCTCAGAATGTGGGAGAAGCACCATGTTACCTCCTGTCCAGGCTCCAGGCTACATTTCTGAGAAGGCCTTGAGGGTAACACAATGGGAAATGGCTCCTCTGGTCTCACAGGTAACATTCTGGGACCTCCTCCTGCGGCTAGGCAGTGGCAGGGTAGATTTTTTAAGGGATTGCTTTAATGACAATGGCATTTTATGCCAGTGGTTCGGTCTGGGAACAAGCAAAGAGCACCTACAGCTGCACCACAAAGGAAGATGTCATAGGTGGGCGGCCAATACCTGGGGAAGGGGGCAGTGTTCCCACCAAAGAGGTAGAGGGGTGGTGGGGAAGCAGAGCAGCGGCACAGAGCAAGGGGGAGTGACAGCTTGGAATGAATAGGGCTCTCTGAGCCTTGTGAAGGCCAGGCCAAGGACTCCATCATTTAGGTGATAATACCACCAAATAATCCAGCCCAGAACCCAGTTCTGGCCTGGGTAGAGAAAAGGTAGGGGTGGACAGGGCTGCTAGTCAGGGCAGCCAGGTCCCTGTGAGTTTGGAAGTCTGGTCAGGAGCAGCACCACAGAGGGTCGCAGGGGTGAATGGCACAGAGGAATACAGCGAGACTGCAGGACTTGGCGGCTAGACCCATGGAACACAGCTAAATCTCGCGCCCCAATAATAAAATGAAAAATTATTAGAAAAGAAAAGCCGGCAAGTGCAATAATCTACCAGGAGCAAGCAGAAAGCCTCCATGTGCAGGTACAACATATGCTTGCTGGCGAACGCAGGCATCTGCTACAAGCATGATCGTTTGACTCTCTGTGCCAGGCATCGTGTGAGACAGTTTGCCTTTTTCATCCCATGTCATCCAACAGCCCCGGCAAACAAGGTGCTCTCACCATTTATAGATGAGGAAACAGGCTGTGGCCCAAGTCTCATGGCTGGGAAGTGGTGGAGCAGGTGTTCAAACACAGCTCCATCTCACCTCAAAACACAGGCCTTGGATCCCCAAGTTCTACAAGGCACTTCCTGCCAGATGCACGCTCAGCACTTAACATGCACGATCTTGTCTAATCCTTGCAGCCACCCAATACCTAGTGTTACAAATCAGGGCCAGGACCAAGGTGAGATGAGTGTGTTGGGATTACAGGTGTGAGCCACTGTGCCCGGCCTACGTGCCTTTATCTTAAGACAGGATCATTATTACTGATTTTTTCTTTTGCTTCAGGCTCCGGGCTGGCTTGGTATGAGTTTCCTTTATTTAAATGTTTGATGCTTTGTTCATCGCAGATTTTTTTGCATTGATTTTGACTCTCTAAAAATATTGCATTTAAGTATTATTCATCTTGATGACTGAGGTTTTAGGGAGTATCCCTTAAATTTTATACTCACAGCACCTGTCTTGCTCACCTTCCCTGGTCCTAGCCCTGAATTTGCCCGCTTTTCAGATGAGGAAACTGATATGTGGGCAAGGGGGAGGTTGCGTTATTTGCCTTGATTACAGGGCTGGTAAGTGCTAGAGCAGAAATGAGAACTCAGACAGTCCAGAGCCCATTGTCTTAAAATAAAACTAAACCTTAATTCCATGTTGAGTTTTCAGGGATCTGTGTCTTGTGGTCAGGGCATTTCTATCTCGGTTTGTCCTGTGGTTTCCGGGCATCACATTCACCCTCTTTGCTCCCATCTGGTGCTTCCTCACCCCCAGGACCCTGAGCCCTATCTGACTTTCCAAACTATCCTCCACCCACCCGCCTCCCTGGAACTCTTCCTTTCTGGTGCCACTACGCCTGGCTAATTTTTTTGTTTGTTTTTTTTTTGTTTTTTTGAGATGGAGTCTGGCTCTGTTGCCCAGGCTGGAGTGCAGTGGCACGATCTCAGCTCACTGCAACCTCCGCCTCCCGGGTTCAAGTGATTCTCCTGCCTCAGCCTCCTGAGTAGCTGGGATTACAGGTGCATGCCACCATGCCTGGCTGAATTTTTGTATTTTTAGTAGAGATGGGGTTTCACCATGTTAGCTAGGATGGTCTTGATTTCTTGACCTCGTGATCCGCTCGCCTTGGCCTCCCAAAGTGCTGGGATTACAAGCATGAGCCACCGCGCCCAGTCAACTTTTTTGTATTTTTAGTAGAGATGGGGTTTCGCTTTCTTGGCCCGGCTTGTCTCAAACTCCTGGCTTGTCTCAAACTCCTGGCTTCAAGTGATCTGCCCAGCCTCTCAAAGTGCTGGGTTTACAGGCATGAGCCACCATGCCGGCCAACTTTTGATTCTCACAAACCAGATGTGGTTTCTCCATCCTCTGTAGGAAAGGCCTTCTGTGTGCACATTCTCTGTGAAAGGTTCTCTACCCTCTCCTGCATAGGCCGTTTCTGGACTCGTCTTACTCGTCTTCCCAGACAAGTCAACTCCCTGGGGCCAGAACTGCAGGAGGAAGCAAGTTTAATCTTACTCATGTTTAAATGGCCTCAGTACCTGGCCTAATGCTTTATTCATCATAAACACTTAGAAAAGGGTTTAAAAAGAAATTCAGCGTTAGTGATGATCAGCACGCAGGCTCTGCATCCAGACTGACTTTGTTCAAATCCCAGTACTGCCACTTATTAGCTATCTGACTTTAGGCAAATTACTCAACCTGTCTGTTTCCTCAACTACAAAATGGATATAATACTCAACAACTTAATGCAAGTTTCTGGTACACCGGACTCACAGAACACACTCACCAAATGTTAGCTATAATTATTATTAGGAAAATTAATGTGCTAGCCATTTACAGGATGGATTAGAGAGGCAGAGTACAGGTCAGAGATTAGCCAGGAAGGCCCTGAGCTAGAGTGGGGTAAAGAGGACAGAAAAAGTCAGGAAGGATACAAAGAAGACAGGGAGGTCAGGGTGAGCTGAAGGCATTGTTTGCGGGGATGGGTGGGTGTGGGGGTGTGTGTGTGTGTGTGCAGGCTCAGATCGCTGGCTCCTGGGACCTGTTGACACCATTTCTGCATCAGAGAAACCATGGGCCAACTTGTCCTGACCAAATGCTGATGGAGCCTAAGACCCACAACATGGTGCAGCCAAAGGGAAGCTGCGAACAGATAGATTCCAAACTGCAAAAGGAAAAGCAAAGAGCGAATCCTTAGGGCGACAAGTCAGCAAACCTTCCTGTCCCTCAGACAAAATTGTTGGTGGGAATTTGCTGCACGTCCTCTTCTGGCCCCAGAGGTGCTGAGTTTTTTATGGAGGGAGGTGGGAGTAGGGGTCCTTGGCAAACCAGCTGGAGAGCAGCGCACCCCCCTCGCATGCAGGGGCATTTGGTCAAGTGGCTGGAAGGAAGGGCCATGGGAAGGCCATAAAGGGCAGCCTGACCCAGGGCCTCTGGTCATGCCGTGCCAGAAGGGCCAGGATCAGGGTTGAGCAGAGGACTTTCCCTGGCAGGACGCCAGGCAAGAGGGTTACTTTTCTCATTTTCTTCCCATCTCTCCCTGCTCCGTTGGCCCCTCTGGCACACTGAGCTTCAAGCTCCTTCCTCTCCACAAACCGAGGGGTTTTAATGTTGGATGAAAATAAATCTGCCTACCGTCGAAGACTCTGGAAATAAAAAGAATTCTCTCCTCAGAGTGACAGGTTGACTCGAGGGGGGCCAAAAAGCCACCTCCATTTGGTGCCTGAAATTCCTGCCGCCTGGGGTCTGACCCTGGAGGTGTCATTATCACCTAGTAGCATCGTTAATGTCTGGGGAGGGGCCCTCTGGAGGCCTGGCTGGGAAGGCTGAGGCCCCAGGGAGGCACAAGGAAAGGGCTCCAGACCAAATCTCCCTGGGGACTCGCTAAGAAAGGAAGGAGGCCTTAGACGAAAGGGGACTCAGAGGAGTTGAGAGACAAATACAGCCTATTTCACAGATTCCTGAGCACATCCTGTCTCCCGGAGAACCAGGATGTGGCGCTTCCTCAGGTCTCTTTGTACCAGTATTGGCTTCTGGGCCAAGAATGTCCCAGCTAAATCCTGAAAAATCACACGGCTCACCATAAACCACCCTCCTCCCTTTCTCAGTACCCTGGCCCCAGACTTCTGGGGAAAACAAAACACAACCCAGAGAGTTTCACTGCAGTCCCCAGGGGCTGGGAATGGAAGCAGCAGTGGGAGCTGAGCTCTTCAAAGCCAGTCATGACATCAGAACCGCTGACATCTCTACTCCCACCAAACTGGTTCAGTGCTTCTGAGAGGGCCTCAGGCTGGCCCTGCTTGGAGGAAAGCTCCAATTAGAGGGTGCGTTCCAGATAGCCCGTGGGAAGGCCGGCTGGGCAGGCTCACAGTGGTCAGTGCTGCCATCAATCACTCAGCAGGCGGTGTGTTTGGCAACGCTGGCCTTTGCTTTGTGGCTGACTAGTGACTAGCCGTGTGACCCTAGGCAAGTGACTTCATCTCTCTGGGTCTCAATTTCCTCTGCTATGAAATGGAGCTGATAATGGATGCTACTGCCTAAGATCTCTGAGAATTAAATGCTTGCCAACTTTAGGATAGAGACCCAAATACCCAACCCACCTGGGAAGCCCTGCAGGCCCTGGCCCTGCCTGCCTGCCCGTCACTGCGGGCTGCTCTCCCTCCTGCTTGCCCCTCCAGCTGCTTGGGCCTATCTCAGGTCCTCAGCACTCAGCCATTCCACTCGGCCCCCAGAATATGAGCTTCCTGGGAAATCTCTTCCCCTCAGTAACTCCTGCCTAGACCCCTGCCCCTCTTTGAATCAGGCCCCTGCTCTAACCTCTTGGAATACCCTCTTTTCCCCTCCACAGCTCTTGGGCATGGTCCATCTTTGGACATTGGTTTAGGTAATTTTGTGTTCAGGGTTAGCTCCTCTGGCTACACTGTGAGCTCCTGGAAGACAGAGGCTCTTGTCTTATTCACTGTGTAGCCTCAGTGCCCAGTATATAGCTGGTGCTCAATAAATCTTGGCTCAATGAAAAAAAATAAAATGAGATGGTGCAGGCAAAATACCAGGCACAGCTCAGTACCATTCACAGCCACAGCCGCTTTGGCTGCTGGTGTGAGGCTGCTGATCCAAGACCCTCCAGGGGAGAAGATGATAGAGACAGGCTGCTCCCTGCAAGCTGAAAAAGATGAGCCAGGAAGACAAGGTTGACATCAACAGGGAATAGTCAGGGGCAATATTGAATTAAATATTCCACTGCAGGGTGTAATTGCTTCAGAAGCTCAGAGAAAAAGGAGCTAATGAGTGCAGAGAAAAAGTATATCAGAAAAAATAGAACTAAAGCCAAAAGAAAAGTGGCATTGGACTAGCAAAGGAGAGTGGGGTAGAATTCAGGTAGGAGGAAAATCATCCTTCAACTAGCTACCATTTACCGTTAGTACTAGCAGTACTTATCATCAGAGTCGTCATTGAGCCAATATTCAATTCCGCATTTACAATGGGGCCAGGTATTTTACCAAGCCTTTTTTAGAACTATTTTGTTTGACCTTTGAAACATCCCTAAGAAAGTTCTTTCATTATCACTATTTTAGAGGTAAGGAAGTGAAGGCTCAGAAAGTGTTCTGTAATTTTCCCAAGAGCATATCACTAGTAAGCAGGAAATCTGAGATTCACACATAGACCACTTCCAGACTGAGGGGCCAGGTGAAAGCTGGGACAGCCAGGCAGCAGCACTTACAATGAATGGGACAGCAAGCCTGGAACCATATGGCAGTGAAGCTGGAATGAGGATGATGCAATGAATGCTGGCTTAGGGGTGGCATGGCTGGTCCATTCTAGTACAGAATGGGTGGGAAGGGGCAGGGACAAGGAGCAGTATTTCAGAGTTGACAGTCTGAGCCCATGGGCTGGGGTGGCCATGCGGGCCATGAAGTGAAAGAGATGGATGGATGCAGGGGATATTTTATTTCTTTCTTTTTCCCTTTTTTTTTTTTTTTATTTGAGACACAGTGTCACTCTGTTGCCCAGGCTGGAGTGCAGTGGCATGATCTAGGCTCACTGCAACCTCCTCCTCCAGGGTTCAAGCAATTCTCCTGCCTCAGCCTCCCAGTAGCTGGAATTACAGGTACATGCTGCCACGCCCAGCCAATTTTTGTATTTTTAGTAGAGACGGGGTTTCACCATGTTGGCCAGGCTGGTCTTTCAAGATCTGCCTGACCTCAAGTGATCCACCCGTATCAGCCTCCCAAAGTGCTGGGATTGCAGGCATGAGCCACTATGCCCGGCCTGCAGGGGATATTTTAAGGAAGAAATAGAGCCAGAGACCTGACTGGCTGTATGTGGGAGCAGGAGGGAGGATTTAAAGGCTATCATTTAAAGAGAACTCTGGAGTTTTAAGTCAAAGCATAATGTGAGTTCATCCCCCATCCTCTCAACAGTACTTGAGGAATTTCTTTTGACAGTCTTCCTCAGAACTTAGGAACCACCTGTTTTTCCCCACTCCCTAGTATTTTAAAGGTATCCTCCCCTGAGTCCAGTGGTGTACTGGTGCTGGCTCATAAGAGCCAACTGCACACATCTTGTCCCAACTCCATTGTTCAGCAACATCATGTTGGTTGTTTGAAATCAGCCATGGAGGGGTGGAAATCCGCAAATGCCGCGGATCAGTGCTTTTATTTTCCTGTAGAGCTGGTTGTTAAACATTTACCAGCACATGTCTGCCTGGATCCAACTTAAATTTCTCCCACTGCACATCAGGAATTTTTCCCTTCCTGCTGTGAATGAAGAACAAAGAGGGAGGATGAATAGATTCAAGAAAGGTTGCAATGGAGTCCCCTGTCAGGAAGCTCACCTCTTGAGCTAAAGTTAGTTACAATAACTACCATTCCCTAAAGACCAGCTTTGTGCCAGAATCTGAACTAGAACTCCACTTGTGTCATCTAATTCAATCATCTCATCAGTGATAGGGATGTATGAGGAGTAGGTCCTATGGTCAAACCCCTCTTACAGATGAAACTGAGGCTCAGAGAGGTTAAATCACTTGCCCAAGGTCACTCAGGCAGCAAATGACAGAGTTGGGGTTCAATCCAGGAAGGTCTGTCCCCAGATCCCTTGCACTTGACATGTAGGCAGTTTCTTTTCAGGAGACCTTTACAGCCTTCTACCCGGATCAGTCTTGACTAGTCCTCTTCTTAGCAGTACTGACCACCCACCTTGCCTAGTCAGTTGGGATCCTCACTAGGATCAGAAAACAACTCTGACTGGTTTAGCAGAAAAAGGATTTGTTTAGGGGTTACAAGGTAGCCCACAGAATTGCTAGAAAAGTAAAGAATTAAACTTGGAAAACAAGCAAGAATCAAGGGAAATGGACCCCAGTCCCCACCTGGTGAGGATACCAGTGTCATCACAACACCACTGGATGCTGGCACCAGCTTTGCTTCTGTTGACAGCTGCTCATGGCTGCCACTACCCAGGATGAATTCTCTTTTCCTGCTTCTCTGCATCACCAGTCCTAGGCCCTGAGTCCCAGTGGCAGCATCAATCACTTGGCCTCATCATAACCTCCAGAAGGGAAGGATGGGCTTCTATAGTGAGAAGTAGGTCCTTCCATCAGGATTCTTACAGTGGAGAGATCCCCAAGCATCTATGGGGGTTCAGTTGCCAGGGAGCTTCCAAGAGCTCTGTTGCTTGCACACACTGGTTTTCCCTAAACCCTTGGCCACTTACACATAGTCAGCTTGTTTGTGTTTCTTTGACCTGCTTGCAGACATTCAGAATATCACCCACGTACAGGTATGTGGCTCATGCCTGTAATCCCAGCACTTTGGGTGGCCCAGGTGGGAGGATCACTTGAGCCCAGGGGTTTGAAACCAGCCTGGGCAACATAGTGAGACCCCATCGCTACAAAAAAATTAAAAATTAGCTAGGTGTGGTGGCGCACAACTGCGATCCCAGCTATTCGGGAGGCTGAGGTGGGAGGATTTCTTGAGCTGAGACGTTTGAGGCTGCAGTGAGTTTTGATCAAGCCACTGCACTCCAGACTGGGCAACAGAGTGAGACCCTATGTCAAAAAAAAGAAATGTCACTCAGGACTTTTCTTATTCTGTTCTATATATATATATATATATATATATATATTATATATGTTATATATAATTTATATAATATATAATTTATATATAATTTATATATTCTATATATAAATTATATATAATATATATTATATATAATTTATATAATATATTATATATATTTATATAGAACAGAATAATATATATTATATATAATATATATTATATATAATTATATATAATATATAATATATATTATATATAATATATATATTATTTAATATAATATATAATATATATAATATATAATCTATTATATATTATATATATAATATATATCTATATCTATATATATATTATTTTATTTTATTTTTTTTCTTTGGAGACAGAGTTTTGCTCTTGTTGCCCAGCCTGGAGTGCAATGGCGCCATCTCGGCTCATCGCAACCTCCACCTCCTGGGTTCAAGCGATTCTCCTACCTCAGCCTCCCGAGTAGCTGGGATTACAGGCATGTGCCACCATGCCCGGCTAATTTTTGTATTTTTAGTAGATACAGGGTTTCTCCATATTGGTCAGGCTGGTCTCAAACTCCCAACCTCAGGTGATCTGCCTGCCTCGGCCTCCCAGAGTGTTGGGATTACAGGCGTGAGCCACCGCGGCCAGCTATATTTCTTTCTTCACCATGTTAGGATATATTCAGTTACAAATGTGTAAGACTCATAAACCACTGAGCAACATGTCTGCCCCAGCCAAGGACTTTATTTCTGCCCCAGCCAAGGACTGATCCTGATGCCACAGCCAGGTGCAGTTCCTCCCTGAGGTTTACATGGGGCAGTGCCAGCTGTTGGTAGCCAGTTAGGTTATCTGAGGTATCGTCTGCCTTCCCAGGAATCTCTGTGGGCTGAGTGCCCTCAGCTGTACTTCCAATCTAAAGGTGATGGAGTGAGTCATTAAGGTAGGTGTGGGACTGGGGCTACCGATACTAGCTTTGTTCAACAATGCTCCTCTGTTGAAAATTCTTTTTCATTTAGCGTGACTCACTCTATTTATTTATATTTATTTATTTTAATAGGGACCATTGCAATGGGGTCTTGCAGTGAGGGAGAAAGAGTGGACTCAATTCCCTCACTCTTTTTTTTCTTTCTTTTTTTTGTTTTTTTTGAGATGGAGTCTCTCTCTGTCACCCAGGCTGGAGTGCAGTGGCGAGATCTCAGCTCACTGCAACCTCCAACTCCCGGGTTCAGGTGATTCTCCTGCCTCAGCCTCCTGAGTAGCTGGGATTAAAGGCCTCCACCACCATGCCCGGCTAATTTTTGTATTATTAGTAGAGACAGCGTTTCACCATATTGGCCAGGCTGGTCTCGAACACCTGACTTCCAGTGATCTGCTAACCTCGGCCTCCCAAAGTGCTGGGATTACAGGCATGAGTGACTGTGCCCAGCCTCACTGTCTTTTTAGAAAGAGTGCCTGGTCTCCTTTGGGTCTCTGGGCCTTCGTGGCACAGGTTCCATAGCAAAATATTATAATAATGACAATAAACAGAGGGGAGAGAGAAAGGAAGACAAAACTTATAAAGATGAATGGCTCAAATGTATTAAAAATATAATCTGGCCAGGCGCGGTGGCTCATGCCTGTAATCTCAGCACTTTGGGAAGCCGAGGCGGGCAGATCACGAGGTCAGGAGATTGAGACCATCCTGGCTAACACAGTGAAACCCCATCTCTACTAAAAATACAAAAAATTAGCTGGGCGTTGTGGCAGGCACCTGTAGTCCCAGCTGCTCAGGAGGCTGAGGCAGGAGAATGGCATGAACCCAGGAGGCGGAGCTTGCAGTGGGCCGAGATTGCACCACTGCACTCCAGCCTGGGCAACAGAGAGAGACTCCGTATCAAAAATAAATAAATAAATAAATAAAATAATAATCTTCAGTCAACCTCAAAGTCACCCAAGCCAGGCCTGCATTTCAGGAGGTTGCAGATATTATATTATCCCAAGTACATCATTATCCTTAGAGCATCTTTGCCTCTAGATTGATTTGTTTAGAGAATGTGTGGCACAAAGTCCTCAGTGACATCTGGGCTATGTTTCCTAGAAAGGTTTTGTCGGAAACCTACCAACCTACCACATGCCCCCATCCTTTTAAAAATTAATAGACTTATTTATTGAGTTATTTACTGAGTTATTGAGTTGAGACAGGGTCTCACCTTGTTGCCCAGGCTGAAGTGCAGTGGTGTGATCACAGCTCACTGCAGCCTCAACCTCCCAGGCTCAAGTGATCCTCCCACCTCAGCCTCCCAGATAGCTGGGACTACGGGCGCATGCCACTATACCCAGCTAATTTTTCAAATTTGTGTAGAGGTGAGGTCTTACTATGTTGCCAGGGCTGGGACTTTATTTTTTACAGCAGTTTTGGATTTACAGAAAACTTAAGCAGAAAGTACAGAGTTTCCATATAAGCTTTTTTCTCTCTCTCACAGTTTCCTCCATTATTAACCTCTTGCATTAGTGCAGTGTATGTGTTACAATTGATGAGCCCATATTCATAAATTATTACTTACCAAAGTCCATAGTTTACATTAGGCTTCACTCTGTGTTGCACCTTCTATGACTTTTGACAAATGTGTAAGGACTTGGATCCACCATTACAGTATCATACAGAATCTTTCCACTGCCCTAAAAATCCCGTGCATTCCTCTTATTCATCCTTCCTTCCCTCCCCAGTAAACTCTGGCAACCACTGACTGATCTTGTACTGTTTCCATAGCTTTTCCTTTTCCAGAATGTCATATAGTTAGAAACATATAGTAGGCAGCTTTTTCAGATTGACTTCTTTCACTTATCAATATATATTTAAGTTTCCTCTGTGTCTTTTCATGGCTTGATAGCTCATTTCTTTTTAGCTCTGAATAGTATTACATTGTGGACGAACCACAGTTTGTCTATTCACCTGTTTAAAGACATCTTGGTTGCTTCCAAGCTTTGGCAATTATAAATAAATCTGCTATAAATATTCCTGTTCAGGTTTTTGTACAGAAATCAGTTTTTAACTCCTTTGGGTAAATACTAAAGAGTGCAATTGATCATATGGTAAGAGTAGGTTTAGTTATGTAAGAAACCGCCACGCTGTCTTCCAAGGGGGCTGTATCATTTTGCATTCCCAGCAGCAATGAATGAAAGTTCCTGTTACTCTGCATCCTTATCAGCATTTGGTGCTGTTGGTGCCTTTAGAGGTACCCAGGGCGTCTCCTAGAAATTTTTTTTTTTTTTTTTTTGATACAGGGTCTCACTCTGTCTCCCAGGTTGGAATGCAATGGCACAATCTTGGCTCACTGCAACCTCTGCCTCCTGGGTTCAAACAATCCTCCTGCCTCAGCCTCTTGAGTAGCTGGGACTATAAGCATATGCCACCATGTCTGGCTATTTTTTGTATTTTTAGTAGAGATGAGGTTTCACCATGTTGCCCAGGCTGGTCTCAAACTCCTGAGCACAAGCGATCTGCCTGCCTTGGCCTCCCAAAGTGCTGGGATTACAGGTGTGAACCCACCGTGCCCAGCCCTAGAAAGGTTTTATCTTGCAATCAACCTACCCATACCCTCATCCTGTTTTTTATTTTAAAAAATTATTGTTTTTAAGTGTATTAGTCTGTTCTCACACTGCTAATAAAGACATACCTGAGTCTGGGTAACTTATAAAGGAAAGAAGTTTAATGGACTCACAGTTCCACATGGCTGGGGAGGCCTCACAACCATGGTGGAAGGCAGAGGAGGAGGAAAGTCACGTCTTACATGGCGGCAGGCAAGAGAACTTGTGCAGGCGAACTCCCATTTATAAAACCATTAGATCTCACAAGACTTATTCCCTACCATGAGAACAGTATGGGGGAAAACGCCCCCATGATTCAATTATCTCCACCTGGCCCTGCCCTTGACATGTGGGGATTACTACGATTCAAGGTGAGATTTGGGTGGGGACACAGTCAAACCATATCATTAAGTCTTTAAATTCAGGAGTAATTTGTTACACAGCATGAGGTAACTCATATAGGAGCCCTAAGCCACCACCAACTTTAAGGTATGGGAGTCAGCCATGTCAAACCCTCCAGTCTCAGTCAAGCTTTCAGATGACTGCAGCCCTCACTAATATGTGACTGCAATCACATAAGAGAACGAAAACATTCCTGGACCACAGAAACCATTTATTTCCTAGACTTCATCATGACTATCCAATGGAAGTTCAGGACTATCTTTGATTCTTCTCACTTAGCAGAACTAGGGAGGAAAAAAGGGAGCAACTCTGTGTTCTAATCCTGGCTTAGTTGCTTGTTAGCCACCCATCAATAAACAAGAACCTTTACTTTCTAGGGCTTCAGTTTCCTGAGTAATAAAATACTCTCTCCCTCTCCCTCTTTTTAAATTGTCATTATTATAATATTTTGCTATAGAGCCTGTGCCATGAAGGCCTAGAGACCCAAAGGAGACCAGCTGCTCACTCTCTGTCTCTTTCTCTTTCTTTCTTTTCTTTTCTTTTTTTTCACAGGGTCTTACTTTGTCACTCAGGCTGGAGTGCAGTGGCACAATCACAGCTCACTGCAGCTTCAACCTCCCAGGCTCAAGCTATGCTCCCACCTTAGCCTCCTGAGTAACTGGAACTACAGGCATGAGCCACCACACCCAGCCAATTTTTTATATTTGTAGAGATGGAGTCTCACTGTGTTGCCCAGGCTGGTCTCAAACTCCAGGGCCCAAGCAATCCTCCTGCCTTGGCCTCCGAAAGTGCTGGGATTATAGACCTGAGCCACTGCACCCAGCCCAGGTACTCTTTCTAAAAAGACAGAGTAAGGAAGTTGAGTCCTCTCTTTCTCCCCCACTGCAAGACCCCATTGCAGTGGTCTCTATTAAAAAATAAAAATAAGACAGAGTGATGCTCAGTGGAAAGGAATTTTCAACAGAGAAGCATTGTGGCAGTGCCTTGCAAAGTGTTACTTATCGAACAAATTTCAAGTGTCATGTTAATGGAGGGGACCAGCAGTGAAAATTTCAAAGTGATGTCTATCTGACTTTGGACCATTTTATCAGATTTCTTCTCCATAGCAGAGTTATTGTTGAATTGCATTTGGGGTATTCTTAAGCTAAGACTGTAGGCACACCTCTAATGGCCTGATGGGAGAGGTCAGCCAAAAATTAAAATTCGCAGCATAATCCACAATGTACCTAATCCACTTGAACATAACTATCCTCAACAAAACATTTATATAATTATTAACCATGCAGACTGCTCCATCCTTCCTTCCCTCCACTTCTTTCTTTCTTCCTTTCCCCTTTCCTGTCCCTTTTAGAGATGGAGTCTTGCTCTGTTCCTCAGGCTGAAGTGCAGTGGTGCTTATTGCAGACTTGAACTCCTGGGCTCAAGCGATCCTCCTGCCTCAGCCTCACAAGTAACTGGGACTATAGGTACATGCCACCATGCTGGGCTAATTTTAAAAAATTTTGTTTTGTAGAGACAGGGTCTCACTATGTTGCACAGGCTGATATGAAACTCCTGACCTCAAATGATTCTTCTGCCTTGGCCTCCCAATGCTTTGGGATTACAAGCAGGAGCCACCATACCTAGCCTGGTTCTACCTTAGAACAGTAAAAACTAAAATAATAACCATAGTGATTACAATTTTTGGGGCACTTACTATGTGCTGAGCACTGTGCTGAGTACTTTACATTCCATTATCTCAATTAATCCTCTCCCAATCCCATGGTTAAATATTATCCCTCTTTAACTGATTTAGAAAAGATTTTGATTTCCAGGTAAAGATGGAGGATTGAATACACATAACTGTGTTTGTACACATCTAAAACTCCACTAAAAGAGTAAATTGATTACATCTGTGTGGTATAGCAAAGAAAGAGTAATTTTTATTTTTTGAGACAGAGTCTCACTCTTGTCGCCCAGGCTGGAGTGCAGTGGCATGATCTTGGCTCACTGCAACCTCCACCTCCCGGGTTCAAGTGATTCTCCTGCCTCAGCCTCCTGAGTAGCTTGGATTACAGGCGCCTGCCACCATGCCCAGCTAATTTTTGGACTTTTAGTAGAGACGGGGTTTCACCATGTTGGCCAGGCTAGTCTTGAACTCCTGACCTCAGGTGATCTGCCCGTCTCAGCCTCCCAGAGTGCTGGGATTACAGGCATGAGCCATCGCACCCAGCCTAAATTTATTTTTTTTTAAGAGCCAAAGAATGTCTAGCACATATTATGGGCTCATAAATATTTATAGAATAAAGCAATGAATGAAGAAATTAATAAGCTTACAAAGTAAATAAAATAGACATTGAGATAACACTGACAAAAATTTGGAAGCAGGGATAAATATCAACTGACTTTGCAGACTTCAGAAAGTTGACTCCTAAGTCAGGTGTGGAGAAAGCCAAGGGGCAGCCAGATTATACATCCCCCAAAGGCTCAGGAATAGGGAGCACTGGTTAACTCCTAAAGTAGGGGTAGAGTGGAGCTAAAAGCAGGGTGCTGGTTAAAACTTGGTTTAAGAAGCTGTTAAAGCCAGGCATGGTGGCTCACGCCTGTAATCTCAGCACACTGGGAGGCCAAGGCAGGCGAATCACCTGAGGTCAGGAGTTCGAGACCAGCCTGGCCAACATGGTGAAACCCCATCTCTACTAAAAATACAAAAAAAGAAATTAGCCAGGAATGGTGGTGCACACCTGTAATCCCAGCTACTCGAGAGGCTAAGGCAGGAGAATTGCTTGAACTCAGGGGGCAGAGGTTGCAGTAAGCCCAGATTGTGCCACTAGACTCCAGCCTGGGCGACCGGGCGAGACTCCATCTCAAAAAAAAAAAAAAGCTGTTAAAGCCCAGATCCCCTCCCCCACTTCAGGAGTGACTCCCCATGTCCTTGCCTCAGTAGAAGATTTAGGTTTCTTTTGAGAAGAGGGTAGAATGGGAAGACTCTGGGCTGGAGAGAAATCTACAGCTGAAGGTAAAGGCACCACGGAAAAACATGGATTAAGCAACGTTGACATACTGAATGCTAAGACACAACCCCAGCTTCAACAGCTTCTTTCCTGCCTTGGTTCCCAGAAAGCTGGCAGCCAGTCTTGTACTCTCCTGGTAGTGCTGTAGGAGTTATTAAGAAATTATTTTAGGCAGATAGAGAGGAAAAGGGGTCCTTGGGAAGTTTTCGTTTTTAAAGCAGCTCTTGGAGCCAGGCCGGCACATTTGATATGCAAATGAAGGCCATTAGAAACTGGGTCCACCCAAACACGGCAATTCTCTTTGCCTTCTTGCCCTTGCCCCATATGTTCCTGGCAACATGGTTACCCCCACATATCCCCACGTGTGTAGAACATCATGGCGCCCTGCATTTGCATATTAAAAGGCTAGGGTGAAAAGGTCAGCTTTTACGTGAATGACATGCCTGCTCAAACCAATTCCTTAAGCCCTATGCAGGCCTGGAGCGGTGGCTCACGCCTGTAATCCTATCACTTTGGGAGGCTGAGGTGGGCGGATTGCCCAAGCTCAGGAGTTTGAGACCAGCCTGGGCAACATGGTGAAACCCCATCTCTACTAAAAATACAAAAAATTAGCCGGGCGTGGTGGTGCATAACTGCAATCCCAGCTACTGGGGAGGCTGAGGCATGAGAATCACTTGAACCTGGGAGGCGGAGGTTGCAGTGAGCTGAGATCATGCCACTGCACTCCAGCCTGGGCAACAGAGGGAGATTCTGTCTCAAAAAAAAAAAAAAAAAAGGCCCTATGCAAATCAGACACCACTTCCTCCAGCCTCTACAAATACCTGGCTGATATCCACTGCACTTGGCGTTTACGCTTTCGGCTTTGGAGCCCCTGTCCTTCTGTCTCTGTATGGGGGAGCTTCTTCCTTCTGTCTTCTCCCTTCCTTCTTGTCTATTAAACTCTCCGCTCCTTAAAACTACTCCACTTGTGTCGGTGTCGTTTTTTCTAATTCGACGCAAGGCAAAGAACCTGGTGTTCCTCCACTCATTGGAGCTGTATCAGTAGGAGACTAGAATCCCTTCTCTGGGGAATCTGACTAACCCAAGAGGAAAGATCCAAAATAGAAAAATCAGAAGTGTCCCATATATTATCCTGTATTTGTGTACTAAATTTTTCTGGCAGAATGACTGCTTGCTGAAAAAAAATAAAGATAGCTTAAAGTAGGTACTTTTTTATGGTTTTGCAAATTCTGGAGAACAGGGACTGCTTCTTCCTAAACAAGATCTCCAGTCTTGCTATTAGTCTAGAATAGTGAATATATATTCCATAAATGCTTGCTGAGTGAAAAAAAAAAATCTCTTATTACTTGATTACCCAGTTGAGAATAACTATGTCAAAAAATCTCTGAGATCATATGAATATATTTCTATATTTTCTTCAAATAATAATACATTAAATTATAAACTTCTAACAGTGAACAATTAATGGTTATTGCCACAATGCAAAAAATAAGATTAAATTAAGGGCTTTATGACTGCAGGAACCATTTCTATATTTTTTGCAATTTTATCCCCAGTGCCAACTAGCAATACATGGCACTTACTAAGTAGTACTTAAAAATCCTTGGTGGATATCGCTGAAGTATCATCCTTCTTGATTTTTTTCATTTGTTTCTCACTCACTTATATATTTCTTTTGAATAAGTGTAATAATTTAATGTGTGGCTTTGGTAATAAGTCTTCATGAACTGAAATTAGATGTAGTCAAGTCTTCTCTTCCAAGGTGAAATATGACTTTCTTTTCTCAGTCTTTGCTTCCCTAGATTAAATCACCAGGTAGCTCACTGTTAAGTTTCAAATAAAATATGGTAATTTAAATGCTAAAAAAAGAAAGAAAAATCAGAAGTTTCCCAATGAAGGAGTCAGTCAGATCAGCATACTGCAAACATCAGGGTCAATAAGCCCCACACACTCAGAGCTACCAGTAAGTACCTCGTTCTTTTTTTTTTTTTTTTTTTTGAGATGGAGTCTCGCTCTGTCGCCCAGGCTGGAGTGCAGTGGTGTGATCTCTGCTCACTGCAAGCTCTGCCTCCTGGGTTCATGCCATTCTCCTGCCTCAGCCTCCCTAGTAGCTGGAATTAAAGGTGCCCACCACCATGCCTGGCTAATTTTTGTATTTTTAGTAGAGACGGGGTTTCACTGTGTTAGCCAGGATGGTCTAGATCTCCTGACCTCGTGATCTGCCCGTCTCGGCCTCCCAAAGTGCTGGGATTACAAGCATGAGCCACCACGCCCAGCCAAGTACCTCATTCTTAACTATGAACAAACATATTTATCTCACTAGATACTTGGGGACAGCGAAACGAAAGGTAGAGACTAAAACAAACATTTAAAGAAGCATGTTGGGCTGGGGGCAGTGGCTCACACCTGTAATCCCAGCATTTTGGGAGGCCAAGGCGGGCAGATCACAAGGTCAGGAGATTGAGACCAGCCTGACCAACATGGTAAAACCCCCGTCTCTACTAAAAATACAAAAATTAGCCAAGTGTGGTGGCGTGCGCCTGTAATCCCAGCTACTCAGGAGGCTGAGGCAAGAGAATCGCTTGAACCTGGGAGGCAGAGGTTGCAGTGAGCCAAGACTGTGCCATTGCACTCCAGCCTGGGCGACAGAGTGAGACTCTGTCTCAAAAATAAATAAATAAATAAAGAAGTATGTTGGAAGAAGTAGAAACAGTATATAAAGAAGAAATCTTTTTAAAAAAACTATCATTACTATTTTTAGTGTCAAGAGATTTTTGCATTCCTGAAAAAAGAACAGTATGCTATAAAAAAGGAATATTCAGAGAATAACAACAATAACAACAACAAAAAAAAACTCCTGGAAATTTAGCACAAATTTAAAACTGAATAGAACTGTTGGAAGACAAAACTGAGGAATTCTCTTAGAAAGTAGAGTAAAAAGACAGAGATAAAAAATAAGAGAGAGGTAATAAGAAAAATGGAGGACCTATCCAGGAGATTAATCTTCAATTAATAGGGGTCCCAGAAAGAAAGAATACAGAAAACGAAGGGGAGGAAATCATTAAAGAAATGAATCAGTCAGGGTATGAAGAGAGCCATGACATGTGATATAGGATAAGGGATTTGTTTTGGGAGCTGGACTATACACAATTGTGAACCTGGTGGGGCAGTCTCTGCAGACTGCTGCCTTTGTAACTAGCATTGGGCCTAAAATCTCCATAGACTGGGCAGTTGGGAAGGAAAGCTGAATGTGGATGAGAGCAGGCACAGAGTGGAATCCAAAAAGACAAACTGGAACCCAGGTCTTTTTCTCACTGCCTCCAACCTCAATGCCACGGGTGATCTACAGTAGAATCCGGTACCCTCTCCACCACCACAGAATCACACACACACCAGCCAAAGAACTTGCAGTGTCTAAAGGAACAGTTATGGTAGAGCTAATGGAGCTGTGAGTCCAGGTGCTGCCCCAAACCAGTTAGGTGAGGCAGCAGGTGCATCAGGGCCTGGTGCTGGACACCAACCTTCAGAGCATAAAATATGGCTGCCACTTCATTTCTAGCTTCCAAATCTGCTACAAAATGGCCTTGGTGGCCAACAGTAGCCTGACACCATACAGATAAGGAAACACGAGGGGGCCTAGTTCTAGCTTAGCTAGGACAACAGTACAAAGCCACCACAAGAAATAATTCAATAACATTTATCAGGATAGAAAGATATGTTTAGCTGGGTGTGATGGCTCACACCTGTAATCCCAGAACTTTGGGAGACTGAGGCGGGCGAATCACCTGAGGTCAGGAGTTCAAGACAAGCCTAGACAACATGGGGAAACCCCATCTCTACTAAAAACACAAAAATTAGCTGGGCGTAGTAGTGCGTGCCTGTAATCCCAGCTACTCGGGAGGCTGAGGCACAAGAATCGCTTGAACTTGGAAGGCAGAGGTTACAGTGAGCCGAGATCATACCAGTGCACTCTAGCCTGGGTGACAGAGCGAGACGCTGTCTCAAAAAAACAAAAACAAAAACAAACAAAAACAGAAACAAAAAACAGAAAGACATGTTTAATTGAGTCCACAGAGCACTCTAAATAATGGATGAAAAACAGGCTCACATCAAGGCACATTGTTGTGAAATTTCAGAAAACTGGGGACAAAGAGAAAACAAATTCCCAGAAAGAAATAAAATAGGTTTCAGGCAAAGAATCATGACATCGGATGATTCGACAGCAACTCTTTTTTTTTTTTTTTTTTTTTTTTTTGTCCCTTGTGACGGAGTTTCGCTCTTGTTGCCCAGGCTGGAGTGCAATGGTGTGATCCCAGCTCACCGCAACCTCTGCCTCCCAGGTTCAAGCGATTCTCCTGCCTCAGCTTCCCGAGTAGTTGGGATTACAGGCATGCACCACCGCGCCCAGCTAATTTTTGTATTTTTAGTAGAGACGGGGTTTCTCCATGTTGGTCAGACTGGTCTTGAACTCCCGACCTCAAGTGATCCGCCCACCTCAGCCTCCCAAAGTGCTGGGATTACAGGCGTGAGCCACCACGCCCAGCCTCTCGACAGCAACTCTGAAAGTCAGAAGACAATGAAACTGTGTCTTCAAAATTCTGAAGAAAAATGACTTGCAACCTAGACTCCCACACCCAGATTATCAGTTAAAAGTAAGGGCAGAAGAAAGCATTTTCAGCAAAGGTCTGAGGAGGCCCCTGACTAATGTAATCCACCTTAGAAGAGCTGAGAGTCTGGCAGCAGGGAACCAGCAGCAGCAGGAGGTGAAGGGGCTCCTGGGAGACAGAACAGAGAGAGCCCGAGCAAGAAGCTGCTGCTGAGGCCAGGGGAAAACCAGGCCCAGCTGGAGAGCTCAGTGGATCTGCAGGGACTTCGCCGATGGGAAGCTGAAAGAATGTCTAAGTATTTAAGGACGGGTGCAGTGGCACCAGCCTGTAATCCCAACACTTTGGGAGGCTGAGGCTGGGGAGGATCCCTTGAGCCTGGGAGTTCAAGGCTGCAGTGAGCCATGATTGCACCACTGCACTCTGGCCTGGGTGACAGAGCAAGACCTTGTCTCTAAAAAATAAATAAATAAATAAATAAGAAAAGAACGTCTTTATATTTTAATGTATTGAGAGGAGACTCACAATTAGGGATTCTTTAGGTTGAATTTATGATCATCATAGAAAATACTTAGCAAACAATAAAGACACATGCACACGTATGTTTATTGCGGCACTATTCACAATAGCAAAGACTTGGAACCAACCCAAATGCCCATCAATGATAGACTGGATTAAGAAAATATGGCACATATACACCATGGAATACTATGCAGCCATAAAAAAGGATGAGTTCATGTCCTTTGTAGGGACATAGATGAAGCTGGAAACCATCATTCTCAGCAAACTATCGCAAGGACAGAAAACCAAACACCTCATGTTCTCACTCATAGGTGGGAATTGAACAATGAGAACACTTGGACACAGGAAGGGGAACATCAGACACCGGGGCCTGTGGTGGGGTGGGGAGAAGGGGGAGGGATAGCATTAGGAGATATACCTAATGTAAATGACGAGTTAGTGAGTGCAGCACACCAACATGGCACATGTATACATATGTAACAAACCTGCACGTTGCACACAGGTACCCTAGAACTTAAAGTATAATAATAAAAAAAAAAAAGAAAAAAAAAAGAAAATACTTAGCAAACAAAAAAATATGAGTATTACCTCCAGGGAAAGCAAAAATTGTACAGGAAAGACAAATATGCATAAAATACTACTGGTAAACAAATGTTTGTTCAACCATGAGGGTGTCACCTAAACCACATGCACTTCCTTGGGCCCTAGGGAGTTGGGAGGGACAGCTTCTCGTCTTTGTCACAGAGTACAGAGGAAGAGGAGCCCACCAGGACCGAAGCTTGCATTCCCAGTAAAGAAGCTGGCAGAAGGGGAGGAAGGAAGGAAGGGCTGAGGAGGAAAGAGGAGGCTCCCTGGACAGGGACAGGAATGTACACAAGGACAAAGCAGACTCAACAGGGCAGCCTGCAGGTGTTCATTTTTGAATAAGTGCTTCCAGAGAGCACATAGCAGGAGTGCAAGTAATATCTTCTGAATGCATGAATGCACGAGCAAAAGTCAGGAAGCTCTTTAAGGGCTCAGAGTCACCTTCCTGAACCCTAAGCAGAGTTAAGGTGGATGTGTTTTGAGGCTGTCATTAGGAAAAGAGTGCTGGAAGGCCAGGTTTCCCAGCAAGGCCTACGTGTGATGGTACCCTGGAGCTGCCCCTACCAGCTCTCAAGAGCTCAGTGTTAAGTTTTCAGGAAATTTACAAGCCAGTTGTAGCTCAAAACTGGCCATGGTGGGAGAATTATTAACACAGCAGAAATCCATAAAAAATTACAAATGAGGTCTTTTTAAAAATTTCAGAAAGCTGTTGTTAGGCCGGTTACAGTGGCTCACGTCTGTAATCCCAGCACTTTGGAAGGCTGAGGAGGGCAGATGGTTTGAGGTCAGGAGTTTGAGACCAGCCTGACCAACATGGTGAAACCCGGTCTGTGCTACAAATACAAAAAAATTAGCTGGGTGTGGTGGCACGTACCTGTAATCCCAGCTACTCTGGAGGCTGAAGCAGGAGAATCGCTGGAATCCGGGAGGCAGAGGTTGCAGTGAGCCCAGATCACATCACTGCACTCCAGCCCGTGCAACAGAGCAAGACTCAAACTCAAAAAAAAAAAAGAAAAAAGAAAAAGCTGTTGTTAAACATTTACCAGCACACCACAGCCTACATGTGCTAAAAGAGAGAAAAATAGACACAGACGGAGTGAATAGGGAAGGTATAGTGCTAATGTTAATTATAAAAGCTAACATTTATGGAGCAAGTACTATATGCCACATGCTAGATTTGTTGCTTTAATATAGTGTCTCACTTAATTTTGTAAAGCTCTGTGAGGGAGATAATTATTTTTTACCTACTTTACCCACATTGGGACTAAGGCCCAAAGAGACTAGTAGATTGCTTAAGGATATAAGCACCAGTAACTGGAAATCAAACTTCATGCCTCAAATTTAAAGCCCAAGCTCTTAACTATAACACCACAGTCCAGGCAATATTGCAAAGTGGTTAAGTGTGAGGATGCTGGACTGATGTGCATGGATTCATATGGTGGCTCTGACACTGACCTTGAGTGAGGTAATCAATCACTCTATGCCTCAGTTTCCTCATCTGCAAAATGGAGTGAATAATAGTATCTTCCACATGAAGTCGTACTTTCCCCACAGCCCAGCACTTAGCCTGGTACTAACAACAAAGTTAGTTGTTATTGCTTGAATTATTGACAAAGTTTGACAGTTTCTATTTTATCTATATTTGATGAGACTGACTCAAAAAAACTAACATTTGATCTCTGGAGGATGCATAAGAAATGAGTTCATTGGTAGCCCTTGAAGAGAAGTGGGGACAGATGCGGAAGGGAGGCTGAATCAGTCAAGATTTACGCAGAAACAGAAACCACACCAGTCATTTGAACAGAGAGAACTCAATATAAAGAATTGTGAATGTGATGTAAAGTTGCTAATCAGGTAACTGAAAAGGTAAAAAGAGAACGCATCAACTTTGTATAGACAGAACCACTGCAGGAAGCAGCTGCCAGCCCTGGGGCTGGAAAAACAAAAGGAAGAGTTGGAATTAAATTATTAAAACTGGGCCAGCCGCGGTGGCTCATGCCTGTAATTCCAGCACTTTGGGAGGCCGAGGCAGATGGATCATGAGGTCAGGAGTTGAAGACCATCTTGGCCAACATGGTGAAACCCCATCTCTACTAAAAATACAAAAATTAGCTGGGCATGGTGGTGGGCGCCTGTAGTCCCAGCTACTCAGGAGGCTGAGGCAGAAGAAGAATCGCTTGAACCCAGGAGGCAGAGGTTGCAGTGAGCCGAGATCGTGCCATTGTCGCCTGGCGACAGAGTGAGACTCTGTCTTAAGAAGAAAAAAAAATTATTAAAACTAAGAAGTTTGGAGAGGGGCCCTCCTATCATGTGCTGGGGCAGAGACCCCTGAGGAGGAGGGCACCAATGGCTACTGCTGGTGTCTGTGAGCAGGAGGCAATGAAGCTGATGGTAGAAAAACTACAAACATGGCCAGGCGCGGTGGCTCACGCCTGTAATCCCAACATTTTGAGAGGTTGAGGTGGGCGGATCACTTGAGGTCAGGAGTTTGAGACCAGCCTGGCCAACATGGCGAAATCCCTTCTCTACTAAAAATACAAAAATTAGCCAGGCGTGGTGGCATGTGCCTGTAATCCCAGCTACTCAGGAGGCTGAGGCAGGAGAATCACTTGAACCCTGGAGGTGGAGGTTGCAGTGAGCTGAGATCGCGCCACTGCACTCCAGCCTGGGTGACAGAGCAAGACTCCATCTCAAAAAAAAAAAAAAAAAAAAAGAAAAGAAAAAGAAAAAGAAAAACTACAAACTGGATTCGACTGCAGCTTCAGGACGGAGTTGCTGCTTCTGGGTGAAGCAGCGCTGCTGGGGTGATGTTCACGGTGAGGAGGCAGACGGGAAGCCGACAGGAAGGAGCGAGTCCCTTCTTCCTCCTCTGGCCTTACCATCTCCCTGGCACCGTTACTGGGAGAATCTAACATGAAGCAGCTGACAAAGCAGAAATGTGCTTTGCAAAGAACCCCAGCCCTAGCACCCAAAACCTGAGAACAAAAGGCTGGGCTGGGGCTGAGAAACAATAACTTAATAACTAGCACAGAGGCTCCTACCGAATACCTATTTTACCTTTTCAATTTTATTTCAGGGAAAGTGTTACTTAATTTTAAAAATACATAAAATTTAAGTTTAAAAGAAAAGGAAACCTGACATTTGTCACTGAGCTTGGCCTGTGATATATGCTTGGCCCCAATTAAGTACTTCATACACAATTATTGAATGAATGAGCGAGTGGAAAGAATTCATGCAAGCACACATTTGCAATCATTTGTCAAAAGCTACTCTGTGCATTGTTCTAGACGTTGAGGATATGGTGGGAAACAAGCACAGTGCCTACTTCCACGGTGGGGGTGGGGAGCAGACTAAACAAGTAAACAAGTAAATGCATTTATTTCAAACAGTGACAAGGAGTAGGAAGGGCATAAACATGGTGATAGTGCAGTTAGGATGGGGTATAGTGGGAGAGCACTGTGGATAGGGCAGGGCCTTCTCTGTGATGGTAATATTTAAATTGAGACCGGAGGCCAGGCGCAGTGGCTCATGCCTATAATCCCAGCACTTTGGGAGGCAGAGGAGGGCGGATCACCTGAGGGCAGGAGTTGGAGACCAGCCTGGCTAACATGGTGAAACCCCGTCTCTACTAAAAACACAAAAATCTGCCAGGCGTGGTGGCGCATGCCTGTAATCCTAGCTACTTAGGAGGCTGAGGCAGGAGAATTGCTTGAACCTGGGAGGCATAGGTTGCAGTGAGCCCAGATCACGCCACTGCACTCCAGCCTGGGCAACAGAACGAGACTTTGTCTCAATAAAAAATAAAGACTGGAAAGATGACAAAGGACCAGTCCCACAAGATCTGAAGGAAGAGAGTTGGAGGTGGAGGGAGCAGCAGCAAAGACCCTGAGACAGGGGAGAGCTTGGTGTGTTCCAGGCAGTGACTGAAGGGCTGGGGACAGGAGTGTGCTGAGGGAGAGAGAGGGCAGTATCTGAGCCATCAGAGCCCAGAGGTCCCCATCTGGATCTAGCTGGGCTTAGGAGACTATGGTAAAAGGTTTGCAGTTTACCATGATAGCATTTTTAGCGGAAGTTAAAATCAGATTTGTATTTCTCAAAGATGACCCTGGCTGCTGGGTGGAGAATGTATCACAGTGGCCAAGAGCTGAAGGAGGGTTTGTGATTGTGGATGCTGGTGAGGATGTGGAGAAAGGGAACCCTCATACACTTTTGGTAGGAATGTAAGTTAGTATGGCCACTATTGAAAACTGTGTGGAGGTTACTCAAAAAACTAAAAATAAAACTACCAGATAATCCAGCAATCCCACTACTGGGTGTTTATCTAAAATAAAGGAAATCAATACATCAAAGAGATATCTGCACTCCCATGTCTATTGCAGCACTAGTCACAATAGCCAGAATATGGAATCAGCCTACGAGCTCATCAGTTCATGAATGGATAAAGAAAATGTGGTACACGTATACCATGCAATACTATACAGCCATAAAAAAATGAAACCTGTCAATTGCAAGAATGTGGATGGAACAGGAGGTTATTATGTTAAATGAAATAAGCCAAGTGCAGAAAGAAAAATCGCATGTTCTCACTTATATAAGGAAGCTAAAAAAATGGATCTTATGAAGACAAATTGGTGGTTATGAGAGGCAGGTAAAGTTGGGAGGAGGGAGTGAAGAGAGGTTGATTAATGAGTACAAATACACTGTTTGATAGAAGAAATAAGACCCAGTACTTGATAGATCAGTAGGGTGACTATAGTTAATGGTAATCTATTGTATATTTCAGAATAGCTAGAAGAGAATAATTCAAATGTTTCTAGCATGAAGAAAAGACAAATACTGAAGGTGATGGATATCCCAATTATACTGATTTGATCTCTATAAATTATATACATGTATTAAATTATTGCATGAACCACCAAAATATATTTATTATGTATGAATAATAAAATAAAAAATGAAAAACAGTGGAAGGAAGGGACTGTATTAGTCTTCTAGGGCTGCCATAACAAATTAGCATAAACTGAGTGGCTTAAAACAACAGAAATTTATTCTCTCAGCTCTCTACAGGGCTGAAGTCTGAAATTAACATGGCAGCAGGGCCACGCTCTCTCCGGAGGCTCCAGGGAAGAATCTTGTCCCTTTCAGCTTCTAGTGGTCCCAGGTCCTCCCTGGTCTGTGGCATCCCTCCAATCTCTGCCTCTTTCTTCACGTGGCCTTCTCTCTGTGCCTTCTGCCCTGTGCGTCTATGCTTCTCTTTTTATTTATTTATTAATTTGTTTTAGAGACAAGGTCTTGCTCTGTCATCCAGGCTGGAATGCAGTGATATAATCATAGCTCACTGCAGCCTCAACCTCCTGGGCTCAAGTGATCCTCTCACCTCAGCCTCCTGAGTAGCTAGGACTCTAGGCGCATGCCACTGTGCCTAGCTCTCTCCTCTTTTGGTAAGGGCACTTGTCATTGGTCTTAGGACCCATTCGGTTAATGCAGGATGATTTTATCTTAAATTCCTTAATTACATCTGTAAAGACTTGTTTAACTAATAAGGTGACATCCACGGGGACCAGGGATTAAAAGTTGGACATATCCTTTTGAGGGGCACATTTCAACCCACTGCAGAGACCAATGAGAAGATTAATGCAGGCATGCAGGTGAAGGGCTATAGTGGATTAGAGTAGGGAAGTGACTGCAAAGATGGAAAAAAGTGGATGGGTTGGGTGGATGGTCATTAGTCAGGGTTCTCCAGAGAAACAGAAGCTATAGGAGATTATATATGTGTGTGTATGTAAGGATGTGTGTGTATATACATATATATGTGTTTATATATACACACATGTATTATATGTGTGTGTATGTGCATGCATATATATATATATATATATATCTATCATGGCTAGGCACCATAGCTCATACCTGTAATCTCAGCACTTTGGGAGGTTGTGGCCAAAGGATTGCTTGAGCTCAGGAGGTTGAGGCTGCAGTGAGCTGAGTTTATACCACTACACTCCAGCCTGAGCAACAGAGCAAGACTCTGTCTCAAATATATATATATATATGTATTATATGTGGGATTGGCTCACATGATTGTGGAGGCTGAGAAGTCCCAAGATCTGCAATTGGTAATCTGGAGACCCAGGAGAGCCAATGCATAGTTCTAGTCTGAGTCCTGAGGCCTGAGAACCAGGAGAGTTGATAGTGTAAGTTCCAGTCCAAAAGCTGGCAAGCAAACGTCCCAGCTTAAGAAGTCAGGCAGGAGGAGTTCCCTCTTATTCAGTTTCTTTTTGTTCTATCCAGGTCTTCAGCTGATTGAATGAGACCCACCCGCCTTAGAGAGGGCAATCTGCATTACTCAGTCTACCAATTCAAATCTAAATCTCATCCAGAGTGACCCTTACAGACACATCCAGGAGAATGTTTGGCCAAATATCTGGATACCCTGTGCCCAGTCAAGTTAACAGAGGAAGTTAACCATCACAGGTGGGCAGTAAGGGACAAAAGGAGGAAATAAAAATCTCATGTTCCAGGAAGAGATATATACTTGAGAGTAGCCCTATTCAGGGCCAGATGGCAGAGGTGGAAAGACAGGACCTCAGAGAAGGCAGAGGCTGGTGAATATTGCCCTACTGGAGAAGAAAGCTGAGTCACTTTAATGCTGATTACCCTCTTGCAGCATCTTTCTTCCCCCATCTCTGGAAAAGTATTTCCCTGCCAACTATGGAGGCACATTTCTCGTTTAGGAGGACATTAGTTGGCTGTGATGGCATTATCACCAAGTGAATGGATCAGTGCGAAGCTAAATTGCACTGGGCACCATCTTCTGAAACCTTTCCTCTATACCTCCAGTTCATGCAGGACTGCTCAGGGATATATAATTAGTAATGATTTATCATGCTGCCTAAATTCTGTAGCATTGCTTTTGCAATGAGAGTGGTAGTTCTTTGTTTGTTTGTTTTTTGAGATGGAGTCTCGCTCTGTCTCCAGGCTGGAGTGCAGTGGCGTGATCTTGACTCACTGCAACCTCTGCCTCTCCGGTTCAAGCGATTCTCCTGCCTCAGCCTCCTGAGTAGCTGGGACTACAGGCACGTGCCACCATGCCCAGCTAATTTTTGTATTTTTTAGTAGAGACAGGGTTTCACCATGTTAGCCAGGATGGTCTCAATCTCTTGACCTTGTGATCTGCCTGCCTCAGCCTCCCAAAGTGCTGGGATTACAGGCGTGAGCCACTGGGCCCAGCCGAGAGTGGTGATTTTTATATCAGTGAAATTAGGAGAACTATGGCTACACTATAGACCTTCCAACTTCTACCATCTTATTGTTTTCTTCTTATATTAAGATAGACTCCTCTGAGATTTTGATATATAAATATACTCTACAGAATTTCACCCCAGTATTTAGAGAGGATCTTCCTCCAAGGTCTGTTCTAGGGAAAGACACTGTATTAGTTACCTATTGCTGTGCAACAAATTACCTCACAACTTAGTAGCTTAAACAACAAACATTTATTCTCTCACAGTTTCTGTGGGTCAGGAATCCAAAAACAGCTAAAACTGTGTGGTTCTGACTGTCTCGCATGAGGTTGCAGTCTAAATGCTGGCTGGGGCTACCATCATCTGAAAGTTTGACTGGGTGTGAAGGTTGCTCTTCCAAGTCGTCTCACTCACATGGTCATTATGAAGAGACCTCAGTTCCTTGCTGGCTGGCAAGGAGGCCTAAGTTCCTTGCCGTGTGAGCCTCTCCATAGTGCTGCTTGAGTGTCCTCACAACATGGCAGTCAGCTTCCCCCAGGAAGAGTGAGCCCAGAGAGAGAGCAAGGAGGTAGCTGAAAGGTCTGTTATGATCTGAGCTTGGATGTCACACACTTCATCATTTTGGCCACATCCTGTTTGTTAGAAGTGAGTTACTAAGTCCAGCTCACATTCAAAGGGAGGGGAATTGCTACTTGAAGGGAAGAGCATCAAATAATTTGTGGGCATATTTTATATGTCCAGGTACTCTGGGAGCTTGTTTCTGACACCAAGCAGGCTCTGAGAATGGCTATTTTTTATTTAATTTTATTATTGTTATTTTTGAGATGGAGTCTTGCTCTGTCACCCAGGCTGGAGTGCAATGGCACAATCTCGGCTCACTGCAACCTCCACCTCCTGGGTTCAAGCGATTCTCCTGCCTCAGCCTCCTGAGTAGCTGGGATTACAGGCACCCACCACCATGCCCAGCTAATTTTTGTATTTTTTAATAGAGGTGGGGTTTCACCATGTTGGTCAGGCTGGTCTTGAACTCCTCACCTCAGGTGATCCACCCTCCTCGGCCTCCCAAAGTGCTGGGATTACAGGGGTGAGCCACCACACCTGGCCTGAGAATGGTTATTACACAGTAAAGGATGGATTTTATTTTATTTATTTTTTTATTTTTTGACAGGATCTTGCCCTGTCACCCAGCCTGGAGTATGGTGGTTTGGTCATAGCTCACTGAAGCCTTGACTCCCTGGGCGCAAGTGATCCTCCCACCTCAGCCTCCCAAGTAGCTGGGAACACAGGCACACACCACGATGCCTGGCTAATTGTTTTATATTTTTGTAGAGATGGGATCTCTCCATGTTACCCAGGCTGGTCTTGAACTCCTAAACTCAAGTGATGCCTCCACCTCGGCCTCCCAAAGTGCTGGGATTACAAGCAAGAGCCACTGTGCCAGGCCGAATCTTTCAGACCATGCATATTCAGAAAAACTGAGCCACAGGTTAGGATTAGATCTCTCTCCCTCCCCATGAGTTGGGTGGTAAGAACACCAATAGCAACAGCACAACAACAATAATAGTACCTATTATTTGCTGAGCACACTGGAGAATGTTCACATTTCAAGAGCAGGAGCACTGCCTGTCTAGTTCTCTATTGCCAGCACTTAAAAGCAGGTGTTAAGTGAATACTTAGGAATAAATGAATACATTTCTCATTTTAATCTCACAAGAACCTAATGAAGTAGATACTATGATTGTTCTCATTCTACACATGGAAAAACTGAGGCACAAGGAGATTAAGTAATTTGCCAGAATGACATGGCTAATAATGGTAGTTCGGATTAGAACTCCAACTATTTGACACCAAACACCACCACTACTCCCATTGGCCATAGAGAAATAGATTGATGACTCACAATTACAGAACAAATGCTGGTAACGATGGGTTGGCTTGGACTAATGGAAGATGAGGCTTGAATTAAAATAAAACACTGGATAATCCAAAAACCACTTTCATTTGGCTCAGGAATATAGCCAGAAACATATTCTCAGAGGAGCAGCTACATTCAAACCATCTGGACTTGGCTTCCATCTTTACCCAAGGCTGACATTTTCTGGAAGGGATCCTCAAAGGATGCAGCCCTGTCCCCCACTCCCCAACCAGCTGCCCTGAGCTAGTGCATCCCTGAGAGCCTCTAGAAAAAGAACACCCACAAACACTTCCAGAAGCCGTGTCCCTGTTTTTTAATCTCTCTCTTCCTGAAGTCTTGCTTGTAACTCTTGTTTTGCAAATAGCATATTTCTTCCTACCATGCCCTCAGGAAGAAAATATATTCCTTAATTTGAATAAACAACCTGTGATTCACGTTGGAGGGACTCTGTATGAGGACCAGAGAAAGGTCCATTTCCCAACACGTGCTGGAGGGGCCAGCTGAGAGTTGTTTGTGTCACAGGATTAAACTCCAGCTCATATTCTGACTTATTAAATATACCCAAGTCTTTTGGTTTCTCAGAGCCCTTCCTGCCAACTGCAGCAACCACAGGCGGATACCACTGTGAGCACAGCCCAGATGTGGGAGCGCGAGTGAGTGGAGAGAAATGCTGGGAAGACCAGCCGAAGCTTCAAACACAGGGCAGGCCTCCCTCAAGTGGAAACCTGGAGTCGGCGTGGCTGCCGCTCGGCTCTGGTCCTGACCCAGTGAGTGATAGGCAAGGTACCCACTCTTTCTGGACTCAGTTTCCTTCTCAAGAATTCGGAGATAACTGCAGGGCCTTCCTTCTCCGAGGAGTGAGGTAAATATGCCAAAGGAAGCTCACTCCAATGTGGATAAAGACAAAAGGGTGAATTGGCTCTGAGAGTCTCATGGGTTGAATCTGACTTGTGGACGTTTTTCAAAAAAACCAGCCTGGGCCCGGTGGCTCATGCCAGTAATCCCAGCACTTTGGGAGGCCAAGGGGGCCGGATCACCTGAGGTCAGGAGTTCAAGACCAGCCTGGCCAACATGGCAAAACCCCGTCTCTAGTAAAAATACAAAAATTAGTTGGGTGTGGTGGCGGCTGCCTGTAATCCTAGCTACTCGGGAGCCTGAGGCAGGAAGAATTGCTTGAACCCGGGAAGTGGAGGTTGTAGTGAACCAAGATCATGCCATTGTACTCCAGCCTGGGTGACAGAGCGAGACACCATCTCAAAAAAAACAAAACCAAATGTTCCCCAAATTTAAATTAGTTGCTAATATTAAAAAACAAAGAGGTTTTACTTTTTAAAAAATTCAGATACCCAAGAATTGGAAAATCTGACATCAGACAGGTTGCATCCCCAAAGGGTACAATGAACCAAAGCTAAGTACTGGCTAGCACTGACTTTAGACAGGGCAGAATCTTACCAGTTTACCACAGTCTCCACCACTCTCTGTTGTCAACCCTATTTTACATTCATCATTATCTAAATGTAACTTAAGTATTTTATTTGATTTTTCATATGTCAAAATTATAAGGTTTCCTTCCAGATTTCCTGTTTGTAAAATTTCACATAGTTCATTAAAGCTGAGCTTAGAGGATGTTCTCGCTTTGCAGATACTTTGTGTGTATGTTAGTTTGTTGACTGGATAATCCTGGTTCTTATAAACTTTTGGGTTTGGAGTTTTTACCATAACTCCAGAGGTAGCTGGCCAGCCTGAGAAGTGGCAGAGTACTAAGAGAAGAGAGGATACAGAGGGAATGTATGGCCCATACTCCACTCAGCCTTAAGATTAAGATCTAGGCTGGGTGTGGTGGCTCACACCTGTCATCCCAGCACTTTGGGAGGGAGGCCAAGGTGGTTGGATCACCTGAGGTCAGGAGTTCGAGACCAGCCTGGCCAACATGATGAAACCCCATCTGTACTAAAACTACAAAAAATCCGCCAGGTGTGGTGGTGCACGCCTGTAATCCCAGCTACTTGGGAGGCTGAGACTAGAGAATCACTTGAACCCGGGAGGCAGAGGTTGCAGTAAGCCAAGATCATGCCATTGCACTCCAGCCTAGGCAACAAGAGTGAAACTCTGTCTAAAAAAAAAAAAAAAAAAATTCCACAGTCACATGAGACCTGGACTAGACTTAAGTGGATGGGGATGGAAAGGAGGTAGTCTTTGCCACACTTAAGGTTTTTTTTGTTTGTTTTTTGTTTGTTTGTTTTTTTGAGATGGAGTCTCGCTCTGTCACCCAGGCTGGAGTACAGTGGCATGATTTCGGCTCACTGCAACCTCTGCCTCCTGGGTTCAAGCAATTCTCCTGCCTCAGCCTCCTGAGTAGCTAGAATTACAGGCATGCGCCACCACGCCTGGCTAATTTTTTTTGTATTTTTAGTAGAGACAGGGTTTCACTATGTTGGCCTGCCTGGTCTCAAACTCCTGACCTCAGGTGATCCTCCCGCCTCGGCTTCCCAAAGTGTTGGGATTACAGACGTGAACCACCACACCCCGGGCTGCCACACTTAAATTTTTTTTTTTTTTTTTTTGGAGATGGAGTCTCACTCCATCACCCGGGCTGGAGTGTGGAGTGCAGGGGTGCGATCTCGGCTCACTGCAACCTCTGCCTCCCAGGTTCAAGCAGTTCTCCTGCCTCAGCCTCCCAAGTAGCTGGGACTAGAGGCACATGCTGCCATGCCCAGCTAATTTTTTTGTATTTTTAGTAGAGACAGGGTTTCACCGTGTTGCCCAGGCTGGTTTCCAACTCCTGAGCTCAGGCAATCTGCCTTCCTTGGCCTCCCAAAGTGCTAGGATTACAGGCGTGAGCCACCGCGCCCGGCCACACTTAGATTTTAATCCAGCACAGGAGTCAGCAAACCTTGGCCAGTGAGATGGTCACCTGTGGGTTTTTTTTTTTTAACTTATTTATTTTTCTGCTTGAAGGGGACAAGCAAAGTCACCTATTTTTGAGAATAAAGTTTTATTGGAACACAGCCATACCCATTTATTGCCATATTGTCTATGGTTGCTTTTGCCTTAGGAAGGTGGCATTGAGTAGTGTCAACAGAGACCACGCAGCTGGCAAGTCTAATATGTTTACTATCTGCCCTTTTATAGAAAATGTTGCCAAGCCCTGATGTAGTACCTTGGGTTGCTAGGAACAGAGGCCCACCCAGGTTAGCTCTGTTTGTGGTCAGAACGTAACAGGAAATGTGCTAGATGCCAAGGGCATGAGCTACAGAAAAATCAGGCCTTGGCCAGGCGTGGTGGCTCACGCCTGTAATCCCAGCACTTTCAGAGGCTGAGGTGGGTGAATCACCTGAGGTCAGGAGTTCGAGACCAGCCTGACCAATATGGTGAAACCCCGACTCTACTAAAAATACAAAATTCGGCCAACGCGGTGGCTCATGCCTGTAATCCCAGCACTTTGGGAGCCCAAGGCAGGCGGATCACAAAGTCAGGAGATCGAGACCATCCTGGCTAACACAGTGAAACCTCGTCTCTACTAAAAATGCGAAAAATTAGCCGGATGTGGTGGCGGGCGCCTGTAGTCCCAGCTACTTGGGAGGTTGAGGCAGGAGAATTGCTTGAATCCAGGAGGCGGAGCTTGCAGTGAGCCGAGATCGAGCCACTGCACTCCAGCCTGGGTGACAGAGTGAGACTCCATCTCAAAATAAATAAATAAATAAAATAAAATAAATAAAAAATATAAAATTAGCCGGGCATGGTGGCACATGCCTGTAATTCTAGCTACTCAGGAGGCTGAGGCAGGAGAATTGCTTGAACCTAGGAGGTGGAGGTTGCAGTGAGCCGAGATCGTGCCATTGCACTCCAGCCTGGGCAACAAGAGCGAAACTCCATCTGGAAAAAAAAAGAAAAAGAAAAATCAGGCCTCAAGAAAGCTAAATCCCACAGGTTTTCCTTGTGGGATTTCTGTTTCTCTCTCTTTCTTCTCTGCTCTTTTTCCACTGCCAACCTTCCTCCACTTACTTTGTCTGTCCTCAGCTTGCACCAAGCTCCTCAGGACTACCCAGGCCCCATCTACATCATGCAATTCCCCAAATGGCCTTTCAGCTTTGGTTTCCATTGCTAATGGCCCCAGCCTCTGAGTTTCCCAATTCTAAACTCCCAGGGGAGGAATTTGATTGGCCCAGATCATCTTTTCAAGTCTATGGGCCTTGGAGATTCTTAGCTAGCCTGTGGCTGCCCCCTCCTCTCAGTCAGGGCTCTGTCCCCCTGCCATCAATATCAGTGACCATGGAGCATTGTCCCATGGAGCAGAAGGTGTTGTCCACTTAGCAGGGGTGGCAGGCATAGAGCCCTCATTTAGAAGGGAGTGCAGCAGGGCAGGAACACTTAGCTAACTCAACTTGTGAAAGACCTGGTCATTTATCAAAATCAAAGGTCATTCTTCTAGCTTGCTTATTCACAACATTGACTGAAAAGTGAAAGTCTGAATTATCAACATGCCCACTATGAGAGGTGGTACAGAGTCCTCCTGAAGTTTGCAGATGGGTATAAGGTCAGCAGAGGGAGAGAAGAGCCAGATCAACTGCCATCAATTGGTGGGATTTCAGACATTAGAGCCTTCTCCTCTCTAAACTGGCAGGAGAAGAAGGGGCAGGAGGAAACCTAGCCTGGCAGAACTTGTTCTGGTTCCGCCACAAACAAACCGGTGATGAATGCGTTACTTTCCTTCCTCCCACCTCACCCCAGGCCTCAGTTTCCCCACTGATTGAAAGCTTAGAGCCTTCCCAGTGATGATCAAACTGTGCCCTGCAGCACCAGCACTTGGAGGGCTTGTGACAACACATGCTGCTGGTTCCTACCCCTGGAGTTTCTGGCCCAGCAGGTCTGGGTTGGGGCCTGAGAATCTGCATTTCTAACAAGTTCCCAGGACTTGCTGATGCAGAGGACCCAAGCCCACACTTGGAGGGCCCCTGGTCTAAATCATCGCTAAGGCTCCTTCCAGCCATGGCACCCTGGTTCTAGTCTGCTCCTGGGGTTAGGTTTGGTGAGATTCCTGGTCAGTGTGGAGCACTGGGATTGTGTGCCAGGGAAACCTCTTGCTTGTGTTAAGAGGCCTTTCCTGAGCTGAGTAGAGATCTGATTGTGCCCCCCCCCCCCCCGCCACTACCACCTTTTTTTGCCTCTCACCACCACAAGGACCATTTTACCAGAGAGTCCTGGGCTCCAGAAATACCCAGCCGCCTTCCCAGTCTGCTGGAAAATGTTGACTTTCTGTTTCCCTCCTTGGCCAAATTTTGTGGGCAGCGTGGCTCCCCGACACGTAGGCCGCACAATTGGCTCTCACAACTCACTTCCTCAAAGGTGATCCCATGTCGTTCTGCTGTCCATGATAAACAGCTCCAGACTGGGCAGCCCAAACCCAGGGGAAAGCCAGCCTGCTGTGGATCTGGAAAGTTCCCCACAGGCAGAGAGATGGCAGCTGTTTCTCTGGCCCAGGCTGAGGCCAAGCCACAAGCTGGGAGGACAACTTGGAGCTCAGGCGTCCAACCAGGGCTGCAAATTGCCCCTGCAGGGCCCGGCCGAGTCTGAAGGAGCCAGAGGAGGCGGAACTCTGAGTGACGGCTGAGTGGGGAGACACCCTTCATCATCTTGCTAAGTCACTAAGAGGTTTCTGAAACAGGTGGCTCAAATTTCCTTGAAAACCCAGAATAATCCCCCATTTGAAGTGTGCGCGAATCTTGTTGTCACCACCTAGTATTAATGGGCAGGCACCGCAGAAGGGAAAAGGGGTTTTCGGCTGCATTTTTGCACACTGACTTGCCTGACAAGCTCAATAAAAGCTTAAACAAATATTAAAAAACACACAGAGAGTCAGGCTGGTTTAAATTAACTTCCCAAGCACTTCACCTACTGTAGGAAGAAATTATAACAAAATGTCAGAGCAAAAATAAACCGCGCATGGAAATAAAAATAAAACATGAAATGCCCTCTTACAACTAACTGTTCAGTACGATTTAGTTCATAACAACATATCATTGTACATGAAGTTTTCATAGTCCTAAAGTGTATTTGGGCATTAGGAATGTTGACTTTGAAAATTTCATATTTTACACGTTGGGAATCTGTCCCTTTCCCAGAAGTCTTATAGATGTAAACCACTTTAAAACCAAACCAAAAAAAAATTCTCTGTTAACTCTGAAATAATTCTTCCACATAGAATATGCTACTTGACTTATGACCCCAAATTCCATTTCTCTTAGGTGTTCGCATCCTTAGCCTGCTGCGTAGGCTCCACAAAGACCCTGCTCCTCAGTCTTGGAGAAGAAGGAAAGCGTTTGGGGTTGAGATATGACAGGTTCAACTCTGGCCATCTTGAAATCTCACCCAGAGGTGGAGTTTGTGAAGGGGAAAGATCCTTTGTAATCCTTGAGCTGTGGCTTGTTAAATCCTCCAACCTCAGTGCTTATACTGAGCTGGATATACAGGTGCTTCTTGATTTACAATGCAGTTATCTGCCGATAAACCCACTGTAAGTTGAAAATGTCGTAAGTGGAAAACCCATTTAACACACCAACCTTACCAAATATCATAGCTTAGCCTAGCCTACCTTCAACACTTACAGTGCTCAGAACACTTACATTAGCCTACAGTTGGGTGAAATCATCTCACACAAAGCCTATTTTATAACAAAGTGTTGAATACCTCATGCAACTTATTGACTACTGTACTGAAAGTGAAAAACAGAATGGTTGTATGGGTACTCGAAGTACAGTTTCTACTGAATGCGTGACACTTCTGCGTCACCGTAAACTAAAAAAAATCATAAGTTCAACCATCATAAGTCGGGGAGTATGTGCCCTGAAAGATTAAAGGAGAGGGATGCTTGGAGATCTCTTTCCAGGATAGAATTAAGAGACAGAAGGAAAGCAGGGGAAGGACAGAGAAAGGAAAGGAAAGGAGAAGGTAGGAAGGGAGGGAAGAGGAAGAAATTTCAGAAAGGAGGGGAGAAAAGAGGGGAAAGAGAAAGAAGAGAAAATTTAAAAAGCAAGGAAGAGGCCTGGCGCGGTGGCTCACGCCTGTAATCCAGTACTTCGGGAGGCCGAAGCGAGCTGATCACTTGAGGTCAGAAGTTTGAGACCAGCCTGGTCAACGTGGCAAAACCCTATCTCTATTAAAAATACAAAAATTAGCTGGGCATGGTGGCACACGCCTGTATTCCCAGCTATTCGGGAAGTTGAGACAGGAGAATCTCTTGAACCAGAGAGGTGGAAGTTGCAGTGACCTGAGATTGCGCCACTACACTCCAGCCTGGGCAACAGAGTGAGACTCTGTCCACCACCCCACACCCACCCCCGAAAAAAATTAAGGAAGAAAAGATGGAAGGAAGGAGGGAGAAAGGCAGGCAACTGGGCATTTCCTGCCCAGTTCATTCATCTTGTAAAAGTTCTTTCACAGGCTGGTAACTCCTACTTGGTTTGTTAAGCCAAGCTGATACACCCTGGCTTTCTAGCCAGGCAGAGTGTGGGGGCTGAGAAAGACTTTGTGGGCCTACGTGTCCCTTCTTCCCCTGCCAGATTTCTGTCACACCTCAAAGGTGATTTTCTTTTCTTTTTCTTTTTTTTTAAAGACGGAGTCTCGCTCTGTCGCCCAGGCTGGAGTGCAGCGGTGCAGTCTCAGCTCACTGCAGGTTCAAATGATTCTCCTGCCTCAGCCTCCCAGGTAGCTGGGATTACAGGCACATGCCCAACTAATTTTTGTATTTTTAGTAGAGACAGGGTTTCACCATCTTGGCCAGGCTGATCTTGAACTCCTGAACTTGTGATCCGCCTGCCTCAGCCTCCCAAAGTGCTGGGATTACAGGAGTGAGCCACCACGCCTGGCCTCAAAGGTGATTTTCTGGGCAAGAGTTTTCTGGCAGGGACTGGGTGGCGCAGCCTGGTAGGGTCTTCCGTGTCTGCCTCCCAGCCAGAGTTTCCATGGGAGACCCTTACTGGCCTCAGAAAAGCCAGCTTCCCCTTCCTCTGGTGTTTTCTGGGGGGCTCCCACAGAGTGCTCCTGCATCAGAAAGGAGAGCCAGAGGCACCCCAGGAGAGCAATGAGAAGGAAACATGCAGCCGTTTGGCGCATGTAAGGATACGCAGGTGTAAGTACGTTAAGTGGTGTCTCCATATGTAGACGCATGTATGGGTGCCTGTGTATCTTTCCTGGTGAGCTAATTACCACCTTCCCGAGAGCCTGGGAAGTGACTCACTATCTGGCAGAGTATGGACAGCCATGCCAGGGACTCAGGCCCAGCCATCCCTCCAGAATGGACTGGAGGCTGTAGAGAACCACACAGATCCAGCGTGCCAAGGTCCAGTCCAAACAGCAAACAGATGAAAAAATGCAACTTATTTCTCTAATCTGCTTGTGCTGATCGTGCCAGAAACAAATACCAGCAGGCCTGGATAAAATGTTTCTGTTCATTTGCCTCGGCTCTGAGCCACCAGCCTCAGAGTGGAAGGAAAAAGAGCAGATTCTGGGGGTGTTTTGTCTGGCTTGCTGGGCCCTTCTGCCCCTTTCCCCTCTGGAAAGGAGGGACGTGGCGTTATCTGGAGCCCCCCACACTCAAGACCTGAAACAGCCCCTTCAGTTTCCCACAAACAAGTTTCAGAAGCGGAAACTGGTGGTGGCTCCCCAGGGTAGAAATTGAGAGCTCAACACTAAACCACTTCCTTTGCCTGGTAACAATGCATGAGGAATTTCCACAAATCCCCTTAGTTGTCATGGCTTCCGCTCCTCAACCTGGGAGAAGACAGCCTGGGACATTCCACCTCCCACCTCCAACCTCTTTTGATCTATTTGGCTCCTGGAGGGGCTTGGAGATCAACAACATACATTTCCCTTCCCTATTTTTCCACCAGGAGACAAGAAACATCCAAGTCTGACCAAGCGTGAGAAGAAGCCCAGCCCAGCCCAGCCCTGCAGCATCACCAAGGGCTGTTTTCTAGGTTTGGAGAAGAAAGGAGCTTAAAGGAAGGGGTTGCGGACAACCCAGGAAGTAGAGTACAGTGCTAAGGGTGTGACCTTGTAGAGTCAAACAGACCTGGGCCCATGAATGGTCTCCACCACTTTTGAGCTGTGTCGCATTGGGAGGTGACCTGAGCTCTCTGATAATCAAAGGTCCTCAAAAGATGGTCATGAGGGGCCAATGACAGAGGTGTTTTGTTTTTTTTTTGTTTTTTTTTTTTTTGAGACGGAGTCTTGCTCTGTCGCCCAGGCTGGAGTGCAGTGATGTGATCTCAGTTCACTACAACCTCCGACTTCCTGGTTCAAGCAATTCTCCTGTCTTAGCCTCCCGAGTAGCTCGGATTACAGGCGCGTACCACCACGCCCAGCTAATTTTTGTATTTTTAATAGAGACAGGGTTTCACCATGTTGGCCAGGATAGTCTTGATCTCCTGACCTCGTGAACCACCCGCCTCGGCCTCCCAAAGTGCTGGGATTACAGGCGTGAGCCACCGTGCCTGGCCAATGACAGAGGTTTATAAAGCACTTAGCACTCTGCTGACAATCAGTAAGCACTTGATCACTGTGAGCTGCTGCTGCAGTGACCCCAAAGGTCTACTCCCTTGAGACTCTTCAGCCTTTCACAGCAGAACCTCAGTGCCCCTCACCTGCCATGAGGGTTATAGGTCTATGTGCACACAGACCACAGCCACCATGTGCTCCAGCCCATAAAGACCCTTAGAAAAACACCCGGTGTGCATGCCAATGTCCATGCCAGCAGTGCTTCCCACACATGCTCCTGGAGCTTCCTGCCCATTCTCAGGGTACCAGTGGAGTGCTGGGTTCTGAGCAGAGGCCAGGAGAATGAGGCCCTGCCAAGCTCTGGACCTCACTCAGCCACCGGAGATCAGGGCAACTGTGCTTGTGTCAGAACTGGTCTAGCCTCAGTCCCTCATTTTCAAAGTGTGCTGGGAAGAATCACCACCTTATTGGAGCCTCAGATCCTCCACCTGGAAAATGGGATGGTGTTATGAACTAAATTGTGTTTCCCCAAACACAATTCATATGCTGAAGCCCTAACCCCCAATGTGACTGTATTTATGGAGATAGGACCCAAAAGGAGGCAGGAGGGGTTAAATGAGGTCATAGGCTATGGTTTTAATCAGATAGGACTGGTGTCCTTATAAGAAGAAGAAGAGACACCAGAGACTCTCTGTCTTGGTGTGTGCACAGAGAAGAAGCCATGTGAGGAAACAGCAAGAAGGTGACCATCCGCAAGCCAAGAAGAGAGGCCCCACCAGAAACCAACCTGGCCAGCACCTTGATCTTGGACTTCTAACCTCCAGAACTGTGAGAGAATAAATTTCTGTTGTTTAAACCACATAGTCTATGGTATTTTCTTATGGCAGCCCAAGTAGCCTCATATAAAGAGGTGGACTGAATCGGCACCCTGTGAAGGAAGAGTGTGCATTAGAGGGGCCCCAGCGACCAGCCACCATGGAAGGCAGGCACAGGGGGGCTGGGGAGATGGGCTCCTGATCCTCCATACCCATATCATTGGAGACGGCATATATCATGGCTAGGGTTTATATATATATATATATTGGGGTTTAATTACCTATTTTTTTTTTTAAGAAACTTCTCTTGCTGAATAATTTTTTGAAACCACCGGACTGAAGGATTTCTCATCCCTGTGCTGAAGAATTGTGGAGTCACAGGACTCAGGGACCTGCCCAGATTTAAGGGTCTGTGACTTGGGAGAAATCTTGGTTTCCAATATTAATGGAACATTTAGCCGGAACCAGGCTGCCTTACACGCTTTACACACATTAACACATTCAATCTTCTCCTAAGCCCTCCAAGATAGGTCTGCTTGTCATCACCATTTTGCGGATGAAGAAACTATGGCTCAGATGGGTTCACTCACTTGCTCAGGGTCATGCAGAGTGAGCTGTTTGATTCTAAAGCCCATGTCTATCTTCCACCATCCTTGAAGAAGGGAGAGGAAGTCACTAGGTAGTCATTCTGTCAGCAAGTATCACCCGCAACCCCATGTAGCCAAAAACCTGCCATATATAGTGAGGAATCTCCTCATACCATCTCAGGATCTCAGGACATAAGTCAAGGGGTTGGTTTCCTAATTCTCCTTGGAATTCTATGTATCTCATAAACATGGGTTCAGATCTGTTGTTCCAACGTATTTTTGCATTTTATGCTACATATTTGGATTAGGACTTTTTAAACACTAAAATGAATTTATATAAAGTGAGTAGATTGTCATTTTGAACTCAGTGTTTCTTAATGTTTTCTTACTGGACCTGCAGGATGAACAATGCCTCATTAAACATTCCAGACATTCAAGAAAGGATGAGTGGAATAAAACTGTCATTATTTGCGGAGGAAGGATTAGCTACATAGAAACCCCAAAATAATATGCAGATACAGCGTTTGAATTAATAAGAGAGGTCTGCAAGATTGCTGGATACAAGAATCATTTGCATTTCTATAGAATTTCTATACATCAGCAACAATCAGTTGCAAAATGTAAATTTCTTATAAAGATGCCCATTTCTAATAGGCACCAAAACATTTTTAAGCACCTAGGAATGAACACCAAGGATTCCCACACACAGAGAAAAGTCTACATAATGACACAGAGATAAGGTGGACATCTGAAAGCCAAGAAGAAAGCCTCAGAAGAAATCAACCCTCCTGGCATATTGTTCTTGGACTTTCAGCCTTTAAGACAGTGAGAAAATAAATTTCCATTTTTTAAAAAGTACTTAGAGGCCAGGCACGGTGGCTCACACCTGTAATCCTCGTACTTAGGAAGGCCAAATTGGATGGATTGCCTGAGCTCAGGAGTTCGAGACCAGCCCAACATGGTGAAACCCTGTCACTACTAAAATACAAAAAATCAGCTGGGCATGGTGGCGTACACATGTAGTCCCAGCTACTCAGGAGGATGAGGCACAAGAATTTCATGAACCTGGGAGGCAGGGGTTGTAGTGAACTGAGATTGTACCACTGCACTCCAGCCTAGGTGACAGAGTGAGACTCTGTCTCAAAAAAAAAAAAGGACTTGGGAATAAATCTATAAAAGATACACAAAACTGTCTTAGTCCATTTTGTATTCCTATAAAGGAATACCCAGGGCTGGGTAATTTATATATTAAAAAAAAGGCTTATTTGGCTCATGATTCTCATGACTGGAAAGTTCAAGATTGGGCATCTGCATCTGGTAAGGGCTTCAGACTGCTTCCACTTACGGTGGAAGTTGAAGAGGAGCTGGTGTGTGCAGAGTTCGTATGTCGAAAGAGGAAGCAAGAGTGTGAGAGGGGAGGGGGATGCCAGGCTCTTTTTAACAACCAGCTCTTGAGGAAACTAATGAGTGAGAGTGAATGAGTGAGAACTCATTCACTCCCCAGCCACACCTCAAGGAGGGCATTAATCTAGTCATGAGGAACCTGCCCCCATGACACAAACACCTCCCATTAGCCCCTACCTCCAACATCGAGAATCAAATTTCAACATGAGGCTTAGAGGGGTCAAACACCCAGAACTCTTTATGGAAAAATGATCAAGCTCTAAATGCTACTTTTAAAAGTGGGAGGATCACTGAGGAGTTTGAGACCAGCCTGGGCAACACAGCAAGATCCTATCTCTATAAATTTTTTTTTTTTTCAATTAGCCAGATGTGGTGACATGTACCTATAGTCCCAGCTACTTGGGAGGTTGACGGAGGAGGATCACTTGAACCCAGGAGTTCAAGGCTGCAGTGAGTATGATCATTCCACCATACTCCAGCTTGGGTGACAGAGTGAGATCTTGGTTCGGGGGTGGTGGGGGGTGGGTGGCGGGGAAAGCCCTAAATAAATGAAGAGAAATGCAATGTTCTTAGGTAAAAAGATTCAATATCATAACTGTCAATTGCCTTTAACGCAACACCTGTAAAAATCCCAACAGGCTTTTTTTTTTTTTTTTGAGATGGAGTCTCGCTCTGTGCCCAGGCTGGAGTGCAGTGGCGCGATCTTGGCTCACTGCAAGCTCCACCTCCCGGGTTCACGCCATTCTCCTGCCTCAGCCTCCTGAGTAGCTGGGACTACAGGCCCCTGCCACCACGCCTGGCTATTTTTTTTTTATTATTAGTAGAGATGGGGTTTCACCGTGTTAGCCAGGATGGTCTCGATCTCCTGACCTTGTGATCCGCCCGCCTCGGCCTCCCAAAGTGCTGGGATTACAGGCGTGAGCCACAGCGCCCAGCCCCAACAGGCATTTTTAAGAGACTTGAAAAGCTATTTCAAAAATGTATATAGAAGAGCAACTGTCCAAGAATGTCAAGGCACTTATGAAAAAGAGTAAATTGAGGGGAACCTACCCTACCAGATACCATGATTTAACTTACCATTGAGACTGTAGTAATAAAAATGATGTGGTATTGGAAAGGGATGGACACATAGATCAATGGACCAGAACAGAGAACCTAGAACAATATCCATGTATATATGGAGACTTGATTTATGACTCAGTGGGCATTTCAGATATTGGGTAAAGCCTGGACTATTTAATAAATGGTGCTGAGACACTTGGTTAATTAAATAGAAAAGAGTGGCCAGCTCAGTGACTCACACCTGTAATCCCAGCACTTTGGGAGGCCAAGGTGGGCGGATCACCTGAGTTCAAGAGTTCAAGACCAGCCTGGCCAACATGGCGAAACCCTGTCTCTACTAAAAATACAAAAAAATTAACTGGGCATGGTGGTGTGAGCCTGTAATCCCAGCCACTCCAGAGGCTGAGGCAAGAGAATCGCTTGAACCCAGGAGGCAAAGGTTGCAGTGAGCCGGGATCCCACCATTGCACTCCAGCCTGGGCAATAGAACAGGACTTCATCTCAAAAATAAATAAATGCAAATAAATAAATAAACAAATAAATAAAATAGAAAAAAGCAAAATTGCATCCCTGCCTCATACTATATACCAAAAAATCCATTCTAGGACTTAAATATGAAATGCAAAACTATAAAACCTTTAAAAGGCAACAGAGAGAAATACTGTTATATGCTTAAGAATGGGGAGAATTTTTTAAACAAGAACAGAAGCCCAAACTATAAAGGAAACAATTGATAAATTCAACTACATTTTTAAAAGAGAGAGTAAAAAGATAACTTAGGCCAGGTACGGTGGCTCACGCCTGTAATCCCTTTGGGAGGCCAAGGCGGCCGGATCACCAGGTCAGGAGTTCGAGACCAGCCTGGCCAACATAGGAAAACCCCGTCTCTACTAAAAATACAAAAATTAGCCGGGTGTGGTGGCACGTGCCTGTAGTCCCAGCTATTCGGGAGGCTGAGGCAGGAGAATCGCTTGAACCCTGGAGGTGGAGGTTGCAGTGAGCCGAGACCACACCATTGCACTCCAGCCTGGGTGACAGAGTGAGACTCCATCTCAAAAAAAAAAAAAAACAAAAAAAGAGATAACTTATTGGGAAAGAGATAACTTATTGGGAAAGGATATTTGGGACATATTTAAATAACAAAGGATTAGTATGGAGAATATATAAAGTATTCCTACAAACCAAAAAGAAAAAGCAAAAATAAATTATAAACATGAGCAAAAGCCTTGAAAAAGCCTTTCAAAGGGGAGGAAATACAAGTGGCTCATTAGCATGTGAAAATATACTTAACCTCATTAGTAATCAGAGAAATACAAATTAAAACCTTGATGAAGCCAGGTGTGATGCCTCATGCCTGTAATCCCAGCACTTTGGGAGGCCCAGCTAGGAGGACGGTTTGAGGCCAGGAGTTTGAGACCAACCTGGGCAACATAGTGAGACCCCATTTCTACAAAAAATAAAACAAACTATCCAGCTGCAGTAACACGCTCCTATAGTCCCAGCTACTTGGGAGGCTGAAGCAGGAGGATTGCTTGTGCCCAGGTGTTCAAGGGTGCAATGACCTATATGATCATGCTACTGCATTCCAGCCTGGGTGACACAGACCCTGTCTCAAAAAAAAAAAAAAAAAAAAAAAAAAAATTCCTTGAGGAGATACTCTTCCACACTTACCCAACTGACTACAATCAGAAAGCCAGACAAGGCCAGGTCTTGGAGCAACAAGAACAGGATGTGGAGCAACAGAACTGCTCTCCACCACTAATAGTAGAATAAACTGGTAAAACCACTTTGGAAAAGAGCCTCGCCTTAGCTAATAAAGACAAATATGCACATGTTCTACTACCCAGCAATTCCAGTCCTATGTTATGCACTCTAGAAAAACTCCTGCCCAAGGGTACCAGGAGGTATGCACAGATGTTCATGGCAGGGTTTTTCAGCAGGGTCAGGACCAGAAGGAGGAAGAACGGCTCCTAGGGCAAAAAACTTAAGGTGGTACTCCCCTACTCCCCTTCAGGACTGTTGTAGGTTGTGGTCTCTAATATTGCACGCGCAGTGTTGATAGCAAGCTGAATGATAGCCCTTCAAAAGTACATCTGTGTCCCAAAACCTGTGCATGTGACCTTATTTGGATAAAGGGTTTTTGGAGATGTAATGAAGTTAAAGATCTGAAGATGAAATCATTCTGTTTTTTGTTTGTTTGTTTGTTTGTTTTGAGACGGAGTCTCACTCTGTCACCCAGGCTGGAGGGCAGTGGTGCGATCTCGGCTCACTGCCAGCTCCGCCTCCTGGGTTCACGCCATTCTCCTGCCTCAGCCTCCCGAGTAGCTGGAACTACAGGCGCCTGCCACCACGCCTGGCTAATTTTTTGTATTTTTAGTAGAGACGGGGTTTCACCGTGTTAGCCAGGATGGTCTCGATCTCCTGACCTCGTGATCCACCCGCCTCGGCCTCCCAAAGTGCTGGGATTACAGGCGTAAGCCACCGCGCCCGGCCTGAAATCATTCTGGATAGACTGGTTGGGTCCTATATTCAATGACAAGTGTCCTTAGAAGAGACACACAGAAGAGGGACACAGGGAGAAGAGGGGAAGGCCATGTGAAGGCCAAGGCCGAGGTTGTAGTCATGCAATCATAAGCCATGGGCCAAGGACACTTGGAGCCACCAGAAGCTAGAAGAGGCAAGGAAAGAGTCTCTGCTAGAGCCTTTGAAGGAGTATGGCCCTGCCAACACCTTGATTACAGACTCCTGGCATCCAGAACTGCGAGAAGAAAAATTTCTGTTGTTTTAAGACACCAAGTTAGCAATAATTTGTTATGGCAGCACTAGGAAACTAGTGTGACTTCCCTCTTCCTCACCCTAGTCCCAGGCCTGTTGCTCAGGATAGTAAAAAAATGAAACAACTCTAATGTCCATCAACAGTGGAATACATGAATAAATTGTGGTGCTATTTATAATGGAATATTTTAGCAGAATGAATGAACTGCAGCTATGTAGATCAGTTAGGATGGGCCTCGAAACCAATGTTGAGTGAAAGAAGCAAATCAGAGAAAACTACAGTGTATGATTCCATGTATACATTTCAAAAATGAGTAAAAGGATACAATGTATTGTTTAGATTTGCATGCACAAATGGTAAAACTATAAAGAAAGCAGGTGATTTATCAACACAAAACAGTGGGTGCTTCTGGGAAGGAGGGACATGTGCTCAGAAAGAGGCACTCGGGGCTTGTAAGGCTGCAGTGTTTAAGCTGGCTACTGGGTGCCGTGGTAGTTCTTGTATTATTCCTCTTTACATTCTATATCTTGCATTTAATATGCTTTTTGATATCTTCAATATAGTTTGTAATGAAAATTAACAAAGCAAGTATAGGCTATGGAAATTAACATGCATGGTATAGTATGCTGTGTCTCTTCTTAGATGAAAGATCCCATAAGATACGGGCTAGTTAGATTGTGAGTCAGCCTGTCAATCAGTCATCTAACACGTATGCACCAAGCTCTGGTACAGTGTGAGGCTCTGGGTTCCATAACGAAGTAACACATTTTAGGGAAAGGTAATGGGAGTGGAGACAAGAGAGAACACACAATGATTTATTTGCAAAATTAATTTTTAAATCCAAAAATGTGTTTAAGGGCCATGACTTACAACATTTTCTGTTACTCAAAGTCTTAAACCTTTCCAGGATTGATACATGAAAACAGTTCAAAGGTGGGAGTTTGAACACATGCATTCCAAAAGCCCGCTAGAGTAAGATGAAGGGAATTAAAAAAAAAAACAAAAAACCCAGGCCAGGCACAGTGGCTCACGCCTGTAATCCCAGTACTTTGAGAGGCCGAGGCAGGCGGATCACCTGAGGTCAGAAGTTCGAGACCAGCCTAACCAACATGGATAAACCCCATCTCTACCAAAATACAAAATTAGCCAGGCGTGGTGGCACATGCCTGTAATCCCAGATACTCTGGAGGCTCAGGCAGGAGAATTGCTTGAACCCGGGAGGTGGAGGTTGCAGTGAGCTGAGATTGCACCATTGCACTCCACCCTGGGCAACAAGAGCGAAACTGTCTCAAAAAAAAAAAAAGACAAAAACCTAGAAGGACAAAGTGAACAGGGGAAGAGACAGCAGCCAAAAAATAAGGAAAACAACATAAACCAACAAAAACCCAACAACAACAACAAAAAGCAGACCCATAAGTCGTAACCAATTTAGCAAACCCAACAAAGCTGGCTCCTAATCCAGCAGTCGGAATGCTGAGCAGCAATGTGATTTGCACTGCAGATCCCTACAGAGGGCTCCAGGATCTACAGCACCAAGGATCTCTAGCAGTGGAGTGTTGGTGGTGGGAGAAGAGAGACAGATCCTCTCATATTGTTTTATATTATCTTATACTCAAAAAAGGGAAGAGAAGCAAAACTAAAGGCAGGTAGCCCAGTGCCTAGGAACCAGATCCGAAACCAAGGAACCAGACCCGAAACCAGGCCTGGGCCTGCCTGACCTAAGCCTGGTAGTTAAAGATCGACCCCTGACCTAACCGGTTATGTTATCTATAGATTCCAGACATTGTATGGAAAGGCATTGTAAAAATCCCTGTCCTGTTCTGTTTTGTTCTGATTACCATTCTGATTACTGGTACATGCAGCCTCCAGTCACATACCCGCTGCTTGCTCAATCGATCACGACCCTCTCACGCAGACCCCCTTAGAGTTGTGAGCCCTTAAAAGGGACAGGAATTGCTCACCCGGGGAGCTCGGCTCTTGAGACAGGAGTCTTGCCGATGTTCCCTGCCGAATAAACCACTTCCTTCTTTAACTCGGTGTCTGAGGAGTTTTGTCTGCGGCTTGTCCTGCTACAGTGGAGCTTCCGAGCCCGAAAACGGGCTGTACAGAAGCCAGACTCCACACCCTCCCACTCGCCATGCAGTCCGGTTGCTGCCTCTCCCCAAAAGCTGGCAGAGACAGGCGTTTTATTCTCCGAAGAAGGAACAACAGAGGGTCAACAAGCAGCACAGGTGACTACAGTGGGATTAAGTTTACAGACTGTGTGCTGAGACAGCCCCAGCCCTCTGCCTTCATCTGTCCCCAGAAGGTGGACAGCCAGGCGTCGACCTTCCAGGCGGGAGATTGGAGGATTTTTATGCTTTGAGACACGGAGGAGGCAGAAGAATTAGCTTTTGTGCCTTCCAAACCTGAAATAAAAATCGGAGTGGCCCTGAGCTGCAGTTTCCACACAGAATGGAGTGGCTTCTGGGGTACCGGGAGGCCAGGAGGGAAGAGCTCAGATGATCCGCAGCCCTGCCTAGGGTGGGGGTGGTGCTCAGGCATCGCTAACCTGTCTCAAAGGGCTTCTCTCCGGCTGTGGGTGCTGTCACTTGGGGTCACAGATCCGCCTGAGTGTTCTGCTCCAGAAGTCAGAAAAGGCCCCAAGTAACTTAGCGTGACTTAAGGCCTCATGACAGAGACCCCATCATGAATCAGAAAAAAAGAGCAGAAATACTCATTAGAAACCCAAGAGAAATTTTGAAAAGATCCAACCCCCCCACCCCCACTCCCTGCTCCAACCCCATTGTCATCGGCTCAAGCCACAAAGCCTTCGGTCCCTGGGGAGCCCCAAGTGCCCTTCTTCCCTGCGGGTACCACACAGTCTGGACAAGAAAGCATTCCTTTCGGTGGGGCCAGGAGGAAGTGGGCCCAGCCCTGCCAGGCAGGAGGGGAAGAAGGATTCCATTCCCATTGTTCTCGCTCAGACTGCCCTACAATGGGCAAAGGAGCAGGAGGAGGGGGGGCCTGGGGGCCTGTCCGACCAGCTGGAGCAGCAGAAGGGGGCCTTCCCACCTCCCTCCTGGGCTCTTGTGTTTTCTCCCTCTCTTCCTCCCTACTCTGGATCTCCCACACCCTCTTCTCCCCCTTACCCACACCCCCCCACCGCCCCTCAACAGTATCTTCAGTGTGCAGGAAGCTCAGGGCCCAGGGGCCCCGCCCTGATGCCTGTCACCTGTCGCCAGACCCTGCTTGCCCTGCGGAGCTCTGCGGCATTCCTTCTCGCACATCTGTAGCTATGATCCATGCAGTTAAAATCTGAACACATTCCCAACCTGGCAGAGCCCACCCCATGATTCCGAGGACCACAGCCACACTGGGTGGAGTTCGATGACTGATCGACTTCTTCCATTGTGATCATCACCCCCACACACTCACAGGCTGGAAGTGTGATGGCTGAGGTCAGGTGACAAGTGACTAATAATAACCACTTCTTTCACTGCTTTTAACAAATATGTGCCAGGCACTGTTACAGGTGCTGGGGATACAGCAGTGAACTAAACAAAGATTTCTCTCTTTAAGTAGCTTATGTTCTAGCAGGCAGATCCTTCCTTGTTTCTCTGCTCTCAACTGTGTGCCAGGTCCGTGTGACAATAAAATGCCTCCTTGGCAGGGGTGTGCAGGAGTAGGGTTTTTGATGCTACCTAAACCTGTCCTCAAGGTCTGCTTCTATCCATCTGCAAACTGTATGACCTTAGGAGAATTTTTCCTTTTTTCCTTTTTTTTTTTTTTAAATGAGAAAGGGTCTTATTCTGTCACCCAGGCTGTAGTTTAGTGGCGTGAACATAGCTCACTGTTACCTTAAATCCTTGGGCTCAATTGATCCTCTTGCTTCAGCCTCCTGAGTAGCTGGGACTACAGGTGCATGCCACCATACCTGTCTAATTTTATTTATTTTTGTAGAGATAGGGTCTTGCAGTGTTGCCCAGGCTGGTCTTGAACTCCTGGTCTCAAGAGATCCACCCACCTCAGCCTCCCAAAGTGCTAGGATTACAGGCATGAGCTATCATGTCCACCCAGGAGAATTTTTCCTAGTTTTCTAAGTCTCAGTGTCCTCATCTGTAAGATAGGGTTTGTTACTGAAATAAACATTATTGTTAAGGGTAATGGTAGTGTATTACCACAGGGGTTGTTGTAAGGGCCCAGTGAGAAGATGTGTGTCAAGAGCATCTTGAGTGCTATGGATGTAATAAATAAATGCTCAATAAACATTAGGTATCATCATGAGGTCACTCCTCCTGGGGGAAGCTATCCATAGGAGGGAATTTTCTTTTTTTTCTTTTTCTTTTTTTTTTTTTTTTTTTTTTTTGAGACTGAGTCTCGCCCTGTCGCCCAAGCCGGAGTGCAGTGGTGCGATCTCGGCTCACTGCAACCTCTGCCTCCCGGGTTCAAGCGATTCTCCTGTCTCGCCCTCCGGAGTAGCTGGGACTACAGGCGCATGCCACCACACCCAGCTGATTTTTTTTTTTTTAGTAGAGACGGGGTTTCACCATGTTAGCTAGGATGGGTTAGGAAGGAATTTTCACCCTGGTTTACATTGTACCTGCAAAAGTTCCACTTGCCTCGACTGCTCCCTTCTCTGTGACATCTTATTGTGAGCCAGCTCCAAAGCCAGAAATACCTTGGGTTGTTTATTTTCCACTTGTGCATATGCTTACCCCAGTGGATGAGCCTCCCCTGAGGCTTACACTCAGGAGCTGTAATTGCAACCTGGCAGCCAATGCATGGAGCCAGAGGACAAGATCCAAATGCAAAGAAACTCTCTATATGGTTCAGACTTCTGCAGTCTTCGAGAAAGGACGATCCAGGAAGGTTTTTAATTGTTATCGGGCTATTTAAGAGGAAACAGCGTGCTCTGAGAGGGTCCTTTGTGAGCTACCAAACCAGAAGATGATGCAAGTTTCATCAGTTGTTTCATAGGTTTATTAGTCCGTTCTCATGCTGCTATACAGATACTACCCAAGACTGGTAATTTATAAAGGAAAGAGGTTTAATGGACTCACAGTTCTGCATGGCTGGGGAGGCCTCCGGAAACTTACAATCATGGCGAAGGCAAAGCAAGCACCTTCTTCACAAGGTGGCAGGAGAGAGAACCACAAAGAAGGAGCTTCCAAACAGTTACAAAATCATCAGCTCTCTTGAGAACTCACTATCGTGAGCACATCATGGGGGAACCACCTCCATGATCCAATCACTTCCCTCTCTCAACACGTGGGGATTACAATTCAGTATGAGATTTGGGTGGGGACACAGAGCCAAACCATATCAACAGGTGTTGGCACAAAAAGGCAGATTCCGTTGTGGTTCCCAACGGGGAGAACACAAGGGTGTTTGAAATCATTCACTGAGACCGGGCGTGGTGGTTCCCGTCTGTAATCCCAGCACTTTGGGAGGCCAAGGTGGGCAGATTCCTTGAGCCCAAGAGTTCGGGACCTGCCTGGGCAACATGGCAAAACCTCATCTCTACCAAAAAAATATAAAAATTGGCCGGGCGTGGTGGCTCACACCTTTAATCTCAGCATTTTGGGAGGCCGAGATGGGCAGATCACCTGAGCTCAGGAGTTTGAGACCAGCCTGGCCAACACGATGAAACCCCATCTCTACTAAAAATACAAAAATTAGCTGGGTGTGGTGGTGGGCACCTGTAATCCCAGCTACTCGGGAGGCTGAGACAGGAGAATTGCTTGAACCTAGGAGGTGGAGGTTGCAGTGAGCCAAGATCACGCCACTGCACTCCAGCCTGGGCAACAAAGAGTGAAACTCCCTCTGAAAAAAAACAAAAACAAAAAAATAAGCTGAGCATGGTGGTGCAGGCTCAGTGGTGCACCAGGGTGGGGACTGTTTACCATTGTTGCCATTAAATCCTGCCCACAAACGATGTCCAACTCTTCATGTTTATAGTGGGAGGGAGAAAACCATTTCAGAGTAGATATAAAGGAAGACCCTGAGTTTGCGAACCCCAGCTTCTCTAGAGATGTTAAATCCTAGTCTCATTTGGGGGCCATCTATACAGACATTGAAAGACTCAAAGAAACATCTGAGGAGAATATGATCTAATCCTATTGTCTTAAACAAATGTGTTTTCTGAGTTCTTCTCACCACAAACTTGACTTAATGAAGCCCCACACTATACACAGCATCCTGCTAAATGTTACCATATTTGTTTGTTGTCAAAGTGCTTCAGACATTTAATGAGGTTCCATTGAATTCTCAAGCTCCTAGATACGCAGAGTAAAGAGAATGGGGCACAGCCAACATTTCTCTCTGTTTGGATCTGAAGATTTGGGATAGGCCTAGATATCACAGAATCCAAGTCAGATTTTACCACGTGCGAATTGAGGAGTAGAGGCAGGGTAGGTGCTGTTTGCCATTCTGTGTATGCTGTGTCCACTGGAATAAGAAATTGGTATCAGCTCAGAAATCTCCAAGGGGACAGGTTCAAGGTGAAGGCACAATAAGCCCCAGAAAGGACTATGTCTGAGTTCCTAATTATGGTATCTCTCAGAGCCTGGCAAAATAGCACACAGAAGACCCTGTGTCAGCCCGAGTTCTGGTAGGAAATAGGTGGCACACTCAAACTGGATCAATAAGCAGTTTAATAAAGTCTGTATGTACGAGGTTTAAGTAAAGTAACAAGGGACAGTACAGTGTCCCAGGGCAAGCAATACTGGGGGGTTCTTTAAATTCCTAGGGGCAAGAAGGGGCAAGAAGAGGGAATGGTTGCCCATCCAGGGCACCACAGCAGGAAGAGGTTTCCTCTGCACCTCCGTCCAGCCTCCTGCTGGTGCTTCCCATTGGTTGAACCTAACTAGAGGGCAGAAGGAAAGGGAGGGCAAGGATGCAGTCCACACGCCTCTGCCTCTCTGGTCACAGAGCAGGGTAGAGAAAGAATAGACTGGATCTGGAATGGCAAACAGAAGACACCTAGCCCAGCCCTCAGAAAGGATTTGCTGGTTGACCAGAAGCCAGCATCTGACCAATACGAAGCTAAGAAAGGGGCCATGCGATGCTTCTCTCTGTTAGCTTTGCTTGTGGATAAAATCAACTTACTGAGCACCTATGCACCACGCCTGTGTTACCGGCATCACATAAACGATCTTAATCTTCAAAACATCACTGAGATGAGCAACGTTATTATCCCCATGTTACAGATGAGAAAATGGATTCTCAAAGGGTTTATGGAATTGGCTCAAGGCCTGTGCTTATTAATGGAGGAATAGGAACTAAAATACAGTTTCCTTTATTTTATTTATTTATTTATTTATTTATTCATTCATTCATTCATTCATTCATTCATTCATTTTGAGACAGAGTCTCACTCTGTCACCCACACTGGAGTGCACTGACACAATCTTGGCTCACTGCAACCTCTGCCCCCTGGGTTCATGCGATTCTCATGCCTCAGCCTCCTGAGTCACTGGGTTTACAGGCGCGCACACCACACCCAGCTAATTTTTATATCATTTTGGTAGAGACAGTGTTTCACTATGTTGGCCAGGCTGGTCTCCAACTCCTGACCTCGAGGGATCCACCTGCCTTGGCCTCCCAAAGTGCTGGGATTACAAGCATGAGCCACTGTGCCTGGCCTCTTTATTTTTATTTCCCAACTTTTTATTATGAAAATGTTTAAACATAGAGAAAGGTTGAAGGGATAAAACAATGAACATCTTTGTACTAACCACTTAGATTCAACAACTGGCAATATTTTGTCATATTTGTTTCATCTATATGTATACATAAATCTGTAGATTTTTTGGTTTACCTTTTCTGTATTTCTTTTTCAGTTTTCTATTGTGTTAAAGTACCTATAACATACAATCTACAGTCCTGATCATTTTTAAGTGTACAGTTTGGTGGTATTAAATACATTCATAATGTAGTGTAACCATCACCACCATCCATCTCTATAACTTTTTTCACCTGTAAAACTAAAATTCAAACAAGAGAGTTTCAACAAACCCATTAAACAACAACTCCCTACTTCGGGCTGGGCGTGGTGGCTCATGCCTGTAATCCCAGCACTTTGAGGGGCCGAGGTGGGCGGATCACAAGGTCAGGAGATTGAGACCATCCTGGCTAACACGGTGAAACCCCGTCTCTACTAAAAATACAAAAATAGCCGGGCGTGGTGGCACATGCCTGTAATCCCAGCTACTAGAGAGGCCGAGGCAGGAGAATTGCTCCGGGAGGGGGAGGTTGCAGTGAGCCAAGATCCCACTTGGAGTGCCACTTGGAGTCCCACTGGAGCGCCACTGCACTCCAGCCTGGGCGACAGAGCGCTCTGTCTCAAAACCAAACCAAACCAAACCAAAACAAACAAACAGACAAACAAAAACTCCCCACTTCTCCTTCCCCTCAAACCTGGTAACCGCCATTCTATTTCCGTCTCTATGATTTTGACTACTCTAAGCACCTCATATAAGTGGAATCATGAGGTATTTGTCTCTTTGTGATTAGCTTATTTCACTTAGCACCATGTCCTCAGGGCTTATCCATGTTGTAGTGTGTCCCAGAATTTCCGTATTTTTTAAAGCTGAATGACATTCCATTGTATGTAGGCACCACATTTTTGTTTCATTCATTCTGGATGAACATTCAGGTTGTTTCTAAATCTCAAGTATTGTAAACAGTGGGGCAAGAAACATGGGAGTGCTAACATCTCTTCAAGTTGCTGATTTCAATTATTTTGGATAAATACCCAGAAGTGGGATTGCTGTATGGTAATTCTATATTTAATTTTTTGAGGAATCTCCATGCAGTGTTTTCCATAGCAGCTGTATCATTTTGCATTCTCACCAACACTCTACAATGGTTCCAATTTCTCCACATCCTTGCCAAGTCTTACTATTTTGGTTTTTTGATAGCCGCCATCCTAATGGGTATGAAGTGATATCCCATTGTAGTTTTTATTTGCAGTTCTCTAATGATTAATGGTGTTGAACATCTTTCTCTGTGATTATTGGTCATTTGTTTATCTTTTTGGAGAAAATGTCTATTCAAGTCCTTTGCACTTTTTTTTTTTTTTTTTAGACGGCATCTTGCTCTATCGCCTAGCTGGAGTGCAATGGCACGATCTCGGCTCACTGCAACCTCTGCCTTCCGGGCTCAAGCAATTATTCTGCCTCCAGCCTCCTGAGTAGCTGGGATTACAGGTGACCGCCACCACACCTGGCTAATTTTTGTATTTTTAGTAGAGACAGGGTTTCACCATGTTGGCCAGGCAGGTGTTCAACTCCTGACCTCAAGTGATCCACCAACCTTGGCCTCCCACAGTGCTGGGATTACCGGCATGAGGCACCATGACCAGCCTCTTTCCACATTTTTGAATTGGGTTGTTTGAGCTAAATATGTAGATTTTTCCTTGGGAAAAATATAAAATAAGTTGTATAGTTCCTCATATATCTTCCAAAATGATGGCATTCTCCTCATAATCACTCTGCTACTGGCACAGTAAGAACATTAACATCAATTTCTAAATATCAATCAAACCAGCTTAGAGTCAAATTTCTCTAGTATTCCCAAAATATCTTTTATTTTATTTAATTTTTATTTAAATCAAGAGCCCATTAAAGTTTGAGCACTGCATATGGTTTTCATGAATTTTTATTTTTTATTTTATTTTATTTTTTGAGACGGAGTTTTGCCCCTGTTAACCAGGCTGGAGTGCAATGGCGTGATCTCAGCTCACTGCAACCTCCGCCTCCCGGGTTCAAGCAATTCTCCTGCCTCAGCCTCCCAAGTAGCTGGGATTACAGGCATGCACCACCATGCCTGGCTAATTTTTGTATTTTTAGTAGAGATGGGGTTTCTCCATGTTGGTCAGGTTGGCCTTGAACTCCTGACCTCAGGTGACCAGCTTGCCTCGGCCTCCCAAAGTGCTGGGATTACAGGCATGAGCCACCGAGCCCGGCGGTTGTCATGAATTTTAAGCCTCTTTTAATTTAGAACTGCATCCCAACTTTTTTTTTTTGAGACAGGGTCTCACTGTATCGCCCAGGCTGAAGTGCAGTGGCAGGATCTCAGCCCACTGCAACCTCTGCCTCCCAGGCTCAAGCAATCCTCCTGCCTCAGCTCCTAGAGTAGCTGGGAATACAGGCGTGTGCCGCCATGCCCAGCTAATTTTTGCATTTTCTGTTTTTTGTTTTTTCGAGACAGTTTCCCTCTGTCACCCAGGCTGGAGTACAATGGCGAGATCTCAGCTCACTGCAACCTCTGCCTCCTGGGGTCAGCCTCCCAAGTAGCTGGGATTGCAGGCATGTGCCAACACACCCAGCTAAGTTTTGTATTTTTAGTAGAGACGGGTTTTGCCATATTGGCCAGGCTGGTCTCGAACGCTTGGCCTCAAGTGACCTGCCCGCCTCGGTCTCCCAAAGTGCTGGGATTACAGGCATAAGCCACCATCCCTGGCCCCAACTTTCTTATTAAACAATATTGGCTTTCTTTTTTGTTTGTTTTTTGTTTTTTTTTTTGTTTTTTTGTTTTTTTGAGACGGAGTCTGGCTCTGTCACCCAGGCTAGAGTGCAGTGGCACGACCTCGGCTCACTGCAACCTCCACCTCCCAGGTTCACCTCATTCTCCTGCCTCAGCCTCCCAAGTAGCTGGGACTACAGGTGCCTGCCACCCCGCCTGGCTAATTTTTAAAATATTTTTAGTAGAGACGGGGTTTCACCGTGTTAGCCAGGATGGTCTCAATCTCCTGACCTCGTGATCTGCCTGCCTCGGCCTCCCAAAGTGCTGGGATTACAGGCGTGAGCCACCGTGCCCGGCCGATATTGGTTTTTTGAAGAGGCCAGCCCTGCTGTCCTATTGAACACTCTACATTCTCCATTGGTCTGATCATTTTCTCATGATGTCATTTAACTTGTTCTTCTGTTCCTCATCTCTGTAAACTGGAAGTAGAAGATGAATTTGATTCAGATTAAACATTTTTGGATGGAATGCTTTATAGGTGATGCTGGTCCCTCCTGTTGTATCTCCTCAGGAGGCCTTTCATGCTAAGTGGCCCTTGGAGCCTGCACTTTTACCTGCCAGTCAACAGACAGTTCCCCAGCTGGGGGTGAGGGTAGAGGAAGGCCTGGAGATAAGCTTATCAGCCATTAGAAAAATCTGTCTTGGCTGGGCGCGGTGGCTCACGCTTGTAATCCCAGCACTTTGAGAGGCCGAGGAGGGCGGATCACGAGGTCAGGAGATCGAGACCGTCCTGGCTAACACAGTGAAACACCATCTCTACTAAAAATACAAAAAATTAGCCTGGCGTGGTTGCAGGCCCCTGTAGTCCCAGCTACTCGGGAGGCTGAGGCAGGAGAATGGTGTGAACCCGGGAGGCGGAGCTTGCAGTGAGCCAAGATCGCCACTGCACTCCAGCCTGGGCGACAGAGCAAGACTCTGTCTTAAAAAAAAAAAAAAAAAAAAAAAAAAAATCTGTCTCATGGCAATCCAGACAGGGGATTTCATATTGAGATTTGTCTGGATGGTAGAATGGAAAATCTGTGGGAAAGTACAGGACAAGAAGGGGGAGAGGCAGGTGCCACTGCCTTCTGCAGAGGTGTAAGTCTCCACATTGTTGTAACCTATGTCAGTTTCCAAGTGCTCCAAGGAAAGGGAAATTCCCCACTGCGAAGCATAAACGTAGACTTATGCCTCTTTCAGAGGCGAGGCCACCCCTTTCCCACTACTCACGTGCACACACAACCAGGGATGTTCACCTTTCTTATGTGTTCCCTTTTGCCCATCAACTTATGTTCTTTTTTTTTTTTTTTTTTTTTTTTTTTTTGGTCAAGGACTCTCCTGCTGCAAGAAATAAAAATCCACTCCAGCTAACTTAAGTGAAAAGGGCTATATCAGAAAGAAACAGGAATATAAGGAAAGAGACAGGTTCCTAGGGGTCCTGAAGAAAGAACTGTTCAGCTTCTCTCAAACAACACCCAGCATGTTTAGTAGACTTGTTTTGGGGTGTCTGGCCAGCACACAAACCCCCAAGTGCCCTAAAAGCCCTGGTTTTTAGGACACCCTCCTTTGGCTATTGCATTATGGTTGGTCACTGGATCTACACTGAACCAGTTCAATTCTGCCTCCCAGAAATTTGGAGTTGGAACTAAGAGATGCAGGTCAGTCTCTGCTGGTTGCTTGAACTGAGAATGTGCTACTTCAGTAAAGCTGAGGAAGCCATCATGCAAAGAAGGAACAATGAGGCTGACACACAGAGAAACCAGAGGTGTCACAGGGTGCCAGAGAAAGGAGAGAGGCACTGCCCAGAGGCTTTTCCACAAGAGACCCTGGTTCCTTATAATTCACTCTTCTAGGTTTAATCCAGTTTGTAATGAGTCTCTGTTACCCTGCTACTAAATTATCCTAACCAAACAGTAGCAGACCAAGGGCAGGGCACAGAAGCAGCCTGTCCCAGTGGGAGGAATATTTTCCCTGACATTGTTTAGAATTGCTGGTGTATGGCAAGCACCTTTAGGTTGGTTTTATTCTTTATTCTCTTTTCATTCTCTGCAGACAATGCACCCCCTTATTGCCTGCACCGGGGGGCCGCTCCTGCCACCCTGCTCTTTGTACACTGCTGTGACTAAGTCAGTGAGGACCAAACCGGAAAGTTTTTGGAAAATGCTTTTGGAAGGGTTTTGGAAAATGCTTTTTAAAGTGCTTGTTTCCTTCTGCCTTCCTGGCCCTAATTCAAATGTGCCCCTGGAAGAAGCCCCCAGAAAGCCAAGAATTCCCAAAAGGCCCAAAGAAGGAAGTTTATCCTCTTTCCAGCCTAAAGAGGGGCAGAGGACATCTCTGCCTGTGGGAATCAGCCCTGGACCTCAGTGGGGCCAGAGCCCTAGTGTGAGGCCTGTTTCCAGCTAAGCACCTCTCCAGAGGCCACATTAGTCACCAGATTATGGATTTTCATCATGGTGGGAAGACGGCTGGTGTCACCTGCTTTCTGTAGGCATTCACTCTTCTGTTTACTCAATAAGATCCAGCTCTTAAAAGGTAGGGAGGGTTAAAGATGGGAACCCAGAAGCCTTCTTGGTGGAGGAGAACTTGCACGCAAGACTTGCAGACACAACTCAAGCGTTACTTTTCCCAGAGATATCCCAAGAAAGCCAGCCTCATCCCAAGCCTATGTGAGCATGCCCCTGCTGGGCTGAGATAAGCTACCTCAGGGAAGCAATGTTGCACAGTGGTTAAGAATGCGGTCTCTGAGCCAGGCTCCATGGCTCTGACTGTAATCTCGGTACTCTGGGAGGCCGAGGTGGGAGGATCACTGGAGCCAAGGAGTTGGAGACCAGCCTGGACAACATAGTAAGACCCTATCTCTACAAAAAGTAAAAACAAATGTAACTGGGCATGGTGATGCACACCTACAGTCTCAACCACTCAGGAGGCTGAGGCGGGAGGATTGCTTGAGCCCGGGAGTTCGAGGTTAGGGTGAGCCATGATTGTGCCACTGCACTCCTGCCTGGGTTTGAATTCTGGCTTCATCACTTAACAGCTAATCACTTCAGACAAGTTGCTCCATCTTACTTAGCCTCATTTTTTTTGTTTTGTTTTTTTGACACAGAGTCTCACTCTGTCACCCAGGCTGGAGTGTAATGGCATGATCTCAGCTCACTGCAACCTCTGCCTCCCGGGTTCAAGAGATTCTCCTGCCTCAGCCTCCCAAGTAGCTGGAATTACAGGCACCTGCCACCACATCCAGCTAATTTTTGCATTTTTAGTAGAGACAGGGTTTCGCCATGTTGGACAGGCTGGTCTTGAACTCCTGACTTCAGGTGATCCGTCCGCCTCTGTCTCCCAAAGTGCTGGGATTACAGGCGTGAGCCACTGCGCCCGGCCACGATGTCATAATTTTTAGTAGATATTACTGAGTTGTGCAAACATCACCACAATTCAGTTTAGAACATTTCTAATACCCCAGTAAAATCCCTGGTGCCCATTCAGTTCGTCCTCATCCCATCCTCACTCCCTGGCAGCCACTAATCAATCTACTTTCTGTCTCCATAGATTTGGCATTTCCGGGCACTTCCTATAAATGGAATCATACAATATGTGGCCTTTTATGTCTGGCTTCTTTCACATAGCATAATGTTTTTGAGGTTTATCCACACTGTAGCATATACTGGTACTTCTTCCCTTTTTATTGTCAAATAATATTTCATTGTATAAATTAACCACATTTTATTTATCCACTCATCAGTTGATAGACATTTGAATTGTTTCCAGTTTGGGGCTATTATAAATATTACTGTTATGTAATATTTGTATAGATGTTTTTGTGTGGATATATGTTTTCAATTCTCTTGGGTCTATACATAGCAGTGAAATTGCTGAGCTGTATGGGGAAGAAAAAGTATGGGTTGTCTAACTCTTTAAGAAATTGCCTCCCTGTTTTCCAAAGTGGCTTAGCCTCAATTTCATCATCGGCAAACTCAATATACTGAGTCTCTCCCTTGTATGGATATAGTGGGGTTTGATAAGTCAATGCATATAAAACATTCAGTACAGTGCCTGGCTCATGGTAAGTGTGCGATCACTGCAGCCTCAACCTGCCAGACTCAAGCAATCCTCCTACCTCAGACTCTTAAGTAGCTAGGATTACAGGTGCACACCACCACACCCAGCTAGTCTTTGTAGTTTTGGTAGAGATGGGGTTTCCCCATGTTGCCCAGGCTAGTCTCAAACTCCTGGTCTCAAGGGATCCGCCCATCTCGGCCTCCCAAAGTGCTGAGATTACAGGCATGAGTCACCATTGGCACCCAGCCAATGCTACTTCTTTAATTAACTTCCTGTTACTTACCTAACTCTTCTGCGGCTCTGGTAGCTCTTTGAAGGTAGGGGTTGTATCTCAACTGAGTCTTTTTTTTTCTTTTTTTGAGATGGAGTCTCACTCTGTCACCCAGGCTGGAGTGCAGTGGCGTGATCTTGGCTCACTGCAACCTCCGCCTCCTGGGTTCAAGCAATTCTGCCTCAGCCTCTCGAGTAGCTGGGGTTACAGGCACGTGCCACCACGCCCCACTGATTTTTGTATTTTTAATAGAAACAGGGTTTCACCAGGCTGGTCTTGAACTCCGGACTTCAGCTCACCTGAGAATCCCCAGCCTAGCAGAATCTCACTCACGCCAGGTGCTTTGTCGGTGGATGAGGAAACTCAAATATAGAGCCCACTGCGGGGCAGGACAGGTGTGGCACTGCCCCAGAGGCACACAGTCCAAGGGAATTGTGAGAGGGAGACTCCTGGGGAGTGCATCAGACAGGACTTCATGTGGGAGGCAGCCACTGAGCTGGGCCTTGAAGACCACTTTCTGCAGGGTCACAGGATTAATCCATAAAGAGATGCTCTCCACACTTCAAGGTAAAGCACCCAACGTCTTCACCTTCAACTAAATCCTGAGGCCCTTTTTTTTCTTTTCAGCGTCAAGGATGAAGGATGGGGCGGACACTGTCTGTTTTCTCAGTGACCTGGCAACCTAACCTAACAGCTGTGTCCAGCATCAAATACTCCTCCTCATCCCCTGCTCTTGCTCCCCAAGACCAGGAGCAGGCGCTGGAGTGCTCCTCCCTGGGGCTGGGCCACAGGCCTTAAAACTCTTTACTCCCACCTCCTTGGGGTACCCCTTCACACCTTCCTGAACATCCTCCAGGCCTATGCACACGACGGAGAGCTGGGGGTGGGGTGTGGGGTGGGTGGCAGCGACTGGGCCGTGGAGAGGATCGGGGCTCTTAGGGTGCTTATTCAGATGCAGTGTTGCTCTTTGCCCACCTCCCCTCACTTCCTCCCATGCCTCTCAGAGAAGTGAAAATAGAGCTGATGATTGGTGCGAGGAAGCCTGTGCCCATGGCCCGGAATTCCTCCAGCCTGATTCACGGGCTTTGGTTCTAATGCACTAGAATTCTCCACTGGGCGGGGGCACCAAGAGGATTCTGGACCACAGCGGTCACACCTGCTGCTCACTTCCACCTCTCACATCTGCTGTGAGGCCCACTCCCCACCAGCTCCATCAGCCAGAAGGCTGCTGTGGCTGGGGTTGCGAGAGAAGGGAGGCGGAACACTTCCTATCCCAGGGGCAATTTCAAAATCAACGCATCCCTTGCCGACCCAACGGCAAACCAACTGCTTGTTTAAGGAAATCAGTGGAATGTATGCAATTAATTACAGGGCAAATCTCAAGTCAGACTAAATACTGGAAATCAGGAACCAGAGTCCAAGTCCCTTTCGTGATCGGAAGGGGGAACTTCCCGATTTGATTGCAGAAAGCAATTTACTTCAATTAGCAGTGACATAAACAGAGTGATTGCTTAATAGGAGCACTGAATCTCTAAAAAATAAACAGCCTGAATTGCATCCTTTACCATTATATTAGCAGCATGGGATTGCTTTTCCCAAGACAGGTTTGATTAACTCTTTAGGAACCATCCTCACTCCTAAGCAGATCTCTTCAGAGCTCCTAAAAAGTCTTCACATCATGGTCCTGGCATTTGTTGTGCACCTCGGGCATATATGTTCATCAATTTGCTTGTTGCTTTAACTTTCAAGTCTTTTAATCCTCTATAATCCTGTGAGATATGTATTATTATGCTCATTTTTAACAGAGGGGGAAAATGAGGCTCAGAAAATTCATGGTGGTGATCTTTTCAAATACATACCTAATCATGTCATTCTCCTGCTTAACTTACCCTCGAAAGCCTTCCAAACCCCTCAGCATAGCCTCCAAAGCCCTGTGTGATCTGTTTCTGGCCTACTTCTCCCACCTCTGCTCAAACCACTTCTCCGCTTGCTCACCACATTTTATATTTTCAGGCCACTGCCTGTTTTGCAAGCGCGTCAAGCCCATTCCCATCTCAAGGCCTTTGCACTTGCTGTTCCCTGCGCCTGGAGCACTCTTCCTCCATTTCCAGAACTGACTTCTCAGCTTCCAGGACTCTGTTCAGAGGCTACGTCCTCAGAGAGGAGTTCCCTGTCCGTCCCATGTTCCCCACTCCCTTTCGGCTTTTGACTAACACTTAGCATGATCCAAAATTATCTTGTTTGTTTATAGTTGATGTATTTCTTGTTTGTCTCCCTCCTGGAATATAAGCTCCAGGGCGGCAGAGATCCTGTCTCCTGTTTGTCTTGTTCATTTGCACAGGGTCAAGCATACGGTAGGCAGACAGAAGATATTTGCTTAATAAAGGAAGTATTGTCCCTGCTTTTATACAGATGAGGAAATGGAAGTTGGGAGAAGTTAGGCCATTTCACAAGGTCAAACAGCTGGGAAGCAGCTCCAGGGGATTCACAGGATTCAGACATCGCTTTCTCCCATGCAGCTACACTACTTTTTTGAGGACTCTCCTTTCCTCCCTATTCTCTTCCCCCACCACCTTCTCACCTCCACCCTACCACCCCAGCCCCAGAAAGTAGGCACTCATCCAACCAGCCGGGAGAGCATTAAAATCACAACCACAAAGCAAAATCTCCTCTTCCTGTTTAAACTCCCTCCTGTGGTACTGATGCTTCTTAGCCGGACAGGGTCCCGCTCATTGCAAGAATGTGAATTCTGGAAGTTAAAGATCTTAACACCCCTCTCCCTCTGGCTCCCCACCTTGAAGGATTTAGATACCGAACTGGGCTCCCCTTAGGAAATGCATCCCCGGACTTGGACTGTGGAGGTAGTGGGCAAGATGTTTGGTGAAGCTTTCGCTGCCCTGTGACCCCACCCACCCCACAGCCAAATCCTACCCTTGGCCCAAGCTCCCCACACTGCCCAGTGAATTGGGGCTGTAAACTGGAGGAGGGAAGGCTGGAGAAGCCAAGGTCAGTGGCGGGAGAAGTGCAATGGGAGAAGACCAGGGAGAGGGTGAACACTGAAGAATTTGAGAGATGTGTGAGTGCCCCAGAATTGGGCTGTAGGGAAGTCGGCCTCCCTGAGCAGGCAGCCGTGTCGGGGCTGACCTGAAAGCAGAGGTCTGTCCCTTAGATGCTGGCTGGCTTTGGGGCTCAGAGTCTTCATCTGGTCCCTCCGCAGCATCACCTTCAGGAGAAGTTCAAGTGCAGCTGTCATTGCAGTCCCAGTTTCACTATCCATTCCCTGTGTCTCCTTGAACAGGGCTTTAACCTCTCTGAGGCCACTTCCTGCTTGATAAGGAGACCACATCGCCCACCCTGCTTCATATGCAGATTTCTTTTTTTTTTTTTTTTGAGACGGAGTCTCGCTCTGTTGCCCAGGCTGCAGTGCAATGGCGTGATCTCAGCTCAGTGCAACCTCCACCTCCTGGGTTCAAGTGATTCTCCTGCCTCAGCCTCCTGAGTAGCTGGGATTACAGGTGTGCACCACCACGCCCAGCTAATTTTTGTATTTTTAGTAGAAACGGGGTTTCACCATGTTGGTCAGGCTGGTTTTGAACTCCTGGCCTTGTGATCCACCAGCCTCAGCCTCCCAAAGTGCTGGGATTACAGGCGTGAGCCACCACACCCAACCATATGCAGATTTCAATAGTTTTTTTTTTTTTTTTTTTTTGAGATGGAGTTTCGCTCTTGTTGCCCAGGCTGGAGTGCAATGGCACGATCTTGGCTCACCACAACCTCTGCCTCCCAGGTTCAAGCGATTCCCCTGCCTCAGCTTCCCGAGTAGCTAGGATTACAGGCATGTACCACCATGCCCAGCTAATTTTGTATTTTTAGTAGAGACGGGGGTTTCTCCATGTTTGTCAGGCTGGTCTCGAACTCCCGACCTCAGGTGATCCGCCTGCCTCAGCCTCCCAAAATGCTGGGATTACAGGCATGAGCCACCACGCCCGACCAATAGTTTTATTTATTTATTTTGAGATGGAGTCTCGCTCTGTCACTGAGGCTGGAGTGCAGGGTGCGATCTTGGCTCACTGCAGCCTCTGCCTCCCAGGTTTAAGTAATTCTCCTGCCTCAGCCTCCCAAGTAGCTGGGATTACAGGCATGAGCCACCAAGCCTGGCTAATTTTTGTGTTTTTAGTAGAGATGGGGCTTCGCCATGTTGCCCAGGCGGGTCTTGAACTCCTGGGCTCAAGTGATCCACCACACCCAGCCCAGATTTCAGTAGCTTTAAATAAGAGAACGAATGGGAAAGTGCCCTGGAAGGTTTAAAGTATAAAGTATACTAAGGAGGTACTTTTGTTTTAGCCTAAATGGGAAAGAGACTTTCCCATTAACATTCTTTAAACATCTGTCAGAGGTGGCGTTTCCTATGCTCATTGAACAGGTATGGAAACAGGCTCACAGAGCAACTTGCCTCCAGCTACAGACCCCTGAAGTCTAGGTTTTAATCATTGTCTATGCTGAACGTATGCAGCTGGGACTAGATCCATTCAGACAAAATCCTGGCGAAAGGTGAAGGGCGGTGGGTGAGGGGTGTGGAGTACAAGACGCAGATGGGAAAGGGCATGGGCCACTACGGCCATGGAAAGGGCTTTTTAGTTCCAAGTTACAATAAGCATACACTAAGACAGAGTCTTGCTCTGTAGCCCAGACTGGAGTGCAGTGGCACCATCTCAGGTCACTACAACCTCCGCCTCCCAGGTTCAAGCAGTTCTCCTGCCTCAGCCTCCCTAGTAGCTGGGATTACAGGTGCCCACCACCACACCCAGCTAAGTTTTTTTGTATTTTTTAGTAGAGATGGGGTTTTACCATGTTGGCCAAGCTTGTCTTGAACTCCTGACCTCAAGTGATCCGCCTGCCTTGGCCTCCGAAAGTGCTAGGATTACAGGCATGAGCCACCGTGCCTGGCCGAGGCCAACATCTTTAAAAGCCTCCCTGGCAGCGTGTGCACATGGCCTGGTGAGAACAGGAAGCACTGGGCAATGGGGCTGGGAGAGGACGAATTTGGGGTACACTTCAAAGGTAGAACTGGCAGGGCCTATTGAGTGTGGGTGAGGATGACTAAGAGGACTAGTGGTTGACAATGCTCTGCAAAGGGGTAAAGCAAAAGTCCAGAGCTGTTTCTTGCTGGGGACATGTAAATAATTTAAGAAGATCCTGAACCAAGGGGATAAATGTGAAAAACTCTTGAAAACGGGCCTCATGTATGCCCTCGGAATAGCGATGTATAGCACCTCTAGCCTGATTGGCTAGAGCCACTCCATTTCTTTCTTGAATTAGGTATTTATTTATTTATTTATTTACTTACTTATTTATTGAGATGGAGTCTCACTTTGTCGCCCAGGCTGGAGTGCAGTGGCGCCATCTTGGTTCACTGCAACCTCCATCTCCCGGGTTCAAGTGATTTTCCTGCCTCAGCCTCCCGAGTAGCTGGAACTACAGGCACATGCCACCACGCCCGGCTAATTTTTGTATTTTTAGTGGAGATGGGGTTTCACCATGTTGGCCAGGCTGGTCTCCAACTCCTGACCTCAGGTGATCTGTCTGCCTTGGTCTCCCAAAGTGCTGGGATTACAGGCGTGAGCCACCATGCCCGGCCTAGGCTCCTCTTTTGTCCCTTCACTGTTAATTATTCCCAGCCTTTTGGGTGAGACAGAATCTTTACTCTTGAGATTCTAGTGCAAAAGGGGCTTCAGAAATACCTTAACATGGCTTCACTTAGGCTTTGATGCCAGCCTCGGGCCTATGAGCCTCCAATTCTCCCCTGTGACCATCAGGAGAGAAAACTGAGTCCCTTTCGAGGTCGTACAAAGTTTCCCAATGAGCTTAAACATCACCTCCTCCATGAGGCCTACCCTGACTACTTTAAAATAGGAATTCTGCTTCTCTATGATTCTCTGTCTTGGTACCTAGGGCATTTTTCATTCACAGCAGTTACTACAATTTATAATCAACAACTACTCATTTAATTACTCATTTGCTATCTTTTCCCGACCAGGCCAGGCACTCCCCAAGGGCAGGGAATTCTCTGTCTCTCTTGCTCACTTCTGTGTCTGCAGCACTTATGCACATGGTGGGCACCTAGAAGGTGCTTTATATCTATCTGCCCACTACATTCAAGGCACTTGACCAGGGCTTTGGAAGCACTAACCCATCCTTCCCTCTCCCTTGTGGGTTCTCTTGGGCCCCAGAGCTGTGTTCCCCTCATCTGCCTTGGGCATTTTATTCCCAAGGGGATTTATCAGCCCCAGTAGATGCCACCTGCATGGTGTCACTGAGGTCAAAAAAGTTAATAACAGAGAAAGAAGCCAGGCTTTTCTTGTTAAAATGAAAATGCTCAAAGGATCATTGCAAATGTAACTTATTCAGTCAAAAACCATGGTGCCAGGCGCTGTGCTCAGAACTGGGACGTGGTGGTGAGCAAGACCAACATGATTCCTGATCCCTCTTGAAGTTCACCATCCAGTAGGTTCCTCAGAGTCTTTTCTAAGAACCATTTTTCTCCCAGTGTAGACCTCCATGGCCAGGGAATCCAGCTCTTTCCCTTCCCTAGCCTTGCACGTGGCAGCTTTCAAGCTCCCTAAGGAAGGAATCCATGCAGTAAACCCCACCCTTTCCACCTCCAGGCCAAGGGGACACTAGAGTGAAGTTTTCATATCTTAGTCCTGTGGCTCATTAACCACATGACCCCTCAAGTCTCATTTCTTCACCTGCAAAATGGAGATCAAGAGACCCTACCCCTTAGGGATGCTATGAGGATCCAGTTAGATGCTGCCGCTGATAATGACGGCTAACATTTTTTGAGTTCTTTTCTATACCAGACACTGTGCAAGCATTTTGTCTGCATTATCACATTTAATCTTCCTAACAACCTCACAGGGGGGCTGTCATCACCACTGTTTAGAGATGGGGACATATAGGTTATATCATTGCCCAGTGTCACACGGACATTAAGTGGTGGAGCTGGGACACAGACCCAGCCATTCCACACTATGTCGACCCTCCAACCCACTGTCTTACACAGCCCCCCTGGTGAATGCAGGCAGAGTGCTTTTCTTCGTGCCTGGTATACAGCAAGTGCTCCACGAATGGCGCCTCTTACTCAACAGCTGGAGGCTCCCCATGCAAGACTTCCCAAGCTTCAACAGTTCCTAAGGATTGGCCCGTGACCACTCAGCAGTCAGATCCTCCCCAACCCATTCCTGTTCCAAGTCCCAAATCTGCATCCTTACAAAAGCTCAGATTGAAACAGACAGTAGCTGGAAGGCTGGCCTTTCCCATAATTTCCCCAGCAGTCCAATCACTGTGGCCACCCAGCGCTCGGCGCTGGCTGAAAACCCAGATCTCAGCCTCCCCGGAAGCCGAGTGAACAAGTTGGCTCAACAGACTAATTTTTTCTCCCTGTTCCCTTCATTCTACCCTCTGGTCCTGGCCTGAATCAAAACAGCAGGGGCCTGGGAGGTAGCTCCGGGTACCACTGGGACAAGCACAACTCGGTTCCAAAGAAAATGATAGTATGAGGTCACTCATTATAATATTTAGCTCCCAGAAGAAACCGCTGTGAGCCCCATCCAAACCACAGACAGCTTTGGCAGCCCCAGTATCCTCTTACGGTTACATAAGCTTTGCAGGGAAATAAATACCAACTCATCTCGAAGGAATTTTAAGGACTAATAAACCTTAACCAGTCTGTGCAGAGAGGGCTTCCTTCTGAAGGAGGGGCTGCGGTTTTAGAGAGGAAGGATTGAGAGGGCTCTGGGGCAGGGCTGGGAGGGACACCTTGTGGGCCTGGCTGCAGGACATTCCTCAGATAGACTCAATCCTGCAGCCTCATTTGTGGGGCAAAAATCTCCAAGGTCAGCAGGTCAGCCATGTCCCAGGCCACCTCCTTCTTGTATACCATCAGGATCCACTCTCTAGTTTCCTCTTATAGGTAGTGAGTTACCTATCACTGGAGGTATTCAAGCATATTCAAACATAAACTGCATGGCTTTAAGAGACTGTCTAGTTCCAATATTTTATTTTATTTTATTTTTGAGATGGAGTCTCACTCTCTCACCCAGGCTGGAGTGCAGTGGCATGATCTTGGCTCACTGCAACCTCTGCCTTCAAGGTTTAAGTGATTCTCGTGCCTCAGCCTCCTGAGCAGCTGGGATTACAGGCATGCTACAACACCTGGCTAATTTTTGTATTCTTAGTAGAGATGGGGTTTCACCATATTGGCCAAGCTGGTCTTGAACTCCCAGCCTCAAGCGATCTGCCCGCCTCAGCCTCCCAAAGTGCTGGGATTACAGGTGTGAGCCACTGCACCCGACCCCAAGATAGTATTTTATATTATGTTTTTCAGGTATAGGAACTACCCTTGGCATCAGCAAAAGGCAGGATGGTACAGTAGTCTCTCTGTCTTATCCACGGTCTCCCTTTCTGCAGTTTCAGTTACCCATGATCCAGTAAAATATTTAGAAAGAGGCTGGGCGCGGTGGCTCACATCTGTAATCCCAGCACTTTGGGAGGCTGAGGTGGGCAGATCACCTGAGGTCAAGACCAGCCTGGCCAACATGGTGAAACCCCATCTCTACTAAAAATACAAAAATTAGCCAGGCGTGGTGGCGGGTGCCTGTAATCCCAAGCTACCCAGGAGGCTGAGGCACGTGAATCGCTTGAACCTTTAAGGCAGATGTTGCAGTGAACCGAGATCATGCCATTTACACTCCAGCCTTGGTGACAAGAGCAAAACTCTGTCTCAAAAAAAAAAAAAGAAAGAAAGAAAGAAAGAAAAATTAGAAATAAACCACATTCACCTGCCTGGCCAATATGGCGAAACTCTGTCCCTACTAAAAATACAAAAATTAGCCGGGTGTGGTGGCCCATGCCTGTAATCCTAGCTACTTGGGAGGCTGAGGCAGGAGAATCGCTTGAGCTGGGGAAGCAGAGGTTGCAGTGAGCCGAGATTGTGCCATTGCACTCCAGTCTGGGTGACAGAGTGAGGAAAAAAAAAAAAGAGACCACATTCACATAAATTTAATTGTAGTATATTGTTATAATTGTTCTATTTTATTATTATTGTTGTTAAGCTCATATTGTGCCTAATTTGTAAATTATACTTTATCACAAGTATGTATGTATAGTAAAAAAAAAACATATTACACACATATAGGGTTTAGTACTATCCATGGTTTCAGGTATCCACTGGGGGACTTGGAACGTATTCCCTGTGGATAAAGGGAGATGACTGTATAGATAAAAGAACTTGCGTTGGGAACCTGAAAACCTATTGTGTTGTTTTAGCTGGGTGACCTCGGGCAAGCTGCTTCACCTTTATGAGCCTTGGTAAGAAAGAAATAACAATTACTCTCTTCTGTCCTCCCCACCTGATTGCTGGAAGGGGCAGAGAAATTGTAGATGTGTAAACATGTCTTGCAAATCACAAAATCCTATGCTAGTAATGGTGAGATGCCCCAGGTACCCAGGGGACTAAGTAGGGATGGGGGCTTTCTGCCTGTGGTAATAGGAAAAGCACTAGAAGCCCAGCCCGATCACCACTCCATGGTCAGGTTCTTCCATTGCCCTTTGTTTTCTGGGGGAAGCAAACCAAGTGTGTTAGGGTGAAGGCTATAGATTCTGAGGCCAGACTCCCTGCATCTGAATCCTCGATCAGCCATTCACTAGCTGTGTATCCTCGGGCAACTCACTTGACCGCTCTGTGCCTCGGTTTCCTCATTTTATATTTGTATAATAATGGTACCAGTCAGAAGTGGTGGCTCACACCTGTAATCCCAATACTTAGGGAGGCCAGGAGTTCAAGACCAGCATTGGGAAAACAGTGAGACCCTGTCTCTAATAATAATAATAATAATAATAATAATAATAATAATAACAGGGCTGGGTGCGGTGGCTCATGCCTGTAATCCCAGCACTTTGGGAGGCTGAGGCGGGCGGATCACGAGGTCAGGAGTTCGAGACCAGGTTGACCAACATGGTGAAACCCCATCTCTACTAAAAATACAAAAGTTAGCTGGGCGTGGTGGCGCATGCACCTGTAATCCTAACTACTCGGGAAGCTGAGGCAGGAGAATCGCTTGAACCTGGGAGGCGGAGGTTGCAGTGAGCCGAGATCAAACCATTGCACTCCAGCCTGGGCAACAGAGCAAGACTCTGTCTTAAAAAAAAATAATAAAATAAATAAATAAAATAATACAATTAAAAAAATAATAATAGCCTATCTTAGAGAGTTGTTAGGAGGATTCAACAATATATATCAAGGGCTTAGAACAGTGTCTGGCACAAAGCATGTTATGAATGTCTTCCCCAGCTAATTGAGTTAATTTTCTGTTAGCCCTGTCACTGATCAGTCCTGAGGAACAGAAGACAAGCTGGGTAAATTTTGTAAGGAATAACAAAAACAATGACTACCATTTAATGAGGTCTTGCTCTGTTGCCCAGGCTGAAATGCAGTGGTGCAATCACAGCTCACTGCACCCTCCAACTCCTAGACTCAAGTGATCCTCCCACCTCAGGCTCCTGAGTAGCTGAGACTATAGGCGAGCACCATCATGTCCAGCTAATTTTATTATCTGTAGAGAAGGAATCTCGCTATGTTGCCCAGGCTGATCTTGATCTCCTGGGCTCAAAAACAATCCTCCTGCCTTGGCCTCCCAAAGTGCTAGGATTACAGACATTAGCCATCGCCCCCAGGGGACTTTTATTTTTAATTAATTAATTATTCTCTTGAGACAGAGTTTTGCTCTTGTTGCCCAGGCTGGAGTGCAGTGGTGCAATCTTGGTTCACTGCAACCTCTACCTCTGGGTTTTAAGTGATTCTCCTGCCTCAGCCTGCTGATAGCTGGGATTACAGGCGCCCACCCCCACGCCCGGCTAATTTTTTGTATTTTTAGTAGAGGGCGTTTCACCACGTTGGGCAGGCTGATCTCGAACTCCTGACCTCAGGTGATCCACCCGCCTTGCCTCCCAAAGTGCTGGGATTACAGGCATGAGCCACCTCGTCCAGCCAATTTTATTTTTTTAGAAATGGGGTCTTGCTCTGTCAACCAGGCTGGAGTGCAGTGGTACAATCATAGCTCACTGCAGCCTCAAACTCCTGGGATCAAATGATCCTCCTCCTGCCTCAGCCTCCCAAGTAGCTGGGACTACAGATGTACACCGCCACACCCAGCTGATTTTTAATTTTTTTTTTGAAATGGGGTCTCGCTGTGTTGCCCAAGCTGGTCTGGTCTCAAACTCCTAGACTCAGGTGATCCTCCTTCCTTGTCCTCCCAAAGTGCTGGAATTACAGGCGTGAGCTACCACACCCAGCCTACTCATGTACCTTATCCTATCTAATCTCCATAATAGTTCTTTGAGGGGGTAGAGAAGAGGGGACTAAGCCGCACTGAGGTTATATCACTTGTCCAAGATCACAGAGCAGGCAAGTAATGGTGTCAGGTTTGAACCCAAGCATTCTGGAATGAAAGCCAATTCTCTTAACCTTATTTGAAGTTTGGGGTATCACCCAGGCTTCTGGGAGGGGCAGCAGGGCAGGACCTTGGTGATCCTAGTCCCCGCAATGGGGGGTGAAAAGAAAATGTCTGGATGATGTGTCATGAACACAATGGGTGACCCTCAAGCCACACCCCAGTGCCTGGCCACTCACAGGGATCCTGGTACCTCTAGTTTCCAAGGAGGAGAAAGTCCTGCCTTCAAGGCCAGATAAGACAGCGCAGTGTCAGGGAACAAGTATCAAATCTGAGGGAAGTGTCAAGTGCAAGAAGAGACAGAATCTCATCTTAGCTGGAGTGGTCTTCTTCCCGGCCCCCAGGCTGTGGACAGAGGTTAGGGGACACACTTCCAGAATGTGTCACTCCCAGAGGAGTGAGCCTGTGTGGGCAGAGCAAACTCTTAGAGGTGAAGCAGCCTGCTCAAGTCAGCCCAAGCCCAGGGAGAGGCTATATCTGGGTGGCCTGCATAACCAAGGCCACCTCAGGGTTAAATCAGCCAATGACCACGGGGCTGGAACAGGACCCCCTAGTCCCAGAGCTGACCGAACACACCCCCAGAGCACCAGGGCCAAGATGCTTGGGCACCACTGCTGTCTCCCCACCAGCAGCAGAGACCCCGCCAGGCCCTCCAGCAGAGAGATCTGATTGCCCCTGGAGGCTAAAAGCAAACACACTGTGATGCCTTAAAGTTCTCACTGGTTGACAATGCCCATGGAAGAAAGAGAACCTGCTTGATCCTCACTCTCCAGACTTCGGTGCTTCCCAGAACACACCGCAGGCCGAGAAGGCCCTAGAAAGGTGAGGCCTCACCCCTCTGCGCCAGGCACTGCGCTAATCACGGCCAAGCTTCTGGAGATGTGGGTGTCGAAGGACATGGCTAGAAGATGGGTGCGGCCAGGAGAACTGGTAGGGGATAGAAACCTTGGAAGCCTTCTGAAAATCCCGAATAGATGCAGCTATGAAATCCCACCTGGTCTACTACTCATTCACCAGTAGGCCAGCAGGTGGTTTGGGCCTCCTGCCCTGGCCTAGGAAAGTGCTCTAGGCAGCCATCCAGGAGGCTCACAGGCCAGCTTCATTGGAACCCGTCAGCACCCCCAGCCCTCAACAGCAAGGCACTCGTCCCACAGACCCTCCCCCTACCACAGCAGGCAGGCAGCTGGCAGCTTATTTTATGAACATCCAAAATCCAAGAGGAACCGCAAAACCACACTGGGTTGTAGACAACCAGTCCTGAATGAGGCTGAGGCCGGGGATGCCACTTGCCCCCTCCTTCTAGGCTGGGCTTCGGCTGGGCTCAATCAGGGTCACCGCTGCCCTGTGTGGAGCAGTGGTGGGAACCCGCTTTCTGTCCACCAGCCTCTCCTGACCCCCACAACTCCTCAATCAGCTCTGCGGGCTGGGAATACCTGCTTTCTCCCCAGGTGGACTTGAGAATGGGGGATAGGGAGAGGCAGTGTGGGGCATGACATAGCTCAGAGGGTCAGTAACGAATGGAGACTCTTCACTGCCCATGACTAACTTCTGAGAAAGGGGAAGGCATCAGAGGTGTGGGGAACTCTAGTAGCTAAAGATGGCATGAGGGAGGGGAGAGGGAGGAAGGGAGAAATGTATCACTCACTGAGCATTATGTTGGGGAGGTTCCTGTGTCAGGAGATGGAGTTGTACTGCATTCCTTTTAACGATGGTGGCTAATATTTCCGGGTGCCTTTTTCAGCTGTGAGAGTTGGAGGGCGTAGAGACAAAGAGATGGCTGGACCAATAGCGTTAGAGCTTCTCGCCGCTTCTCTTTCTTCATCCCAGTGACAGCCTCAGAGGTGGTAAGATCTTAGCTTAGACTTTATCTTCCCCTAAGTGCAGCTCCCTACGCATTTTGCACCCCCATCCGTTATTGTTTTTCTACTGTGCTTCTCATTTCTCTCAGAGCACATCGTCACAACGCCAATTCGATTCTTTTTTTCTTTCTTTTCTTTTTTTGTTTCTTGAGACAGGGTCTCACTCTGTCGTCCAGGCTGAAGTGCGGTGGCACAGTCACGGCTCACTGCAGCCTTGATCTCCCCAGGCTCAAGGGATGCTCCCACCTCAGCCTCCTGGGTTGCTGGGACTATAGGTGCACACCACCACGCCTGGCTACTTTTTGTATCTTTTTTGGTAGAGACAGGGTTTGGTCATGTTGTGCAGGCTGCTCTGGAACTCCTGGGCTCAAGTGATCCTCCTGCCTTGGCCTCCTGAAGTGCTGGGGTTACAGGAGTGAGCCACAGTATCTGGCCCTTTTTGCTTTTTTATTATTGTTCTTCTCCACTAGGTTATTAACTCCATGAGAACCGATGTATTCTAAGTGCCTAGCATAATTCCCAGCACATAATGAGTACATAATGAGTATTCAATTAATATTTATTGAATGAATGAAGAAATGAATGAATGAATGCTAAGTTCAGAGGGAGATGTCAAGAAGCATAAGATAAGCCGACCCCTGTGGCTCACACCTGTAATCCCAGCACTTTGGGAGGCTGAGGCAGGAGGATCACTTAAGCTCAAGGGTTTGAGACCAGCCTGGGCAACATAATGAGACCCCATCTATATTTAAAAAAAAAAAAAAAGGCATAAGATGTGATTCCTACTTTTACTCTTACTATTTATGTAGTGAAAAGGTGGATGTGTAGAAAGAAGTAGCCAGTAAGAGAGGTCATTCAACAAATGGTTTTGAAATAATGGTTTAGGGCATTCCTAGGCAAAATGGACAAACCTGGAGCTAAACTTCACACCTTATCCAAAAAGTAACTCAAAATGGATAGTAGATCTAAATGTAAAATATCAAACTTTTAGAAGAAAACATGGGAGAAAATCTTTATGAACTAGGGTTAGGTAAAGAGTTCTTAAACCTGACACCAAAATCACAATCCATGAAGAAAAACATTGATAAATTGGACTTCATCAAAATTTAAAATTTTCGCTCTGCGAAAGACCGCACGCAGAGGATGAAAAGGCAAGCCACAGGTTAGGAGAAAACATTTGCAATTCACCTTTCTGACAAAGAACTTGTATCTAGAATATGAAAAGAACTCTAAACTCAACAGGAAGAAAATAAATCCAATAGGCAAAGACTTCAACAGGCATTTCATGAAAGAAAATAAACAGATGAGAAATCAGCACAAGAAAAGATGTTTGCCGTCATTAAGCAATTGGGAAATGCAAATTTTAGCCACAATGGCATACCACTGTACACCTATTAAATAGCTAAAAACAACTGCTGCTATACCAAGTGCTGGGGAGGAGGCAGAAACTGGAGCTCTCACACCGTGGTGGTGGGATTGTAAAATGCTGCAGCTACCCTGGACAACAGCTTAGCAGTTTCTTATAAAATTAAACACACTTGCCATATGACCCAGCAATTGCACTCCTGGGCATTTATTCTATAGAAATGAAAACTGTAGCCAGGGCGCGGTGGCTCATGCTTGTAATCCCAGCACTTTGGGAGGCCGAGGCAGGCAGATCACCTGAGGTCAGGAGTTTGAAACCAGCCTGACCAGCATGGTGAAACCCTGTCTCTACTAAAACTACAAAATTAGTCAGGCGGCTGGGCGCGGTGGCTTACGCCTGTAATCCCAGCACTTTGGGAGGCCAAGGCAGGCGGATAACAAGGTCAGGAGTTCCAGACCAGCCTGGCCAATATGATGAAACCCCGTCTCTACTAAAAAAATACAAAAATTAGCCGAGTGTGGTGGCAGGTGCCTGTAATCCCAGCTACTCGGAAGGGTGAAGCAGGAGAATCACTTGAACCTGGAGGTGGAGGTTGCAGTGAGCCGAGATTGCATCATTACACTCCAGCCTGGGCAATAAGAGCAAAACTCTGTTTCAAAAAGAAAAGAAAACAAAACAAAACTATGTTCACAGAAAAATCTGTACGTGAATATTCAAATCAGCTTTATTTGCAATAGCCAAAAAGTGCCAACAACCAAAATGTCCTTCAAGAGGTAACCAGATTAAAAATAAAGTGTGGGCCGCAGTGGCTCACACCTGTAATCCCAGCACTTTGGGAGGCCGAGGCGGGCGGATCACTTGAGGTCTGGATTTTGAGACCAGCACGGCCAGCGTGGTGAAACCTCATCTCTACTAAAAATACAAAAATTAGCCAGGAGTGATGGTGCACACCCGTAGTCCCAGCTTCTCAGGAGGCTGAGGCAGGAGAATTGCTTGAACCCAGGAGGCGGAGGTTGCAGTGAGCCGAGATTGCACCACTGCACTCCAGGCTGAGTGGCAGAGTGAGACTCTGTCTCAAAAAAAAGAAAAAAGAAAAAGGTCGGGAGCATCTACACAAGAGAATACTGCCCACGGGTGTTATGCTGAATTCCAAAAGCTAATCTCAAAAGATACTTGCTATATAACTTATTTTATATAACATTCTCAAAATGACAAAATTATAAAAAGTGGTGGCCAGAAGTAAGGGATGGGGCGATAGTGTGACTATAAAAAGGGTAGCCCGAGGGAGTTCTTTTGTGGTGATGGCACAGTTTTGTATCTTGATTGTAGTGGTGGTCGCACAAATCTATACAGGAGACAAAGTTTCATAGCACTATGCACACATACAAAAGTTCACATATAAATTGGTGAAATCCAAATAGGGGCTGCCATCTAGTTAATATTGCCATACGAATGTCAATTTCCTGGTTTGTTAATGTGCTGTAGTTATATAAGATATTATCACTGGGGAAGCTCAGGGAAGGGTACAATGTATGGACAGGACCACTCTGGACTAGTTTTGTAACTTCTTCTTCTTTTTTGAGATGGAGTCTTGCTCTGTCACCCAGGCTGGAATGCAGTGGCACAATTTCAGCTCACTGAAACCTCCGCCTCCTGGGTTACAGCTATTCTCCTGCCTCAGCCTCCCGAGTAGCTGGGACCGCAGGTGTGTGCCACCATGGAGGGCTAATTTTTGTATTTTTAGTAGAGACAGGGTTTCGCCACGTTAGCCAGGCTGGTCTTGAACTTCTGGCCTCAGGTGATCTGCCCGCCTCAGCCTCTCAAAGTGCTGGAACTACAGGCGTGAGACACTGCACCCAGCCTTATTTTTGTAACTTCTTATAAGTCTATAATTATTTCAAAATAAGTTACAAAAAATAATAAGGGCAGTAAAGATTAAAGTCCCCAATGTGCAAAATAAGTGTTAGAAGCTATAAGCACCCAGGGGAGTTCTGGCTCCCGTCCAGTTGGGAGTGGTGATATTTATTAAGTACCTACTCCTCATTGCATGCCAGGCATCATGCCCCACACTAGGGGGCATTCAAAGACACTGGTCTTATTCTCCAGAACGTCATAATAAGAGAGAAGGAAGGTGGGAGTAGGATGGAAAGATATGACCATTGTTAGGTCTGGGACCCAGTAGACCCACTGTAAGCTGCATCTTGGTCAGGACTCCATTTGTTACCTGGACCCCCACATCCCCACCTGACAGGGGAGCTATGATGACACTTCAGGTCCTTGGGTGTCAATGTCAACTCAGACCCTGTGTCCAACGGTCCTCAAATGTCTAGGTATTGTATTCCCAGTTCCCTTGTGCAGAGTGACCTAAATAAATGGCCATAGGTCCTGTTGGGGGAAAGCACAGGGGTATCACATGCCAGCAACAGGAGTTTTACATACCATGGTAATACAGGGTTCTTCTTTCTGGAAACCCAGCCACTTTTCTTTCTGGAAACCCAGAGGAAGTTTCACCATGTTGGCCAGGCTGGTCTCAAACTCCTGACCTCAGGTGATCTGCCCGCCTAGGCCTCCCAAAGTGCTGGGATTACAGGCGTGAGCCACCGCGCCCAGTCGGGAGCCAAGTTCCATAGCAGCATCTTTGCCCTCAGCCCTGGCCTGCAGAGGAGAGCCACCACTGAACATTTTAGTGATGCTGGTGCCCTTCTCACCAACACATTGTGTCCTCTGAGCCCTTTCATGGACCGTATGAATAGACAGACATTCCGGCTGCCCATAGCCTATCCATTTTGGCACACTCATCGCCTTGAGCCTTTTAATCCTTTCCTCCACCAACTGCCACAGCAATTCTGGCATTTCACCTTTGCTCGGCAGGATGGTCACTTTCTCCGCACCTCTGGGGCATCCTAGTAGTGATGCCCAGTTAGTGCCATCTCCCTGGATGCTGCATCTCAGGAAAGCTCTTCCCTGTGTGCTGCGATGTTCTGGTCCTCTGATCGACAGTCTCAGTCCAGGCCCCTGCGCACTCCCCTGGTCCCTGTGTGTGCTGCCGTCTGGCTTGGTCCTGCAACCCCTGGGGAATGATCCCTTTCCTCCCGTATCAGGGGCATTGCACACCCAGCTGGATCATGCTGTGACCTAACCTTATTTTTAGGCCTAGTGGCCAGGAGGGGAGGTGGGAGCACTTCCTGAGAGACACTTCAGGAGAATGGCCTTTGCAGTGATCTCCAGCACAGGGACAGTGCTAGCTCCCACTCGTGTCGGTGGGCCATTCTGCATGCTCGGAAGGGTCAGCTGAGTCTGGGAATTCACAGGCTTCTGGAGCATCCATATAGATGTCTCCATCACACATATATATCACAGCCAGGTTTTACCCACCAGGGCCTTAACCTTGGTATAATGAAACTGCTTCAATGGGCATTTCATCCTGCCCTGTGCTGTAGGAGGTTAGAATTTCTTTGTATGCAAACAAAAAGGCCCTCTGGCTTCACAACTGCCTTTCAGTTGCCTGTTATGGCCCTCAGCTGTCTGTTCTTTTTCTGAAGGACATCAACTTTCTATCCCATACCCTATCCTTAAAGCAACTGTGAACGCCAGACCTCTCAAATACCTCATGCATAACACCTACTAGTGCGTTTCCCCCTCCTTCCTCACCAGGGGAATCCATAGTTGGGCCACTGCCCTGACCCAGGGGCTGCTGTGCCTCACCCCTCTTAATGCTGGCCCCGTGATAACTGGTCCAGTTCCAAAACCCACCTGTCAACTGCTTTCTGGGACCATTCCTTGTACCAACTATCACAAATTGGGTTCTCCAGAAGGCAGAGGCTGATATGGAGTTGAGGGTGCATGATGTTTACTAGAGATCAATAACTGTGAAAGGAAAGAGGTGCACGGGAACAGATGTAGGCAGAGGGAAAAGCCAAGCTGCAATGCAGACCTGTCAAATGCGTGGCCAGCCCAGTGCAGAGCTCTGGAGCAAATGTTGCAGCAGAGTTACCCTTGCCAGGCTGAAGTGGCCAGGCCCTGGTGCCCTCATCTCACCTGGCCCCCAGATTGGGCTCCCCTAGGGAGGCCATGGGCTCAGGCAGGACAACCCCTGTGGGAACAACAGCTAGAAGCTCCCTGCTGAGAGCACCGGGCTGGGTACCATGTCTTGCCTTAAGGGAGAGCTGGGTGATGATGGAAAATGAAAATCCTTGTGGCTGATGAGAAACTTCTGGAGAGATTTGAAGTATGGTTGGGATTTTAACAGAAAAAAGAGAAGGGAGAGACCTTCTCAATGGAGAAAGCCCCTGAAGGCTTCCTAGAAGACGGGAGAATGAGAGGCTCTGGGAAAAGGTGGGACTCTTGGGGTAGCCCCATCCGGGAGGCTGTCTTCTGGGCCTGGAGACACAGTGTGGGGTTGGGGAGGGGCCTCATGGAGTCACTTTTAACAGGCTGGAAGCCTCTTGAGGCTCATCATCTATTTGTTTCTCTCTCTTGAAAAATCGTTGTGACTATTCTTGCATAAACCCCAGAGATCTGCATGTGCCATCCACAGAGGGCAGGCTCCCAGTAGTGCCCCAGCTGGAGTCCATGACACTAGCAAAGTTCTTAGAAGGAATATCTGGCACGTAGCATCACTATTGAGAAAGCAGAGGGACTTGCCTCCTCAACCCCTGCAGGAGGTCCTGGCATTCCAACTGGACATCATCACTTCTGCTGATTTCTGCCCAGGAGGGGTCACCACCCCTCCCCCAATGCCCAACTGGCTGCAGGCGGAGCCCTGGGGGTTCACCCACCTCTCAGGAGCAAAAGGCCAAAGCAATGTGGTAAAGCTTCGCTGTACTGTTAACAATTTGAAACGGAGAAGAAAGAAAACCACAAGAACAACCCTTTGACCATCTACACACACCTCACAGTGTCTTGAAATCTACTTCATTGCTCATTTTGAAAGAACTAAAAATGAGGGTCCTCGCAGAGAAGTAAAACACCCCTGACTTGAGAAGACACTAACACAGAGGGGATTTTCTTTTTGCTTTTTATGTTTGCCTTCAATTGCACTTGAATCCAGATAAACACAAAGTCCCGTTGACACCCTCTTCCCCAGTTCCAGTCCCTTTCTGGAGGTGACCATGGTCAGTGTTTATCTTTCCAAATCTGTCTCTATGTATGTACCTACCTATATGTGTACAGATAAAAATAATTTTTGCGGCAGCATAAAAACATATTCTCCATAATAGCCTGAAGCTTGCATTTCTTTTTTCTTTTTCTTTTTTTTTGAGACAGAGTCTCACTTTGTCACCCAGGCTGGAGTGCAGTGGCACGATCTTGGCTCACTGCAAGCTCCGTCTCCCAGATCCAAGAGATTCTCATGCCTCAGTCTCCCGAGTATCTGGGATAAGAGGCGCGCACCACCATGCCTGGCTAATTTTTGTATTTTTAGTAGAGACAGGGTTTCGCCATGTTGGCCAGGCTGGTCTTGAATTCCTGACCTCAGGTGATCCACCCGCCTTGGCCTCCCAAAGTGCTGGGATTACAGGCATGAGCCACCGCACCCAGCCCTGAAACTTGCATTTCTTACACATAAATATATCTTGGAAATCTTTCCATATTAGCAGTGTGGTGGCATTGGAATGCATCCATTTGGGAAGGCTGGATTCTGTCTTCCCTGTATATGGCCAGTTAGGGGGGACCAAGAGACGTTTAGGCTGAGATTTGGATATCCTGTATTGCTGCTCATTTGACGGCTGCAGCTGCTCCACCTGCCCTGTGTCCTCCTTCAGCAGCTCCATCTCCTGCGCCAGGTGTGTGTTTGGCTTTGTGATGAAGGAAGAGGTCAGCTGCTCCCGCAGGACACTTGTACCAACAAGTTGGAGGTGGAGAGAGACTCCTGTGGATCTTGTGGGCTCCTGCTGGTTCTCACTCTTCCCTACTTACATCCCTCTTCTCTTCCTGCCGTGTGGATGCCAAGCTCCAGTGTCAGATGAGAAGGTAACAGCCTTCCCAAGACAGTTTAGCCAGCTCCCCGATTGCTTAAAGTCAAATCCCCATCTCTCTCTCTCTCTGTCTCCCTCTCTCTCTTCCTCTCCGTCTCTCTCTCTCTTTCTCTCTCTCTCTCTCTCTCACACACACACACACACTGTACCTCCTAGTGGTTCTACTGCTCTAATTGAACTGTTGAGAATACATAATGATACTTCATTCTTTATTCTTTTTAACCACCATGAAAATGGCAATGTGATTTAGCCTCTCTCCTATATGAGACCTTTGGGAAGGTCCACTTTGTTCCTCTAACAAACCATGCTATAATAAGCACTCTTGTTCATATTTGTTTGTTTTTTAAACCATATCTATAATTAGTTCTCCAGAAAAATTAAGCTGATGATTCAAAAAGTTTGCATATCTTACATTTTAGGAAGTAGGTCCAAATTGTAGGAAGGCTGCCTGGAACCAATGTAGATAGGGAGCATTGATGCAGTGGTTTTAGTCTCTTCCCCCAACAAGGATAGAGAAACATTTGACAACAATCAATTAGTCAAGATAAGCACTTTCCTTGGGTTCAGCAGTATACTTGGCACTAACACGTACCCAACATAGGAATTCCCAGACTGTACAGTATGCTCAAAAAAGTCTAAGGGACACAGAGAGTGTAGTAGGTTGAATCATCAATCTCAATACTTCACTGCCCTGTTGCAGCAGTATCACACATCCATACCTTTGCCATGGTCATGGGAGGGCAAAGTGTGCCATTCACCCTTGAATTGGGGCTTGGCCTTGTGACTTGTGTTAAATGCTAATTACAGATTTCAGATGTGAAGTGAGCTGAAACTTGAAATATGATTGTGCAGTTGGGCTTGCCCTACTTTTTGGCCATGAATAGAATATGCCTCAGGTGGCCGGGCGCAGTGGCCCACTCCTGTAATCCCAGAACTTTGGGAGGCCGAGGCGGGTGGATCACCTGAGGTCAGGAGTTCGAGACCAGCCTGGCCAACATGGTGAAACCCTGTCTTTACAAAAATACAAAAATTAGCCAGGCATGGTGGCATGCGCCTGCAATCCCTGCACTCCAGCGTGGGTGACAGAGCAAGACTCCGTCTCAAAAACTGAAAAATAAAAAGAATATGCCTCAGGTATCTGCTGATCCAAGGGGGATGAAAGACATGTGGTACAGACCTCAACTCAGCCACAACCTGGAGCCAAGACCCACAGATGCTAGCAGAGAGCAGCGGAGCCCCAGCTGGCCTAGAGACAGATCAGAATCACACATTGCATTTAGTCATCATATCTCTTCAGTCTCCTTCAATGTGAAACAGTTCCTTAGCCTTCATGGCCTTGACACTTTTGAAGATCACAGGTCAGTTTCTCATGGAATGTCTTTCAACTTAGTCCTCATGACTCAATCCTGGTTATGCATCTTTGGCAAGAATATCAGAGAAGTGATGCTGTGTTCTTCCCACATCCTATTAGCGCATTTCCTGCCTTGCTTTCCATTTGTCCCATTGCTGATGACGTTCACTTTGATCACTTGATTAAGGTGATGTCTGCCAGACTTCTTCACTGAAAAGTTACCCTTTTCCCCCTTGAAATTAATAGATGCTTTCTGGAGAGACTATCTGAAACTATGTAAATATTTATTTATTTATATTAGTGTGGAGTCATGGTTTCCTAAATCAGTCAATGGGTTATAACCATTACTACCATAATTTATTTTGGTGTTTAAATTGTCCCAGCTTTGCTTAATAGAAGCCCCTTCAAGTTGGCTTCTGTGTTGACATATCCTCATCATTTTTTTTTAGCACTTTTTTGCTTTCTGACACAACAGGATCTTCTAGGCTTTTCTTACACTTTCTATGCCTTAATATGGGAATCAGTCATTTCTGCAAGGAGCCCTAGTTCCTGCTATTGGAAAATGGTATTTAGAAGATCTGGGTGCTGGATGTGTTCATTGCTAGTGAGGTGTGTCACTCTTCCCAGGCCCTCAGAGCTAGTGAACATTGCTATCTCGTTTTATTTATTCATCCATCTACCTATGTGTTGAAAGCCATGAGTTCTGATATAGATCTCAATTCCAACACGACATTACAGGGTTCACTTAGGTTCTGTTCCTCTCCGTGATTGTAACTCCCTTCTCTGACTCTGAGAAATCTGGCTCCCATTATTCCTAATATATGTACTTTTTGATGACTTTCCCTGCTGTCACCCATCTGCCATCATCATCCTTTGCCCTGGACACGCTTCTCACCTTCTGACTCTCTGTGCCCAGCTGCCCTCTTGCGTGGACACCCTCTTCATCTCTCTAACACCCATATGGGGATGTTCCTCTATCTGCATGGACTCTGATCCTTCATGCCAGGCCTTTCCTCTGTGTAGACAACTTCTTCCCTCTCTATAGACTATGATACCCGCCGCCAGGCCTCTCCTCCCCATGCACACTCTCCTCTCCCACCCAGGTTCTGTCTTCCCACACGAGGGCATGCCCTTTCACCACGTGGATACGTCCCTCACCTTTCAAAGGCTCTGACATCCTCCTCCTCAGATGCCTTCTCCTCCCTGTCTACTCCCCATGCCAGGCAGTCTTTCTACATAGACACCCTCCTTACCCCACTCAGGCTCCGACACCCCATTCTGGACTACAGCAGTCTCTCCCAGGTGTACTAGGTGCCTGCCTTGCTTTGTCCTAATGGTTTTTAGAACAATCTGGTCAGAATGGGATGGGAAAGCACAGGAAAGGAAGTAAAAAAGAGGGGAGAGAGCCAGGCTGCTAAGTGAAGAACAGACTGTAGGGAGGCAGGAGGAGAAGGAAGACCAGGTGAGAGGCTATCACAGCAGTCCCATTGAGATGATGGTGACTCAGGTGGTGAGAAGTGGTCAATATTCCAGGTATATTCTAAAAGTAAAGTCAGTAAGAAATACTGATAAAAACACTTGGGAATTCAACCCAAGGACCATTTTTTTGTTGTTGTTTTGCTTAGTTTGCTTAGTCATGGCTCAAGTGGGTTGCAAATAGAAACCCACTCTAGGCCGGGCACGTTGGCTTACGCCTGCAATCCCAGCACTTTGGGAGGCCGAGGCGGGTGGATCACTTGAGCTCAGGAGTTCGAGACCAGCCTGGCCAACATGGTGAAACCCCATCTCTACTAAAAATACAAAAATTAGCCAGGTGCAGTGGTGCATGCTTGTAATCCCATCTACTCGGAAGGCTGAGGCAGGAGAATTGCTTGAACACAGGAGGCGGAGGTTGCAGTGAGCCGAGATCACGCCACTGCACTCCAGCCTGGGTGACAGAGTGAGACTCCATCTCAAAAAAAAAAAAAAAAAATGAAAAAAAAGAAACCCACTCTAACTTAAACAAAGAGGATAAGAGGATGAATTTGTAAGGATTCAGGTGTAGCTCTCAAGCTCTCAGAACCCAAAGGCAGGAGGAGCAGCTGGGTCTCACAAAGAGTAAGAACCAGTACCCAGAGAGGCGCCCGGTGCCGGGGCAGGCGTCCTTCCTCTATCTGACTCCGGCCACATGGTCGCTCGTCAGTGCTGCTGCCGCACACCTGCTCTATTCTTCTCCCTGGCAGACCTCTTTCCTCTGTTCCCCATGCACACAGCAGAAAATGGTGATGATGACCCACAGCTCCTGTCTTACCTATTCCTGTTCAAAAGACCAATGGGAACCAAAGAGTCTGATTCCTAGTTCCAAGTTCTCAGGAAAGAGGTTCTGAGTGGTCCAGCGTGGGTCAGTCGCCCATCTCCTATGGCCTCCTAATAAATATGTCAATATGTTGTGATACCCCATGTAGTGACCTCAAATTCAGCACCACCTGGACAAGTCAGTCAGGAGTGACACTCCCTTACATGTATTCCTTAAGGGGCATTAGTTCCAGGGAAAAAGAACCAATGATACGAAAGGGGTATGGCAGGAGGCATGTGTTTCATGGTTCCACAGGTTTGGGAAAAGGTTAAAGGGGGACAGGGTTACATGGTACAAACCTGGCTCCTGGAACTATTTTTATTTTTTTTTAGTTGTTATATAATATTTGACCTATGTATGGGCTACATGTGATATTTTGTTACATGGATAGAATCCCTAATGATCACGTCAGGGTATTTGGGATAGCCATCACCTCCAGTATTTATCAATACATTGTTGCTGACTATATTTGTCTTACTCTGCTATCATTGAACATTAGAATTTATACCTTCTGCAAGGCGGGTGGATCACTTGAGGTCAGGGGTTTGAGACTAGCCTGGCCAACATGTTGAAACCCCGTCTCTACTAAAAATACAAAATTAGCTGGGCATGGTGGCACGCACCTGTAATCCCAGCTACTCAGGAAGCTGAGGCAGGAGAATCGCTTGAACCCGGAAGGCGGAGGTTGTGGTGAGTTGAGATCGCATCACGGCACTCCAGCCTGGGCCACAGAGCGAGACTTCGTCTCAAAAAAAAAAAAAAAAAAAAAACTTATACCTTCTGGCTGGGTGTAGTGGCCTCAGGCCTGTAATCCCAGCATTTTGAAAGGCCAAGGCAAGCAGATCACTTGAAGCCAGAAGCTCGAGACCAGCCTGGGCAACATGGCGAAACTCCATCTCAAAAAAAAAAAAAAAAAACTTATACCTTCTATCTAATCGTGTGTTCGCACCCATTGGCTTGACCTCTCTTTCCTGGACCCATTCTTGATTGAAGTGGGGACACTTGTAGGGACCAGGGGTCAATGACCTCAAAAGTGTCCCTTATTCGCCTATCAAATGCAAAGAGTTGAGCAGTGGTTGTGAAGTACATGGAAACAGATGAGGCACAATCGGCCTCCTCAAGCCAACAATCTCTGAAGGGAACTAAGAAATACCACAGTGAGAAATGATCCAAGACAGCAAGGATTGTGTGGCAGGAGCTCTGGGGAGCATTGGTGACCTTCAGAAATGGAATGAATCCCACTTACCATCAGGCTGTAATCAGCAGCATCTCAGTTCACAGGACAGAAGCGGGGCGGGCAGGGAGAGGGGAGAGGAGAATTCTGGTTACTCTGCCGTGGGAAAGGCAGGCCCAGCAGAGACCCCTTGAGCAACACTGCCCTCTTATTCTGCAGGCAGTGGGTCTCTACAGGGCCTTGGATCCTCTCACCGCTGATTTATGGCTTGTGCAGCCAGCAAATTTATACTCTCTGTGGCTTTGTTTCTATAGTATTGCTCCTCCAAGAGCTGGCTTTATACCTCAGACATATAAATCTGTTAGAGGGTGGTATATGGCCCAAGAAGTCTTTACCGGGTAGGTAAGATTTTGTTCTCATCTATAGATTCTTTCAGAGTCCCCCCAACCTGAGTCCCCCCTTTATGTATTCAGGCTGTCTTTATTCATTGGAAAAACCAATCCAATCTACAGTGCCAGTGGTTGGGAGATGGGGCCTGTCTCCTTCCTAATGCCCTAAAATGTTCACAGAACCACCCAGTTCCCCACAGGCTGGAAGAGTCAATCTCAGTCACCTGCAAAGGAATTTTGCTAATACCTTTGTTTTTTGTTTGTGTGTTTGTTTAAGTAGAGACAGGGTTTCCACCATGTTGGCCAGGCTGGTCTTGAATTCCTGACCTCAAGTGATTCGCCGGCCTTGGCCTCCCAAAGTGCCGGGTTATTAGCTCTGGTTGATTCCGCCGTCTCTCAGACCTTGGCCAAAGGGGCGACACAACGACAAAACAGATGTGGAATCCTGTTACAACTAATTTCAGTTGTCATTTAAATCTTACACGTCTAGAATCATATTTGCAGTCTAAAGCAATATGGTGCTAGGGTGAAGAAGGAAGTGTCATGCAAATTCTTGAAATTCCTGCTCATTTCCCCCTCTTACTTTCTGAGTGTTGTTTGGTTGAAGGAAAGCTCTAGTGTTTGATGTAGGGATGGTGTGGCGGGGGGAGGGTGGATGAAAGATATTTATTTTTTGTGGCTGAATAAGCAGAGCTTGGAACAGACCATCTCCCACTTCCAAGCCAAGCAGCACATCCCGATACCTTCCTCAGGAGTGGCCTCTGCTTCTAGGAGAGGCAGGAGGAAGCCAGTGCTGGCCTGGTTCGTTTATGGGGAGGGTTTGTTGGACAAGAGCAATGAAGGACTAGTTCCTGGGACTCAGCACTGAGCATGGAAGTGGTTCCATCATGCAGGCTCCTTCTTTGATTCAGGGACCATAGATTTTGGTCACAAGGAAATACTAAGATAATAAGAGTTCCTTGCTTTCCCCTGCAAGGGAATGGTTCACTCTAGGTCAGTGCTTCCAGAGTAGGTTTCATGCAACACTAGTCCCATGAAACTGGGAAGCCCAGTAGTTAAAACATTTGGTGAGGCCGGGCACGGAGGCTCATGCCTATAATCCCAGCATTTTGGGAGGCCGAGGCAGGAGAATCACCTGAGGTCAGGAGTTTGAGACCAGCCTGGCCAACATGGTGAAACCCTATCTCTACTAAAAATACAAAAATTAGCCCGGCATAGTGGTGCGTGCCTATAATCCCAGCTACTTGGGAGGCTGAGGCAGGAGAATCGCTTGAACCTGGGAGGCAGAGGTTGCAGTGAGCTGAGATCGTGCCATTGCACTCCAGCCTGGGCAACAGAACAAGAGTCCGTCTCAAAAAAAAAAAAAAAAAAAAAAAAAAAGTGCCGGGCACAGTGGCTCATGCCTGTAACCCCAGCACTTTGGGAGGCCAAGGCAGGTGGATCACCTGAGGTCGGGAGTTCGAGACCAAACTCCAGTCTGACCAACATAGAAAAACCGTGTCTCTATTAAAAATACAAAATTAGCCAGGCTTGGTGGCGAATGCCTGTAATCCCGGCTACTCAGGAGGCTGAGGCAGGAGAATTGCTTGAACCTGGGAGGTGGAGGTTGCAGTGAGCTGAGATCACACCATTGCACTCCAGCCTGGGCAACCAGAGCAAAACACTGTCTCAAAAAGAAGGAAAAAAAAAAAAAGTTAGCTTTACTTCACCTGCATCCCAAACCTATTGAACCAGGGAACACACACCTCCTGTCATTGCCCCTTCTTTTTAATTTTTTTTTAATTTTGAGACAGAGTCTCGCTCTGTTACCCAGGCTGGAGTGCAGTGGTGAGATCTCGGCTCACTGCAACCTCCGCCTCCCAGTTTCAAGCGATTCTCCTGCCTCAGCCTTCCAAGTAGCTGGGATTATAGGCACATGCCATCAAGCCTGGCTAATTTTTGTATTTTTAGTAGAGACGGGGTTTTACCGTGTTGGTCAGGCTAGTCTCAAACTCCTGACCTCAAGTGATCCGCCCTCCTCGGCCTCCCAACATGCTGGGATTACAGGCGTGAGCCACCATGCCTGGCCCATTGCCCCTTCTTAAAAATCATCAGGTTTTTTACCCTGGAAGTAGTGCTGTAAGGAACACACTTAAGGGAATGTTCCTCTTGACTGATTTGTCCTGGTCGTGCTGGATTTGGGGTCACCACATGAGGCATCATAAAATATTGACATATTTAATTCCATCCATGAACCAGGAACATTTTGCTCCTGAGAAATGTCTGTCTGATAGAAAAAAAAGAATCTGCATCTCAAAAAAGATAAATACATAAATATTTTAAAATATGAAATGATTTAAAAATTTTTAAATCAACATAAGCTTACCTATCTAAGGAGAACATTGAACTTGACAGCCAAAGGACATCTAGCCAGCATGTAGTAAATCTGTAGAAGAAAAAAATCCGGCGGGGCACAGTGGCTCGCACCTGTAATCCCAGCACTTCGGGAGTCTGAGGCGGGAGGATTGCTCAAGCCCAGGAGCTTGAGACCAGCCTGGGTAACATGGCAAGACCCCATCTCTACAAAATCAAAAACTTAGCTGCACGTGGTGGCATGTACCTGTGGTCCTGAGGTGGGGGGACCGCTTGAGCCCCAGGAGGTTGAGGCTGCCGCTCCCTGTGTTCATGCCACTGCACTCCAGCCTGTGTGATAGAGCAAGACTCTGTCTCAAAAAATAATAATAATAAAAATAATTTAGAATTGAAAGAATTATCTCTCTCTCTTTTTTTTTTTCTTTTGAGATGAAGTCTCACTCTGTCACCCAGACCAGAGTGCAGTGCCACCACCTCGGCTCACTGCAACTTCCGCCTCCCAGGTTCAAGCAATTCTCCTGCCTCAGCCTCCTGAGTAGCTGGGACTACAGGTACCCACCACCACACCCGGCAAATTTTTCTATTTTCAATAGAGACGGGATTTCATCGTGTTGGCCAAGATGGTCTTGAACTCCCGACCTCAGATGATCCACCCACCTCAGCCTCCCAAAGTGCTGGGATTACAGGGGTGAGCCACCACACCTGGCCTGAATTATCTCTAATTCATCAATGTCTACCATGAGCTTCTTTGTTAGCCCAGTTCATTTTGATTTATTCAATAACTTAAGCTCTTTAAGCTTCAGTTTCCCTGTCCACCCTACAGGCATGTCATCCAGAGAGGCTCAGAATGGCATGTGTGTGTATGTATACAAGCCACCCAGTGGGTAGCAGTGGGGTGGGGGCTTCCACCAGGTATAGCCTTAAATAAAGAAGCTGCACTTTCTATGCATACTGAGAGTGGTGGGAACAAAAGTTACAGCTCTACTATAAATAAACGGAGGTGTTTCTTTTTGTTAAATAATGATGCTACCTCTCTACGGAACACAATGAGCGAATCCAGAGAGGGCTCAGTCTGTCTACCTGTCTCCTGGGAATAAAGGATTTCTCCTATAAATCACTAATTGCTCACTTTAAGAGAGTATTTTATTTATTTATTTGAGACAAGGTCTGGCTCTATCACCACTGAAGTGCAGTGGTGTGATCTTGGCTCACTGCAACCTCTGCCTCCTGGGCTCAAATGATCCTCCCACGTCAGCCTCCTGAGTAGCTGGGACTATAGGCATGCATCACCACACCCAGCTAACTTTTTACACTTTTTGTAAAGACAGGATTTTGCCATGTTGCCCAGGCTGGTCTCGAACTCATGAGCTCAAGTTAATCTGCCTGCCTCGGCCTCTCAAAGTGCTGGGATTACAGGAGTGAGCCACTGTGCCTGGCGAATAGTTTAAATTCTGAACAAACTGCCAAAGGACAGGTTGGTGGCTTCACTGTGCCAGTGGCTGTGGTTTTGCCTAGGGCCTAATGCATGGGCACTGGAATCAGAAGGCCCGGGGTGCAAATGCTGCTGCCACCATGCCCCAACTTTGTGACCTGGAGCTGCTAACTTCCTCTCCCTGAGGCCAAGTGCACACCTGTAAAATGAGGACAACACTCAGCCCTACCTCACAGAGCCCTTGGGAGGTAGCAAGTAAGGCTGAAGAAGTACTAAGTACAGGGTTTTGTACCTATGCACAGTAATTATTTTTCCTCATCAGCAAGTGAGGGCCAGTTGCGGTAGCTCCTGACTGTAATCCCAGCATTTTGAGAGGCTGAGGCCAAAGGGTTGCTTGAGGCCAGAAGTTCAAGACCAGCCTGGGCAACATAGGGAGACCTTGTCATTATAAAATAAATAAAAAGAAAGTTTTTTTGAAAAGTGAGGATTATTACTATTACTATTTCCATATCTCTCTGCTGCATTGTAAGACATGTGACTATCGAGTGATTGATTTTCTTTTTAAACAGCAGAACTCTTATGTCTGTAAAAGTGAATGCCATTCATTCATGGTCATCTCCAACGGGACTGAGCTGGACATAAGGAGCACTGAATTACAACAGCGCCTGTGCCCCGTCCCCCTGGGACTGCACTAAGCGAGGCTAGGAAGGACACTGTGCACTTTCTCTCGCTTTATCTTCAGGGTCCAGCACAAGGCCCAAGAACACAGTAGGGACTACATTCATGCTTTCCCAGTGGCACCTTGCCCTTGTTGGCAATGTTTTCTGGCCTTCAGATTCTGAGCCATCAGCTCTGGCATAACCTCAGTGGTGACAAGCCTTCAACTTTATTTCTGGAAACCGTAGGCCATTTGGAGCTCAGACGGCAAATAAGGTGAGGAGGAGTTTGTCCAATGATGGTGAGTGAGACCATTTTTGGTCAAAAGTGCAAGGAAGCAGTTCAGCGTGCAGGCCCTGTGAATGGGGGTGCCCCGCGGGGCAGAGAATACGCGAGTGCAAGTAAACGTCTGGAAACAGCGTGCACGCCTTGGTGGTCAGCAGGTCAGCTGGCTGGAGGTGAGGACTGATTTGTCTCTTTAAGTCTGTGGCCTTAACTCTGGGCCTTAACTCTGGGGCTTCCAAGTCACAGTGGTGGAAAATTCTGATTGTTTCATTTTAAAGGACAAAATAATAATTTGTCCTTAGATGATGTGTATGTGGTGCGATTTTCTATTAAAAAGAAGGAGTATATATGGACTATCTCAGGAAGGATATGATGGAAACCGGTAACAGGGCCTGCCTCTGGGGTGGCAGTGGGGGAGGGGGCTGGGGACAAAGGTTCCGGGGGCCATGTATTTTTCTCATACCGCATTGTGTACCTTTTAGATTTTATACTATTTGCATGCTATTGCCTATTAAACAATTATGAGCAACAGAGCAGGAAAAGCAGGAGGAAGCAGCAGCATTCCTTTCCTGTATAATAAATATTTAACCTAAGTTTTCTCTCTAAAAAAAAAAAAAGTAAACCATAAAAGGATTAACAGGAAGCGAATGACCCCATTGGGCCTGTTAGCACATCCCAGGGTTGCTCTCCCAGCCTGACAAAAAAGAAGTACGTTTCGCTTCCCCAAACTATGTAGGCTTGTGGTTGAAGACAATAAATACCCTTACCCTAGACCCCCATGGATAATTTGCAATAATCAACTTTACAAATAATAATCCTGTAAATTACATTTTGAAAGAAAGGGCTCAATCCATCAGCTCCTACACTCCTCCCTTTGTTGCCAGTTCACTGCTCAGACACCTCCCCTTAAGGGCGAGAGGGACAAAGAAGGGTTAGAATCCAGCTTTTTCATCACCTCCTCCATGAAGGCTGAGCTCTAAGACCACAACCCGTGACTGAAGCGAGGGTTTTGGATCATTTGTAATTGTTCTTGGACGACCCACGATTTTTTGTTTGCTAACACTAGTCCTGGGAGGAAATGAATTAGCTTTAACTGAGGACAGGTAGGAGGCCCAAATTCCTTCCACTGTAGATTTTACATTCTAAATGAATGACTGTGTGACAGGCTCTGGGGAGGAACCAGGGACAGTCACTTTTGTCTCTGACATGCCCAGTATCCTTTCCTCTGCCTTCAGGAACAGCTCCCAGGGTTGGTTTGGGATCCACCCTGCCACCCTCAAGGTGAGGCTCCAAAACACAGCCATGGGGAGGAACACACGTCCTAGCCTAAGCCAATCACTGTTCCAGATTCCCTGGGCCACGGGGCTTAGATCAGGAAAGGAAAAATGGCCCCAGGGGAGCCAATGGGCCACAGAGGCCTTTCCTGGGAATGCAGAGCCAGAGACGGGCACTCTCTCTGGCTAGACTTCGATCCTGAGGCTGAGGGGCTGCTGGTGCCACCCCATCTTGTCTTCACAAGGAGTCTACGGCGAGAAGAGAGGGAAGAGAGAGTCCAGGGTTGATGTGTGTCCTCTTTGGGCCCTGAATCCCTTCCATTCTCATCCCCACCCCCAGGCATCCTTGTATATGATCCAATAAATTGCTTCTTTTTTCTTTTTTTCTTTTCTCTTTTGTTTTTTTTTGAGACAGAGTCTCACACTGTTGCCCAGGCTGGAGTGCAGTGGTGCAGTCTCGGCCTACTGCAACCTCTGCCTCCCGGGATCAATCCATTCTCCTGCCTCAGCCTCCCGAGTAGCTGGGATTACAGGCGCCCACCACCATGTCTGGCTAATTTTTTCTATTTTTAGTAGAGACAGGGTTTTCACTATGTTGGCAAGGCAGGTCTCGAACTCCTGACCTTGTGATCCACCCACCTCAGCCTCCCAAAGTGCTGGGATTACAGGCGTGAGCCACTGCGCCCAGCCAAACTGCTTCGTTATTAAGCCAGAGTGGGCATGGGCTTTTCTGGGTCTTATAACCAAAATGGTCCTGTGTGACATACTAGTGTGCAAACTCTCGGAGACTGAAGCTTGAATCAAAAGCTGGAAAAGCAGTGGGACCCACTTTGACCAGTGAGCATCTTTGAATTAAACCCTGGACTATTCCATCAAAGTTACCATGGCCTATATTCTGTTACCTTTCTTCTCTTGGGAACGTGGGAATAGCAGAGGGAAAAAGCCTGAAATGTACGTTAATAGTAGGCCATTTAACGGAGGTTTACCCGCCATCTTACTACTGGTAGCCCACTCCCTCCCACTAAAAGGGCATTTTTTGCCCAGCCCCAGGGCTTAGAGTTCAGAGCTGCCTCACAATTTCACTGAAGAGCAGGACATTCTCTTACTGGGAATCACAGAGTCCTCTGAAAGCACAGGCCCTTATAAGTAAGGAATGAGCCTGAAGATAACACAGGGTTAATAATCTGCTTGTCAACACTTTGAAACTCTCTCTCAAAGTCAGTTCGCAGGCAGCAGAGCTAGCTGATGAAACCCTGAATCAGAGTCCTCATATGGGATATTTCCTCCCCTCTGAGCTCCAAACTACCATTCTGTTTCTTTGATGGTATAGGAAATTCATGGACTTATTCCCAAATTGAACTCTCAGAACATACTGGCCAACATAGCACGATCCCATCTCTTAAAATTGTGTGTGTGTGTGTGTGTGTGTGTGTGTGTGTGTGGAGGGGGTGCACACCTGTGGTCTCAGTTACTCAGGAAGCTAAAGCAGAAAGATCACTTGAGTCCAGGAGTTCGAGGCTACAATGAGCTATGATGGTGCCACTGCACTCCAGCCTGGGTGACAGAACGAGACCCTGTCTCAAAAAAATTTTTTTAAAGTGAAACACATAAAAAGATGCTCAGCACCTCTAAAACTAAAAACGAGTTATAATTTTACATCCACGAGATGGACTATGATGAAAACAATGGATAACATCCAACCCTGGTGAGGGTATGGAGAAATAAGTGCTCTTGTATCATGTTGAGGAGAGTGCGTATTATTAGTACACGGCCCCCTGCAGGTCTTCCTCTCCCCGCACATGCACACATGCTGCACCCCACATCAAGAGGCAGAGCTTGGCTCCCACCCCCTTTGAATCTGGGCTTGCCTTGTGACTGACTTTGATCAATAGAGTATGGCAGCAGTGACATTCTGGAACCCGGACCCATGCTGCGAGAAACTCAAGCCACATGGAGAGACCAGTAAGAGGGAAGCCAAAGGCGCTCCTGGGGATAGCCCCAGCCCAGCACCAGCCAGCACCAACTACCAGCCCCACCAGTGAGAACGTTCGGACCCTCCCTGTCCAGCACCACAGGAGGCAGAGCCACCACTTAGTCCACCTACAGAAACATGGGGAATAATGAATTATTGTTTTAAGCCATTTAATTTCGAGGGATTTGTTACTTAGGAATAGATAACAGAAACAATATTCATTGTCATCTTGTATGAAATAGAGAAAAAATTGGAAGCAAAAAGCCATCAGTAGGAGAATGGTTGCATAAATTATAGTCCAGCCATACCAGAAATGCTGCACAGCCATTAAGAAGATTGCTGTGAATCTGAATGAAGTGACAGAGGAAGGCCCCCAAGATAGGTTAATGAAAAAAACAATTTTTTGTTTGTTTTTTGAGACGGAGTCTCGCTCTGTCACCAGGCTGGAGCGCAGTGGCGCAATCTCGCTCACTGCAACCTCTGCCTCCCGGGTTCAAGCGATTCTCCCGCCTCAGCCTCTAGTAGCTGGGACTACAGGCACACGCCACCACACCTAGCTAATTTTTGTATTTTTTAGTATCGATGGGGTTTCACCATGTTGGCCAGGATGGTCTCAATCTCTTGATCTCATGATCTGCCCTCCTTGGCTCCCAAAGTGCTTTACAGGTGTGAGCCACCGCACCCGGCCAAAAAAAGCAATTTTTAAAACCATATGCCTAGTATGATTTTGCTATGTAAAAAATATGTGATTTGGGTAAACACATTTAAAACTATCAAAAAGATATACACCAAACCATCAACAGTATTTACTTATTGGGGGAAAAAATGGATTTGGGGCAAAAAAGCGTATACAAACTTTCACTTTTGATTTCTATACAGTTTAATTTCTTCTGCTGCTTCTTCCTCCTCCTCCTCTTCTTCTTCCTCTTCCTCCTCCTTCTTCTTCTCCTTCCTTCCTTCCTTTTTTTTGACGGAGTCTTGCTCTGTTGCCCAGGCTGGAGTGTAGTGGTGCAGTCTCGGCTCACTGCAACCTCTGCCTCCCGGATTCAAGTGATTCTCCTGCCTCAGCCTCCCGAGTAGCTGGAACTATAGGCATCCGCCACCAAGCCCAGCTAATTTTTGTATTTTTAGTAGAGACAAGGTTTCACCATGTTGGCCAGGCTGGTCTCGAACTCCTGACCTTGTGATCCGCTCACCTCGGCCTCCCAAAGTGCTGGGATTACAGGCTTGAGCCACTGTGGCCGGCCTTCTTTCCTTCCTTTCTTCCTTCCTTCCTTCCCTTCCTTCCCTTCCCTTCTCTTTCCTTCCTTCCTTCCTTCCTTCCCTCCTTTCCTTCTTCTTCTCCTTCTTCTTCTTCTTCCAATGAGCATGTACTCATGTTTTATAGTTTTATAATCTAATAAAAGAGGACAGATTTCCAAGCTTTTTTAACCCAGTCCCCTGGCTTCCTGAGAAGTTAGGTTGAGTCCGGTCTCATGTTAGCTGTCCTTTCACTGAGCACCTATGATAAAACCAGGCACCCCACATACTATTTCCAGTTCTCACAACAACTAGGCATTATTTTTCCAGTTTTAGAAATGCGCCCATGTGGGTTTAGAATGGATAGGGAATGTTCCAAGTGTCACCCAACTGAGTGGCGGAACCAGTGTTTTAATCCAGGTGGACCCCACTTCAAAGCCCTGGTGCCCTTTCAGGTAAGACCTGGGCCGGCCTGAAGGAGCTGATGGTCTGGCCGGGGACAAGAACTCACACATGGACAGAAACTACTGGATGCAATGACTGCACACAGGGACCTGGGTTCAAATCCCAGCTTCACTGCTGACCAGGTATGAAGCTGTGGACTAGTGACAGCCTCCTGTGTCTTAGCCATTGAGCAAGCATCTACTAAGTACCTCCCAGGTGACAGGTACTGCTCATGCCAGGTCCCCACCACCTTGGGAGGGAAATCCCTGCCCCATGGAGCTCATGATATAATACTTGAGCCAGATATGAAACAAGTAACCAGATAAACACATGATGTAACCACAGAGGATAATAAAAGCTAAGAAAAAGAAATACTGCCAGATGCAGTGGCCAGACATGTAGTCCCAGCTACTCAGGAGACTGAGGTGGGAGGTTCACCTGAGCTCTGGAGGTTGAGGTTGCAGTGAGCTGTGATCATGCCGCTGCACTCCAGCCTGGGTAAGAGAGCAAGACCCTGTCAAAAAGAAAGGAAGGAAGAGAGGGAGGGAGGAAGAAAGGGAGGAAGGAAGGGAGGGAGGGAGGAAAAGGAAAGAGAACAAAACATAAAAATGCCTCAATTTTCCTGTCTGTAAAATGGGATGCTGATGATGCCAATTTCACAGGACTCTCGTGCTGAGTCAATAAAATATTTTCTGTCAGATGCTTAGTGCCAAGCTGGGTGCACAATGAGTAAATGGGAGTGACGGTGCTGATATGCTAAGCTGTGTTTGTACAAGCTGTGATAAAGAATTTTTAAAAGGTGCATGACAAATATTTGCTAAATGAATGCAACAAAGAGCCATCACCTGGGCTAGAGCAGTCAGGGAGGACTTCCCAGAGGAGGCACCAGAGGAGCCTCTGCTCAAAGCTGGACCACACTCTGTAGGGCAAAGGCCTCCACCCTGCGCAAGAGGTTCTGGAGTGTCCAAACAGAAGACAGAGGCAAGGCAAACAGGCCAAGCACCCTGCTAATGTGGTTAGTTTGGGCCTTATCTCTGAAAGGAGCTGGGTCTCAGACAGCTTGTCGGGGCTGACCACAGGGCCTGCCGAGAAACCAGATTCAGAACATGCGCTTGCTGCTGCCACCACCGGGAGGGCGGTGCGGGTGGGGGTGCAGGAAGGCCTGGGGGAGCGCCGGGTTATTTGTTATGGGGTGAAGAGGAAGCTGTAAGTGGTCCTCTGTCCTCCATTAACAGCAGGATGGAGTCAGGCTGGAGCCACCAGCTTTGGAGTCAGCCTTGTTTTTTAAACACACATGGCTGGCCCAGGCCTTTTAACCCCCAAACACCCCAGGGTTCCTGCAGGAAAAAAACAGTAGCCTTTGGTCTAGAAACTCTGCAGCTGGGGTGTAGCTTAGGGCATTTCTTTTTAGCTCAGAAACAAACAGAAGATAAGAATATTGTGATAAAAGGAACTGTACTTTTATAATGGATTATTCAAAGTCAGGGAGTCTGGGATGGTTATAATTCTTTATACTTCAGACTCTTTAATGTACATCCACAAAGCTAAGAGCAAATAATAAAAATGGATTATCCTTGTCTGCAAAGAAACACAAACTATTTATTTCTACCCAGTCCTCCCCCACCCACTCTCATCACCAAAAGTTGATGCAAAGAAATATAAACGATTTACTGCAAAGAAATACAAAGGATTTATCTCTCTCAATCCTCCCCCACCCACTCTCATCACCTGAAAGTATGAGACCTAGAACCATTTACACAAGTCTATGAGTACTTCACCCCCTCTGAACCTCCCCCAACCCTGTTCATTGGGACCCATTCTATAGCACTCTTCGGTGGGGTGAAGGGGTGATTGTACCAGTGATTCTTAACTTTTTGGAGAAGTCCCAGACAATTTGGGAAGCTCATGAAGGCCATGGACCCTCTCCCTGGAAAGATGCACACCACACAGAATTGTGCACTGTATTTCAGCAGTTCCAAGACTTCTCAGTCTTGGAACAGTACTTCCCAGATACAGTACTTCCCAGGTCAGACCGATTGGTAAATTTCTTCCAGCTCTTATTCTACAACTGATTTGCTCCCATTCAATACATGAGATAATCCTTAGCAATCAGTCTGATGATAAAAAAAATCTCAGTGGCTCAGAAACACCCAGGAAGTGTTTCTAAGGCTCAATAGTTAGTAGGGTAAGAACGGTTACCACTGTGGGAGGACTAGGGCATTTGCAGCAGGCACCTGGATAGCAGCTCTGAATCCCCACTTAGACTGGTGACATGAGGATAGGGTCCCTAGGACCCTTACGGCCAACAGGATTTCCACTGCCTTATACCCACAGATAGGCTGAGAAGGTGAAGCTTCTCCAACCCCCCAGTGCCCATCATGTTCTCATGAGGTCTCACTCTGAGGCTATGCTCAGGCCCTATACTCCACAACAGGGGTCTGCAAGACCATGCTGCTGAGCAGGGGGCAGGCTGGGTCTGAGAGTCCAGTCCAGATGGGTTTGGGCCCCAGACTTTGGAGAAAAGGCAGAAGTGAACACAGACTAACCATGTCCTCATCCAGCCTGGATGAAGGATGACCCAAAGGCTGGAGCTACGGTTCACCCCAATCCAAACAACTACTGTGGAGGGTGTGGGAGGCTGTGTTTTCCAGAGCTTGCAGTTCTTTATCTACCAAATCGGGCTTCTGTACCACCTCCCCTCTCCCTGACACACAAGAATCATCCCAGCACTTCTGGAAAAGTTTCCAAGGCAAAACTGCTGCCCTGAAGGCAGTCCCTTCAGGAACCAGGGTGATCAGGACAAAGCAATTTCAGGAGGCGGGAAGATCATAATCCACAAGACTTTGGTCAGGCTCAGTGGGAGCAAGCCAGCCCCAAAATGCGGTAATGATTACTAACAGACGATGCTCCCAACCTTACACGTGTTCCACATCCACAAACTGGAAAAAATTGTCAAATTAAATATGAAACAGGAAGTAGAGATAAAGACCCATGCACACACTGCGCACAAACTCACATACACTCTTCTCGTTAGCATGGGATGAAAGCCAGTGGTGACGATTTTTAATTAGAAAGGAGGACTCATAGCTGCCTCCCAAGGCCAAGGCACTCGGCTCTGAACACCAGGCCAGAGTTAACCCTTGCAGCTCCAGGGCGGTGCCTCATTATAAATGGCCCCACTCTACAAAAATTAGCTGGGCATGGTGGTGGGTGCCTGCAGTCCCAGCTACTTGGGAGGCTGCGGCAGGAGAATTGCTTGAACCCAGGAGGCAGAGGTTGCAGTGAGCCAAGGTTGTGCCACTGCACTCCAGTCTGGGCAACAGGGCAAGACTCTGTCTCAAAAAAATAAAAAAAAGATAAATGGCCCCTGCCGGGAGTGGTGGCTCACGCCTGTAATCCCAGCACTTTGGAAGGCCGAGGCGAATGGATCACCTGAGGCCAGGAGTTTGAGACCAGCCTGGCCAACATGGTGAAACCCCATCTCTACTAAAAATACAAAATCAGCGGGGCGTGGCGACGCATGCCTGTAATCCCAGCTACTCGGGAGGCTGAGGCAGGAGAATCACTTGAACCCGGGAGGTGGAGGTTGAAGTGACCTGAGATTGCGCCATTGCCCTCCAGCCTGGGCAGCAAGAGCGAAACTCTGCCTCAAAAAAAAAAAAAAAAGAAAAAAAGATAAACGGCCCCACTGCTAGAGGAAGCTCATCAAAGTTTTCTAACCTTGCTTGGTTAATTAAAGAATCATTAAGAAATGGGTGGAGGGGATAGGAGGAAGAAAGGAAGAGAAGAGAAGAGAAAAAATCAAGGGGAGAAGAGACTCTCGTGGCAGCATCAACCCCTCCACCAGGAGAGTGCTGGTGTGGAGGCCATGCCCTCTGAAGCCTGAGAGAGACAGGTTAGACTCCCAGCTTTTCTGTTCACCAACTATGTAACCATGGACTTACCCATCCTCTTGGTTTCAATTTTCCTTGTCTGTGAAATGGAAATGATAGCATGAACTTGACAAGATTGTTGTTAGGATTAAATGAGATATGTATGAAAAGCACCTATTTGCTTAGAACATTATAAATTCTCCAAAATGATGGCTACTACCTGGCCATTAAATTAGTTTCATTATTATTCTTTAGTCTTCTTCTGACCATGTTTGAGGAAAATCTTTCCTCTAAATAAATATAAGGGGATAAACTATCTCCTGTAGATACTGATTTCAAAGTGTGGGGATAGGGTAGGGAAAGTAAGTAGTTGCCTTTTCCTTGAACGGATTCGCCACTCCCCCCCACCACCATCACTGTGTCAGCTGAGAGTGAAATGTGACATCCTGGATGGACGAGTCCAGCAGTTGTCCTTTAGGGAAACCAGCCCACGCCCTACAGAAAAAGACAACCAGAGCTCTAAAACAGGAGCTAACGCCCCACCCCACCCGAACCCTTTCCCTGCCCATCACTCCTGAGTAGCATTTGACTCCAGCTTAAGTTGCTGCTTGAACGGCAGTTTACTGACAGCGATGCAGGTGCATGCATTTCCCCCTTCCTCTTACCAAGTCTATCTGAGAAAGAACAGGCAGGAGAAAGTGGGCTTGATTCTTTCTAAAACAAAAATGATCATTTTAGAGATAATCGTTATCATCCTGAAAGAGCTCTTCACATCTCAATGACCAGCTAATGCATAGAATATTGCTGGGCACATAGTAGGTGTGCATAAATACCTGTCGAGTGTCCAAATGGACAAAGTGACCCAGTCCCCACAGTGGCTACTCCTGAGGCACTCACATGTCAATAATAGAGACATACAGAAAGAACTCTCCCCCCAGACCCCGAACAAGTTTCCAGGTACAGGGTCATAGTACGCAGTTAAATTATGGCTTCCAATACATTTACAAAGTCAGTTTTGAAAAGAATTTGTTTCTCTCTTCCCTGTCAGCTTTATTCACCTACTCTTACTAAGACATTGGATCCAGTACCTGACACATAGCAGGTTTGTAATAAATAGGTGTGTAATAAAAAGTAATGAATGCATTACTGATGTCAAGAGCCACACTGCTGGCCTGATATAACCGTCAGAAAAATACGGCAGCAGAGCCCCAAGCAAGCCAGCCATGTGCATTTTCTTCCATTAGCGTCCTGTACCAGATAGTATCTTTCTAAATGGAATCATAAGACCTGACCTGGTATAGGAGTGCAGCACTGCTGGCTGACTCCAGTGACTCAAGCCGCATGGTTTAGAAAAGAACAGCCCACTTTTTATTAGTAGCAGTAGAAACAGTGCCAGTAATTGACATTTTGTGAGCATGTATTTGCCGGACTCCATGCTGGCTGATTTACATCTGATATATCTTTTAATTCTCACAACAATCTTATGAAGTAGGTTATATTATCCCCATTATACAGATAAATAAACTGTAGCTGAGAGAAGTGAAATGACTTGCCCAAGGCTGTGCAGCTAGTCTGTGTGCCTCCAGAGGGCTTTCTCATCACACCTCTGAGCTCTGACTCTCCAACCTGCCCCAGCTTTTCCCTGCATTCCAATCTCACCCAACAGTATCCATTCCTCCAACACCTCCAGACATCTGTTCAAGCATTTTCCTTGGTCTGGAAAGTCCTTCCTATCTTTGCCAACCATGGAAAGGCTCCCTATATTAGTCTATTTTCACACTGCTATAAAGAACTGCCCCAGACTGGGTTATTTATTTATTTATTTTTGAGATGGAGTCTCACTCTGTTGCCCAGGCTGGAGTGCAGTGGCGCAACCTTGGCTCACTGCAACCTCTGCTTCTCAGGTTCAAGCGATTATCCTGCCTCAGCCTCCTGAGTAGCTGGAATTACAGGCGGCCGCCACAACGCCCGGATAATTTTTGTATTTTTAGTAGAGATGGGGTTTCACCATGTTGGCCAGGCTGGTCTTGAACTCCTGACCCCAAGTGATCTGCTCACCTTGGCCTCCCAAAGTGCTGGGATTACAGGTGTGAGCCACTGTGCCTGGCCGGGACTGGGTAATTTATAAAGAAAAGATGTTTAATTGACTCACAGTTTTTCAGGTCTGGGGAGGCCTCAGGAAATTTAGAATCCTGGCAGAAGGAGAAGCAGTCACGTCTTACATGGAGCAGGCGAGAGAGCAAGTGTGTGAAGGAGACACTGTCAAACACTTGTAAAACCATCAGATCTCGTGAGAACTCACCCACCATCACGAGAATAGCATGAAAGAAACTGCCCCCGTGATTCAATCACCTCCTTCCCTTGTCACATGGGGATTAGAGGTCCCTCTCTCACTTAACATGTGGGATTACAATTCAAGATGAGATTTGGGTGGGGACACAGAGCCAAACCATATCACTCCCCTTATCTTTCAAGGCTTTGCCTAAAGTCTGCTCCCCTCTAAAGACTTCCCCAGCCCTCCTCACAGCCTGAGGCAGAACCGCTGCTCCCATTCTTGGCCTGTAGTTCAGAGCATCAGGGCACAAACTCACTGTGCTTGCAGGGAAGAGTCAGGATCAGTTCACCTTTGCACCTCCAGCACCTAGCACAGTCAGCTACCTGCCACTCGGCAGAAATTCAATAAATGTCTTATAATTAAGTAAAATCAAGCATATCATTCCCAGAATAACAAAATAGAGAGCAAACCTTCCAACCCCAGGACATTCTGGTCCCGTCTGCTCCCTAAGAAGTAGCTGACTGCTCTGGTTGAGAGGGGAGCAGAAAGAAGCTTAGAATTAGGCTGAGAGCCCCGCAAGCAGCCCTGGCAGGGGTCCAGCTCAGGGAGAGCCAGGTGGGGCTCCTACAGCAGCCTTTGTGATAGTGAGGAGCTAGGCAAGCTCAGCTGGGTAAAGGCCATTTGGTTCTGGGCGGTCATGGCCCTGAGCCTGCAGACAAGGCCTGCAGCACCAGCCCTGCACGCCCTGCGGTCCCTTTGGGTCACCCACACTCACTGGCCGCCTCTCTTCGTTTCTGATTCCACCTCAGAGAGTTATTGCCTTTATCACAAGGAAGCCAGGAGAACAAGTTACCTCCTGGGCTTATCTTCAAGTCCAAGGGTCTCCTTGCTGCTGGAACAGGAGGCTGTTCCCCCTGCAGTCCCAGCTTTTCCTGTTTGCTCATCTCTCATCAGAGAATTCTGAGCAGAGGAGAGAAGAAGCAGACGAAGGAGAAATTGTACCATGGAGACACCTGTGAAGGGCTGGACTGAGGGCTGGGCTGAGGCAGGCATGGGGCTCTTCCTGGACAGCAGGGTTGTGGGGTCTGCTTGTTGCCTTCCAGCCACAGAATGAATTAAAGACCCTTGGAAATCTCTTCCAGCCCCACATTCTAGAATCTTTCTGAAGATTGGTCACATGTGCCTGTGGGCAGGGTAGCCATAATTTATTGTTCTGAAATACTTTTTTTTTTTTTTTTGAGACGGAGTCTCGCTCAACTGTTGCTCAGGGTGGAGTGCAGTGATGCGATCGTAGCTCACTGCAGCCTCAACCTTGTGGGCTCAAGTGATCCTCCCACCTCAGCCTCCCAAGTAGCTGGGACTACAGGCGTGTACCACCACGGCTGGCTAGTTTTTGTATTTTTTGTAGAAACAGGGTCTTGCTACGTTGCCCAGGCTGGTCTCAAACTCCTGGGCTCAAGCGATCTACCTACCTCAGCCTCCCGAAGTGCTGGATTACAGGCATGAGCCAACATGGCCGGCCCAAAATTCTTTTAAAATAAAGAAGTCACAGGCGTAAACCAGGCCTACCCCAGGCAACACTTTTCTACCTAAGGTGTTGAGGACAGGGAATGTTTACCCAAATTTTGGTAGATCCAAGATTAAAACCTGGAATTACCATTCAAACTTTTCCAAAAGAAATGGCCACTTCTCAACGAGAGTTTGACAACCCACTTCTCTGAGTAACATAATAAGATACATGATAAATCATAATAGCATAGAGCCTTTGCCTAATGTACCCTGGTTTCTCCTGCAGCTGCTCTGCACAGAGGCACGTGCCCTGGGGCATTTTCTGGGTGAAGCAGACACTCCCAGGGGAGAGCACAGAGATAATGCTAAATGGCCTGTTGTACAGAATGATTCCTGGCAGTGCCACTCCTTGTAAGGGGGAAGGGAGAAGGGCCTTCATCTTTTCCCAGGTGTGAGAGGGGAGGGACGAGCCAGTGGCCACTGATCTCTGGGTAGAGTCCCTTTGTGTCTTGTCTTTTGGGCTGACCCCACATGCCTCTGGGAGATGGGGGCTGGAGTAAGGGGGTGGTACTTACCGAGCTTCCCCGAGACCAGAATGTGGGCACAGGGTCCCGGTTCCCCTTTCTTCCTCCCTGCTGGCTCTGCTGTGGGATTATTTTTCAGCACAGGGACAGGTTTCAGGGCAGTGCAGGACTTAGGGGCAGCCTACTCTTACTTGGGGTGTAACTCAGTGAGCCTACACAGAAGCAGGGTTCCTCTCCTAGCTCCTCAGGTGAGGTGAACGAGTTTCTGGGATGAGGCCTTAGGAACCCCCTCTGTAACCTTGAGAAATCAGGGACAAGTGTCCGTGGGTGACCAAAACCCCTGACCTCCCAGGAAGGATGGTGTATGTGTGAAGTCAGAGATCAAAGGATCAAGTGTGGAGTCTGTTGGGAGCACTGGTTCCCTGAACTCCAGGCAGTTTTGCCAGGCCCCGTACCACAGTCCATCAAATCCAGTCAACCTTTAACTTCAATACGTAGCTTAGCTTTGTACCAAAAATAAACACTTGTGAAATAATAGATTTTGTAAATATTTTATTACATAAAGAAGATAGAAGCACTTGATAGATATGGACACGTGTATATTTTAATACATAATTATTAAACTTTAAAAAATCTTTATCCGGTCGGGCACGGTGGCTCATGCCTGTAATCCCAGCACTTTGGGAGGCCGAGGCAGGCGGATCACAAGGTCAGGAGTTCAAAACCAGCCTGGCCAATATAGTGAAACCCTGTCTCCACGAAAAATCCAAAAATTAGCGAGGTGTGGTGGTGGGCGCCTGTAGTCCCAGCTACTGTGGAGGCTGAGGCAGGAGAATCCCTTAAAACCGGGAGGTGGAGGTTGCAGTGAGCCGAGATCGCACCACTGCACTCTGGCCTGGGCGACAGAGTGAGACTCCATCTCAAAGAAAAAAAAAAATCTTTATCCATGAACCTCCCGGAACCATCTCACCATTTGGGAAACATAGGTATAGTGATCTGAACTCAGGCACCAGCAGGAGAGGGGAGGGAGAGAGCAGAGTGAGGTTGGGGAGTTGGGGAGTTACTTTCCCAGCTCCTTCCCTGCGGAGTCATCCTGGGCTGGCTGTGTCCCTCTTTCAAAGCCACAGCACCTGCCAGGGAGGCCTCCCCTTATGCCAGCCCTTATGGGGCCTGGTGCCTGCTCCCTTCCTTGCTGCTGCTTCTTTTTTTTTTTAATTGAGACAGAATCTCGCTCTGTCGCCCAGGCTGGAGGGCAGTGGCACCATCTTAACTTACTGCAACCTCCGCCTCCCAGGCTCAAGCGATCCTCTCGCCTCAGCCTCCCAAGTAGCTGGGATTATAGGTATGTGTCACCATGCCTGGCTAATTTTTGTATTTTAGTAGAGACAGGGTTTCACCATGCTGGCTAGGCTGGTCTAGAACTCCTGACCTCACATAATCCGCCCGCCTCGGCCTCCCAAAGTGCTAGGATTACAGGCGTGAGCCACTGTGCCCTGCCAAAGATTTTTTTTAACTGCTGCAATACATTTAATACCTTGCTAACACATTGTTTTGATGATTACCTAAAAATGGAAAAGTTAAAATTTCAAAAGTAACACATACCTTGTAGATAGTAACTAACTTGTCTCTCACCTTCTCTAAACTGTTTCTTTTACCGCCTGGTAACAGAGCAGCATGGTTGAATGGAGAGTGGGCTTTGATACAGACAGAACCAGTCTCCTAGACTGAAGAGCTGTGTGGCCTGGGGTAAACTGTGTAACCTATCTGAGCTTCAGTTTCCTCATCTGAAATATAGAATGATAATGTCTGTCTGTCTTCCAGAGATATTAAAGATAAGTGCATAATACGTGACCAATAAAAGATTGCTATCAGGCCAGACAATATATTGGAGCTTATTTTTACAAGTCTTTTTGGGCTGCATTGTCCTCTGCTCGGTTTCTTGTGGGCACCCGTCTCACCTCCCAAACTAGACAGTGAGCACCTTAAGGTTGCCTTCTGTCCGCTTAGCCTGAGGACGCGGCCCACAGACAATGCTCCGTGAATGTCAGGTGAGTGGTGCGTTGAAGCACCTTTGGTCCATCGTTATTATATGAAGAGGGGAAAAAATAAAGACTGGAAACATTTTTCCATTCAGGAAGAGGTTGGTGACACCAATGAGCCTTCCACAAGCAAAGTGTCAGCAGGAGAGATAATGACACTACCACCTCCAAACGCCCTTCCAGCTCATTCCAAAAATGGAAAAAACACAGGATCTGGAGATGAAGCTCGCTGTTCTCGCCTCCCTCCCCAACCTCACCCAGGGCACCAGCCCGGAATGAAAAACATTCCATATAGAGGCTTGGGAGCACGGTCTGTCCCAGGCAAGGCCCTCGGACCCATTTCTAAAGAGCTGAAGAATCACAGGAGAAAGAGAGGAAAGGGAGGAAGAGGAAACCTCAACCTTTCAGTTACATTCACTCTTCCGCCTCCTAAAGACCAAACACATTTTCCCAACTCCTTGCTCCTTACTCCTTGGAAGGCTGAGGAGGGCAGATTGCTTGAGCTCAGGAGTTCGAGACCAGTCTGGGCAACATGGCAAAACCCCGTCTCTACAAAAAATACACAAATTAGCTGGGCATAGTGGCATGCACCTGTAGTCCTAGCTCCTCAGGCAGTTGAGATGGGAGGATCACTTGAACCTGGGAAGTTGAGGCTGTAGTGAGCCAAGATCACGCCACTGCACTCCAGCCTGGGCAAAAGAGTGAGACTCTGATCAGGCATGGATGCTAGAAAGCCCTTGGGTAAAATTGGTCGTTGTGGGATCAGATATTCACACAAGGCCAGAATATCACCCTTTAAATTACTTGCTGGTTGCAAGGCGGAAAATGGACACGTAACTGCCGTGGAGGGATCAGGTGAGTCTTTTGATGTTTTGGAAGACTAAAGATCTCTCTGGTCCCACATTGTCACCTGACCTTTTTGCTACTCCTAGTTATACCTAAGTCTTTCAAAAGGCCAATAGGAGATCTAAGCTTTTTTTGTTTTTTTTGAGACGGAGTCTTGCTGTTGTCGCCCAGGCTGGGGTGCAGTGGCACAATCTTGGCTCACTGCAACCTCTGCCTCCTGGGTTCAAGCGAGTCTCCTGCCTCAGCCTCCCAAGTAGCTGGGATTACAGGCACCCACCACTACACCCAGCTAATTTTTTTTATATTTTTAGCAGAGATAGGGTTTCATCATGTTGGCCAGGCTGGTCTCGAACTCCTGACCTCGTGATCCACCGACCTCGGCCTCCCAAGGTGCTGGGATTACAGGTGTGAGCCACCGTGCCTGGCCGAGATCTAAGCTTTTTTAAAAAAAATTTTTTTTTTTTTGCAAAGTAAACTTCAAGGACTAATCCCTTTCCTGGACCTCCAGACTCTGGCTCAGAACAGAATTAAGAAGGGCAGTTCTAGAAAAAACTAGAGCCTGATGGAATAAAATAGACTCAGACCACTCCAGTCTAGAGAAGCCACACCCTGTTCTGAGTGCTGACTGCAGCCAGGCACAATCCCGAGGTCAGCTCTCAGCAGCGGCATGCACTCTGATAGCTAGAGAAACAGAATCTCAGAGAGCTGGAGTATAACAAATCTGTCCTATAACCTGCCCCAAGTGGCTCAGCTAAAGTGGGACAGATTTCAAACCTGCCTCTCTGAAAGTAGAGCCTGGATTAACTGACCATCCAAGCTTTTCTGCTTTCTGCTTTAAAAAGACTTTGGGGCTGTCATCTCCAACCAAACACATCAGCCACAGGAGTCAAGGATGGTTGATCCATTTAAAGCACTGACCAACACTTACTGTAACTCTGAATTGGGTGAGGCTTGTGCGGGAGTCAGAGGCAAAAGCCTGGTCTCTGGCCTAAAAGCGCTCATAGTCCATTTGAAGACAACACTAAGAAACATGAGATTACTAGAAGGGATAATATCCGAGATTGCATGGCACCTCCCCGGACACTGTCTTTGCACTGGCTTCCTCCTCCTGCTTCTCTGCTCATCACACTGCACTGCAATTATATGTTTACAGTGACAATGGTCTGGTTAAGCTCAGGATCTTGCCTTATCTTTATCCACTTAACACCTGCAATGCTGCCAGGGATGGAGAAAGGGTGGGAATGGGAAAGAAAGTGACTAGGTGTGCAGAGGAAATCACACCAATTCTCCACCTTATCTGCCTGGGCCGGGTCCTGGGAACGGATCATGTTATCATCCTATTCCTCTCTCTGCCACCACCATACCCGTTCCTGACTCCCTCCAGGTGGTCTGGGTTCCCTTGACTTCCTCCTGAGCTGTTACTTCTGACACAACCACACGCACAGATGCTAAGGGCTCTGCTCCAATCTGCTCCAGCCAAAGGCCACCTTCAGGTCCCTGGCCCTGCCTGGCTGTTCTGTCCTTAGGCTACTACTTTGTCAGTGCTATGCCCTATTTTCTCCAGCCCTCAGCTTCTAGGCTCTCCAGTTTTCTCCATGGGTGATGGGGCAATGAGTTGCCAGGCCGATGGGATTCAGCCCCAAGACCCAGACAAGGGGTCAGAGAGAGCAGTAGAGGCCCCCAAATCAGGATAAAGCCTCATTTGGGGACACAGCAGTGCTGCCAAGACTTTCTTGGGTCAGGCCTGCTCCCTCCACATGTCCTCTGGGCTCTGGCAGGATAAGAGCATGACAATGGCTGGGCCAGTTTCTTGGTACACAAGCCCCAAAGACCTGGGTTTCCCCTGACTCTCCCTAGCAGCCAAATAACCTCTTGAAGTCCTGGTGCAACTGTTATTCTGATTGAGGGGGCAAATGAGCAAATTGAAACCTTAGAGGCAGCACCTGTTCCCAAGGAAAAACCCCCCCCTCCCCCACCGTTGGCGCTCCTGCTGGCTGGGATTTCATTTTCAGTGTGGGCAGGCTGCTCAGTGCCACGTTTTCCTCCTTCCTCCCCAGGGATGGTGGTGAAAACGCATGATTTGCAGGCTCCCACATGGCTGCAGTGACTCCATGTGTTTTTTCACTGCATATTCTCATTGTCACCTTTTTGGTGTCCTATAACCTGCACATATTGCCAAAATCCAATCTTGCCTTCCAAAGCTTTTTCAAATTTTGATCAATCAGGTCAAAATTATTAGTATCACAATCAAAAGAGTATCTGAAAAGTTAAAGCTGAAAAAATTTGAAAAGCACAAAACCTGAATTCTATCCTTTTTTTTTTCTGAGACAGAGTCTCGCTCTGTCTCCCAGGCTGGGAGTGCACTAGCACAATCTCTCAGCTCACTGCAAACTCTGCCTGCCAGGTTTAAGCAATTCCCCTGCCTCAGCCTCCCACGTAGCTGTGATTACAGGCGTGCACCACCACACCTAGCTAATTTTTGTGTTTTTACTAGAGACAGGGTTTCCCTATGTTGGCCAGGCTAGTCTCAAACTCCTGGCCTCAAGTGATCTGCCTGCCTCGGACTCCCAAAGTGCTGGGATTACAGGCGTGAGCCACCACGCCCAGCCTCTGTCCTTGTTTTTAAAGCTATACTACAAATTTCTGGTCTTTGTATTTTTTGTTGTTTTTGTTGAATTTTTTTTTTTTAAACAAAACAGGATCTCACCCTGTCATCCAGGCTGGAGTACAGTGGCACAATCATGGCTCACTGCAGCCTCAACTTTCTGAGCTCAGGCAGTCCTCCCACCTCAGCCTCCCGAGTAGCTGGAACTATAGGTGTGCACCACCATGGCCCACTAAGTTTTTAAAAATGTTTTGTAGAGATGGGGTCTCACTATGTTGCCCAGGCTGCTCTTGAACTCCTGGGCTCAAGCTATCCTCCCATCTCAGCCTCCCAAAGTGCTGGGATTATAGGCATGAGCCACTGCACCCAGCCTAAAGCTGTACTCCAACTTTCTGGAATGTGTACTTGAGTTTGAGGCTGAACAATTCTGAGGTGATACAGTCTGGATCTGTGTCCTCACCAAATCTCATGTTGAATTGTGGTATCCAATGTTGAAGGTGAGACCCGGTGGGAGGTGATTGGATTATAGGAGTGTTTCTCATGAATGGGTTGGCACCATCCCCTTGGTGCTGTTCTCCTGATGGTGAGTGAGTTCTCGAAAGATCTAGTTGTTTAAAAGTGTGCGGCACCTCCCCTCTCCCTCCCCCCACCCCCATTCTCCAACACCTTCTCCTGCTCCTGCCATGTTAAGACGTCTGCTCCCCCTTTGCCTTCCACCATGATTGGAAGCCTCCTGAGGCCTCCCCAGAAGCAGAGGCTGCTATGCTTCCTGTACAGCCTGCGGAACTGTGAGCCAATTAAACCTCTTTTCTTTATAAATTACTCAGTCTCAGGTATTTCTCTTTTTTTCTTTTTTCTTTTTTCTTTTGAGACGGAGTCTCACTCTGTCACCAGGCTGGAGTGCAGTAGCGCAATCTTGGCTTACTACAAGCTCCACCTCTGGGGTTCAAGCGATTCTCCTGCCTCAGCCTCCTGAGTAGCTGAGACTACAGGCACGCACCACCACACCCAGCTAATTTTTGTATTTTTAGTAGAGACAGGGTTTCACCGTGTTGGCCAGGTTGGTCTTGATCTCTTGCCTCGTGATCTGCCTGCCTCAGGCTCCCAAAGTGCTGGGATTACAGGCGTGAGCCACCGCACCCGGCCCCAAGTCTCAGGTATTTCTTTATAGCAATGCGAAAATGGACTAATATATGAGGTTACACATTTATATTGATCGGGGTGTAGAAAATACTACCCCAAAATGTGGCACTTTGGCATACTGAGTATTTTAAACTGAAAGAAATTGAGAAAATCTCAGAAGCAGAAGTCTTTCTGACCTTTTCTCTCTCTTTTTTTTTTTTTCTGAGACTGAGTCTTGCCCCGTTGCCCCAGGCTGGAGTGCAGTGGTGCGATCTTGGCTCACTGCAAGCTCCGCCTCCTGGGTTCAGGCCATTCTCCTGCCTCAGCCTCCCAAGTAGCTGGGACTACAGGCACCCACAACCATGCCCGGTAATTCTTTGTATTTTTAGTAGAGACGGGGTTTCACCATGTTAGCCAGGATGGTCTCGATCTCCTGACCTCATGATCTGCCCGCCTCAGCCTCCCAAAGTGCTGGGATTACAGGCATGAGCCACCTCGCCTGGCCTCTGACCTTTTCTCTTGAAGAGCCTTATTTGACAAGTGTTCTGCCCTATACCTGGAAGAAAGGACTATTACACAGAGAGGCCAAGAGAAATCTGAACAAACAGGCTAGTTTGTTACCTTTAGATCATACCCTTTTGACCTCCAATCATATTTCTGCACAACTGTCCATAAAAATACAGTTTTCAGTCAGGTGCGGTGGCTCACACCTGTAATCCCAGCATTTTGGGAGGTCAAGGCAGGTGTATCACTTGAAATCAGGAGTTTGAGACCAGCCTGGTCTCAAAGTGAAGCCCCATCTCTATGAAAAATACAAAACTTAGCTGCGTGTGGTGGTGCATGCTGTAGCCCTGGCTACTTGGAAGGCTGAGGCAGGAGAATGGCTTCAACCCCGGAGGTGGAGGTTGCAGTGAGCCAAGATCATGCCAGACTGGGCGACAGAGAGAATCCATCTCAAAAATAAAATAAAACATAATGAAATAAAATAAAAATACAGTTTTCCCTGGGTCGGGTCTTCATTTCTTTCTTTTTTTTTTTTTTATGAGATGGAGTTTCACTCTTGTTGCCCAGGCTAGAATGGTGCAATCTTGGCTCACTGCAACCTCCACCTCCCGGTTCAAGCGATTCTCCTGCCTCAGCCTCCTGAGTAGCTGGGACTACAGGCACCCGCCACCACGCCCGGCTAATTTTGTATTTTTAGTAGATACGGGGTTTTCCATGTTGGTCAGGCTGGTCTCAAACTCCCGACCTCAGGTGATCTGCTTGCCTCAGCCTCCCAAAGTGCTAGGATTACAGGTGTGAGCCACTGCACCCGGCAGGGTCTTCATATTTGAATGCTCCTGCATCACGCAAAACTTTGGTTAAACACATTCGTTGTTTTTCTATTGTTAATCTGTCTTTTGTTATAAGGGTGTTGGCCATAAACCTTGAGATAGGTGAGGAATATATATCCCTTTTCTTTCCTTATCCCTTTTCTTCCCTACAATATTCATTCAAGACATTCAAACTGAGAAAGTCAGTTCAAAATAATAAACTTTCGAAGTTGTGTCTTACCCCAAGAGACAAATACTTAATGTACCCCATTAGTTCTATTTTTTATTGTATGAATTCATACAAAACTATTCTGACAATGATCAAGGATGTTTCCAGGACCTGCTCTCACACGTTCCCTCACCCCCACCAGCTTTTGGCAAAGATAGTTGACTAAATACCACTAAATAGTGGCTTTTTTTTTTTAACAATGACCTTATTTTATCTTTTAACTTTAACTGAGTCTTATATACAGACCTGCCCAACTGGAAAGCTTTTACACATGCTTCAGAATGCGGCAGTATTGCACAATGGTTTGGGGCAGGTTCTGTGGTTAAACATGGGATGGAACCCCAGCTCTACCTGGCTCAGCTGTACGGCCCTGAGCAAGTGACTCAACATTCCTACACATGGGGACCCCCGCTGGAAAATGGAGATGGTAACAGGTACCAGCCTCACACCTAGGAGGCGCTCACTTCATGCTCACTGCTAAGTTTCTTCTGTTTGTCCTGACTTTATAGCTTTCCCTAATTGCAATTCCCTGCTACAAACATCACAGATGGAGAACACATGGAGGGAACAAATGTTAGGTAGCCTGCTGAACCCTAGGGCCAAGTTCACCAGTAATCCTACTAGATTTTAGCATCATAATTCCTCTATCTGGCATGGCTCCACCATCAGGGCCCAGATGACCAAAGACACCCAGGAAGGGAATGAAGACTTCCTGTTGTTTAAAACTGTCCTTCTGTCTGTACTTCACTGCCCTCAGCAAACTGCCACTCCACAGCCATATGATCCTGATTCACTTCCTCTGCTTCCACAGCCAACATCTTCTCAGCACCAGAGAGAAACCTAATTCGCCCTTACTCCTGGGTTGCTTTCCATGTTGTCCTCAAGGTGCCTCGGGCATGGGCCACCAGTAAGGATTCACCCAGTGAGGATTCAGCTGTCACCTAGAAACTCGAAGTCTTCTCCCCATTGAAAGCTGTTGAGCTCACCTAGGCAGGCTCAAACCAGCTGACATCTGCCCTTTCAGCTAAAAACCTGCTTGCCGCAATAATCAAGATATTTCCACAACATAACTTGATGGGGAGGGGAGGGGACATTAATCACAGATTATTAAATGATGGTACGGTCAGGTGATGGAATATGACTCAGCCACTTAAAACAATCTGACTAGAGACTATGAAAAAAGATGTTCAAGACAAGAGGAGTGAAACAAAAAGCAGAGTCAAAAGAGTTTGCACAGGTGCTCTGGACTGAATTGCATCCCCCCAAATTCATGTGTTGAAGCCCAGGCCCCCTCAACATGACTGTAATTGGAGGCAGGGCCTGTGAGAAGGTGATAAAGGTTAAACGAGCTGGGATCCTAATCCCATAGGGTTAGTGCCCTTATAAGGAGAGGAAGACACATCAGAGCTCTCTCTCTGCCATGTGAGAAGGCCGCCATCTGCAAGCCAGGAAGAGAGGCCTCACCAGGAGCCAAATCAGCTGGCACCTTGATCTTGGACTTCTCAGCCTCCAGAACTGTGAGAAAATAACTTTCTGTTGCTTAAGGCACCTAGTCTGTGGTATTTTGTTATGGCAGCCCAAATTGACTAATGAGACAGTGAAATGCAATTTAAAAGTTAAAAAAAAAAATTTCCCCTGCATGTGTGTTTATCTATTTTCTACCTGTATACATATGCAGGCACTGAAAACAGACTAGAAGTAGATACACCAAAATGTTCACAGGGGTAATCAGTGCATGGTGGAGTTAGGGATAATTATTTTATTCATTTTGCCTGTCAGTATTTTCAATAATGGCCATGCATTACTTTTAGAGATGGGGGGAATTAACTCTAGAAGAACATTAAAGCTTGCCTCTCCCCTCACGTCTTCTTTGGCTTGAGTCACATCTCACAGAGAGAAAGACCAAGGCACGCTGCACCAATGAGCTCCCCGAAGTCATGCTTCCCCTCCCATGTCGTGCTGGCATCCTTTCTCCGAGGAAGAGAATGAGTTTCCAGACAGCAGAGCGGGCCCTTCTCAGGGCCAGGATGGTCCTGGCAGCAGTCGTTCTCTAACACATCACGACATGTGTTTCCAGTAACTCTGTTTGTGGCCGCTTTCTTCTCTTATCACTCCTCCTGTGACCTTTGCTGGTTGCAGACTTACCGACTGGAGCCAGGTGGATTTGTTTGATTTTTGTTGATGGTTATTAGGAAGAGGAAGTGCCAGAAGGGATTACCTCAAGTTTAAACCTATTTCCAGCAGAGTCCCAGGGCCTTTAATTACACATGTTGGGTCTGTTTGGTAAAGAAGTGGTCAAAGATGTGCTTTTTATCTCCCTAGGAATCTCCTGCGACTGGCAGCATTCCATTTGTGCCTGATGTTCCTGTAAACTCCAGCCACAACCCCTGTGGGGAGGAGGGGCTGCTGTGGAGAATGAGATATGAAGTTGAAAGCTGGTGAGAGACTTTTTTTTTTTTTTTTTTTTTTTTGAGACGGAGTTTCTCTCTTGTTACCCAGGCTGGAGTGCAATGGCGCAATCTTGGCTCACTGCAACCTCTGCCTCCCAGCTTCAAGCAATTCTCCTGCCTCAGCCTCCTGAGTTGCTGGGATTACAGGCATGTGCCATCACACCTGGCTAATTTTGTATTTTTAGTAGAGATGGGGTTTCTCCATGTTGGTCAGGCTGGTATTGAACTCCCAACCTCAGGTGATCCACCTGCCTTGGCCTCTCAAAGTGCTGGGATTACAGGCGTGAGCCACCATGCCCGGCCACGTATCTGGGAGTTAAAACCACCATATCTGGGAGTTCTTGGCCAGGCCGTGTCATATTGTCATTCCTGACAATAGAGGAAGATTAGAACTGCACCTGACAATAGAGGAAGATTAGAACTGCATCAGAATTTTGTTTTCTGGACCACACTATTGCAGTCCCCAGAAGAGTGTCACGGGTCAGCCACTGCTGAACACAAGGATGAGGACAGTCGGAATGCTAAATGCCCAGCCCAGCCCACCCAGCCCAGTCCAAAAGCAGCCTTTTTTTTCCTTTTTCTTTTCTTTTTTTTTTCTTAGTGAAATAGTAACAGACTATAGGGAGGCAATAGCTGTCTCTGGGACTATCAAGACACCAGCTCAGCTGCGCAGCAGACAAATGTCACTTTTCTGATACAGGTGGCCCTAATCAGAGAGATCCTACTACAGCTGGTGCTCAAAAATAACCTTTCCCCCTCTCTGATTTACCCAGGCAAGTGAAAGAAGACAGACTCCAGGATTACATTCTCCAGAGCATGAGTATGTTGCTCTTCTTTATCTAACTTGCTGGTTAGAGGGATTGTCAAATTATAAAGTTGGTTAAGGTCCAAGATTAAAAAGTTTAATATGTAAAATGCAATTTTATTGGGGAGGATAATGAGGATGCTTCGTTACTGAGGGTCTTGGCATATTTTGGAGTAACCGAGAGTCAATAAATTAGGAACTATTCCTCAGATGCTTTTATTAAAGACATAGCAATATAGGTCAAATGCACGTACAATTTCAGATAATAAGATTCCAAATTTTCCTTCAGCTTATGCCCCAGAGGGTATGGAATTTAGAGAGGAACATTTAGTTAAAACGGAAACATGAACAAGTGGGCTTTTCGTTAGAGGCCTTTTTCATCCTAGGCTGAGGGACCTTACTGCACAATTCTGCCCCTGGAAGGTTACTTCATCCACAACCCTCAATATCCCAGCAATATCCTTTCAGCAAGAGCACACAGAACACAGATTCTTGCCCCAGTCGCTGGAATCCTTCAACCCCCTCAAGGAGGGCTAAGCAACATTCTTTTTCTTGGCATCATTGCCTCATTAGAGCAACTAAAACAGGTCCTGAAAGATACAGGGCATGGCCTCCACCATAAGAGTGCCTTCCCTGGAGTCAAACCCAGCCTCCTCTCTGATGCTCTTAGCACCACTCTCCATGACCCTAGCCTGTCCCTGTGCCAGAAGGGCTGTCTGGGGTGGGTGGCATGAGGGGGTATTTTAGTTTACCCACAATTCTGCTGCAATATAGACATGTAGTCTTTAAATCACATATTAGGGTTTTTTAAAGCATGGCACCAATACACTGATGGCACTCTACATGATATTAAGTAGTATTAAAACATAGCTTTTTTTTTTTTTTTTTTTGAGATGAAGTCTCCCTCTGTTGCCCAGGCTGGAGTACAGCGGTGCAAATCTCGGCTCACTGCAACCTCCGCCTTCCAGGTTCAAGCGATTCTTCTCCTCTGCCACCCGAGTAGCTGAGGCTACAGGCACGCACCACCACACCTGGCTAATGCATTTTTCATTTTAATGGTTATGTAGTTATTTTAGTGTGGATTCAAGAAAAAAATTAGCACATCAATGGTTTTTCCATGGCTATTATTTAGGAATGAGGGTAAGAAATAACACATTTAATTAAAAATTTTAAATGGTAGGTAACTTAATAGCATAGGTGATATATAAATAGGGCAAAATTCATGAAGGCTACACTTTGGGGAAAAGATGGCTACAGTTTAGGAAAAAGAGCCACCCATCCCACTCTGTGGCAGTTGGACAAATTAACCAATGTATATGAAACACTTGATAAGTATATTAAAATGCCAAAGACAGCCTTCCACAGTGCTAACAGACATGGAATCAGAAAGTTGAAGTTCCGATCATAGCTCTATCATTTACTTAGCTCTGTGATCATGGGCAAATTATAACTCTTTTAGAAATAAAAATTCCTATCTCATAAGATTTTCTGAGAATTAAATGTGATAACATTTATAAAGCATTTAGCACAGCACCTGGCATATAGCAAGTGCTTAGAAAGTAGGAGTGATTATAATTGCAAAGGCCTCATTTCTAAAGTAGGCTACCCATGTATCTGCCCTGAAGATTACCCTCAAAGAAGATGCAGCCCGAATAGTACAAGAACATTTAGTCCTTTGATTCATAGGTCAGCTGCCAGAGAAATATGCACGCAGACGCATTTGCAAACCCCAAAATTGCATACAATTTTAAGACATTAACAGGCCCCCAATTGACACCTCCTTTAACCATAACCCGCACTGACTATACACCTGGTAAACTAAGATGGAAAACCAGGGTAACAAGAGGTATCTCCAACTACTTCCACCATAGGGAGGCCTGGACTCATCCCACCTTCCGGGTGCATTCCTAAGACTGACTGGTTCTCTTTGGGTGCCTCTTAGTACACAGGCTATCACAGCTTTATTCTCTATGTGGGCAGAATGCAAATAAGGTCTTGAGGGCCCCCCCGACACCCTCATCCCCAGTAACTGGCTTGTTCTCCCTGCCCTGGCTCAGCGTAGTACAGCCCAACCTTGCAATTTAACTCAGTGCTGATGGAGTTGGGTAAACTGAAGTGCCTAGCAAATGTACGTGGAAAACCATGGTCCCTGATAAGCTGCTGATACGGTGTGCTTGTGCTTCCGCCAGTTCTATTTAAACACTGATAGGCCCTTGGGCAAACAAGAAGCCTTTTGTGCTCTGAGCATCCACAACTGCCATCCTGAGCCCAATCTGGACATGAGCAAGCCTCACAGTGGGTGGAAGTGAGGGTGGGGAAGAGACAAACTTTTCCTGCATTTTATCAGATACATGCACACAGGCAAGACCAAGCTGATCTTCAAACCTGGGGGCCCCAATCTTTCCCCACACTCCCTACCCTACCTCACAGTGATCTCTTAACAATGGAGATTTAGAAAAATTTTTCTTTTTCTTTTTTTTTTTTTTTTGAGTCGGAGTCTGGCTCTGTCGCCCAGGCTGGAGTGCAGTGGCACAATCTCGGCTCACTGCAAGCTCTGCCTGCCGGGTTCAGGCCATTCTTCTGCTTCAGCATCCTGAGTAGCTGGGACTACAGGCTCCCGCCACTACGCCCGGCTAATTTTTTTTGTATTTTTAGTAGAGACGGGGTTTCACCGTGTTAGCCAGGATGGTCTTGATCTCCTGACCTCGTGATCCACCCACCTCTGCCTCCCAAAGTGCTGGGATTACAGGCGTGAGCCACCGCGCCCGGCCTAGAAAAAATTTTCTAGAAAATGCACTGTAGTGTTTGTAAAGTTCTACTTTTTTTTTTTTTTTTTTGAGATGGAGTCTCACTTTGGAGTGCAGCAGTGTGATCTCTACTCACTGCGAACTCTACCTCCTGGGTTCAAGTTTCTCCTGCCTGAGCTTCCCAAGTAGCTGGGACTACAAACGTGTGCCACCATGCCCAACTAATTTTTGTATTTTTAGTAGAGATGGGGTTTCACCATGTTGGCCGGGCTGGTTTCGAACTCCTGACCTCAGGTGATCTGCCCACCTCGGCCTCCCAAAGTGCTGGGATTACAGATGTGAGCCATCAGGCCCAGGCTGTAAAGTTGTACTTTTGAATTTAATTTTTTTTTCTTGAATATTAATGTGGATTAGAGACTTGCTCATGAAAATTTGATTCTGGCCAGGCAGTTTGGTCATCACCTGGGAAGTTTTTACAAATGCAGAATCACAAGCCCCAGCCTAGACCTCCTAAACTATTACCTGCATTTTATTAAGCTTCCCAGGTAGTTTGTAGGCATATTAAAGTGTGAGAAGGACTAGATTCGAGCATTTATGTATAAGGCTACTAGAAAGGTATATTGATAACAGTAAATGATTATAGCTTCCTTTCAGATTTGCAACAGATTTTGATCTAAATATTGAGTATAAAAAATAAAAGTTAAATTTAAAGGATGAGACTGATAACAATCATAACTTCTCAAATCTAAATGAATATTTCCTGCAGATAAGTCAATATATATGACCTCAACTGGGCAGCTTTACTCACTCTTCTCTAACATAAAGACACGCTCTTCCCATGAAGGTTCACATCTGTATACATTACAATTGCTGGCATTTTAAGAGGCTAATGAAACACTCTATTTTGCGCTATTGACAGAAGGCAGATTTCTAAAAATCAGAGTTAAGATGTTCCATAATAAACACGGGTTAACTTTGTAAAATAAAAAGGGGTGGGGGCAGGGATGATGGTAGGGGGAGAAGTATTGGTTAGTGGTCAAGAATGCCTTGATTTGGATTCTTGCTCCGTCCACCGGGTGACCTGACCTCTCTGGGAGCCAGCTCCTTTAGTGTAAAATAGGGATAATAGCGCTGTTGCTGTTCAATTCTGGAGGGTTAAAAGATTCTGCGTGAAAAGGACTGTAGCAGCACTTGAACACAATAAATGTTGAATAAATGTAAGCTATTAATATGAAATTAGAATTGAAATCCTGTCTCGAGATACCATTTTGCTTAATTGAGAGAACTTGTCATGTCTCTGTCCAGCACTTGATCTGACTCTTAGCTAGAAAGGTTCATACTATCAGCTGTGCCTATCTCACTGGCTTAGAGAAAGGATAAAAAAAAACCCTGCAGTACAAGCTGGGGGTGGCGGTGGGGGCACTGAAGCCACGCTCCAGGTGAGGTGGGGAGGCACACTGATGGAGGGGTATGAGCCCACTTCATGGGGAACATGCACAAAGAAGAAAACATCTCAGGCTGCTGTGGGAGGGCAGATGTCCTGTGCCTGCAGTCCAGAATCCCCCTCATTCCCACCTTCAATAAAGGGAATCCTGTGGGAAGAGAAAGGAATGTGTTAAAGTGTAGATCAAGAAGGGACAGGAGAATAAAAAGAAATGGAAGCAGGTGCACACACAGGAAAGATGATGAGTGTTCTATTGTTGTTAAAGAGTTCATGCTCTAACAACACAAACCAAATTAATCCCAGCCTCCCCACTTAAGGACGGTAAGGGGCAAGTCAGTTAACATGAGTCTCCATTTTTTTAAAAATATACAACAAGGATCACAGTATTCCCTACCTCAAAGGGTTGGGGAGATGATTAAATCTACCTGTGAAGAAGAAAGCAGAGTACTTCGCACATGATAAATGCTCAATAAATGGTATTCATTACTATCCATCTATGATACGCATCTGCAACACAAAAATACACATGTTTACTGTAGGTTTAATCCCAGGGTCAAGGAATTTGATGTGAACTTCCAATCAACAGAGAAACCAGGTCTCTTCTGGATGCCCTATGGATGAAAGAAGACCAAGGGTATAGGACGCCTTTGTCATAATTGTTGCAACAGTCTAATTATTCCTCTTGGCAATGAAGCAATGGAAAAAAGAGGTATTAGAAGTTGGCTTTAAAAACACCATCATCGGCTGGGCGCGGTGGCTCAAGCCTGTAATCCTAGCACTTTGGGACGCCGAGGCGGGCGGATCACGAGGTCAGGAGATTGAGACCACGGTGAAACCCCGTCTCTACTAAAAATACAAAAAATTAGCCGAGTGTGGTAGCGGGCGCCTGTAGTCCCAGCTACTCAGGAGGCTGAGGCAGGAGAATGGCGTGAACTCGGGAGGCGGAGCTTGCAGTGAGCCGAGATTGCGCCACTGCACTCCAGCCTGGACGACAGAGCGAAACTCCTTCTCAAAAAAAAAAAAAAAAAAAATCATCGAGGCCAGTTGTGGTGGCTCACACCTGTAATCCCAGCACTTGGGGAGGCCGAGGAGGGCGGATCGCTTGAGGTCAGGAGTTCGAGACCAACCTGGCCAAAATGGTGAAGCTCCGTCTCTACTAAACATATAAAAATTAGCCGAGTGTGGTGACGGGCGCCTATAATCCCAGCTACACGGGAGACTGAGGCAGAAGAATCACTTGAACCAGGGAAGTGGAGGTTGCAGTGAGCCGAGAAGGCACCATTGCATTCCAGCCTGGGCAACAAGAGTGAAACTCAGTCTCAAAAAACAAAAACAAAAACATCATGGGGCATTTGTCAGAACGAGCTGAAAAGCAGAAAAAGACAAGATAATCTACACTGCAGCAAAGACTATTTAAAAAATTTAACATCTGATATAAACAGAATGGCTTAAGAGACCTCATCTCACTGGGCTGTGCCAGTATGCTAGTACTACCTATGTAAAAATAATAAATTCACAAAAACAAGTCTGAAAAAGAACAAACAGTTGATTTTTGGAGATAGTAGGCTTAGAAAGTGACTTTTTAGATGTGCTCATAAGTTTTGCAAAATCAGGGCATTTTGAAACCCCTGTAAGATTGACGGAGGAAAAAAAATGTATAACGGTCTAACAGTTTTAGGCAAAGTAAGAGATGAGTGTTTACTTAGGGCAGTGGTTTTCAAGCCATTTTTTTTTCAGCTGCAGAACCCTTTTTGTAAAACAAAATCTGAGATCCCAAATACTCTGAGTAAATTTATTTATATATTGTTTTAGTATTTGTTCATGTCTGTAAATGAGATCACAAATAACCACACAATTGAACACATATTTGAAAATACATCTTATTACATGATTAAGGCTGTTTTTAAAAGATAAAATTCCAATTAAAAGTTTATAGAATCCTAGTGTTTTGTGGAAGGTAATTCAGAAGCATCAGAAGGATTATGAAATTTGGGACTAGCCAGGTGCTTCTCCATGGAGGCCCGAGAGTTGTCATAGATTCATGCAGATGCCATTGGAGGTGATCTATATAGTGAGAGAGAACAAAGAGCAGAGGACACCCCAATGCTTTCTGTTTAATGGCCAAGCCAAACTAGTACTGAAGGGGCATGAAGAGGTGAGCCTGTGAACACTGTGACAAATGCCACCACTGTGAAAAGCTCCCCAGATCCCCCAATAAAGGGGAAAACAGGCAGGCCCTATCTGGGCAGGCTTGGATTGGCAGGACTGGGTTGGGGGGCACAGACACAGGCTGGAACCATCTATCCAGGGGCATACAGGAACGTTCCTTGGAGAGCTTCAGGAAGAGAAAGCAGGCATGTGGTTTTCTTGTTGGATGCGGCTAGATGGAATGGGAAGATAGAAAGCAACTAGGGTTAGGCCGGGCGCGGTAGCTCACGCCTGTAATCCTAGCACTTTGGGAGGCCAAGGCGGGCAGATCACCTGAGGTCAGGAGTTCGAGACCAGCCTCACCAACATGGTGAAACCCCCATCTCTACTAAAAATACAAAAGTTAGCCGGGCACGGTGGCAGGCGCCTGTAATCCCAGCTACTCGGGAGGCTGAGGCAGGAGAACCACGTGAACCCAGGAGTCGGAGGTTGCAGTGAGTCAAGATCACGCCATTGCACTCCAGCCTGGGGACAAGAGTGAGACTTCGTCTCAAAACAAACAAACCAAAAAACCAAAACAAAACAAAAAAAAGAAGTAACTAGGGTTCAAATGGCCCAGGGTTAAGATTTGGAGAAAGGAAAGGGAGAGCGGCCACTGAGAAAATGGCCCTATCTACAGTTGTGTAGGAATTTAGGACAGAGAAGTAACAAGAGTGATCTAAGCAGCACTGGAAACGTAGGGGAAGGGGGAGGTGTCGAGAGGGCGGCAAAGAAGACATGGAAAGGGCAGGGAAAAGAGCAGAGAATGTAAGGCCAGTGCAGAAAGAAACAAAGCAAAGGATAAGAAGTTCAAAGGCTGCTTCGAATACCTAAATCCATACAAAGATAGTATACGGCAAGTCTTGTAATGTAATACAAATGGACTAAGCAAAAAAGAGGCCAGAGTTTCAGCCTATAGAACTCAGGAAAGGAAATGAGAATCAAAGTTTATTGAATCTGTAGAGTGTTTTGATGTTAGTGAGTGTTGGAAAATTATTTGCCGGGGGAGGGAGGCTTTGGTTGCTTGGTGGTAAAGAACGCAAAATAATCCCTTTTATAGTAATCTGTGAAGATCAAATGAACATGTATATAAGTTCCCACATAAACATATGATAATATTACCAGAAAAGCAATAGTAAATCATATTCTCATCTGGGCTGCAGGAATTTAGGAGGATAAGAATGATCTGATTTATCAGGGATGGCCTAATGACATTTAGGAAAGAAGGAATGAGGAAAGGCAGGGTTTATGAGAGCTATACGGTCCTGAAAAGGAAATGAATTCCCTCGGTTTGAATTATAGGTTTGGGCTTTTCATGTCCTGCCCTTAGACCCAATACTATAGCTGATCAGCTGTGAAGAGCTGTTTGCTAGATGCTGGGCACTTTACCTCCCTAAAAATGGCCCTGTGAGAAAATATTCCAGCACACAGATTAGAAAACCAAAGCTTGGATAGGACATGCAAATGACCCAAGATTACACAGCCAGTAAATGGGGAGCGAGGGCTCAAGCCCTAGGCTAACAGTCACAAGTCCCCTTGGCAGCTGGTTTTCTAGGTCCTGGCCACATAGCACCCTGAGATGTTCCCCCATCCTTTTGGCCCTTTTGGGGGTGGCCTCTTCAAGTGGCAGTAATCTCTCCTTTGAGGGCATTTGGTTTTACGAACATCTTTAAAAGTGCCCTTCTGGTGAAAATTAAGTTAGCAGCAAGCTTGAAAAGTGTAAAAAGCTTCTTCCATCACTATGCAAACGAAGCAGAAAAACATTACATATTAAGATTTCTTGGACAGGAAAGCACTTTGTCTCCTACCAATCTCCTCCCAGACTAAAACCTCCTTGTGTTCAGGGGCTGTCTTGTACAAATCTTTGTATATACTACATCCAGCATAAAGTCATGTATGTCATAACTGGCTAATAAGATAGTTTTTATCAAATAAAGGCCCAAAGCAACTATATGCAAGAAGGCAGAGCACAATTATTTATAATACATAAAAACTGTATTTTTCAAAGTAGATCATCACTTCTAACACAGGTGATTATACAAATTCCATCTGCAATTCTTTCTGAGGGGAATAAACCACTATGGATGGAGGCAAAGCCAAGGACACATAGAATTTGAAGATGGAGGGAACGTTTTCTTGGCTTCTCTTCAGTTGTCTGATGTCACCAAAGAAGTGGGTTGGCTTGGATAAACTTATGACCTCTGTTTGGCCCTGTGTTCCTAAAAATTTTATGGGAAGGTCACTAATAAACTAAGTGTGTAAATGCTCCGCCATCTAGTTAAAAAATAATAACTGCTACTGGAGCTGACTTATACTACATATTTTCTGCAAAACACATTTACTTACCTTTCCTTCTAATAAAATACACCCAGCAATAAATAAAAGGCAGTAAAAAGTATCCATGGCTTGCTATTAAACTTGATATATGTTTAACAACAGGTTTTAGTATACTGTTTTTAGAAGGATCAGGTATTTGAAAATAAGCACCCAATGAGTACATGATTAAGATTGGCACCAAGGTACAAATATAATAATTTGTCCCAAGTACAGTGTCTGTACTCAGAGAATTTAAATGTCTACCCATGAAAGATCAGATTGCACTTTAAAATGGTCAATATACTGCTAGCAATGAGTCACTTGTATAAAAATGCCACTCTAAAGCACATTATAGTCTTTTTGGGGTTTTTTGTTTTTGTTTTTTCAAGTTTAAACTACAGTCTAGTGGATTTAGTTCTTCATGCTTTTGCCTAAGTGCTACAATGGCAGGGAAAGAGGCTTTGGAATTTCAGATTTTTTTTTCTTTCTTTTTTGTAAAGAAAACCTCTCAAGAGGGTATCCAACCACTTTTTGGAGACATAAACATATGTAAAGCAAAGTGACCCAAATAAAGGAAGAATTAAAAAAAAAATATATTTATTCTTCAATTTAGGCCAATTCTCTTTTACGGGCTCCTTGCAATTAGCTGGCAATCTTGTCCTGTGGGTCTGAAGGATTAAAGCAGGAGCAAAGAACAAAAGGAGTGTCTGCTACACTCCTCCATCGGTCCTTTCTAAACAAATCAGACTTCATCTCCTCCAGTGCCTCCTTACCACCTCATCTTCTTTCCTCTACCCATAATCCCTTAGGGGAAGGACTGTTAACATGTGAAAATGCTACGTAAATGAAATTCCTTCAGAATCAACACAGATTTGAAAATGGCTCCAGAAACTAGAGGGTGGTTTTTATGGTTTTCTCATTTTGGAATTTTGGGCAAAGCACAGCTTTTTGGATCACTGGATCTTTAAAAGATACATAACAGTAGGTAATAAGCCACCCAAATTAAGTTTACCAGAAATTTAGATGTACTCCTTTCCCTCTTGCAGACAATTGAGGACAATGCTCCCAGAAGGTCACTACATTAAAGGAAGCATAGCCTGGGAGCGGCAGACATGACGTCTATTGAACTTACTGTTCCATCTGTCACTGACATGGGCCACATACAAATCTCTAAAGTTCTTGGGGTCTTTAAGGCGCCTGCTAATCCATTCCTTTTCCTTTACCCTTAAGTCATTCCAAATAGGAGGATCTATTCTGTGTTTAAAGACTTCCAAGGAAGAGTCCACAATCACTCAGCCAAATATTTTGAAATTAATTTCCCTATAGCCTTTCCCCGTTGTTCTGAATGCACATTCCTTCCCATAGTCCTGCCATTCTGAAGAGGAAAATATTGTGGCCATGAGCTTTGAGACCTATATAAAGACAAAATAATTCTTAATCTACCCAACCATCAATTTTTTTTTTTTTTTTTTTTTAAAGATGGAGTTTCACTCTGTTGTCCAGGCTGGAGTGGCACAATCTCGGCTCACTGCAACCTCCGCCTCTGAGTTCAAGTGATTCTCCTGCCTCGGCCTCCCAAGTAGCTGGGGATTACAGGCACGCACCACCACACCCGGCTAATTTTTGTATTTTTAGTAGAGCAGAGGTTTCACCATGTTGGCCAGGCTGGTCTCGAACTCCTGACCTCAGGTGATCTGCCCACCTTGGCCTCCCAAAGTATTGGGATTACAGGCGAGATCCACCGTGCCTGGCATCCATGAAATTTTTTGATGAAAAACTAGTTCATAATTTATAAAGTGTAGATACAAATGTACTGCACTCAGCCTTCTTCTATGGAAGTGAAGATGAGAGGTAAGTACTTACTTACCCATTATCCTTACCCTTATTTGGAAGCTCTGTGGAACTACTGTAGGAACTAAGTCTATAATTCAATGAGGTGGATATTGGAAAAATATATATATAAGTCCAATACCTAAATCTAGAGAACTGCTAAACCAGAGAAGAGCTTACGGACAAAAATAGGTTATACAGATTCAACTCACTTCACAGTCTCAGGGACAAAATATATAATTAACCAAAAAGAGAAAAAAAGATGATTTTTGTCCTACACATGACCATGCATATACAGATCTAGGGCTTGAGAGTCACTGAATCAAACCTATAAAAATATGGACTGCTAATTTTGCTTCTTCAGGTCACCAGTGCCCACTATTTTCATCAACTATATAGTACCAAAGCATACTAGTAATAAATAAATAGTAATAAATACATAAAAAGTAATAAATAGTGAAAATGTTGATCCATCTGATTTCTCTGCAATCACTGATTTATCTGCAATCTGTTAAAATATAAACTGGAAATAAATCATATACATGAAAATCCTCAGTGTTGATAATCAGAGAAAAAAGCAACATATTAAAATGACATCCAAACAGAGGAACTGCCAAATACGGCCTATGAAATGTTCTGTCAAAATAAAGATGTGGAATCAGGAAGCAGATGGCAAAATTCTTTCTAAAACCTCACTTAAGCAGCATTTTAGGCATTTCTGACAGTTCTGCAAATGAAAAGAGGGATGTTTCATCAAGAGTAACTCTAGCCCAGTTATGATGATAGGTTGCACCAGTCCTCTCCAACTTGGCTCAGGAAGTATCTGGCTTAAATGGGGGAGGGGAAGTGGGAGGCAAAGCAGCTCTCAGCAGGGGACACGAATGCAAACCCAACTATGCAAGGTGAAAATCACTCTAGCTTTGGCATTTTGGTTGAATTTCATTAGAATCAGGCTGGGTTTCATAACCAGAAGGCAGAACTTCCTTAGTTTTATACTTTTTCTAATAATGCTTTGTCAGGGAAATCATCTTCTCTATTTTAGAGATTTCTTTTAGATTTTTGACCTGTTTTCTTGTTTCCCAGGCTGCGTATATCACTCGCGAACCTTCCAGACAACTGAAGAATAACAATGAATACTGCCATCTTCCCAGAGCTCCAGCACTAATCTTTGTTAAGGCTTAGAGGAAACCACTTTTCTCAGTTTTGATGTCTATGAATCTGCAATCACTAATGAATGGGGAAAAGTCTGTGAAACATTTATTTCCTACATCAATGATTAAAATTAGCTGTTTTTAGAGCAGAATGAACAACATACAAAGCAGGTTGGACGACATCTATTTCACACAATTGCATCTCAGTTTCTGACCTAGGTAAAATCCTGCATAAATGTAGGAGAATCCTCTATATTAATATGTTCTGTATTCAGGTTTAAGAGATGTGCATTTACATTTACATTTTATTAATTCATCAACTGATACTTAAGAATTAAAACTCTCAAAATCAGAAGACGATGCTTTTTGGTAAAGAAAAAAAGAAACAGGCTATAAGTAAAAACAGGTATAAAAATTAACACAAAACCTTTGAGTAATGTATTTATCCTATAAGCGGAAAATTCTGAGAATAATGGAGGACTGAGGGGATTAAAATGCCACGCAGTAGATGGACTATTTCAGATTTTATAGTCAGGGAAACTGGCTTCGGGAGGACAGCTCTCAATTCATGTACTTTACGTAAGAGCAGTTCTTTCTATAGGCCATAAAGTTGTAGGTGATACAATCAACTGGGTTATAAAATAGCTTCTTTTTAGAATGGAGATGATACAAAAATCAATTTCTACAACCATCATTTCCTCCTGAACACCTCTTTCACTTTCAACCTAAACTTACTCTCCCCTTTGGGAATTCCCAGTGTATTTCTTTGAGATGTCTTCCACATTAACAGTAGAGCCTACAAAGAACCAACATGCAGAGGCTACTTGTCAAAGGGCACTTTCTGTAGGTAGTCTAAAAGAACACAATTATACACATACACAAACGTGTACAGGTATACGCAAAAGGGAAAAGGAGATGCAAGAGTACTGTACTACTGCTTTAACAAATGCTCTCACCCAATCCACCTTATCCATCTTACAGGATAGAAACACTATTTAGGGTTTAAAATACGCAAAAAAACATTTTTTTTAAATATATAAACCATCTATGGAAGCATATTTTGCCTTCTGTTATGACCCTCATCATTCCTCAACTCATATTCTAAAAGCCTGAGAGGTGAAAATCTTCTGAACAGCTGAACCACCCACAGAACCTGAAAATTATTATACATTTTGCACATGATTAACCTATATTCACCACTGAGGTTTAACCAAGAACCAGATTCACATAGGTAATAGGGGTCACAACTACTTTTTCATAAAATATACCCTCCTACTGGCCAGGTGAGGTGGCTCACGCCTGTAATTCCAGCACTTCAGATTGCTTGAGCCCAGGAATTCAAGACCAGTCTGGGCAACATGGCAAAACCCTGTCTCTACTAAAAATACAAAAATTAACTGGGTGTGGTGGCACATGCCTGTAGTCCCAGCTACTTGGGGAGGCTGAGGTGGGATGGCTTGAGCCTGGAAGGTGAAGGTTGCAGTGAGCCAAGATCACGACTTTGTACTTAAGTCTGGGCAACAGAGCGAGACCCTGTCTCAAAAAAAAAAAAAAAAAAAAAAAAAAAATCTATGCATCCATCTATCTATACAAACACACATCCTCCTACTTTACATAAATGTACAATTCCATGTCTATTCTTAGCATGTTTTCAGTTAAAATTAGATTACTGATGTTTACAAGAAGCACGGTCAAATGATTTTTTTCATTTTATGTCAATGTTTACACGCCAACCCTCCAGAAGGTTGGGACAATGGGAAGAGGGCATTGGACTGGATGTAAAGCCTGAGGCCAGGGGTCTAGTTTTGTTAGGGTCTAGATTCTCACCCCAGAATCTTACCCCCTCAGGCAATCACTCAAATTGAAATATCACTTCTATTGGTCCTGATACTCTACTTCAGTAGTTATCTTACTTCTTCCTTTGAATGTAAACCATTTATAGCTAAGTAGAGTATATTTTAGTATAAGAACACAGTGAAGGCTGGGTGCGGTGGCTCACACCTGTAATCCCAGCACTTTGGGAGGCCGAGGCGGGCGGATCACGAGGTCAAGAGCTCGAGACCAGCCTGACCAACATAGTGAAACCCCGTCTCTACTAAAAATATAAAAATTAGCTGGGCGTAGTGGCGCGCGCCTGTAATCCCAGCTACTTGGGAGGCTGGGGCAGGAGAATCGCTTGAACCTGGGAGGCGGAGGTTGCAGTGAGTGGAGATCGCAACACTGCATTCCAGCCTGGGCGACAGGGCGAGACTCCGTCTCAAAAAACAAACAAACAAAAAACACATAGTGAAGACCAAACAAAATTTCATCTGTACTAATAATGACTCACGGTGGGCCAGAGCTCAAGTCAGTATGTAATAAGAAAGCAAAGGGAAAAAAAAAATCATTTACTTCACTAAAACTTCTGTTGTTTCTTTAAAACTCTAAACAAAATTGACCCTATAAGTAAAGATATTCATTCTTATCATTTTTTAACAAGCAAATTTTAATAATGCCTTTTATTTCTATACAAAGCAATGTAACTTTCTGAAAAAAAAAATGGCTATACAGAACCCTTTAAACATAAGAGTACAGAGTTTCAAATGGCAACAAGAAGTTAAGAAACATAGGGCACTGTGTCGTTATGGGTGAATCCTAGTCGTCCTGCAGCCCAAGGTCCAAGCTAGTTTACTCCATAACCTTAAGTAAATAACCGCGGTTCCTATGAATACCTTTCCAAAACCATTTATTATAAAAACTCACTCTTTATCCATTATCAGTATTAACGTATCAAAGTGAGAAAGAACATGGGAGAGAAAAATGACAATTAATGCAGCGTGAACATTTTCATCCTGAATACCAGTAAGGACTCTAGATGATATATGGTGCCCACTTCATGTGCCTCAAAAGATTTTAATTTTCAGAACATTTAAACGATTAAAGAGAAATCATCCTCTTAACTAGGTATTTTAAAGCGTATCAAACTGTAGGTTTACATTTGACAAAGTCTTATGGACCACCAAATACGTAGAAATAGGAATTCCAAATATTTCAGTTCGTTGAATATACAAAACCAAATAAGGCGCAAGGACCTGAAGAATAAACACAAAGCTAGTCTACAATGTTTGAGTTAACGTGATTTAGGACCCTTCTATTTTGTTCTGCAAGATAATTTACATAGTTCTCTCTGCTATATGTGTCCACATCTATTCAGATTGTTACAGATCTTTTCATTCTGGAACTTAGAACATTATAGGCCATACAAACTTCCAAACTCCATTGTTGCTATAATCTGATTCGAAATGGAAAAAAAAAAATCTTCAAAGAAACTTCCATAAAACTCCCTTCTCTATTATCAAATATAACTTCTGAAAAAGAACACACTACACTATTATTCATAATAATCCATAAACTGGTTAGAGGGATCATTGAAATGTCAATCCAGGAGGCTCCTAATTTTCCTGTTTGGCTTTCAAACAACCCACACTTCTGTGCATTATATACTGATATCCTGAACGACTTCCTATGCTGATTCTGGATATACATACACAGCAGATGAATGGACATTTGCAGCTATCAGACTGTGCTGGTGCTGATTTGTGTAGTAATTTGACCATCTTGGTGTATTTTTTCTTCATATTTCTTAAATAGAAAATGAAAAAAATCAAATGGCTGATATCATAAAAACAACTGGTCTCTAAATTTAAGATTGAGACAAGAATAGAAATCAGGAGAAATGAGGAATCTTTAATTTCAACTGACTGAATGCTCACAGGACTCAAACCAGTTGGTGCATTCAACTGAGAAAAAGAACAAATGAGAACATGCAGAAAACACTGGAAATAAATTATCTAAAATTATGTCTAAAAATTGAAGCATAATTAGGAATTCCAGAATGATTTAAGATCTCTACAACTCCTCTCTACTTTTTTAGTCCATTATCTTTTACAGAACCAATGTTCAAATACATTTTTAGGAATGTATTTAGTAGGATATAAGAGGACTTCTTGTGCTGAAAATGAAGAAAAAAATTGACCCAACATTAGTTTTTTAATCGCATCTACTGAATGATTCCCTAAGATTAGAAAAAATTGCCTTAGCAATCAACAAATGCAAGCCAAGAAATTAAGCACTAATCTACAGTAAAAGGTGCTACACAAGAGATATTTATTAATGTTCTGTTGTATTTACAGTTTTAACATAGCAAACCAAGATGAATTACCACTTGGGCAGAAAGCACATCATTCTACATTATAACCCACTGGTTTCTGCTAACACATTGTAAAAGCAAGTAGTACAGTATGTTAGGGATCATCTCAAAAGTTCCAAGCTACTTCTTTCTTTGCTCCTAAGTACCTAATCCTCTCCTTACTCCCAGACTTTGGCCTAATCACCAGGAGACAAAAGGAAAATAAGGGGGGTGGGGGTGGGGGTGGGGGTGAAGAACGCTAATTATAGAAAGAGTGTCAAGAATTACATTTTAGTAATTAAGCTTCATTTGTATCCTAGTGCTTTCTGTTTTATACAGTGACAACACCTTTAGAATCCCTTAGGTACAATAAGGTACCGCAGAATTGTGAATACAGGCTATAAAAAATTAATGCTTATTATTTACCAATTAAAGACTTATTTTTGACCACACCTTAAATGTATTTTTGCACTATGATTTTGCTTCCAGGTGTTCATACAGAATTGAATAAATTTCTAGATTAACTTGAACAGCAAATATGGATTATGTGCAAAAACACAGTCATAGCAAAAGTTTAACTTTTGAGAAAACCCCTTTAAAATGGCCAGCATTATACATATCTTACAATATTTAATTCCAAGTTCATTTTGAGATGGAGGATGAATAAAGCAAGACTGCCCCCTACCGACTACAGGGACATGGCTCATGCTACTTAAAATGACTACAAACAATATATAAGGCATTATTAATACATCACAGACTTGATTGCAAGAGCTTTTTCAAACATTAACCACTAATGATTCAATGATTACAGAATTCTGCATTAACTATTAAAATTTTACACCTAGGAACAAATAGAGAGAAATGATCTTTTCAACAGTACTTTATTTTTTTAAAGCAGGTGATTATTCCTCTGTGTTCTGCATCTTGATTCACTTCCTGCAGGTGTTCTCTTGCTTCTTGAGAGAGAATTCATAAATGCAGGAAGGCCTTTGCCAGAAAACATCTGCCAGAGAAGGATATTGAATATTGAAACTCTAGTTAGCTTGTTATTTTGGCTAAGAGAAGGATGTAGTCACAAAAGAAGGCAGGATGTTTGGAGACACAAGTGCATTTTAACATAGTTTTAAGATTACTGTATACTGACATCACGGTATTCAATAAACATTAAAATTTCAGTTCTTAAAGTTATCAAGGCCTCTAGAACTAGAAAAAACTGGAATGCTTTTTCTAAAAACTCCTGAAGTCAGGAGTCTCTCTTTCCAAACCTCTTAACAAAAGAATACAATGGAAGCAGTGCTACTGCGCATCCCACACTGAACGCTGTCAGCAATGACTGAAACTTGGGACAGAGAGCATAATCCAAGTGCACAAGTAATTTTCCTAATATACCTGAAGATACTGTTTACCCTAACAATTCCACTAGATATTGCACAAGGAAGCTTTCCAGTAAGGATGCCAACCATGTCATGCTATACCTCAACCGAGCATGGCAAAATTAGAAAACAAGGATAAACTCACAGGTACCACAAATACTTTTAAAAAACAAGTTTTCCTAAAAAGTCATTGTATTTGGGGCATGTTTCTCTTAAAATAATACATGTACTTTCAAACTAAATTTTAAGAAAGGAATATATCTGACTGAAATAAATGCTCTCGAAATAATGCCTACGCATTTTACTAAATGCAGTTTTCATCTAATACTTTGAGGCATTTCTGTACTAGTATATTGTTTTGGTTCTCATGAAAATAACTTGGGAAAAACTACAAGTAATTCCCTATATTAACAATAAAAGAAGAACTATTAAGAATAAAAGAAGAAACACTAAAGAGATACATTTACTGCTTAATAAACATTTATTGAGAAACTATTTTGTGGTACTCAGCAAGAAGTGAGAGTTGGATGGGCTCAAATATCGGCCTATAACTTACTTTTCTATCCTCCAAATTACTATAAAAGCCACAAGAAACTCTTCTATGTCTTTTCTTTCTTTTCTTTTCTTTTTTTTTTTTTTGGAGACAAGAGTCTGTCACTCAGGCTGGAGTGCAGTGGCGCGAGCTCGGCTCACTGCAACCTACACCTCCAGGGCTCAAGCCAACCTTCTGCCTCAGCCCCGCAAGTGACTGGCACTAACAGGCGTGCACCACTATGCCCGGTGTCTTCTGTATCTTTTCTGATTAGATTACTGCGTAAGTATTTAAAAGGCTGCCAAAATGGAGAGAGACTACAAACACACTGGAGGAAATGAACATATTTTAATATTATCAACATTTTTCCAAACTATAAATTCATTTGTGTTGTGATTTGAAGTAAACCACTGAAACTGATACAAGGACATCTTTTCTTTAGATTGAGAGACATAAGAGATTGAAAGACCTCGGAAAGCACAGAGACAGAGACACAAAAATATGAGGAACTCTAAAAGCCAAGCAGAAGCAAAAAAGAAAATTGGCAGATGAATATTAAATGAATGTTTTTGCAATGAGGCCAGACTCATTATAAACATAAATAATTTGTTTTATCAGTTTCTATATATTTTTTTTTTTTTTTTTTTTGAGACGGAGTCCCGCTCTATCACCCAGGCTGGAGTGCAGTGGCACAATTTCGGCTCACTGCAAGCTCCGCCCCCCGGGTTCATGCTGTTCTCCTGCCTCAGCCTCCCGAGTAGCTGGGACTACAGGCGCCCGCCACCACACCCAGCTGATTTTTTGTATTTTTAGTAGAGACGGGGTTTCACTGTGTTAGCCAGGATGGTCTTGATCTCCTGACCTCGTGATCTGCCCGCCTTGGCTTCCCAAAGTGCTGGGATTACAGGCGTGAGCCACCATGCCTGGCCCAGTTTCTTTTAATAGATGAAAACTGATGAAACAGTGACTAGTAGGTCAAAACAGAGTTTGCAAGAATATACAATATGGTACGGACAATTACCTGGCCACTTCCTTAGTTTATGATGCTTTAGCATAGGTAAACAGCTTTAATAGATCCCTCAAAGTCAAAGCCTGACACCCAACAAACATTAAAAATCCCTTTGCTTGTTCAGTAAGAGAAGTAAAAATTAAATTAAAATAAAATATCTCAAGAGGACCTAGAGAGGTCACCAGTGGGTAATCTCAATCACCACACAATCTCCAAATGAAAGACTGCTAGAGGGCACTGCTGTCTGAGACTTGGAGGCTTGAGTGGCAGTGTTACAGAAATGCTGGCAGTACACAAACTGAAGAACAAACAGATCTTAGGGACTCTGGACCGTATTACTAAATTATAGATCAGATCACTTTGTAAAAAAAAAAAAAAAAAAAAAGGAATCCAATAGCCTACAGATCATTTAATTCCAAGAGGAAGACAACCAGTTCTTCTTGGAGACATGTAAATTTTGTTTAGCAAAAATTCTACTGGAAACACCATTTCCCTATTATCTTGCTATCTTATAACATAGTCCAATAAGTAAACCTTTACCTTGAGATGAATTTCCTTTAATAAAATAAAAGAAGTATTAAGGAACAGGAGAAAAATTACAGAAAAGGAGAAATGAAAGTGTCTGTTATCACATGGAAAAAAATTAAAATATTTGATGCCTAATAGGTACAGCTCACTAGGTCACTTTTTTAATTATGAAGGCCCTAGCTCATTAATGCTAGGGCTCAAAAACCTCCTTTTTTCCTTCTATTTCAGATGCAGTTAAAATAAATAATTTTAAAATATATTATGCTTCATATGTACAAGTGCTTTTGGTACCACACAAATAGTGTTAGATATAACCAATCAACTGTGTTACCACCTTATTACTGTAGCTAACTCCTCATTCACCTGGCAGCATCAGAGGAGGTGGTAATCCATAAAAATGTATTTTCCAGTGAACTGGTAAATAAGAAAAGTATAAACACTTTACATTTTTTACCATTTCAGGTACAGATGTTTATAACAGGTATCTGTTTCTTCTGCTTCCTCAGTCACATACTTTTTTTTTTTTTTTTTTTTTTTTTTTGAGACAGAGTCTCGCTCTGTCGCCCAGGCTGGAGTGCAGTGGTGTGATCTTGGCTCACTGCAACCTCCACCTCCTGGGTTCAAGCGATTCTTCTGCCTCAGCCTCCCAAGTAGCTGGGATTACAGGTGCACACCACCACACCCAGATAATTTTTGTATCTTTAGTAGAGACGGGGTTTTGTCATGTTGCCCAGGCTGGTCTCAAACTTCTAACCTCAGGTGACCTGCCCACCTCGGCCTCCCAAAGTGCTGGGATTACAGGCGTGAGCCACTGCGCCCGGCCCAGTCACATACTTCTTGATGGCCACTGTGCACACCTTTAGCAGTTCCTTCTGGCATTTTGTTATGAAGTAGGAAAACAGATAACAGCTTATTAATACATTTTTCCCTCCCTTAAGCTTAAATGGACTCTGAAAAGGAACCTGAGAGCTGCCCCTATGATAGTAGTACATGAGCTTTAATGTTTAGCTTTTGTAATATCTACTTTGACTGATTAGAAGGAGGTGTTTTGGGATCACTTCAAGATTGGTTTATTTGTACTATATTTCAGGTAGCCTGACTAGAAAAGTCACTATTCTTATGCCCTTTTCTAGTAAAATGCCAAATCTTAGTACAATATGGAAAGTATATTATTTTTCTGTTTTGGTAAAGTTATTTTAAAAATTCTGTATCTGTATCTTTCTGGCAAAGTTATTTTAAAAATTCCCTACCTGTGTCTTTCTTCAGCTACCTTTTAATTGGTGACATCTCCATCAAAGAAGTAGAAGTCCATAAAAGAAAATAAAGCTTTTGGGAACACTGACCCCATTTTCTAAAGTTTGTGTTCTCTGATTGGCCATTCCCAGCTTTCTACTTGCATAAACTCTGTATTCTGATCCTTTTGATGGCTTCAGGTTGACAATGTCAAGAGAGGCAATTTAGCAGAGTAGTCACTAGTTTACCAGTGATTTTCCTCAGCAGGAGTTAGCCTAGGATTTTTAAACTACATTTTCCCTCTCCCCTATCCCTATCTCCCTAGAAGAATCACTGTACATGACAGTTAGAAATAAGATCAAATTTATCCTTTAGTAATTTGACTGCCTGCTAGGCAAAAACTCAACAACCTTCTGACAAAATTCAGAGCTCATAATCTCTACAACATGATAATTAACAATGCTGCAACAAAGAAATAACTGGCCAGGTGTGTAAAAACAGGAAAATGTAACCCAGAGTCAAGAGAAAAATCCATCAATACAAATAGACTTATCTAACCTGATGTTGGAATTAGCAGATAATTACTTTTTAAAAACTGTGATAAGCATAATAAAGAATCGATAGGGAGGAAAAAAATAAAGCTTTCTTACTTCACATGACGGTTTTCTAGTATGTCTTCTAACAAAATTAAACTAAATGTCCTCTGAACTAGAGAAAGAAGGGATTCTACATCTGGATCTGGACAGAGTTCTTACCCTTTCAGTGGACAAAGGGAACTCAGTCCCATAGGATATTATGGCTTTTCAGGTTCCCTCTGGGGATCCCTGGAAAATTAGTGAAGTCATTAGAATTCTAAATTCTGCTGTAAGTTCCTCAAACCCTTAATTTAGAGCTCTGAATTCTCTGGGTGTGTCAGGAATGATTTCAAATAAACCAGGGTATCACAGTTAAATAGAAAAGCAAATAAACTCTATTATGCCCTCCAATGGTGTGCATTCATTTACCTCTGAGAAAGTTTCTGACAACTCTTAACGTACACTCCTGAAGCACCAGCAGGCTCAACACTTGAATCTCCCTTAGTACTTCCTACAACATTATTATTACTAAGGACTGCCTACTTCAAATCACAACCCCACATACATAGTTTTAAATTTAGAATATCAAAAAACATTTCAGAAATTTTAGAAAATCCAAACAATAACAACAAAATTTTCAGTAAAGCACCAAACAACACAGGAAAACTGAGACGTTCAGGCTTTCTGTCAACTGGGCTGCTATTTCTTATGCTTAGAACCAAGATGAAGAAGGTATGCAATCCCCTAATAAAGATTCAGATTTCTTTCTAACTGAAGAACAAAGAGAATAGACAGAGGTGTGATCTCAGTCCATTTAGAAATTCAGAGCTAACATTAGACTACACCTACAGAATTGATGACTTTTTTTAAAAAGAGAAAGAAATCTGTCCCCTCAGTATATCTTGGGTGTCAATGTATTAGAGGGAAAATATTAGGTGATTTCAGCACCCTTCATAAGGAGGACTTGTAGCAACCCAACAGTACTAGCTTTGGAATCCTTGATAGGTAAAAGTTAAACCTAAGGCTAACTATAAATTCCAATCTGATATATAGATGAAAGATGACAATGGTAACTAAATAAAACTGCAAAGAATATCTAATAAGTCTCTTATGTTCTAGACATAAACAAAGACACATTGTAGGCATTAAGGCCCAGGCCAGTGGTATGAATATCCATCTGTGTCCAGACTGTGTGACTGAATTCAAATTCATGACATGCTACACATTTTCAGACATGCAATCAAAGATTCCTGTTTTTTAATAATGAATACTAGTTTTTTTAATAATGAAACTAACTTTAAAAGCAGTTTAAGCCTTCTTTACCTACATACATTTAATTATCCATGTAAAATGCTTAATATATTATCTGACACATGGAAAACTCCATGAGTGTTAATTTTAGTTTACTATACTATGCTTGAAAAAATGTTTGTTATATTCAAGAGGGTCTCATTATATGATTCTGTTGCCTAAAAGCTTTCAATGCTGTTCTATCACCTGGAAAATCAACTATGGTAGATGCTTTATTTTCTTGAAGCATACCTCCTGAGACCACCACAAGTCTTCAAAATTGAGAACCTCACGATTAGTATATGATTGCCTATATAAACTGACACTCTGCGAGTACAGAACAAATTCGTGCTCCACGTGGGCTTAGTCTTGCATTGACCCAACATGTCGCTGGCTCTATCAATTTCATGGTTCTACTGCAAATGGGCTTGGTGCTCAAGGTATCTGAGAAACTTGTTTCAACCTGACTTTTTAGCCTTGACCCTCAATACTCCTTTATGCCCCAATCAAGCTGCTATCCTCTGAACAAGCCCCATACTTCCCTATTTTTGCTCTTCACTCTGCCTCAGATGATTCTGAAATTCTTCCCCACACTCTCCACTATCATGTAAAGTTTATCTGAACTACACCACCTATCCTTTATAATGCTTTGCCTAAGACCTTCAACTGGACTGGCCTCTAGGTGGTGCTCAAGGTTCCACTCTATGATTAACACAGTCCCCAAAGCCCCAAGGAACAAACAGCCAAGTCCAAGAAAGCCTATTAGAACTTGCTACCACAGAGAGCTCTCTCTGGTGTACTCTTTCTCAAGATTCTCTACCTCTTCCTTCAGGCAGCCATTGATGTAAGATGGAGTGTCAGCCTCTGGGGAAAATCATGTGTGAATCAAAGAGCCTTGGCAGGGCTTAGTCCTCCTGTTCTAGGCAAGGGAAAAGGTCCTTTCTCCTCTTTTCTTGAGTTTGACCTTCCTCACATTAGAGTGGTATCAGAATGTCAACCTGAAGAAAGCCATGGGGAAAGCCTCAATGACAATTTTAAAAGATGGAAGACTTGGTGGGCTTGTCAGCAGCCCAGACAAAAGGAGTTCTTAAAGTACTACACAGTCTCTCCAGGTTCTGGGATTTAGGGGCAGAGATGAGTGATTAGGCCTGAAGGGTTCCTTCTGAATGTCATCCTCTGGAACTGGTGCAACAGTAAGCAGTGGCTTCAGGATGCTGGAATTCAGTCAAGCAGCCAAATATCCCAGCTTTCTGATGACTGCTAAGACCCCTGCCTCTTTCACACTGTCAAAGCATGAAGTAATGATTTCTCCTATGGCAGTTTTTCTAATTTGACTTTATCAATAGCTTTTTGTAAAAATCCCTGTTACTAGACAAGAAACTGCTAAAAGGCAGGGACTGTGCCTTCTTTACTTTCTCTATATGCCCCTATCACAGATACTTACTCTAAAACTGAACAGAAATCTACAATGTAGCACATGGTTACACTGGGACTAGAATAAATTTTTTCTTTAATACCTTTAATAAATAAAGAGAACTCTGGTCCTGGGGAGATTTGAGAAAGTTTCTGGCATCTTCCGAACTTTTGCATAATTGATAAATCCTCTGAGAAACAGGAGAAAGCCTAATTTAAAAAAGAAAAGTCATGAATGAATTTATAATTTCCATGTTAAGTCCCCTCCCCAGAAATCCCTCTCCTGATAGCGATACATTGTTATTTTTCTGCTAAAGGTAATCAAAACATTAGCAATTTCCTCCAGAATCTGCAGAGGATTTTCATACCAAATTATCCATCCTTCAATGAGAAGGTATAATGTAAGAGTCAATAGTGTCTTTTGCACATTCAGAATTGAATTGGTCTAAAAAGGAAATAAAAAATAAGATGGAGCCAAACATTTACATATGAAAGCCTCATTGAGAAACATCAAAATCTACCTATTGAGTTCCAAAAAAGCATTCCAAGATAATGAACTCCAAACAACAACAACAACAACAACAACAAAAAGAGGTTATAACTGTGTTTTTCTCAAGTAAAAAGAAAAAATGTAACCTTCCTTGTCATGGGCTGTTTTTTCTGTCGACAGTATATAATGTTGTCCACTAGATGTCAGGATCCCCTTATCTATTACAGCAATTCTCATCGTCTCAACTTGAAACTTTGTCTACTATTATTATTATTATTATTATTATTATTATTATTAACAGACAGGGTCTTGCTCTGTTGCCCAGGCTGGAGTGCAGCGGTATGATCACAGCCTCTGCAAGCTTGAATTCCTGGGCCCAGATGATCCTCCTGCCTCTGCTTCCCAAGTAGCTAAGATAACAGGTTCATGCCCAGCTAATTTTTTAATTTTCTGTAGAGATAGGGGTCTCGCTATGTTGCTCAGGCTGGCCTTCAACTCCTAGGCTCAAGTGATTCTCCTGTCTCAGCCTCCCAAAGAGTTGGGATTATAGGTGTCAACCACTGTACCCAGCCTATTTCTCTATTCTTAGTAAGACTCTTTTTGTGTGACTACACCAGAATCTATACATTCACAAAAGTTTGTACCTCCTAAAACTGTCAGCAGAGAGGTGATATGCCCCTCCAGTGGAAACTCAGATACTCCTCCTGGCCTTCCTCTTTCAGAGATGGTCTCTGAGCCTTTAGCACATTTTTTTTTTTAAATACTTTTACTGGGATACTCAGTGGTAGAAAATGGTACTTGGACAGTTGAACTGATTTTTAGCAGTAACCAAGAGCTGTCAGCTCTGAGCTTGGGGAACATCATTCTGTTTGGGACCCAAAGCAACAAGTGACTATTGAGCAGGGGTTACCCCTTCAAATACTAAGTTGGGGTATGGTGGTGGGATCTTACTGAACTGGAAGGCACATGACCTGTATGGAGGAGACAGCAACAACTCAGCTCCAGCCAAAGGGTGCCATGTGAAATGTAGGCTAGCTTTTCTTGATATTCCAACTTTCAAGAAAAGTAAAAACATTCAGGCGTTTTATGTGAAATAATTTTGATTTTTAAAATGTTGGCAACTAATTTAAAAAAACTTGAAAAATAACTGTGGAACAAATAAACTATAGGCTAACTATAGCTCAAGAGCAGCCAGCTTGGGAGCTCTGCACAGAGCTCTGCAAGACAAAACACCATTAAACTGGTTCTCTTCAAAAGGGAAGTTCCCAAAATGACCCGAATATTGGGCACAAATGCTCATAAGTGTATCCAAACTCTTATTAATATATATATATATATATATATATATATTTTTTTTTTTTTTTTTTTTTTTTGAGATGGAATCTTGCTCTGTTACCCAGGCTGGAGTGCAGTGGCACGATCTCAGCTCACCGCAACCTCCGTCTCTCGGGTTCAAGCCATTCTCCTCCCAAGTAGCTGGGATCATAGGCATGAGCAACCACAGCCAGCTAATTTTTGTATTTTTAGTAGAGACGGGGTTTCACCACGGTGGCCATGCTGGTCTCGAACTCCTGACCTCAAGTTATCTGCCTGCCTCGGCCTCCCAAAGTGCTGGGATTACAGGCATGAGCCACCACGCCGGGCCAAACTCTTATTTTTTGCTTACAAGCAAATGGTACATAGCAAGAATGATCAATGATGAAGGATTATAAAACCTCCTCCCATGAAACTTTAAAAGGGAATCAATCCATTAAATTTCTTTAAATTATTTATGCCATAAGCAATCAATCTGAACATACGCTTAAGGGCTCCTCTTTGGTCCATTCAGGATTTGACTTGGGGAAACACGGGTGGTCAGCCTTTCTCTTAAAGGTACAGTTTAGAAAATAAGCAAGCCAAGGAACTATTTCTTCTAAATTATTCTCCTGTTGGTCATTTTTATTACTGAAGTTCTCAATAATCAATAGAGGAAAAAAAATTACTATTTCTCTTTCCTTAGAATTCTAATGACCAATCATAGAGTACATGATGCTGTTGAGGAGGTGGTAGATGGTGCGATGAATGATTTATGTTTTCTAAGTAAAATGTAGGGTCAGCAATGCAAGGCTCTGTCAGTTTTGGCAAAACAGGTCCTGAACTGTTTTGTTTTGTTTTTAGAGACACTGTCTTGCTGTCACCCAAGCTGAAGTGCAGTGACGCCATCATAGTTCACTGCAGGCTCCAACTCCTGGGCTCAAGGGGTCCTCCTGGCTCAGTCTCCCAAGTAGCTAGGACTACAGGCACAAACCACCATGCTTGGTTAATTTAAAAAAATTTTTTTGTAGAGACGAGGTCTTGCTATGTTGCCCAGGCTGGTCTTAAAATCCTGGCCTCAAGGTGAAATCCTCCTGACTCAGTCTCCCAAAATGCTGGGATTACAGGCGTGAGCCACCATGCCTGGCCCAGGTCCTCAATTTATTAAACACCTGCCAGGCATGGGTGCCAGGATGTCCTAGCCAGAACCATTAGCAGAACCACCACCAAGGATCTTAATTAAGGGGGCAACAAGAAGCAAAACAGGACATAGGAGAAACTGATGTCACAGAAGCACAGTGAGGCAATCACACCATCTTTAATAGCCACAAGATGGCCCTGTTATTCTTTTGTAGAAATGACAGAAGTGATGGTGGTCTCTCTAACTGTATCATATATATTTTCTTTACATATAATCAAGAAGCCAACATTGAAATAATTTACTCCAATGTTCATCTCTTTGTTTTAATGTCTAGGAAAAAAGTATTTAAAAATAAATATTTAGAGTAAAAAATATAATCCAGGCCAGGCATGGTGGCTCAGGCCTGTAATCCCAGCACTTTGGGAGGCCGAGGCGGGCGGATCACAAAGTCAGGAGATCGAGACCATCCTGGCCAACACGGTAAAACCCCGTCTCTACTAAAAATACAAAAAAATTAGCCGGGCGTGGTGGCAGGTGCCTGTAGTCCCAGCTACTCGGGAGGCTGAGGCAGGAGAATGGTGTGAACCCGGGAGGTGGAGCTTGCAGTGAGCCGAGATCACGCCACTGCACTCCAGCCTGTGCGACAGAGCAAGACTCTGTAAAAAAAAAAAAAAAAAAAAAAAAAAAAGTCCTCTTGCCTATTGTAAAATAGTTCTTATTCTCACCAACGGTAAACTAAAGCATTCTGGAAATCCAATGGTGGTTCTTTCAGAAGTTATGTCTAGCGAGGTTACATATTTTCTGTTTTCTACTGACAGACCCACCAAAGATGGGCCACCTGCACTTATGAGTTAGTTCAACTGGCTGCAGTAAGCGTATAAGCAATTCTGGTTTGAGTCTGTGAATGCTGTGTGGCAATAGCTCACAAGGGGAAAAAAACTGACAGACTACAGAGTCATCAGCATACCCCATTTATCACATGGGGGAGAAGAATATATGTATAGGTTAGGAAGAACCTACAACCACAAAGAAACTTTTTATTAACGTGCATGTTACTCTGATGGTAACGAAAGACTATTTTTAAGAAAGCAACATTTTAAAAATGTTTATTATTAATTGTTAATATATTACTATACAGTAATCAAGATGAACATTTACTACAAGTAATTTTACTTATAAAATTTAATGTAATGTTTTCTTGCCTTTTCTTACATTAAAAACACTTACCTAAAACAAGGAACACCCACCAGAGCCAGTACTGACCATCAAAATATCCAGGGAAATAGGTGGAAAACTAAAAAATAAGGCAAAACACTTTATAGCAGCTTAACAGACACAATTTCTCATTTTAACTTAAGGGTACACAAAATCACAAAATGCAAGACTTATTCTTTTTTTTTTTTTTTTTGAGACGGAGTTTCGCTCTTGTTGCCCAGGCTGAAGTGCAATGGCGTGATCTCGGCTCACTGCAACCTCTGCCTCTCAGGTTCAAGCGATTCTCCTGCCTCAGCCTCCCGAGTAGCTGGGATTACAGGCATATACCACCATGCCTGGCTAACTTTATATTTTTAGTAGAGATGGGGTTTCTCCATGTTGGTCAAGCCGGTCTCAAACTCCCTACCTCAGGTGATCCACCCACATCAGCCTCCCAAAGTGCTGGGATTACAGGCGTGAGCTACCGTGACCAGCAAGACTTATTTGTTCTACCAATGCCATCACTTAGCCTTTAGAATAATTTTAAAATATAAGTGAAAGTATTTTACATATTACTAGCTTGAAATGGTTACAATAAATGCAAATCTATTTCCTTTCAAGGAAAAGCAATTGTTAAATATGACAGCTTTTAGCTTTATTAACTCCTTATTTTGAAAGTATACAAAAATTGGTTTTTTTAGAAAACATTTTCCCCACATAATATTTGCTCTTCTAGAAATGTGTTTCAATAATGATCGTTTTACTTTGCCTATTCAGTGCCAAAAGCAATTATTATTATTATTAATTTTAAGAGACAGGATCTCACTATGTTGTCCAGGCTGCATTTGAACTCCTGGGCTCAAGCAATCCTCTCACCTCAGCCTCCTGAGTAGATGATACCATTGCCTTCTTTCTAATGAGGCCTGATTTTCTTCCTACTCCTCCAGCCTTGTCTTGACTTTGGAAGCTTTATCATGTATACCAGGGTAATCCCCTTCCCTTGCTGGTTTAGGAATGGGCACAGGATGCCATTCTGACCAGTGGAAATTGAGGGCTTCTGAGAAGCTTTCCTTGCTTCTCAAAGAAAAAAACAGTTCTTTCTAAAGGTGGTAGAAAATTTTTTTTTAAATAGTTCTTTTTCTTCTCTTGAGCACTGTCGTGTTTCAATGTAATACTGATACGTGAAACTGCCATCTTTTAACCCTGAGGGGAGGGGGGACCTGTGCCAATATGCTGATATGTCAGCTGTCCTTGATGATGTCAAAGAACCACTGACTTAACTAACCTTGTCAGGGACTTGTTTTCAGGGGAAATAAAATTTCCCCGTTTAAAAAAACAATTAAAAATTTTTTTCTAAGCCATTTTGAGCTAGGTTTTTGTTACTCACAGTCAAAAGCATCCTACCTGATACAAGTTAATTCATTTAACTTTTTTTTTTTTTTTGAGAAGGAGTCTCGCTCTGTCGCCCAGGCTGGAGTGCAGTGGCACGATCTCGGCTCACTGTAAGCTCCACCTCCTGGGTTCACGCCATTCTCCTTCCTCAGCCTCCCGAGTAGCTGGGACTACAGGCCCCCGCTACCATGTCTGGCTATTTTTTTTGTATTTTTTTAGTAGAGACGGGGTTTCACCATGTTAGCCAGGATGGTCTCGATCTCCTGACTTCGTGATCTGTCCGCCTCGGCCTCCCAAAGTGCTGGGATTACAGGCGTGAGCCACCGCACCCGGCCCATTTGATTCACTTTTTAAATGCAGTTGAAAATTTAGTTTGAAAAAAAAAAAAGACTGGAATTAATTTTATTTCTCTTTTCCTTGGAGGCTTTGGTGTCCAAGAGTTTAATGTAGTTCGAAAAGTAAAATATAGTATTTTCTTTGTTAATAAAGTAACAATTAAAATTTAGGGAAGGAATGAAAACCTCTTTAGGGCTCGAGTTCTTAACCTAAAGTCCATTATTATAGATGAGTACATATTAGCTATGTGGGGGAAAAGCTTACAACTTTCATCAGATTCCCAAAGGATTCTGGAACCCTAAAAACGTTAACAAATGTTTTATAATAAATAAGGTGGCACTACGTAGAAAAACTACAGTGGTCAAGCAACACCCATTAGTTAGTTAAGTATGCCAATTTATGACGGATAAATTGGTTTTGTTTATAAGGTTGACGATAGCAATAAATTTATCTGAAATCAGAGGATACTTTAAAAGCCTAGATCTTTTACAACTGTAAATTACTTCATGCAAATTTAACTAACTGGTAACTCTGAAGTCACTAAAGACATACATCTCTGTAATTTACTTGAGAGGTAGGCTCCTAATGGAGCAATACTTGTTAAACAGTTTTGGCTCCCCAAACATTTTGGCATAAGCAATCCTGGAAGGGAGAGGGGAAGAGAAGGAGAAAAGAAAAGAAGGAAGAAGAGAGCTAGATTAAAACTGTAACAGAATTAATGAGAGGAATGGCTGCTTTTGATGAGATATCAAAGGGGTAATATCCTTCCTTTTATTATAAAAACAACTAATTTCAGAACATATACATTATCATATTATAAACATTAAAAACAAACAAAGCAGATGGTGAACAATATTAATGATAGACCAGTTTTCAATAGATTTGACAACAAAACTTGTGTGCATGAACCATTTGCAAATGATTTTGGTTCAGCTTCATCATGAAACCACAGACAAACCAAAAATCATTTAACACACTGAAATAACTTTTAAAAAAGCAAATGAAAAATCGAATATTCAAAAATATTCTGATTATTGCCTCTCTGTAGAGCCCATCTTTTCTGTTATACAACTTACCCTGACAATCAGGATCCATTTAATTAGAGAGAGACCAAATCCTGAAATGGCCCCATACCTTCCTGCAGCTGAAGTGGTCAGGCAAAAAGACAGGAAAAACCCAATCCAGTTAAAGAGGAATGCCACTGCAAAAGCAGAGGAGGGGAAAGATGTTAGACATGTCCTGTTACCCAAGAACAAGAGTGCCTTACACCTGCCTCTGTTTAAATGACTTTCCAAAGGATAAAAGACAGCCTGTCCTCCACAACCGTCACCATACCTCCTCTAAAACATCCATTCTTCTGTCTTTCCCCAAAAAGCAAACAAGAAAAACTCCTCCCTATCAGGTTTTACACACTTATGTCTACTGCTAGTCACTTTCAAAAACGCCTTAATAGGCTGAGCACAATAGCTCACATCTGTAATCCTAGCACTTTGGGAGGCCAACGTTGGAGGATCCCGAGCCCAGCAGTTTGAGACCAGCCTGAGCACCACAGTGAGACCCATCTCTACAAAAACTGAAAAAAACAAAACAAACAAACAAACAAACAAAAGCCGGGCACAGTGGTGCACACCTGCAAGTCCCAGCTACTTGGGAGGCTGAGGTGGGGGGATCACTTGAGCCCAGGAAGTCAAGGGTACACTGAGAAGTGATCACACCACTGCACTCCAAATTCAGCCTGGGCAACAGAGCAAGACCTTGTCTCAAAAGGAAAAAGCAAAAAAAACAAAAAACAGCAAAAAGCAAACCTTAACATTCACCAAACTGTATACTTACAACCTCTGCTTTTTTTTTTTTTTTTTTTTTTGAGACTGAGTCTCACTCTGTCACCCAGGCTGGAGTGCAGTAGCACGACCTTGGCTCACTGCAATCTCTGCCTCCCAGGTTCAAGTGATTCTCCTGCCTCAGCCTCCCGAGTGGCTGGGACTATAGGCGTGCACCGCCAGGCCCGGCTAACGGCTAATTTTTGTTTTTAGTAGAGATGGGGTTTCTCCATGTTGGCCAGGTTGGTCTTGAACCTCTAGCCCCAGGTGATTCGCCCACCTCAGCCTTCCAAAGTGCTGGGATTACAGGCATGAGCCACTGTGCCCAGCCTTTGACCTCTTTTTTTTTTTTTTTTTTTGAGACGAAGTCTCACTCTTGTCCCCCAGGCTAGAGTGCAATGGTGCGATCTCACCTCACGGCAACCTCTGCCTCCCGGGTTCAATCGATTCTCCTGCCTCAGCCTCCTGAGTAGCTGGGATTACAGGTGCCTGCCACCACACCCAGCTAATTTTTGTATTTTTAGTAGAGATGGGGTTTCACCATGGTGGCCAGGCTGGTCTCGAACTCCTGACCTCAGGGCATCTGCCTGCCTCGGCCTCCCAAAGTGCTGGGATTATAGGCATGAGCCACCATGCCCAGCCTGACCTCTGCTTTTTACTGTGTGTGTTATATATATATAGTCCAGTAAATAAAATAAATGCCTTCAACATTAAATAAGTGCCCCCAAATAATCTGATTCAAGTCACTCATCCTCCTGTTCTCTGAATTTTGACAACTTATATAACATCACCTCTAAAAGCATTGCATTTTCTTATCTTTCTAATACAACAAATAAAGGAAATGGTTGCTCACTTCTATGTGAGGCACACAAAAAGATAAATGGCAAGTAACATGAAGGGAGAAAATCAGGCTGACTTTGATCTGTCAGAAAAAAGAAGCTTTCAGAGCAAAATTCATCAAAGGCATTTAATTCCTATTCTACAGATTAAGTATGAGTAGAAGCAACGCAAAAGGGCCCCGTAGACCTGGAAGATGAGGCTTAGCTCATGTAAAAATGCAGCATCCTCATAACTGCTTTAATTATATTTTCCACAGATATTCATGAAAATAGAAGGCAAAGAGAAGGGATATTAAAACAAAGGTATATTAAGCTTTGAATATTCCAGTAAAAGGCACCAAATAAACATAATGTATTAATATATTAGCTCAACTAGTTATTTTAATTCAGTCAGATTCACCCATAATCCAAAGCACTCTAGTTTGTAGGGGGTGGTTCTGATATGCATACATACTTACTGAAAAAAGTTAACATGAAAATCCCATCATTTCCTATCCTCAGCTGGTCAGCATCATCAAAATCATCCCGACCCACAAAATCCTCATCCTAAATGAAAAGAAAAAGAATTATTTCTAGGCAAAGGGAAGACATAAAGAAAAATGAAGGGTTAAATTTGAGTAGCAAGGAAAAAAGTTATTGCTTTGGTTCAGTTCAAAATTATGAGCATTAAAGGCTCAATGTGTGTTTAAAATTCCATTTTGCATTATTAATATATAATTAGAAAAGAAGCAAATCTTTCTTCTATCCCCAGTGTTCTAAATGAAATTTTCATCTTATAACCCAAGTTCTTTAACAATACACTTCAAAAATTTAATACACTTCAAAAACAATACACTTCAAGAATAGTTCACAAAGAACTATTTACTCTTCCTTTAAAAAAATATACCTCAAGAAAAGACAAAAGACAAAATTTACTTACACATTTGGTTTAAATTCTAGAATATCAGTAATCGAGGACCTGTTTAGGACCTAAAATATTAGTAATTAGAGATAAAATCAGCCAGGTGCAGTGGCTCATGCCTGTAATCCCAGCACTTTGGGAGGCCAAGGCAGGCAGATCACGAGGTCAGGAGATCGAGACCATCCTGGCTAACATGGTGAAACCCGTCTCTACTAAAAATACAAAAAAATTAGCCGGGAGTGGTGGCGGGCACCTGTAGTCCCAGCTACTCGGGAGGCTAAGGCAGGAGAATGGCATGAACCCGGGAGGCAGAGCTTGCAGTGAGCCAAGATCCCACCACTGCACTCCAGCCTGGGCAACAGAGTGAGACTCCGTCTCAAAAAAAAAAAGATAAAATCAACCAGCTCAAGTGCTTTACGAGGCTGATATAGGGGAAAAAAGAATAGTACGATCATACATGAATAGTCCACAGAACTGCCCACTGCTCAACTCCATAAGCATGTATTTGTATTGGTATACAGATCTAAATCTCACTTCTAACCTTATCAGCAGATAAGATCTTTTCCATCCTAACTTGATAACGTAATATTGCAAAACTAGAAATAACATGATCATGAACAATACCAACACATGTGGGCTATCTTTTTAACTGATATAGGTGTGTGTTGAGATATTTAAAAATAATTGAATATATACTTAAAAGTGATAGATTTGTACACAGTTCAATGAGGGCTCCTTAAATGAAAAATATTTTAGGGAATATCAAAACTTGTTGTACACAGAAAAGGGTCTGGAAGACCCAAATTGTTAACAGTGGTTCCCCTGGGGAGTGGGAACTAGAGAAAGGGAAGTCGGTGGCAATGGCAGCTTCCTTTTCTAACTTAACATACTTCCTCTATTGTTTGAAATTTCTATAAAAACGAATTTTTATAATTAATTTTTTAAAACATTAAATACCTAGTATTCTTACTTCGTATCAGCAGAATAAGGTTTTGCCAAAATTAAAAGCTAATTGTTTTTTGCATAACTATTCAAAGATATACTCCAAAAAATATATGGAAGTAACATCTAATAATATTACGAACACCTTCTAACTGTTCTTCCTGTCCTCTTGGTATCTCTTCTACCATGATGCATCCTAGAAATTGCTGCCAAGTTAATGTTTCCAAAACACCACACAAGTCCTCTCATACCCCTGCTCAAAAACTCTGAAGGATTCTCTAAAAGCTACATATGAAGTTTAAATACGCCCATCTAACATTCCAAAGATTCTATAAACAACAGTTGTAGTCAGGACTTTCTATCTCCCTTCACAAACTCTTGCTCATACAAAGCCAATTACTACATCCACAGAACTGCCTTCACCTGGCTGAATTCACACCTGCTTTCTGTGCCTTTTTCCCTCTGGAATGTTCTTACCCATCAAAACTCCGGGCCCACATCAAATCTCATTTTCCCCTATGATCACCCAGTAAAAAGTTTCAGTTCTTGATGCCCACTGCTCTTATGTGTCTTAGTTATCAGTATTTGTGGGCCCTTTACCCTAGTTGGATTTTAGGCTTTTGAATAACAATGAGGAACACTGCCTTATACAAAGCTTTTTACCTATCCACTGTAAAATATACTGCATCTTATATTTAAAAAGTGCTTTATACATGTCTGCTGAATACTAGAGCCCTTTAAGAAGTTCCTAAATATGTACTTGTATCAAATGAAAGTATTCTGAAGAGTTATGTGATTAATCAGAGCTAATTTCCATACTGATCTATTTACCATATATTGCAACAGATCTGCAGAGTACAGTGAAACAAACAAGGACTTTGGATTCTAGAATATCTGGGTTTGACTTTCACTTCTGCTACTTATCAGTCATATGACTTTGGGAAAATTACTTTTTCTCTCTGGACCTAAATTTTCACATCTGTAAAATGGAGATAATATAATCTCTACCTTTCAAGGTTACTATGAAGATTGGAAACAATATACAAAATATATAAAAGCATCAAGCACAGTACCAAGCATGTGGTTTGCTTCCAATATACGGCAGTTACATTATGATGGTCTTGCCCTTAGACACTAGGGTTTTTAGTTTCTCCCTGGTACCTGTAAGAACTGAATGCACATCATCGCCATTTAGGATCATCCTAGATTGGGCTCATAAACTATTTCTACCAAGCAATGATTTTAGGAGCTTCGCTCCTCACAGTAGGTGTGGTCTGCAAACTGTCTACTATCTTAAAGCCAAGAGGGGAACATCTGGGCCTATGCCATCACACTGCCCAGACTAGGCTTCTGTACTTGCTCATCACTCACTCCAGTTACTTGCTAGAATAGAGCCTAGAGGCCTGATGGTCCCCGCATTTCTGGGGACTTATCCTGCTTCCATTCTCCCACAATGCCCTACCTTCATCAGCCTCAATCTGGATGAATATTTACAAAATGACAAATGCAGCACTCACATATCTGACATCAAGAACCAAGAGTGCCCAATAATCTCCACTGGTTTATATGGCATCCCAATCTCCACCTCCATGAATCAACATCAGGCTAGATGGAATCTGAACTCACTATGTCCCCACAAATGACATGATCTGGACTGCTGGAAGAACGGAGTTCATCTAAATCAATGTGAAGATCCCTCTTATGAGTTTAATTCTACAAATTTGCATATATTTATTCTCTTCCTAGACCTCCCTAGCAGCTATCCACCCAACAGCAAAATATTAAGTGTGCAGAATCAAGGAAACATTAGTGTGCTTCTGCTTCAAGATACTTCAGCCATCCCAGGAGACTTGAAAAAGTAGTGGTAATAGGAGAGATGAAGGAAAAATGAGCAGGTCTGACTAGTAATTTACCTCATCATTTTTAAGAAGAGATGAGTTTATTATCCCAAAAGCAAATGTACCTGATTTTTAAAATTAGCTCTACTTTCACTAATCAATACAATCATAAGTAACGAATCAAAATTGGATAATGAAAATAACTTAATTCCCACAGAGCAGCCATCAAGTAACATGGCAAATTATACTCACTCTCCCAGGAACCAAAGGGATAGTAGCTTCAGCCTTGGTCCTCTCCGCTTCATCATAACTGGGCAGTGTTGTAGCTACATTGTAAGATGGGGGCTTTGGAAACCCAGACTCATCCTTGTAGTCAAAATATGCTGCAGAATTTTAACAGTCACAATTTTTTGATGATTAGCTGAATTGAAATAAAAGGAGTTCCACTAACTCTAGCAGACAAAACCCAGCCATTCCCTTAAGAGTACATACATAACAATTGAACCAAAAGACATTCTTAGATGAATGTAAGAGACTGGGGGTGATTTTTAAATGTATCCACTTCTCAATTATTTAAAATCCAGACTTGCTTTGTAACCTTTCTTCCAACTGCTTCTGAAGCTTTTTTTTTTTTAAACTGTAATGTCAAAGCACAGAGTGTTTTTAAGGATTCCGTGATCACCTTGCCCTGTTACCTACCTGCGCTCTCTGCAGAAATGCTGCTGTAAGGTGGAGGAGCATCACCTGCAGCCTGTTCAGGTTCTCCAGACTCTTCTTCATTCTGCAACTAAATAAAAATTTCATATTTTAATGTAAGCATAAAGCCAATTAGAAAGATAAGAACCCAAAAACTGAAATAAATAGCCTTTCTCGAAAGCTATTTGGCAACGTATTTTGAAAGCCTTGAAATGCACAAATCCTTTAAGAAAAGTATTCTACTCCCAGGAAGTTATTCTATGGAAATATTCAAAGAGGCAAAATGGGTACATATAAGTGTTGTGTCAGCAAAAATTAGAAACAACCTAAATTCCAATCATAGGAGACAAATAAATTATAGTACATCACACAAAGGACTACTAAACGGCCATTAAAAATTAAATTTTGCCATCCTGGCCAACATGGCAAAACCCAATCTCTACTAAAAATACAAAAATTAGCCAGGCATGGTGGCACACTCCTATAGTCCCAGCTGCTCAGGAGGCTGAGGCACAAGAATCGTTTTAACCCGGGAGGCGGAGGTTGCAGTGAGCTGAGATGGTGCCACTGCACTCCAGCCTGGGCAACAGAGTGAAACTCTGTGTCAAAAAAAATATACATTAAATTTCAGCCAGGCATGGTGGCTCACACCTGTAATCCTAGCACTCTGGGAGGCCTAGGTGGGTGGGATCGCTTGAGATTAGGAGAGTTTAGGAGTTCAAGACTAGCCTGGGCAACATGGCAAAACAAACCCTGTCTCTACAAAAAATACAAAAATTACCCGGGAGTGGTGGCATGCACCTGTGGTTCTAGCTACTCAGGAGGCTGAGGCAGCAGGATGGCTTGAACCCAGGAGGTCGTGGCTGCAGCGAGCTAAGATTGTGCCACTGCCCTCCAGCCTGGGGCATGAGAGAGACCATGTCTTTAAAAAAAAAAAAATTAAATTTCATTACTCAAATAGATATTTACAGTGTACTATTATTACATGAAAAAAGCTAAACTTGCCAAACAATAGGCATCATATAATCCTTTTTAAAAAGGCAGACATATAATGGAAAGGAGGCCTAGAATGAGACATTTACAGTTCAACACTGTTATTTCTAGGTAATAGGAGTACAGGGGAATTTTTCCTTTTTGTTGTGTATCTGCATGTTCAAATATTTTGTAGTGAATATTTATCACTTGCATACTTTTTTTTTTTTGGAGAGACAGGATCTCACTCTTGTTGTCCAGGCAGGAGTGCAGTGGCACAATTATGGCACACTGTGACCCTGGCTAACTTTTTTTAAAATTTATGTTTTGTAGAGATGGGGTCTTCCTGTGTTGCCCAGACTGGTTTAAAACTCCTGGCCTCAAGTGATGTATACTTTTTTAAAGTTAGAAAAATAATCTGTTAAGACAAAAGACAAATCACAGACAAACCATGTTACCATTATATTCCACATGCACACCAAATTAAATCTTAAATAATTGAGACACTTATGAAAACATAAAATTCTCCCTAATTCTACATATATCTGTCAATAGATATCCCTTTTCCCTATCTCAGCAACTTTTCTGCCAGTCAAATCTTCAATTTTTTAAAATAACTCGCACTGAAAGTGTCTGCTGTTGCTAGTCTGTATAGTCTACACAAGTCATCTTCATAGAATAAAGACATTTCATTTGGTTTTTCCAGTCCAGTGTGACAATGAACTATATTAATTTAAAACATGAGTTGGCTGGGACTAGGAGCCAATCTGAAAATTAATAACAGAATATTTAGTGATATAACTGACGTAGGGGTCTGGTCCTGGCTTCGGTATCATCAGGATATACAGAGCCAACTGACATACTTGTAAAATACATACCACCTCTAAACCATACCGCTACAAAGAACTCTATCTTGAATTGAGACAGAAAAACAGAGAGACCGAGGTGTACTAATGTGAAGTAGAGCTCCATAATCCATTAAATTTTCTTTCTTTCTTTTTTTTTTTTTTTTTTTGAGATGTAGTTTCGCTTTTGTTGCCCAGGCTGGAGAGCAATGGTGGGATCTCGGCTCACTGAAACCTCCACCTCCCAGGTTCAAGCAATTCTGTTGCCTCAGACTCCAAGTAGCTGGGACTACAGGCGTATGCCACCAGACCTGGCTAATTTTTGTATTTTTAGTAGACGTGGGCCAGGCTCGTCTCAAACTCCCGACCTCAGGTGATATGCCTGCCTTAGCCTCCCAAAGTGCTGGAATTACAGGCGTGAGCCATTGTGCCCGGCCACAATCCATTAAATTTTAACTGATCATCTCAATCTCCACTCACTATGCTGTTCAAAACCAGATGTCAATAAATTTTTCTGACTAATACTACAAAAGCTTCAATTTCAAATGAATTCTTGTGTCAAATTCTCATCAGCATCTACCATCTGGGTACATTTTTTCGAATCCTAGTAATCTAATGTTAAACTTAAGGTACTCCCAAAATAGCTGTATTATAACCTAAGATAATTTTTCCTTTTAAACAAAGACATGTGGCCAAAATAGGTGCAGTAAAGCCAAATGCTCCTGGGACACCGAACTAGGAATTACTTAAATAGAGTTCTTGGGACCATGGTTCACCTAAAATACTGGTTTTAACATTATTTGAAGCTCTTGGCAAGGTATTCTTAGCCTCCTCACACCTAACCACTCTTGTGCTGTGGGAAGGTCACCAAAAGAAGCAGAAGAGTCAGCAGCAAGAACAAAGGCAAATACAGACTTTTCGAATATGTTCCCTTAATATACTGTAGCCAGTAATGAACTTCATTTAAACCTAGCTTGGTTTATACTTAACCCGTTTTATATTTCCTGAGCTTGGTGTCAAAGTAATCACGTTACCCCTGCATAATTTAGGTCTCAGAAAGGAAGCATGACAATTCTAAGAAATACAGAAATCCAAAGAACAAAGAGGTTAAGAGGTCTTCTATGACAATATTTATAAGATAGGCTGCCTGTCTCCTGGAAACTTGGAAATGTTAAATTTGATCATCCCCCACCATAGTAAAAGATGACAGTGCAAATAAATTCCAGCCTTCTTAGAACCACCAATTTTCACTTTGGTAAGGAAAAAAACACTTCCAGGTGAAGAGTTTGCTCCACTAAAATTCACTACTTTAGAATAGTGTACTTTTTTCAATTGAAAAATAAAAACAATTTAAAACACCATTATGACTATGGTATAATCCCAAGACCTCACTGTACAGGCTTCTCACTCTGGCTTATTTCTATAATGCTGGTGATAAGATTAGGCTCCATCAAGAAAGCTGTTTAAAACAAAACACTGCAATGTAGGGGGATCGCGGGGAGAGGCAATCACCTTCAAAAAGAGTAAGCACTTAGTGCCTGCCATCTGCATGCATAATAACTTGCTGAACAATGGAATCCTTAAATATACATCTTTTTACACTTCAGGGGCAACAAGTCAGGCATTCACTAACAAGTGGAGGAACCATGTGCGCTAGAACTAGAGTGTGCTATAAAATTGATTACTTGGTTCCAAAATTTATTTTTAAGATTCCCCTTTTCCACCCCTGGGAACCCTTCTGTGCAGCCTCCCTGCCATGTCCCTGGAGCTCAGGGATCTTCGGGCTCTTTCCTGACACTTTCTGAAAGAATACGCGGCATTGTCACGTTTGGGTTAGAGTTGGAAAGATGCTCAGTCTCTTCCATCAACTGGGTCAGTGGAAGCCCGAGTCCAATTTAACTGTCACAGAATCTGGGTTGTAGGGGATACTCAGAGAGACAGATCTGAAAACTGGGACAGATCTGGGAACTTCTGCTCTCAGTGCACAGAGATGTTGGGCAAGGGTAGGGGGGATATCCTTTGAGTGACTGTGATAGATAATAAATAGCTGTTGGACACTGGATTTTTTTTCCTGTCATATAATTTCTGACCAATTTTACTAAACTTCAAATATGATTTATTTTTTTGAGACAGAATCTCACTCTGTCACCCAGGCTGGAGTGCAGTGGTACCATCTTGGCTCACTGCAACCTCTGCCTCCTGGGTTCAAGTGATTCTTCCGCCTCAGCCTCCCAAGTAGTTGGGATTACAGGCATGCACCACCATACCTGGCTAATTTTTGTATTTTTAGTAGAGATGGGGTTGTGCCATGTTGGCCAGGTTGGTACCAAACTCCTGACCTCAAGTGATCCGCCTGCCTCAGCCTCCCAAAGCGCTGGGATTATAGGCGTGAGCCACCATACCCGGCTGAAATATGATTTAAATGGCATTTTTTCCAAATACAGCTATACAATTACCTACACAGGCCATACAAAGTAGAGTTTAATACAGAACTACCTATAACTACCTATGCCTCCATCGCTAAGAAATAAATAATCCAATCACCTGAGAATTCAGATGACCTTTCACTTTCTCACACCCAGAGTGTGCCATTACTCTTTTCCTGATTACCTTTGCTCCCTTCTATGTGCTGAGCAGACTAGAATGGCTCCCCAGAAGAACCCTAAAACTCTTCCTACTTCAGATATGTCACAATCTGCCATGGTGCCTTTGGCCTTGATGACCTTCAATTTTAAGAAAACATTTATTTACAAATAGGTGCTACTAAGGTTTTGTTCTCAAGTCACACCTGTAATCCCAGCACTTTGGGAGGCTGAGGTGGGCGGATCACTTGAGGTCAGGAGTTTGAGACCAGCCTGGCCAACATGGTAAAATCTCGTCTCTACTAAAAATACAAAAATCAACCAGGTGTGGTGGCATGCACCTGTAGTCCCAACTACTCGGGAGGCTTAGGCACGAGAATCACTTGATCCGGGGAGGTGGAGGTTACAGTAAGCTGAGATCAAGCCACTGCACTTCAGCCTGGGCGACAAAGTGAGATTCTGTCTCAAAAATAAATAAATAAATAAAATAAAATAGAGCGTTTTTTTTTCCCTCCTTATCACCTTCCTCTGTATCTAGGTCCTATTGTTATTAAAAATAAATATGACATTTTTATGAATCTCCAACACAGAAATCATATATAGTTCTAATTCTAATAGAAACAAACTTGAATTTAACACGTTTAAGACATTATACCCTACAGATTTAAACTATTATTTGAGTTCCCAATCAGCAAGAAAGCTTCACCACCGCCCTCCTCACTAAGCAGTTCTAAAATGAGTTGTTTTTAAGCAATAGCAGAGCTGGGGCTAGGATTAGGGCTAAGCAAGGGGCAACATTTATAACTGTAGCAAATGGCAGGACCTAAAGGCACTTAAAAGTCATTCTTGGATTATCTATATTTACTAAGAATGAGAGAACAACAAAAAACCCTACACTAAACAAAACCCATAAATCCTTATATATGAGAAAAGGTATCAACATACACCTCAGAATTCATACAAACAAACAAACAAAGCACGTGAAAAATAATGCTGAAGTATCCAGTAAGTCCATAAAGTTGCAAGTATTTTCACTACTTAATTTTTTCTTGGTTTGGTCATATTTAAACAGCAAGAAAATTCTTGTAAGTTTCAAGTCCCTTCTTTAAGTTATTAAAAATAAATATCAGAAAATTCTGGGTCAATGCTTGAACTCTAGTTTTGAATGTTATTTACTACTTCTATCTTAGAGTTAATTGCTAAAACTTTTACCTTAAAATGCAATTTTTAAAGCTCTCATTACCAACCCACTACTTCTGCATAGTCCCTAAATCCTACCAAAACAAGGCAGTATAATTACAAAAAGTAAACAAGCACATTTCTTTTGGTAAACAGCTGAGTATGCTATTTTACTGCTGTTCAGAAATAATCATTAAGTTTGTGTGGCCTGTACATTTACTTTATATATTGTAAATATAAACTCTGTTATTCTAACATCACCAAATTATTTACATTCAAGAAAAATTCTCTATCTAATTGTTATTAATTAGGGGAAGATATTTTAAATAATTCTGACAAGATAAGAGAGACTAAACAATAAAAAGGCAACCCAATTATAAAATGGGCAAATGATTTGAACAGACATTTCTCCAAAGAAGATATACAAAAGGCCAGTAGACACAAAATGCTCAACATCATTAAGTCAGCAGGAAAACGCAAATCAAAACCAAGACTCAATACCACTTCATGCTTACTAGGATGGCTATAATAAAAAAGACAGACAATAACAAGTGCTGAGTATGTGGAGAAACGGGAACTCTAATACACTGCTGGTGGGAATGTAAAATGGTACAGCTGCTGTGGAAAAGTTTGGCAGTTCCTCAAAATAAGTTAAACATAGGCTGAAAACACAGTGGCTCAGCCTGCAATCCCAGCACTTTGGGAGGCTGAGGCAGGAGGATCACTTGAGGCCAGGAGTCTGAGACCAGCCTGGGCAACACAGCAAGATCCTGTCTCTACTAAAAATTTAAAAATTAGCCAGGCATGGCGGCACACCTGTGATCCAGCTACTCAAGACGCTGAGACAGGAGGATCACTTTAGCCAAGGAGTTCAAGGCTGCAGTGAGTCCAGTCTAGTCTGTTGCTCAGTCTGAGCAACAGAGTGAGATCCTGTCTCAAACAAAAACAGCAACACAGATTTATATTAACATCAAGCAATTCCACTCCAAGGTATATACCCAAGAGAACTGAAAACAAGTTCACACAAAAACTGGTACATGAATCTTCACAGTAGCATTATCCATAATAGCCAACAATGTTCATCAACTTACGAAGGGATCGACAAAATGTGGCTTATCTGTACAATGAAATATTATTCACCCAGAAAAAATGAGATACTGACACATGCTGAAATATGGATGAACCTTAAAAACATTACAGTACAAGAGGCCGGGTGTGGGTAATCCCAGCACTTTGGGAGGCCGAGGCAGGCAGATCACGAGGTTAGGAGATCGAGACCATCCTGGCTAACAAGGTGAAACCCCATCTCTACTAAAAATACAAAAAAATTAGCTGGGCGTGATGGTGGGCACCTGTAGTCCCAGCTACTTGGGAGGCTGAGGCAGGAGAATGGTGTGAACCCGGGAGGTGGAGCTTGCAGTGAGCCGAGATTGCGCCACTGCACTCCCGCCTGGGCGACAGAGGCGAGACTCCGTCTCAAAAAAAAAAAAATCTTCAAGTTGCTCATAGGGAGCCAAAAAAAAGAAAAGAAAAACCCACCAAACCAATTACCAGAGTTAGACTATCCTCAATATCTCCCATGGAAAAGATAAATGAAAATCCTCTCAATAGCAAAATGAAAACACATTTAAAAATCAAAATTTGCCAAAGGAAAAACTAAGTAATCAGAATAATGTTTTAAAAAGTCAATACAATAACAGATGAAAAGAATACCCTAATTTTGCAGTAAATCCCCTCACAAAGCTAACCGTTTGTAAAGCTTTCTATTTAAAATTTTTGTGGTTATCATCACTGTTAATATGTATCAATATAACTGATGAGTACACCTTGGTTTTGAAAGAGAAAATTATTTATGTTAGAATGAGTCCTTAGAAATGAAAGCACAAATACTGTGACCTATGATCATCAATTTTATGGTTTTCTTCTGATCTTCCTATTCTTTACATAGGTCCAAGTAACAAGTGAAGGCATGCCATCCAAAGAGAAAGGCAAGGAACTAGCAGAAATCAACCCTCATCCCCGAAGGCACTAATTAGCCAACCATGGTTATGGTAGTAGCACTGCAAGGTTTTGGGGTGGCACCAGAAAATTATCATCAACCTGCCAACCCCTGGGATCTGTGTCTGACATCCAAATATTTCTAGTACTGATGGCTCCACCAAGATATTATCAAGCAAATAATCCTCTGTTTTCTGGCACCCAGCTTGAGGAAAACCTACAGCCAAGAGCCTTTGAGGTTAACGGTAGGTCCTTGATGGGTCATGATCTTACAAAGACTACGGAAATAAGGAGCGACAATTGTTCAATATTTCCAAATAGTTAATAGCAAGTCTAGCTGCTCATGAACATATAGCATTTTAAATTAAGAAGTAGCATCTACACTATTTATAACCAGTCCATATCCTCAGTAATGTGAGTTCTTTTTCTCCACTTCTTGGTTCCATAAGAAAATTCAGGCTTAGCTCAGAGCTCCAGGGCCCATTTGAGAAGGATTTAAAGCCCTAGAGAAAGACAAGTTGAAAAGGAGACTACACACCTGGCTCCCTGACTTTGACAGAATAGCAGGAACTGGTCATCTTTTGTTTACAGAGTAAACAATACTAAAAATAATGGCTGTATCAGACTCATTTTAAAATAATTTATATAAAATCTAGTCCATAATTTAAATGCAAAGGTGGTAAATACATTCTGTTTTAACCTCTCAAGACCCCGTATATAGATTTCATCTAAGATATGTTAAAGCTCTAAAATAGAAACATGGAAGCACAAACAAGCTCCTAATTATTTGTCATTTAAAATGATACATTAAGCAGCTCCTTCCAAAGGAGAAAAAAAAGTCACAAAAGACCATGGACTACAACTGGCATCTATTCAAGAATTATTTTATGGCTGGACATGGTGGATCTCACCTGTAATCCCAGCACTTTGGGAGGCTGAGGTGGAAGGACTGCTTGAGCCCAGGAGTTCAAGACCAGCCTGGGCAACATAGCAAGACCCTGCCTCTTAAAAAAAATAATTCTTTTAGATTTCAAGAACAATTTTAAAAATCACTTGTTTGGGCCAGGCACAGTGGCTCATGCCTGTAATACCAGCACTTTGGGAGGCCGAGGTGGGACGATCACTTGAGATCAGGAGTTTGAGACCAGCCTGGCCAACATGGTGAAACCCCATCTCTACTAAAAATAGAAAAATTAGCTGGGTGTGGTGGCATGCCCCTGTAGTCCCAGCTACTTGGGAGGCTGAGGCACGAGAATCACTGCAACCTGGGAGGTAGAGGTTGCAGTGAGCCGAGATTACCCCACTGCACTCCAGCCTGGGCAACAGAGCGAGACTCTGCCTAAAACACAAAACAAAACCAAAACACACACACGAGAACTCTACTATTCATTCAGAAGACACCATTAGGAAAGTGAAAAGAAAATCCAAAGAGCGGGAGGATATATTTTTCAGACAATGGACTTATATCCAAAATATATAAAGAACTTCTTAAAATCAATAAGGAAGCCATTCAATAAAAAAAGGGACAAGACTTGAATAGACATTTCACAAAAAAAGATATCTAAATGGCCAATAAACTTACAAAAAGGTGCTCTATTTCATTAGTCATTATAGAAATGAAAATTAAAACCACAGATGATGACCAAAATAAAAAACAGAAAATACCAAATGTTGTTGAGAATATATAATAACCAGAATTCTCGCACTACACTACTGATGGGAGTATAAACCTGTACAACTACTTTAGAAAACTGTTTGCTAATATCAACAAAAAATGAATTTACACATATCCAGCAATTCCACTCCTAGTTATATGTCCAACAGAAACATTTACATATGATACCAAAAGACACATAAGGAGGGAAAAAGCAACAGTATTCATAAAACTGGAAATTATTCAAATGCCTATCTACAGTAGAATAGGTAAATAAATTGTGGTATTTTCACATAATGAGACAGCAGTGTGCATGAATAAACTGTAACCCACATGGGTAAATTTTGCAACATCATGTTGAGCAAAAGAAGCCAGACTCAAAACAGTATTTACTGTATGATTAGATTCATATAAAGATTTTTTTAAAGAACAGGCAAACTAAACATACCAGTGAGTATGTCCCGGGAGGAGAGTGACTGGAAAGGCACTGAAGGGATCTTTTGGAGTGCTGGCAATGCTGTTTCTGGATTTAAGTACTAGTTAGCTGTGCATGTTCAGTTTGTGAAAATTCATTGAGCTGCACATTTGTGATTGTACATGTTTTTATACATAAATCATACTTCACTAACAATTCAGAAATGGGAGAAGAAAAAGACTGTACGAGGAATAGTGATGCAGACTGTGAGCCCTCTGTGGACTGAGACCTTTGCATGGTTTATCACTGCGTTCACCCCAGCACTTACCAGTGAGTGGCACAGCATGGATACATTAGTGAGTGTTGGCCAAAACAGGCATGGAGGTGGATTTCTAACAGAAACTTAGCTGAAGAAATAGCAGCTAATCTTAATACCATTTTAACTTACCAGTTCGCATCTATGAAAAGTATTCATATTACTTTACAAATCTCCAAATAAATTCACAGGCTATGCATGTAGCCATACACAGATGACTGCTATAACTGTAGAGAGGACAGTGATGATGGTTTCAGGAGAGGAGAACAGCAGGTATGGTATCCCCATCAGTACTCAGCACAAGGAGTGCATTTTAAACATGGAAGAGTTGAGGAGAAACATGGCCTTACAAAGCAACTAAGGCAAAAGCAGCTCTCTCCTACTGACTGGTCTAAAAGAATACGTGTGAAACAAACAAACTTTCAAAAAAGATTGCTATGATTTGGATGGCAGTCACAGGTCTCTGATTTATTATTGTTATTTTGCACAAGGTATATCTATACTATGTATTCCTTTCATATGTATCCATAATTTCACAATAAAAATGAAAAGAATAGTATGGCTTTATAGTTACCAATTTTAGAAAGAAATAACAGAAAAGAAACACAAAGGAGAAACAGGCATCTCCAACCTTTATCTCTTTAGAAATGAGAAATGTTTAACATTTAGTATTCAACCTACAGCACTTAGCATTAAGTGCTCAGGTGTTCAATTAAAGTTTGTATTATATATGAAGGAAAACTTATCTTGATCACAATGTAATTCCTACAATATTGTTTCTTCTAAAAACAACCAATTAGTATATCCCAAGAATGGAATATTCCACATTGAAAAGACAGTGAAATCAAATGTAGACACTGAAAGACAGTGACAGAGCCATGCCTAGAACCCAGGCTTGCATGTTGACTGCAGCCTGCTCAGCTCTGATAGTGAGAAGTTCCAAAAGCTATGCTTGCTCATTAGCCTGGAGTAGAGCATACTCAGGTAGACATTATGGGTGGGAAAAGGTATTCTATTCAGGAGAGTCCACCTTGATTCAGGCCTGGTCATGAGGTCCCCTCTTCCTTCAAGAACAAAGAGAGCCAAAAAGTAGGTGCATCAAGCATTTAATACCTTTCCTGTTACACTATCATCACAGAATGTTTCATTCTACAAGTATTCAACTGCTAGGTTAATTTAACAACTCTCATTAAATGTGTCAGGCCACAACTGATGTGGGGTCTGGGGACAGAACAGTGACATGGCTGGTGTTTTTGGCCTCACTAAGTCTGCAAGTTTAGCAAATGAAACACAAAGAATTACACTTACTGTATAATGTCCAATTAAAGATTAGACAGTTGCCTCTTATTCCTCCTGAAACCCTCTTAAATATAAATGTGAGTAAAATGTTGTTTGTTTAAAGGCAAAAAAACTTACAAGCAACAGGAAAGGAAGCAGCAATAAATTTCTGAAAGCTAGAAGCAGGATGACAAGTGGTAACTGACTCAGCAGACCCAAGAAAGCTAAATCCTAAACCAGAAAGCCAAAAAACAACCTGTTTTGTATCCCCCAAAAGCTCAAGAACTGGTGGCACCAGGTACTGGTAGAAGTACAAGTGAAAATGAGATTTATAAACAGACGAGATTGGGCATGTTCAGAGTGGTATGGCTGTAGACGAGATTTATAAACAGAAAGAAAGTTTGGGCCGGGTGCAGTGGCTCATGCCTGTAATCCCAGCACTTTGGGAGGCTGAGGTGGGCAGATTGCCTGAGGTCAGGAGTTTGAGACCAGCCTGACCAACATAGTGAAACCCCGTCTCTACTAAAAATACAAGAATTAGCTGGACATTGTGGTGCGTGCCTGTAATCCCAACTACTCGGGAGGCTGAGGCAGGAGAATTGCTTCAACCCGGGAGGCAGAGATTGCAGTGAGCTGAGATGGCACCACTGCACTCCAGCCTGGACAACAGAGCGAGACTCCGTCTCAAAAATAATAATAATAATAATTTGACAACAAGTAGCTAAATCAACACTGAATTCTATAGAGAAAGGACTGTGATGATTAAAGGGACTTGGGTTTTATCTGTAGCGCTTTCAATTTTTATAGGATTGTATTCATTGTTAATCAAAATTTAACAATAAGTCTAAGATGAATTTGGTAATAGATATATGAGTGTTATGTTATACTATTCTTGCAACCTTCTCTAAGTTTAAAATTATTTCTAAATAAAATTTTCTTTAAAGGTACTTTAAAAAGAAAGCAAACATGATCATTAGCAGAAAGTTTGGAAAATAAAGAAAAATCAGTCCTACCATTTTTCTTAAAACGTGTTGTTTAAAAAGAAAAAAAAAGACACTATGCATTTGTGAAAATTTATAGAACTTGATAGCACAAAGAAAGAATCTCAAGGTATGCAAATTTTAAAAATCCACTTAGGTGGCTGGAGGATGTATGCAAAATGTGACAAAACAAGATAACTGTATTATAAATGTTTGAAACAACCTCACTCAAGTGGGTGGAGGAAAAGGTGCTGACCTAAGTAACATTTGGAAATAAGTAGAGTTTTTAAGACTAAAGGCAAAGGAACTGTACATATGCTTTGTCCTGTAGTGGTTATAATACTATTTCCCACAGGGGTGTGGGTTAATAATTCTGATACAACTTACACATGTATATCAGAACTGAAGAATGATGTAAATGGATGGTGGAAGTGAGCCAGGTTTCTCCATGTTGGAGTGGGAGTTTATAGATAAGGGGAGTAGGCTAGAGTGACCCATATGGTAACAAATTAGAGGTGGAGATATTAGTATGAACTTATGTTTAGCTTAATATAGATAGATGGTACATACAGAAATAGTTACAGATGTGTATACCCACAGGTTAATATACAGACATATATAGTTCCTTGCTCTGTCAGCTTAGAAGGCCTAAAAGCAATGACACCCTAGTAGCAAGGAGCACAGATCTTGGTTTGTAGTATTATTTTTCAATAAAAGGAACCTAGGCTCCTTGGAAAAATGCCTGATTCTAGGATAGTGCAGGAAATATATAAGATGAGCCTAGTGCCAAAAAGTATGGAAGTGGTTAAAAAAAAATCCACAATGATGGAGGTATGCAATTTAAGCAATAAAATAAAGCAGTTATTGGATAATTGGAAGAATAAAATAAATATTTATGAGTCTATACAGATATAAATACTAAACAAATTATCAGAGCAGAGACAAATGCCCCATGCAGGAAATTCCAAATAATTCATGTCAATACTTGGCCCTCAGCGAGGTGTTACATAACTCCCCACTCCTTATGTGTGGACCATGCATAGTGACTTCCTTCCCAAGAGTAAGTATGGAAAGTGGGGTAAAACGTATCTTTACAGAAGAGAAACCTGAGAAACACTACCTCAGCCAGGTGATCAAGGTCAATGTCAACAATGATAAGTCATGTTGAAAGTGTGCATTCTTGATATGATGTGATGAGAACAGCACTTTACCTGTGGTCTTCCCCCAAATCCACAGCCCCAGTCTAATCATGAGAAAAACATCAAACAAACCCCAATTGAGGGACATTCTACAAAGACCTGACCAATACTCCTCAAAACTGTCAAGCTCATCAAAAACAAGGAAAGTTTGAGAAACTCACAGCCAAGAAGAGCCTAAGGAGACAGGACGACTAAATGTAACATTACCACATTATATCATCCTGGATCCTGGATGGGATCCTGGAACAGAAAAAGGACATTAGGTAAAAACTTAGAAAATCTGAACAAAGTACAGACTTTAATTGATAACAATGTACTAATATTGGTTCAATAATTGTGAAAACCGTACCATACTGATATAAGATGCTAATAGGGAAAGCTGGGCATAGGGCATATGGAAACTCTCTACTGTCTTCTCAGTGTTTCTGAAAAATTAAAAATGTTTCAGCTGGGTGTGCTGGCGTGTGCCTGTGGTCCCAGCTACTTGGGAGGTCAGTGGGGGAATGATCGCTTGAGCCAAGGAGTTTGACGCCAGCCTGGGTAGCAACATAGCAGGAACCCATCTTAGGGGGAAAAAAGTTCCAAAAAGTAAAGTCTATTTGAAAGTACAGATTTATTTAAAAAACATTTAAAGCCAAGGAAAGGTTAAGAAGAAAGCCTGAAGATGGAGGGTTGCAGTGAGCCGAGACTATGTGGCTGCACTCCAGCCTGGGTGCAGAGTGAGGCCCTGTCTCAAAAAAAAAAAAAAAAAAGCCTGTAGAACACACACCAAACTTGAGGAGCAGTTACAGCTCTGCAAAGAGATAGGGAGGAAAGGGAAATCAAGTTTTTCTTTAGAAAGTTACTGTTTGAATCTAGCACATGAAGAATGTATTACTATTTAATACAAAATGCTTAATTTTAAATATCACATTTAAGCATCGAATGATAAAATGAAATCGGCCAGGCGCAGTGGCTCACACCTGTAATCCCAGCACTTTGGGAGATGGAGGCGGGTGGATCACGAGGTCAAGAGATCGAGACCATCTTGGCCAACATGGTGAAACCCCCTCTGCTAAAAATAGAAAAAATTAGCTGGGCGTGATAGCGGGCGCCTGTAGTCCCAGCTACTCAGGAGACTGAGGCAGGAGAATCACTTGAGCCCAGGAGGCGGAGGTTGCAGTGAGCTGAGATTTCGCCACTGCACTCCAGCCTGGCGACAGAGTGAGACTCCGTCTCAAAAAAAAAAAAAAAGCAAAAAAAGAAAATGAAATCATTATTAAACAGGCACCACTCCCTAAACCCTTATATCTCTATTCATAAATTGTCCAGTCTCCAGATAGACCTCCAAATTGTATTCAAGCCTTTGATTATGGTAAGTACTAATTAATATTGCTGAGATAAACTAATTTAAAAGACAAAAACAGAAAAATGGTCAAAGATTATGCTAAATTGCTCGGGGAGGGGGATAAGAAATATATTATACATATGGGCCGGGCACGGTGGCTCATGCCTGTAATCCCAGCACTTTGGGAGGCAGAGATGGGCAGATCACTTAAGGCCAGGAGTTCGAGACCAGCCTGGGCAACGTGGTGAAACCCCATCTCTACTAAAAATACAAAAATTAGCCAGGCGTGGTGGCATGCACCTGTAACACCAGCTACTTGGGAAGCTGAGGCACGAGAATCTCTTGAACCCAGGAGGCGGAGATTGCAGTGAGCAGAGCTCTCACCACTGCACTACAGCCTAGGTGACAGAACCAGACCCTGTCTCAAAAATAAATAAATAAATAAATAAAAAAGAAGAGGAGAGAAGAGAAAAGAAAAATACATATGAAGGTAGCCTGGGCATGGTGGCTCACACCTGTAATCTCTGTAAGCCAAGGTGGGTAGATCATTTGAAGTCAGGAGTTCGAGACTAGCCTGGCCAACATGGTGAAACCCCACCTCTACTAAAAATACAAAAATTAGCCGGGCCTGCTGGCGGGCACCTGTAGTCCCAGCTACTCCAGAGGCTGAGGCAGGAGAATGGCTTCAAACTGGAAGGCAGGGGTTGCAGTGTGCCAAGATTGCGCCACTGCACTCCAGCCTGGGGAACAGAGCAAGACTCTGTTGAAAGAAAGAAAGAAAGAGAGAGAGAGAGAGAGAGAAAGAAGGAAGGAAGGAAGGAAGGAAGGAAATAAATAAATAAATATACATATGAAGGGAACTGCATTAATAAGAAAATATTTCACTAGGAATGCTCTTAAACTTGATCAGTGCTAGTATTTAGGACATTTAATATAAATTATGTTATTCAGAAAAATCATGAGTAAGCCTTATTGTAACAGCAGGATGTGCTAAGTGATATCAAGTTACACTTGCTTTACTACCACTCTTGGTCAAGTTAACAAGACATATCATACAGTCATCCCTCAGTATCCACTGGGAATTGGTTCCAGGACTCCCCACAGATACCAAAATGGGAGGATGCACAAGCCTCTGACATAAAATGGTATAGTATTTACACATAACCTACCTCATGTACTTTAAATCATCTTTACTTATAACACTTAATACAATGTAAATGCTATGTAAAATAGCTGTTATAGTGTATATTTTACTTGCACTATTATTTATTATTGTATGGTTATTTTCCCCTATTTTCAATCTGCAGTTGGTTGAATCTGCGAATGTAGAACCTGTGGATACCCAGAGCCTACTCTAACTCATACCCCCACCTAGCCAACCACTAGAAGCAATTACCACTGGAAAGTATGTCAAGCCCAAAAAATTTCATACATGATGTTTGCCAGTTGCCTAGCTTATTGGCAACAATGACTTGAAAAAAAGATAAACCATCATGCCAATTTTCAGTATGAATGGAACAGAAGTATTAAAGTTGCTTTATCTAAATTGTCCATTATTATAAGAATATAGGCCGGGCGCAGTGGCTCACACCTGTAATCCCAGCACTTTGGGAGACCGAGGCGGGCAGATCACTTGAGGTCAGGAGTTCAAGACCAGCCTGGCCAACATGGTGAAACCCCATCTCTACGAAAAATACAAAAAATTAGCTGGGCGTGGTGGTGGGCACCTGTAATCCCAGCTACTCAGGAGGCTGAGGCAGGAGAATCGCTTGAACCTGGGAGGCGGAGGTTGCAGTGAGCCGAGATCGCGCCATTGCCTTCCAGCCTGAGCAAGAAGAAAGACACTCCATCTCAAAACAAACAAACAAAAAAGAATATAATTCTTCTAAGCTGTTGTACTTGCTTAAAGGTAAAACAAGAACATTTTAAGAAACCAAAATAATTATTTTAAAGCCCTAAAAACAAATAAATCTGAGGATGTCACTTGAATCTCTTGGAGACTTTTTTTCTTTCTTAATAAAAATATGAAGTTATTCTCATGGTAGGATTTACTTTATAATCTACCATAAAATTATGAAATATAATTAATGTCTAGGATAAAACAATTTGAAGTTATGTGCAGTTAAACTACTGGTGGCATCAGCTTAGAGCAAAATTCCCTAGAGCAGTTCAACTGGGCCTTGGTTTCTGCCCAAACCAGGAAGCACTGCCCTATTTTCAGGACACAGATAGTATGATTAAGCCAAATAAATCTTGCCTAACAAGTGGTCACCCATGGGATCAGGTAAGAAAACAAGGATAGATTAACAGGAATCTATCACTGCTACAAAAACAAAGCATGAGGCTTGGCAAGAGTGAGCCCAATCAATACAAAGGACAGTTAGTTATGGATCCACAGCCCGACACTGACAAATCCTGTTTCCATACTCCTCACAGATTACAAGAGAGCTCTCATGATATATTCCTCATGTGATATCTTCTTGAAATATCATACCATTTGTTTTCTTTTAGCGTTACACATAGAAATATTTATCAATATATGATTTCTAGGATTCGTTTCAAAATAATGTGGTGAGTATAAGTGAAATAATATTGGCCATTCATTCACAATTGCTGAAGCTGGGTGATGGTACATAAAATTTCTTACACTACTTTATTATTGTATGTGTTTGAAATTTCCATAGTAAAAAGTTGAAAATGTAAACATCATGAAGAAATTACTCCTACAACTCGACAACAAAAAACTCAATTCAAAAATGAACAAAGAACATGAATACACATTTTCTCTAAAGAAAATATCAATGGCCAATAAGCACATGAAAAGATGCTCAACATCGCTAATTATTAGGGAAATAGGGATCAATACTGCAATGAGATACCACTTCACACCCATTAGATGGCTACTATCAAAAAAACAAAAACAAAAAAGAGAACATAACAAGTATGTTGAGGATATGGAGAAATTGGAATCCTTATGCATTGTTGGTGGGAAAATAAAATGGTGAAGCTGCCATGGAAAACAGTATGGGAGTTTCTCGAAAACTTAAAAATAGAATTGCCGTATGACCCAGCAATTCCATTTCTGGGTATATCCAAAAGAACTGAAAGCAGGGACTTGAAAGATATTTGTAGACTCATGTTTTTTATAGCAGCATTACTCACAATGACCAAAAGGTAGAAGCAAACCAAGCATCCGTCAACAAATGAATGCATAAACAAAATGTGGTACATATATAAAATGGACTATTATTCAGCCTTAAAGAGGCAGGAAATTCTGACACATGCTACAACATGGATGAACTCTGAAGACATTATGCTAAGTGACATATGCCAGTCACAAAAGGACAAATCCTGTCTAATTCCACTTATGAGAGGTACCTACGGTAGTCAAATACATAGAAAGTAGAATGGTGGCTTCCAGGGGCTGGAGGAGGGGGAATGGAGAGTTATTGTTTAATGGATATGGAGTTTCAGTTCTGCAAGGTGACAAAGTTCTGGAGATGGACTGGTTCCACAACAATGTGAATGTACTTAATGCCACTAAACTGTATACTTAAAAGTGGTTAACATGGTAAATTTTATGTGTATTTTACCACAATTAAAGTTTTCAAAGGAATAATTTACCCATCTTCCTAATATTTTTATAAATTTTCTTTGATCACTGACCATGTAGGCCACAAATACAGCATATAACTTAAGAAACTTTGACATTTAGGTTATGTTGGCATTCTGTGATATAACTTCTTTTGAAACTGAAAAATAAGCAAAAAAGCCACATAAGCACTATTCATTCCTTCCTCCAGGATCATTACTTCATCTAATAATTTAACATGAATATGGTTTGACCTATCAGAGATGAAATTCTTATGCTCATCAAAATATTCCTCCATAATCCTGAGAGAATTTATCCAAAAGTATACCATTCCAAAATCTGCACTATAATGTCATCAAACTATCATACAGAGTATTGGTGATGCTCACAAGTGGGCAACTTCTTTAGCAGGTAATGAGGCAAGTCCAGAACTAAACATTCTGTAATCTGTTTGAACCTACATGGCAGTGTCATCATCACCCACTTACATTGAATTCAAATCCAAGTATCCCAAAATACTTGAAATGAATTGGCAAAATTCATGCACACATCTACCGCAGAAGATCTGCGTTCATCTATGGATGAACGGGAGTTAACGTCCTCAGAGAGAGAAACACGCAACAGGTTTCTCAGCACTCAGTATGGGCCTACTTAGGTCTTTCTAAAATAGTGCTTCCATACTGTCTGAGACAGTCTCAGTTTCAAAAGGCAAAAATGAAAAAAAAAATAAAATAATGCCAGGGGAACCTATAAGCCTAGCCTCTTTTTTTTTTTTTTGGACAGAGTCTCACTTCGTCGCCCAGCCTGGAGTGCAGTGGCGCGATCTCGGCTCACTGCAATCTTCACCTCCCGGGTTTCTCCTGCCTCAGCCTCCCGAGTAGCTGGGACTACTACAGGCACGTGCCACCACGCCCAACTAATTTTTTGTATTTTTAGTAGAGATGGGGTTTCACCATGTTAGCCAGGATGGTCTCGATCTCCTGACCTTGTGATCCGCCCACCTCGGTGCCTTTTTTTTTTTTTTTTTTTAAGACAGTCTTGCTCACCCAACCTGGAGTACAGTGGCGCGATCCCAGCCTACTGCAAACTCTGCCTCCTGGGTTCAAGTGATTTTCCTGCCTCAGCCTCCCAAGTAGCTGGAGTTACAGATGTGCACCACCACACCGTGCTTTTTTTTTTAAACAGAGTCTTGCTCTGTCGCCAGGCAGGAGTGCAGTGGCACGATCTCAGTTCACTGAAACATCTGCCTCCCAGGTTCAAGCGATTCTCCTGCCTCAGCCTCCTGAGTAGCTGGGACTACAGGTGCACGCCACCACGCCCAGCTAATTTTTGTATTTTTAATAGAGATGGGGTTTCACATGTTGGCCAGGATGGTCTCAATCTCTTGACCTCGTGATCTTTGTGATCTGCCTGCCTTGGCCTCCCAAAGTGCTGGGATTACAGGCATGAGCCACCTTGCCTGGCCATTTTTTGTTTTGTTTTGTTTTGGTTTTTTTTGAGACAGTCCCACTCTGTCACCCAGGCTGGGGTTCAGTGGCACAATCTTGGCTCACTGCAACTTCTGCCTCCCAGGTTCAAGCAATTCTCCTGCCTCAGCCTCCCAAGTAGCTGGGATTACAGGTGAGTGCCACCACACCTGGCTAATTTTTGTATTTTTAGTAGAGGCAAGGTTTTGCCATGTTGGCCAGGCTGGTCTCGAACTCCTGACCTCAAGTGATCCGCCCACCTCGGCCTCCCAAAGTGCTGTGATTACAGGTGTGAGCCACCACACCTGGTTGAGCCTACCCTTTCTGCATAGTCTGTCACTATGCTAAATTCAAGTTGTCCACATATTACACTACCAATAAAAAGACCATAAAGACAAAACTGTGTTTGCATTTATGAATGAATCATACAGTTTTCCATTACATTTACTTGGTGAGAAAACTAGCTCAATTTGATTAACCAGATCAAATAGAAGTCAGAACAGCCCTGTGTGACAACCAAAGAGTATCATGCTCCTATCAAGTTGCCTGGACAATTCACCATCATTCTATAATTCAAAAGCCTTTTAAAAATGCATATTCGCTGACCAGGCATTTCCATGGCTAGTAATTTATGCTAAGGAAACGGTTGAAGACGTATGTGAAATAAATTTCAATGAAAAAAACTGTAAACATTCTTAGTGACCAAAGATAAGCAATTAGTTAAATTATGATTCAGCCATACAATTACATGCCATGCAGACATTAAAAATATTTTATATAGAAGACATTAATAACATTGTGTGAAGAACATTACAAAATAGAATTATGAACCTATTTCATTATTTATCTAGCATGCCTTTGTAGATACATGTGCATGATACACATGTGCAAATGTATGAATGCACATGTCTGAGAACAAGATACACATGGACACGTGCAAAAGTATGTGCAAGTATGATCGGGGCTCATAAAACTGCACACAAATGTACAAAGATATGTCTGTATACGTATATATGGGTACATAAGAGAATACATATGCATGTGTATATATCTGCTAATGCATACACCTATATCTGGACTGTGAGCCTGTGTTTTAAGTAGGTGAGTGTGTGTATATCCTTATAATCACTACTTAGCAGCCTGTGACCTTGAGGCAAGTTACTGAGCCACTTTGAGTCTTTGACAATGAGAACAAACCCTGGTTCATAAGGGTTTGGTATGAATTAAAAGAAAAAAAAAATGGATGTAAATTACTTAATACTGTGATTGTTGCATAAAAAAATCAATATTAGCTTTCCTGCATTCCTTATCTGTACACACATATACTGATCTATAACTATGTATATTTACATAGCTATAAACCCACAAGAATGCACATTAAAATATTACCTTTGGTTATCTATTTGGTTTTTGTTTAGGGAGGGTTTTGCAGTTTTTTGGGCTTTCATCTTTTACAATTTTTCTAGGAAGATTTTTTTCTCTTTTTTTTATACTTCAATTCTGCATAATTAAAAAATATTAAATGCCACACTAAGGAATACATGATTTTGATACTCCAGCAAATTTTTTATATTCTAGCAGTATGTCAGCATTACCTAATAGCTCAAGAAGATGGCAGTACAAAGAAAAACCACAGCTCTTTTGCTCGTTAGCCTTATCCAAGTCAGGATGAAAAGGATGAAATCAGATGACAGTATACAGTAGGGGTGATTTGCAAACACTGTGGTGACAGTTAAGTGGCATCTGTTATTCCCATTTTATTAAAGCAGTAAGGAACCCGCAGGCTGCCCAAGGTCATAGAAAAAAAGCATGTGCTAGATCCATGTGCTCTGAAGAGATCTAAGGATTAACTGCATTGCCACAATTTGGGCCGTGTTTATAAAACCAAGAAGTGAAATTCTTAACTAGTCATTTTGGGAGTCCAAGCCTGAGTGGGGACGGATTGCAACACATGGCTGATGATAGCAAAACAAACCAGTAACCGGCCGGCCGCACCAGGGTTAATCTACGTTTTCATCGTACTGGCTGGCTTTCCTTACTTCTAAAATATAAAATTGTAGATCGTCTAAGATAGGACATTTTATTTGATAAAAGGAGGATTGACATCTGTATGCACCGAAAGCATCTGAAACATGACAAACACAAGCCGTTATTTGCGGTTCCAATCAACATCAGTTTACCACCTGGCTCAATTCCCACCATTACTGTATGTTAGATTAACACTTCCAAAAACCCTGCAGAAGGTCTCTAAATTTCCTGGGGGAACTTAGCTACAGACGCGGAGTGAAACAAGCAGCTCTTTTCCCTGGGGCCTCAATGTATTAAATCAAACCCGAGAAAATGATCCAATCATTTCCTATACATTTCCTCCCCAGCTATGCCATCAAATCTCTTAAAACGTCACTTCCAAGCATTTAAAATACACCCGGCACACGCCCTGCAGACTTCATCGTAGCTCTCCCTTTTGGGGCATCACCACAGCCAAACATCGCCTCTTCCAAATCTACTGCAAACTGCGGGCTTGTCTCTTGCTTCATTTTTTACTTTTGTCTTAAAACGGAGGCGAGGGGGATGGGTTTCGACAAACTAGGCTCTGAAACCCTGAGCAATAGCATCTTGCTGTGGGGAGCTATCGGCAGCAGCAGAGATTTTAATCTTTTCTCTCCACCCAGTTTCCGTTTCATGCTTTTTTCTTTCTTTCTTTTCCAATGACATCAAACCAAAGGTGGAAAAATGAAAAACGAATGCCTCAGATCGATGCCGCCTGTGGGTCGCGGGTTCTGACTCAGGGACCCGCCCGCCCTGGGAAATGCGGGAAACGAGGCCGGGAGGAGGACTTTCCACCGCCGGAGTCCCACCTGGGGTCGCAGACGGGCAGGCCGGGCCCGTGGCAGCCTCGAATCCGAGCCCGGGGCCCGACCCGCCCCTCCAGGCCCAGCGCGGCCTGCCAAGCCCCGGCGTCGAGTTGGCCGCGGGCCGGCCAGAGAGGCCTGAGGCGGCCAGCGGGCAGGGCAGAGCCAGGGACCGGAGTTCGGGGCTGGAGTCGGGCGCCGCTTACCTGCTGGTACCGGCTGCCGCAGGCCGGCTCGACCGCCGCCAGCGCCGCCAACGCCAACGCCATGGCGCAGCCGGCAGCAGGGAAGCAGAGCGAGCGAGCGAGCTAGCTGAAGGGGCGCGGCCGCTGCGGCTTGGGAGCGCTGGGAGGCCGAGGGGGACGCGCCTTGGGTGGGTCTCGATGGCCGCCGCCGCTCCCGGGCGAGACGCTCTTCTCAGGCTGTAAGCACCGCCGCCGCCGCCGAGGCTCCGACGCGGCCCCTGGGGAAGAGGCGGGGACTACGACGACGGCGCTGCGCCGCCGCCCCACCCCCGACTCGCGCCGCCCTGCCCGGCCCGGCCCGGCCTAGCCTAGTCCTGCGCCGCCGCCCCGAGGTGCACCGGCCCTGGTGTAGTTGCTCCGACGACCTGAGCCTCCGAGGCTCAAGTGTTGTATTCGATTCCACTAAAAACGAATTACTAACAGGCCAGCCCAAAGCAAGGGCGATGCTGCTGATGAGCACCTCGTGCCAAGCACTGAGCTTCACCTACGTGCCCTCATCCAGCCTTCAGCACAACCGCCCTGACGCAGGGACCACAACCCCATTCTCGAGGTCGTTGGCAACCAGAGAGGTTGACAATCTTCACAGCAGCGACCTGATCCCTCGTGTCTGGCAGCAGAATCGTGGTTCTTATTCACTCCCTTCTTTTATCTGCCGTACTCATAAACCAGGGGTCAGCCAGCGACAGGGAGGGGGCCAAATCCGGTCTGCCACCATGACTGTGAAAAGTACATGAAATTCAAGTTTCAGTGTCCATAAATAAAGTTTTATTGGAACACAGCAGCACCCATTTGTTTGGTATGGCCTGCAAACCCTATAATACTTGCTATCTGACATTTTACAGAAAAAGTTTGCTAACCCTAAATCCTTGAGAACTGCTTGGATCTCAAATCCTACTTAGGGTGGATGATTATAATAGCATCCTCATGTTTATGCCATCCTTTAGTATTTTAACAGCCTCATCTGCGGAATCGGAAACAATATTTTCCAAAAAAGCTCCCTGACTCGGTGACATGAAGTCAAAACTTGAAGGGTTTGGCCATGCTAAAGGCTTTCCCGACCACAGGAACAGGTGCAAAGGGCGGTCCAGAGAGAGATTGTCTTGTGGAAGAACAGAAAGGAGGCTGGCATAGCTGCCATATAGGAGATACAATTATCAGTGTTTCACAGATGAGGAAGTTATGCCCAAAGAAATTAAATATCTCACCCAATGACACAGAGCTACTAAGGGGTGAAGCTGGAATACAACTCCATTAAGCCAGCTTTCTTACCCAGTATTGCACAACTAAATTATAAGCTTTGTGAAGACAAGAGTATTTGTCTTTTAAATCTTATTACCTCCCAATGCCATGTAGCACAGTATAGCTATATAGCAGGCTTGCAAGGTCTGTTTCTTTCACACCCAGCCATCTGCAATTGCTTCTACCCACATGTCCTACAGAGAAAAACAAAATCTTCCATCTCTGAAGCTTGTTGCAATTCCCATTTCTTCTTCATTGCCTTTCCAAGTTGGCAGTGTAGAGGTTATATTAATATGATTATTGTCTTAGCTTCTAATTTTGAAGTTTAGTTAATTATGTATTTTAAAAGAGAACTGTGTTTAGAACACACCCTGAGGTTTCTGTATATATGAGAAAATTGTAATCAATAAAAACTCTAGATGTTTACCATCTTCACTTTGAGTTCTCTCTCAGCATCCAAACTCCTCTATATCTGTCGCTATTTCCAAGTATTAGTCTCACATATTAACATGCTGGGAGAGCGAACAAATGTAGCAACATTCCAAGCTCTCAAGTCTATTTAGAGCCTCCTTACTCTGTCCCTCAGTTGTTGTTTATAATCCAGAAAAACAACATTTAAATGTAATCAGGTACAGTGAATCAAACATAATGTCCTGCCATGTAGTCTTGTATAAAGGGTGCAAAAATCTAATTTGAAATTTTTTAAAATGTCAGCAGTGGAAAGTAGAAATCCAGACTTCTTTGTCCAGATTGTCTACATTTACGTGTAAGAAAGAATAAAAAAGAATGTCCACTGGGCACAGTGGCTCACATCTGTAATCTCAGCACTTTGAGAGCCTGAGACTCGAGGATCACGTGAGCCCAGGAGCCAGGAGTTCGAGACCAACCTGGGCAACATAGTGAGACACAATCTCTGAAAAAAAAAAAGAAAAAGAAAAAAGAATTTGTCGGCCTACCACATAAGGCTATTGGAGCAACAACTGCAATCTTTATGCATGTCTGCAGTGCTGTGGCTTTTGTGGAAAAGATGTTGCTACCCTTCTATTTCTTTCCTAAATTACTTTCTCCCTCAATATCTATATACTCCCTGCATGTGGACACAAATATTTATCATAATATAAATAACAGGCTTTATCATAGAAATATTTTGCATTGAAAGTAAAAGAAAATTGATCTCCAACTTCTAATCTCCTTTTCCTATGTCCTCAACCAAAATGTTTTGTAGTCACGGTAAAGATTTTGGTCTTTTTTTTCTTGAGTTCCCCAAAGCCTCTAATAAGTAAATTGAGATTATTTGCCTTGATTTGATGGGTGGATAAATTGGAGAATTGAGAAATTGAGTCACTGCTATATTAGGCCTCCAGCTGGCAGGCAAATTGTACAACGAAGGGGAAAACTGAATTTCTGGCTCACAGATCCATGCCTGGTGCAAGCCAAGCAGACAGAGAAGATAATCCAAAGCCATAAAAATTGTGCTCTTTGGCTTCATCTCGAGATGTTGTCAAGAGAGTTTCCACAGAGAAAGTTATTAATTTCAGATTGCTGCACTTAGAAACTTATTTCCCCACAGAATAACAGTAATACTTTCCATGTGCAGTACTGCATATGTGAATTGCTGACTCTGAATCATCCCTCCTGAGAGAGAAAAGAAACATGGACAAGTATAAGCATAACTCATGTCCGTATCCCTTTCCCCCTGCAATATAGATACAAATCTCTAGGATAAATGTGACCTTCTGTCTTTCATATCCACATGAGGCTTGACCTAGGTAGTGCAGAGCTCAGTAAGTAACCAAGAAGGGTTTGTTAAATGTGTTAAATTTAGACAAAAGCCTCATTAGTCTAATATCTCATTTGAGGCCTTGAACTTCTCCAGCTAGTCTTCACAGGGCTCCAATTAAACCATGAAGTTTTATTTCTATGACTTACTACTTCTTTTAATTCTCACTACATTACCACAAGGTTCATTAAGAGCAAAAGGTAATATCTTCATATTACAAATAAAGAAATTATCCACTGATAATTACTACTGTTATGGAGCACTTCCAGAATCTTGGACCTGATGGTACATCATCTGCTTAATCTTCATAACAAACCCATTCTGCAGATTCTTGAAGAGACTCAGGAAATTTACATAACCTACTCAGCTTTGTGAGCGGTGGAGTCGAAACGCAAACTGGGATTTGTCTGGCTCCAAAATGTATGCACTGCTTTGGGTGTGGAGAGAAATACGGGACATAAATAGACAGGAGATAGAAAGTTCTAACCTTTGGAGTCTTCATGATGAAATAGAGATGATAGTAAACACTTATTTGAGACATTTTTAAAATATAAAACTTACAAGTTATTTACAACTGTGTTGAGCTATATTAACTAATGCTGAGAGATAGTGAAGAGAATTATGTGGCCAGCTGGGATAATCAGGTAAGGATTGGGAAGAAAGGGTTTTGAACGAGAAAAGGGCTTTGTTGGCCAGGTGTGGTGGCTCACGCCTGTAATCCCAGCACTTTGGGAGGCCGAGGCGGGAGGATCACCTGAGGTTGGGAGTTGGAGACCAGCCTGACCATCATGGAGAAACCCCATCTCTACTAAAAATACAAAAAACTTAGCCGGGCGTGGTGGTACATGCCTGTAATCCCAGCTACTTGGGAGGCTAAGGCAGGAGAATCACTTGAACCTGAGAGGCGGAGGTTGCAGTGAGCCGAGATCGCGCCATTGCACTCCAGCCTGGGCAACAAGAGTGAAACTTCATCTAAAAAAAAAAAACAGAAAGAAATAAAAGGGCTTTGCTGTCATGGGAAGAGAGAAAGTTGTCAACCTGAAATAACAACAGAGAGATTCTCCAAAGACAGTGAGTTTATTTGTGAATCCTCAAGATTGCAATCTGGGATATGTATGCACCTCATGAAGGGCCATGGATGTACCCAGAGAGGGAAAGGAAGGCAAAGGTTTTAAAGGCAAAATGAGCAAGGTTACATAAGTTGTTTTGAAACTATTAACCTTGGCTACAAGGATCAATAACAAGGGTGGTATCACTCCAAGGCTGAACAGACAGTTCCTAGGCAGACGTCTTTGTGTAAAGTTGTGGTGGCCTTGTTCAAGGTTGTGGTTTTCAGAAAGTGTAACCTAAAAATAGATTTTAACGTAGACATGTGTGCATGAGAGCCCCTCCTTTATGGCCTCCCGACTCCTATTTGTCGGGGTATAGAATAAGTGACTCCATTTTGATTCTTACAACTTTCACAAACTCATGAGTATAATTGTACAAAAGCTTAGAACTTAGTTTAGAACAAAATCTTAGAACTTAGCAAACTTTTAATGTTAAGGAATAGATAGAAATATTTTAGGCTTTGTGAACCATAAGCTCTGTTGCAGCTACTCCACTTTGCCATTGTATTGTGAACACAGCCATAAACAATGCCAAAGTGGCAAGACTGTGTTCCAATAAAGTCTTATTTATGATCATTGAAATGTGAATTACGTATGATTTATTTTTTTATTTTTTTTATTTTTGAGATGGAGTCTCACTCTATCGCCCAGGCTGGATGGAGTGCAGTGGCATGTTCTTGGCTTACCACAAACTTCGCCTCCTGGGTTCAAGAGATTCTCCTGCCTTAGCCTCCCGAGTAGCTGGGATTACAGGCACCTGCCACCACGCCCAGCTAATTTTTGTATTTTTAGTAGAGACAGGGTTTCGCTATGTTGGCCAGGCTGGTCTCAAACTCCTGACCTAAAGCAATCCACCCGCCTCAGCCTCCCAAGGAGCTGGGATTACAGGCGTGAGCCACCGTGCCCAGCCTCAACATATGATTTTTATGTGTCATGAAATAGTATTCTTCTTTTGATTTTTTTTTCCAATTAGTTAAAAATGTAAAAACTGGGCTGGGCACGGTGGCTCACGCCTGTAATCCCAGCACTTTGGGAGGCGGAGGTGGGCAGATCACAAGGTCAAGAGATCGAGACCATCCTGGCCAACATGGTGAAACCCCGTCTTTACTAAAAATACAAAAATTAGCTGGGTGTGGTGGCACAAGCCTATAGTCCCAGCTACTCAGAGGCTGAGGCAGGAGAATCGCTTGAACCCGGGAGGCAGAGGTTGTAGTGAGCTGAGATCATGCCACTGCACTTCAGCCTGCCCGACAGAGTGAGACTCTGTTTAAATAAAAAAAAAAAAAAAAAAAAGTAAAAACTGGCCAGGCACAGTGGCTTATGCCCGTAATCCCAGTACTTTGTGAAGCCGAGGCCAGAGGATCACTTGAGGCCAGGAGATTGAGACCAGCCTGGGAAATATAGCAAAACTCTATCTTTCCAAAAATAAATAAATAAATAAATAAGCCATTAGCCAAACATGGTAGCAAACGCTTGTGGTCCCAGCTACTCAGGAGGTTGAGGCAGTAGGATCACTTGAACATAGGAGTTTGAGGCTGCAGTGAGCTGTGATCACGTCACTGCACACCAGCTCTACACAATAGAATTAAAAAAAAAAACAAAAGTAAAAACTCTTCTCAACTCTCAGGTCAAACAAAGACAGGCAGTAGGCTGGACTTGGCTCCTGAGCAGTAGTTTGCCAACCCCTAGTTTAGTAGCAAGACAAAAGAAGTTATTTGCTATGAGATTAAATAGAGAGTTTAAGCCAGAGACTAATGCAGAACACCTACTGGAAAAGGAAAGGAAAGAGAGAGGAAGATAAGAATTTATGAAAGATCCTAAAATATAAACAGGTAAGTGGCTTTTATGAAACAGTGAGTCAGAGGCCAGATGCTTTGGCTCACACCTGTAATCCCAACACTTTGGGAGGCCAAGGCGGATGGATCACCTGAGGCCAGGAGTTCCAGACCAGCCTGGCCAACATGACGAAACCCTGTCTCTACTAAAAATACAAAAATTAACTGGGTGTGGTGGCCCAAGCCTGCAATCCCAGCTACTTGGGAGGCTGAGGCAGGAGAATTGCTTGAACCTGGGAGGCAGAGTTTGCAGCGAGCCCAGATCACGCCACTGCACTCTAGCCTGGGGGATAGAGCAAGACTCCGTCTCAAAAAAAAAAGAAAAGAAAAGGTGAGTCAGAGGAAAGGGGTTCGTCAAATAAGAATCCAACATGGGACTCCTGATTCCTTGGTTTACCTTCCTGACACTGGAATTCCACAGATTCATTTATTCAGCAAATATTAATTTAGCACCACTATAGATAAACACTGTGACTTTATGCCTAGAACCTGAAACTATTTAAAAAATGGTCTCTCATTTATTCTACAAAATGAAATTAAGAAATGCTGAAAGTGGTTATTTATGTATTCTAGCTACATATGCGTAAGCTTCAGTATGTTGTGTCTTTCTTTTTTTGTGTGAGGCAGAGTCTCACTCTGTCACCCAGGCTGCTGGAGTGCAGTGGCACCATCTTGGCTCACTGCAACCTCCGCCTCCTGGGTTCAAGTGATTTTCCTGTCTCAGCCTCCCGAATAGCTGGGATTACAGGCATGTGCCGTCACGCCTGGCTAGTTTTTGTATTTTTAGTAGAGACAGGGTTTCATCATGTTGGTCAGGCTGGTATCAAACTCCTGGCCTCAAACGCCTTGGCCTCCCAAAGTACTGGGATTACAGGCATGAGCCACTGTGCCCAGCCATGTATGTTGTGTCTTTAACTAATTTCATCTCAAAATATTTTCTTTTTTTTCTTTTTTCTTTCTTTTTTTTTTTTGAGAGGGAGTCTCGCTCTGTCACCCAGGCTGGAGTGCAGTGGTGCAGTAATGGCTCACAGTAACCTCTGCCTCCCGGGTTCAAGTGATTCTCCCCCCTCAGCCTCCTGAGTATCTGGGATTACAGGTGTGCACCACCACGCCCAGCTAATTGGTCTTGAACTCCTGACCTCAAGTTATCCACCCACCTCCCCCTCCCAAAGTGCTGGGATTACAGGCATGAGCCACCATGCCCGGCCTCAAAGTATTTTCTAATTTCTCTTGTGATTTCTTCTTTCACCCATTGGTTATTTAAGACTGTGGTTTGATTTCCATATATCTGCAAATCCCCCAAATTTCTGTTATTTATTTCTAATTTTATCCCATTGTATTTGGAGAACATACTTTGCATCATTTCAATCCTTTTAAATTTATTGACGTTTGTTTTATGGCCTAGATTATCAAATCTACCCTGGAGAATGTTCCATGCACGCTAGAGAAGAATATATATTCTGCTGTTGTTGGGTGGAGTGTTTGTTAGGGAAGTTTAAACTTTCCCTCTGAGGGTTCAATAACTGAGTCTGTTGAAATAAATGGACAAAAGATTAACAGGAGAAGAGGCTATTAACTTGCAAGCCAATGGGAGTCACACCAAGTATGAAACTCAAAGAAGGACCTGACAGATGGAGTTTAAATACCCTCTTCACAGGGGAGATGAAGGCAATTTTAGAGGAAGAGTTATCACTCTTCATATGGTTAGGCTTTGCGTCCCCACCCAAATCTCATCTTGAATTCTAATCCCCATGTGTCAAGGGAGAGACCAAGTGGAGGTAATTGATTCTTGGGGGCAGTTTCCTCCAGGCTGTTCTCATGATGGTGAGTGAGATCTCGTGAGATCTGATGGTTTTATAAGGGGCTCTTCCCCCTTTGCTCAGCACTTCTCCTTCCTGCTGCCTTGTGGGGAAGCATTGCCTTGCTTCCCCTTTGCCTTCTGCCATGATTGTAAGTTTCCTGAGGACTTCCCAACCATGCTGAATTGTGTGTCAATTAAGCCTCTTTCTTTTACAAATTACCCAGTCATGGGCAGTTCTTTACAGCCATGTGAAAATGGACTAATACAAAGAATAAGTAATTTTTAGGGGAGATGAATGGGCCCAAAGAAAAGACAATAGCCTGGGACAAAGGTCCTCTGAGCTCTGGGGAAGGTGGTGACAAGTTATGGGAAGGTGAGGGGACAGAACTGCAATGCAAATATTGTCTTAGTATGCAAATAAGGTCTCTCAGGCAATATGATAAGTTTGCTTGGGTGGGTGTAGTGACAACCTTTTGTTTCTTCTTCCTGATTTATCTTCCCTAGGCAATGAGATTTATTTATTTATTTATTTTTATTTTTATTTTTTTGAGATGCAGTTTCAGTCTGTCACCCATGCTGGAGTACAGTGGGATGATCTCGGCTCACTGCAACTTCCGCCTCCCGAGTTCAAGCCATTCTCATGCCTTAGGCTCCCGAGTAGCTGGGATTATAGACGCCCAACACCATGCCTGGTGAATTTTTGTATTATTAGTAGAGATGGCGTTTTGCCCTGTTGGCCAGGCTGGTCTTGAACTCCTGACCTCAAGTGATCCGCCCACCTCAGCCTTCCAAAATGCTGGGATTACAGGCATGAGCCACTGTGCCCCAGCTGGCAATGAGATTTTAAACAGTGGATTAAAGACAATTGTGTTTATTTTGAAAGAACTTCCCTCAATGAGATAAGGGACCTTCAGAGAGAGCCTGTCCCCACCCTTGTGGGGAGAAACAAGAGAAGGTCAGAGAGACACTGATTCTGAGGTCACTTCTAAGGCTTTCAATTTCCTTTAATTCAAAGTGCTCAGTATTCAAATAATACGCCATATTTTGGTGTATTATTTTCTGAGCCCCAACAGTTCTATAGGTATCTATTAGCTTTAGCTGGCTTATAGTATGGTGTAAGACTTCTATTTCCTTGGGAGTCTGAGGCGGGCAGATCATGAGGTCAAGAGTTCGAGACCAGCCTGGCCAAAATGGTGAAACCTCTTCTCTACTAAAAATACAAAAATTAGCCGGGAGTGGTGGCACACATGTGTAGTCCCAGCTACTCGGGAGGCTGAGACAGAAGAATTGCTTGAACCCGGGAGGCAGAGGTTGCAGCGAGCTGAGATCATGCCACTGCACTCCAGCCTGGGCGACAGAGCAATACTCTGTCTCAAAAAAAAAAAAAAAAGACTTCTATCTTTTTATTGATCTTCTACTTAGTTGTTCTCACTGTATTGAAAGCAGTTTGTTGAAGTCTCCAACTACTGCTATTGATTGTCTATTTGTCCCTTCAATTGTGTCAGTTTTGATTTGTGTATTTTGCTGCTCTATTTTTAGGTGTATATATATTTATAATATCCACTTATTTTATGCACTTGATCCTGAAAGGATTTAGGAGGTTACTGTATAGCAAGAAATCACAAATTAGAAGTAGATGAGAAAGAAAAAGCAAAACAAGAGTAGCAACATAAAATAGACTTTGTCTTCTTGTTCACTTTTGTTGCCATGTGAACAGGGCCTGTCCCATAATAGTTCTTCATAGAATTAAAATAACACCAAGAATAAGGTTAACACAAAAATGAATTTATACATTACAAGTGTACCGTAAACTTGGCATCCAATTAAAATGGAGACCTGATTGGTTATACAATTGATAGTGACCCTGAGCTAAATAAAACAAGAGATGATACCAAGAACAATAGAGAAATTCCTTCCAAGGGTTGTCACTAACATTCAATTATAAATATGCCAAACAAACTCCTCCATCCTAAACAGAATATATGCTTTAAGTTTGGGAATTTCCCCTTCCCAGGAGTGATGCTATAGTTAGTCCCCATGGGCTGCCACATCTGATTGTGCAAATTGTGTACTGTCCAACTCCAGGTTATCCATCACATTGCAGTCTATGCAAACAACACCCTCTCCCCAACCACACACTCTGCATTGGGTAATATACAACCTAGGCTCCTATAAGAGTGACTCCATAAAATCTTTAAGTGATTCCTCCTCTGACAAATGGCTTAGTGTTCACTGTATATTTAGGGATTGTAAAAGAACAGAATATGCTACCCCAAAATATACTTCTTTGGCATAAGGATTATTTTGAACCAATTATTTTAGGAAATAGCAGACATGGGAGAATCTCTGAAAACAGAGAAGTTTCCCATTTGAAAGGGAAATTTACATTTATAAAGGAAATCTCCATGTGTAGGGATGTCTTTCTCTGTACTAGGAAGAGAAAGATATTCTAAATCACAAGAAATTCTTATCAGTGGAGAAGGCACCAACTTATATCTGCATAACAAAGCTTACCCTTGTTTACTGTACATTTCCTGGTTGCCTTCTCATAATTTACCTCCACCACACAATTCTTTCACTGATTTAGCTGAAGATGGTATTTAAGCCTGAATTCTAAGCCACCTCTCTGAGAGTTACTCATTTCCCTGACTGCCCAGGTTTATATGAGATATACCTGTTAGTAAACTTCTTTTGTTTTTCTTCTTCTTCTTTTTTTTAAAAAAATATTTCTTTCTCTGTTTTTTGTTTTTTTTTTTTTTTAAGAGATGGAGTTTCGCTATGTTGCCTAGGCTGGTTTCAAATTGCTGGACTTAAGTGATTTACCCACCTTGGCTTTCCAAAGTGCTGAGATTACAGGAATGAGCCAAGATACACGTTAGTAAACTTCTGTTTGTTTTTTCTCTTGTTAATCTGTCTTTTGTTACAGGAGCCCCAGCAGATAACTTAGAAGGGTGGAAGGAAAATTATTTTTTCCTCCCTTACAAGGTGTTGTGGGTGGCCAAGAAATGAGGAACAGCGTAGTGTTCATCTACAAGGAAATGAAGTCTCTGAACCTCATCTTTGGACACAATGTTCCAACCAGTTGTCTTAACCAAGTGCCTTGAAAAGAGAACAAGGTGAGTAGAGAAGGTGCTTCACTTCTCCAAGCTCCCACACTGATTCGTAAGATAAGTCAAGGGGTTCTCACATTTCCTAGGACGGTAGTTTTCTCACTGTATTTAGAGAGTATCAGCAGAAACACGATTGCACACGGGAAATGCTAAAGCTAGGAGCTCTGCAGTGTGTCAGGGGAGACGCATATGTGTTAATTATGACGCAGAAGAGAAGTGACCCTCAGGGGCCCTTAGTGGAAGAAGCCGTGTTGGCTTGCACTCAGCAGCAGCTTGTGGGCATGCACGCTGGTTACTACAAGTCTTCAGGGAGCTCTGCTCAGGTGACTCAGCAGGCCTCAGGCAAAGTACAAGAGAATCTCTAGTTCTAAATAAGATTACACGAGGACCAGAAAATAATACCTGAGTTTTTGTTTTGTTTGTTTTGTTTTGTTTTTAGACAGAGTCTTGCTCTGTTGCCCAGGCTGGAAGTGCAGTGGCACGAGCTTGGCTCGCTGCAACCTCCGCCTCCCAGGTTCAAGCAATTCTCCTGCCTCAGCCTCCCTAGTAGCTGGGATTACAGGCGTGAGCCACCACGCCCAGCTGATTTTTGTATTTTTAGCAGAGACAGGTTTCATCATTTTGGCTAGGCTGGTCTCGAACTCCTGACCTCAGGTGATCCACCTGCCTTGGCCTCCCAAAGTGCTGGAATTAGAGGCGTGAGCCACCATGCCTGGCTGCTGAGTTTTTTTAAGTACAATAGAAATCCTGGCCCAGTTATTCATAACTTCTCCCTAACCTTATCCCCAAGTTGGGACAGTCCTTTGTCACATCTTCAGTAACTAAAACCCACAGAGAGCAGCAAAGACAAGCCCCTCTCCGTGTCAACTTCCTCCCCTGGAGTGAGCACTGTTATGAAAGAATCGGGGTACAAGGTGGCTGGGCGCAGTGGCTCACACCTGTAATCCCACCACTTTGGGAGGCCGAGGTGGGCGGATCACCTGAGGTCAGGTGTTCGAGACCAGCCTGACTAACATGGAGAAACCCCGTCTCTACTAAAAATACAAAATTAGCCAGGCATGGTGGCCCATGCCGGTAATCCCAGCTACTTGGGAGGCTGAGGCAGGAGAATTGCTTGAACCCAGGAGGCGGAGGTTGCAGTGAGCCAAGATCGAGCCATTGCACTCCAGCCTGGGCAACAAGAGCAAAACGCCATCTCAAAAAAAAAAAAAAAGAATCGGGGTACAAGGTAAGACACCACCTGGCAATGAGGCCTTTCCTGAGTTCCTTATGGCAAAACAGGCCACAAAACCTTGGATTTCCATTTCTAGCAGAATAATAGGCCACCTGCTTCATGGCTGAGGGAGGCTGTGTTTTTGGCTCTCGACACACCAAACACCCTCTTGCCTTTACCTGGTGAGCCAGTATCACTTCATCAGCAAGCATGGTCAGATTAGTTTATAGCTGCTCCAGAACACCAGGTTACATTCTCCTTGATGTATTTCACCATAAAAAGTTGTAAGGCACATTTTTTATTGTTCAATGCCCTAACAAGGGGCCTCTGACGTCATGAGTCCCAAGAATGCTGTTTGAATAACACATGACTTGAGCAGTTACTTTAAGTGAGGGACTGTGCCGAACAATTTTATATTTATCATCTTTTTTTATTAAAATAAACACATGAGGTAGTGTCTACTTCTATCTCTGTTCTATGAGTGAAAGAACAGGTCATATGGAGGTTATTTTGTGTTTGTTATTATTATGTTTTATTATTTTTATTTTTTGAGATGGAATCTCACTCTGTCACCCAGGCTGGAGGGCAGTGGCACAATCTTGGCTCACTGCAACCTCCACCTCTTGGGTTCAAGTGATTCTCCTGCCTCAGCCTCCTGAGTAGCTAGGATTACAGGTGTCCACCAGCACACCCAGCTAATTTTTGTAGTTTTAGTAGAGATGGGGTTTCACTATGTTGGCCAAGATGGTCTCGAACTCCTGACCTCAGGTGATCCACCCACCTTGGCCTCCCAAAGTGCACGGATTACTCACCACGCCTGGCCTGTGTGTGTGTTGTTAGAAGATTAGGGCTAAGAGGACTTTATTTGGTTTGAGTCTTCATTTTACAGATGAGGAAACTGAGCTCAAAGGAGTTAAGTCACATGCCCATAATCACGCACCCAGGAAGTGGTTTTAGGGTGGCACACATCATCCAGCTCTCTGTGAGTCTGCGGCCTAGCCTTTCATGATTTGAGGGTTTGTGCCACCCCCAAGTATTCTGTCATCCTGCAACCAAACTATGCTAAAAGGCGGGGCGGGCAACACACTGCATCAGATTGAAGTCAAACTTCGTGCCTCAGAACACACAGAGTCCCTCTAGCCCTTAACAACTTTCTTTTCAGGAAACCTGCCAAGTGCTTGGTTACCTTTTGAGTTCTTCCTGGGTGTCAGGGAACACATCTAAAAATAGATCTGTCCCCAGCTCTCCCAGAAGAGGCTTGTAACTTAAAAATGTCACTCCCTCCTCCCTTCCAAAACACAGACTTCACTGTTCCTTCCTTCCAACCCAGCAGCTGCCTAAGAATATACCTTCCTCTTACCTGAAGACTAGACTTCCTTCTTCAGGAAGGGACAATAGTGTCTCTTGCCAGGAAGGAAAGACCTTTCATATCAGCTTTGACAAAAATTGCTTTCTCTAAAGCAGAATGACTTCAGGGAAAAGGATGTGGGTCTTGTCCTGGTCTTTCACCTCCTAAAGATCGGCAAAATGGGACAATGTATATAAATGTGTTTTATAAATTGCAGATACCAGGAACTATCATGTGTCTCTGCATGTGTTCCCTGATTCTTCAAAATTGCAGTGGGTGGAAGGGAGACTTCTCTAGTGATACCTCTGGTGACACAGATTTTCCGGCCACAGAAACTCGGGGAAGTTTTTCCTGGTGTGGGCTTTCCGTGGGTAACTCCTTGTGTGCTGAGATGACATTAGAATGATTGCAGAGAGCAGGCCTGAAGCTGGGCTGGGCTCACACCAGCTAAAATTGAGTTTGAAGCAAGCCAGCAGAATTGAGGAGACAAAGAAAAAGAGCCTGTTCACCCATGGGAGTCTCTCCCAGTTGATTCTGTACCTTGTTAACCTGGAGTTGGTCTCAACACTAAGAAAAGACGTGTTTGCTAGCTTCTCGCCAGTACCATGCAATGCTTGAGCTCCACTGAACACTTTGTCATGTTAGAAGTGTTTCAGTTATCTTTATTTTATTCATGTATTCACTCCTTCAATAAATAGATATTTAATTCTTACTCCATTGGCAGCTTTCTCTGTTTAAAAGACTCCATTTGCTGTCCACATATAGTGAATATAGTTTGAAGGTAAACAATTGTTTGAATACAAAAAATAAAGATGGGCCCATTTCTATTGTGCTCACTCTCTGCCACCCTCCTTTCCCCCAACCATAAACTAGAGGTCACTTTGGTGATAGTTTCTGTTCCTGGGAATCACTGTGCTCCTGAAAAGCACTATTTTTAGAAGGCCAGAGTACTCTTTTTTTTTTTTTTTTTTTTTTGAGACAGAGTCTCACTCCCATGGTCGAGGCTGGAGTGAGTAGTGAGACACGGCTCACTGCAGCCCCGACTTTCCTGGGCTCATCAGGTGATCCTTCCACCTCAGCCTGCTGAGTAGCTGGGACTACAGGTGCACACCACCATGGCCGATTAATTTTTTGCATTTTTAGTAGAGATGGGGTTTTGCCAAGTTGCCCAGGCTGGTCTCAAACTCCTGGGCTCAAATCATCTGCCCACCTCAGCCTCCCAAAGTGCTGTTATTACAGGCATGAGCCACTGTACCCGGCCTCCTTATATATAAATTTTTTTTGTCCATCTTTGATTATTTCCTTAAAATGGATATCTATAAATGAAATTACTGTTTTTCAGATATAGTACTTTTTTAGATTCTTGATCTACATTGCTAAAGTGCTCTCCAGGGAGATTGTACTGATTAATATTCCCACCAGCAGGGCACACCAGTACTCATTTTTCCACACTCTTACCAACATTGGTTATTGGCAATTTTAAAAAAGTCTTTGCTAATCTGATCGAGTGTGGTGGCTAATGCCTATAATCCCAGCATTTTGGGAGGCCAAGGTGGGAGGATTATTTGAGCTCAGGAGTTTGTGATGAGCCAGGACAACACAGACCCTGTCTCTATTTTAAAGAAAAGAAAGGGGCCGGGTGTAGTGGCTCATGCCTGTAATCCTAGCACTTTGGGAGGCCGAGGAGGGTGGATCACGAAGTCAGGAGATTGAGACCATCCTGGCTAACACAGTGAAACCCGTGTTTTCTACTGAAAATATTTAAAAAATTAGCCAGGCGTGGTGGCGGGCGCCTGTAGTTCCAGCTACTCAGGAGGTTGAGGCAGGAGAATCCCTTTCACCCAGGAGGCAGAGCTTGCAGTGAGCTGAGATCACGCCACTGCACTCTAGCCTGGGTGACAGAGCAAGACTCCGTCTCAAAAAAAATTTAAAAAAAAGAGAAAAAGAAAAGAGAGAAAAATCTTTGCTAATCCAATGCACACGCCTATTTATATCTTTTTATAATTAGTCTTTGATCTATAAGCATTCTCTATATATTAGGAATATTACCCTTTGTTTATTGCAAATATTTTTCACAGCTTATCATTTGTCTTTGAGTCTACTCGGCAGCATTATTTGCCATATTGAAGTTCTTTCGCTTTTTTTTTTTTTTCTTTCTGAGACAAAGTCTCACTCTGTCGCCCAGGCTAGAGTGCAGTGGCACAATCTCAGCTCACTGCAACCTCCACCTCCTGGGTTCAAGCAATTCACCTGCCTCAGCCTCCCAAGTAGCTGGGATTACAGGCATGTGCCACAATGCCTGGCTGATTTTTGTATTTTTAATAAAGACACGGTTTCACCATGTTGGCCAGGCTGGTCTCGAAATCCTGACCTCAAGTGATCCACCCGCCTCAGCCTTCCAAAGTGCTTGAATAACAGGCATGAGCCACCGCACCTGGGAACATTTTTAAAATGTAGTCAAATGTATCCCTCCTTTTTTTTTTTTTTTTTTTCTTTTTTAGGCTTAGGAAGGTCTTCACCCCCAAAATCACAAAAATACTTAGCTCTATTTTCCTTAGTGTTTTTATGGTTTCTTTTTTACACGGACATATCTGATCAAGTAATTTATTTAGGGGTAAGGAAGCTAGTAATCCAGATTTTTTTTTTTTAATGGTTAGCTGGATTCCATACCATTTGTTAAATGACCATTTTAAAAGTCTCCTTTATTTCTGGAATCCCACCTTTTTTCTTTTCTTTCTTTCCTTTTTTTTTTTTTTTTTTTTTTTTTTTTTGAGAAGAAGTCTTGCTTTGTTGCCCAGGCTGGAGTACAGTGACACAATCTCAGCTCACTGCAACCTCTGCCTTCCAGGTTCAAGCGATTCTCCTGCCTCAGCACCCCCACCCCCTCCCAGTAGCTGGGACTACAGGCGCGTGCCACCATGCCCGGCTAATTTTTGTATTTTTAGTAGCAACGCGGTTTCATCATGTTGCCTAGGCTGGTCTCAAACTTCTGACCTCAAGTGATACACCCACCTCAGCCTCCCAAAGTGCTGAGATTACAGGCGTGAGCCACTGTGCTTGGCCCCCCACTTCTTTTTCACTCACCTCTCCATATGTTTATTAGTGTCCTGTTTTTTAGAAGACAATTCACAAAGACTTCAACATACAAACTAGATAACGTAAGGAAATAGAACTGTTCAGGCTACAGATAGTAAGCTGTCCTAATTACCCCTGAAATTATTCAATTTTTTAAAAGCTGAAATTTTTACATATTCTTATATCAGCTTTATTAACATATAATTCGTATACCATACAATTCACTCACTTAAAATATACAATTCAGTGGCTTTAAATATATTCACAGTTGTGTAACCTTCACCACAATCAATTTTAGAACTATTAAAAGACAGCAGGTCCAACATGGTGTCACTCATGCTAAGGTTCTATGCCACCAAACTGAAACCTAAGTTGTTTATTTATAAGATTTGACCTTCTGAGAAACCAGGAGAAAGGCAATGGCCAAATCCCATAAAGCCAACAGGATTTCCTATACACCTCTACAAGGAAAGTAATCTTGAAATGATTAACATACTGTTGGTTCATTGTTTCTTCTTTCCTGCATTTTTTTCTACGTGTGAAATTCACCCATTCTGTGTAGCTTGTGAGAGCTCTTTTCTGTGTTTTACTTTATTTATTTATTTATTGAAACAGGGTCTTTTTTGCCCAGGCTGGAATGCAGTGGCATGATATAGTTCCCTGTAGTCTCAAACTCGTGAGCTCAAGTGATCCTCCAGCTTTAGTGTCCTGAGTAGCCAGGACTATAGATACATGCTGCCATACCTACATGGCTGGCTAATTGTTTTGGTGGCAGTGCGGGGGCGTGGGCTGTTGCTTTGTTTGTTGCTCAGGCTGGTCTTGAACTCTTGGCCTCAAGCAATCCTCCCACCTCAGCCTCCCAAAGCACAGGGAGTATAAGTGTGAGCCACCATGCCCAGCCTTCTTTGTTTTAGACTGGATGCTGCTCAGTTCATGAATTACTAATAAAAGCCAATTAGATCTTTAAAATTAAATTTGTTGAAATTTTGTTCTTTGACGGAACATTTCCATCACCCCACAAAGAACATTTCATATACATGGAATCATACAATATGCAGCCTTTTGTATCTGGCTTCTCTCACTTAGGATGTTTTCAAAATTCATCTACAGTACAGTATATATCCACATTTAATTTCTTTCTTTTTTTAAATTGAGGTAAGGTTCATATACCATGAAATTAATCATTTTAAAGTGTTTAATTCAGTGCCATTTAGCACCTTCATTATGTTGTGCAATCATCACCTCTATCTAATTCCAAAGCATTTTCATCATCCAAAAAACAAAACATATGTTCATTAAGCAGTCACTCCCCATTCCTCCCCTCCAGCCCCTGGCAACCACTAATCTACTTTCTGTCTCTATGTGGGTTTGCATGTTTTGGACATTTCATGTAAACGGGATTACATAGTATGTAACCTTTTGTGACTAGATTCTTTCATTTAGCATGTTTTCCAAGTTCATTCATATTATAGCATGTAGATATACTTCATTTCTTCTTATTGTCAAATATTCTTTTCTATGGATATACCACACTTTGTTTATTCATTCATCAGTTGATGGACATTTTCATCATTTACACTTTTGCCTACTATGAATAATGCTGCTATGAACCTTCTTGTACAAGTTTTTACGTATACTATATACTTCTCTTAAAAATAACTTTATGTTTTGCATAAAATCATATACTTATCTGCAGTATCAGTCCTGTAAGCCATCTTTTCAGGATGATTAAAAAGTTTATTTGCCCACAACCTTCTTTTATTTTTTTGAGACGGAGTCTCATTCTGTCGCCCAGGCTAGATTGCAGTGGCACGATCACGGCTCACTGCAACCTCCATCTCCCGGGTTCAAGTGATTCTCCTGCCTCAGCCTCCTGAGTAGCTGGGATTACAGGCATGCGCCACCATGCCTGGCTAATTTTTTTGTACTTTTAGTAGAGATGGGGTTTCACCACGTTGGCCATGGCTGGTCTTGAACTCCTGACCTCAAGTGATCCACCCACCTCAGCCTCCCAAAATGCTGGGACTACCAGCGTGAGTCACCAAGCCAGGCCACAACCTTGTTTCTTTAAAGCCAAATGTAATTTCATTTGTGAAGGCCTTAATCCTATTAGTCTATGCTAATTTAAACCACCAAGGAGAAAACTAAATTAAGAAATTTAAGCTGGGCATGGTGGCTTACGCCTATAATCCCAGCACTTTGGGAGATTGAGGCAGGAGGATCTTTTGCGTCCAAAAGTTCGAGACCAGCCTGGGCAACATAGTGGGACCCTGTCTCTATAACAAAGAAAAAAAAAAGAAATTTAAGAATTTAGTTAAAACTGTAATCTGGGGGAATTATATCTAGGTGGGTGCTCAGAAGGACCCAATGACGATGGAAGTGATGCTCAAGCAACTCTATTCATGTCTTTCTTTATGTACTAGGGGCAACTCCATTCATTTATTTATGTACTTGAGGTTCAATTTTTAATATTAACATAAACATCTAATAGAGTTTGCCTATGAATCCTGCCATTAACAGGATTGCAACATACGTGGTTCAGTAAAATCAAAGAAGCAAAACACAGGACGAAGTTTTTTAAGGGACCCAGTCCCCCACTAGATTCTAAGTTCTTGAGAGCAAAGATTGCATCTTGTTTGTGGTGGGCACACCAGAAATATTTGTTCAACAAAAAAATAAGGAAAGCTGTGTCCAGAATCAGATTTCCTAGCCTTTGCCCCACCCACTCACTCCCACCCTATTGTTTGCTCTTTCCCCAGACCCCAGTTCCACCTAATTCCAAGGGACAAGATAGAGTCTCAGATCACAATGTATCGAAGGCAGGTGTAGTTGGAAGATGGTATTTATCTTTGTGGGGAAGGAAGGGAGTAGCATCAACAATGGAAAACCAAATGATCTTGTTCCTTCCTGTGCACCTCATTTGCCAGTTTTGGAGAGACAGCAATTTTTTTAATACCTTGAAACACTGGAGTTTGTATTGAGAAACAAAAGAAAAAAGCTCAAAGGTGGCTGTGGAGGTCTCTATCCCTCCTTCCAAGGCTCACTGACCCCTCGATGACCTGTAACTGTAGCTCTGGGAGAAACGAATAAGCAGGCGGTTCAATGCTGCTATTTTAGGCAGTTAGTCGATGTGGGCGGTTAGTCTGGTTAGTCGATGTGGGCGGCAGACACTGGGGTTGGTGTGTTGGGAGAAGGGCTTGAGGGGTGCCTGTATAAACTGGCCATAAAAATATGGGACAATAAGTTGTGGAAAGCCACAAGAGGCCTCTGAGGAGGAAAGCCTAATTGCCATCATGTTCCCATGCTCAGGGCAAGACCCGCTCTCTTATCTGTAAACACTGTGTTCAAGGAGAAAGACACTCCTTTGAAGCATTGGAATGTAGACAGACGTGCAGGCTCCTAGTTAAGCCCGCTCCCACTAGCTACTCTCCGATAAGTTAAAGATACGCAGTTTGAGCACAAAGGAGATTCATTTAAACCGCTATTGCTATAGATTATGCCTATGACGCACTGCCTCCCTTTCACTGTTTCGCACTGAACATCTGCTTCTTAGATCTAAGTGATGGTAATCAATAGTGTGTAGACCAGAGCTCTGGGCCTTTGCAGTCTCTGATTTGCTCTGGCCCCCTGGCTCCCACTTTTATGAACTCTAAACCTGTCTCTTCTCATTCCTTTGTCGCCACTGGACTTCAGGTACCCTACGGGTGGTGTTGAGGCTGGTCCCCAACATTGGTGGAAGAAGCACCTTTATGGACCAGACAGCCATGTACTCGGTCAGCCCCACTGCAGATACGCCGGAAGGAGGTCCAAAAGCCGTTTTCAGGGAGAGGACTCTTTGCCCCTTGTTAGTTAAACCTTGGCAGACATGCTGGGCAGGAATGACATACCCTATGTGTAAGTACCTGGAAAACCCCACGGTGCTCCCACACACTCAACCGGAAGCAGCATTTTCAGATCTGCTCGTGCTGGTTCTTCTGCATTAGTTGATAGTCAGTTTAGATTTCAGATGTCACTGTCCCTGAAGGGCCTCCCCTGGTGCCTCATAAAGGCCAAGAGACCACAAAAGTTGAATGGCCAAGCCAGGCTGGCACGACGCAGTGCCCTAGCTATCTCCTTTTCTGCTGCAGAAGCGCACTACCGGTGACGGGCAGTAGTGAGTGGGAGGGCCACCATCTGAAATGTGCTGCTCCTTTTGATGAGTGGGTACTGTGTTTTTCTCTGCTTTTAGCTCCTATTCTGAAGAAATGATAGTGATTTTCACCCCATCCCCGATCAAACAGGACTGTGACTTACGTTTCCCAGTGTTCATTGCTAATTTCATGCACCATTAAGTTTTGTAGTCTCCCATGTCCATTAGACCTTGCTTCTCCCTCTGGGATGTTGGGACATTGTGGGGAGCATATTGTGATATGTTGGCATGCTGGGGTGGGGGAGGCCACAGCTGACTTGGGAGAACTTGTCCCTTGGTGACACCCACCCACACTGAGCTTGAACTTCAGACAAGGGAAATTGACTCTTACTCCACTCCCCACCCTCACCCCATGGCAGCCTGGCTCACCAACCACAGCGAAGCCGGACTTGGCCTCTTGGTTCTTCTCAACACAGCTCCCCAGTCAGACACCACCAACTGAACTGAATTGGCACTATTTGGTAGTCTAGCCTGACTTATAATAACAATTGAAAAAGAAAAGATAAATCTGTCCTCCAAACTGGATTCAGTTATCACACTATTGCTCGGATCTATTGTATCACTTGGAGCCCTGCGCTTACAGTGCTATTCTGTGAATTTCTTCTAACAACAAGAGTCTATAAGGTGAGAGGGCCCCTTGTTCTTTCAAAGAGAAAGGAAATGTCTCTTAAAGCATCATTTAAACTTAAATTTTAATGTTGTTTAAGCATGGAGAAGTACAGAGAAGAAAACATTTGATGACCCACATTCTTATTGCCCAGCTCACTCCTGACTGTATTAGATAATAATTATGACATTATAATAGTTACACATGCATACGAGTAGAAATTTTAAACATGAAAGCATAACACGACAAGTGCTAACTTCTATTCCTTCCTTCCTAATGATAACAGCTATTGATTATTAATAGTTTTTCATGGGTTCTACCAGAAAAAGTACATGTATGTTTATATTCTTTTCTAAAAGTTACCAAAAAGGGGGAAAAGGGTGAAGCGTACTCTACAATATGTTCTGCAGCTTGGTTTTTTTTCTTCTAACTGAATTATACAACTGGCATTCTTTCCTGATCCACCTCATTCATTCATTCACATGGTCTTCCAGCATATGGATGTGCCATAATCCATAATATGGATGTACCATAACTTAATCAGTACTCTGTTAATGGTAAAACATCTTTTGAAGACTTCAGGGGGCTCATTGACCCACTTGAACTGTTATTCATCAACAAAGGAGGAAGGACACCTATTTCATTCATTCACTCAAAATCCTGCAGCTCTAAAGATTATTCAACTTGGTCCACAACTTCTGGCAAATACAACTACAAAGGAAAGCATCAGCAGAGCTGGGGCTGGGGTGTGGTATGAATAAAGTCATTTGCAATGCACCAGAATAAAGATCCCTTGCAATGATCACGAGCTGTAAGCACTGACAGTCCTAGAAGACTTGGTCATGTGATAGACCAGGTAGCATTGCCCGGAGTAACATGAAGGCAGCATTGCTTCACACAGAGACTTCAAACTAACAGTGTCTCCCAGAAGCCTTACAGCACTGAAAATGCTTCACTGTATTTTATTCATAATGGATATATTCACTATAGATGCTGAGTCTGCTAAGCCAGCTGTGTTTTCCTGTCACCAAGATGCCTTGATGCCATCTTAATATACACATATTTAAAAATTCTCCATGGAAGAACATCTTTACTTTGTCTAACTCTAATTGTGCCAGGGAATTGAAGTAGTCAGTTCAGATAATGCTGAAACTTATTGACTACTTGTTAGTTCTGTGTCCTGGAGCCTGTGATCTAACCATTCTAAGCCTATAAAATGAAGGTAATGATGCCTACCCCATAGGGTTGATGGGATGATTAACTAGGATAATTTATATCTACAGAGAAACATATATGGTGTGCCTCCACTTATGTAGTTAAACAGCTATCTCTGTTTATTTACAAAGAGAGATGTCTGGAAAGATGTTTATCAAAATGTTAAGCTTGGTTTTCTCTGGGTGTGAGATTTCTGAAGATTTTACTTTTTTCTTAGTTCTTTTCCATGTTGATTGGATTTGTTTGTTTTGTTTATACAATGATTAAGAGTGATTTTTACATTTTTTTAAAAAGCCGTTTTCAAAATGAGATAATGTTTATAAGGAAAATCACACATAAGTACTCAATCAACGTTGTTACTGTTAAAAGCTATCAGGAAAAGACCACTCACTCTATACCAGAAAAATCACGATTTAACTATATTTAAGACCCACCAAAGCCCAATTCTTTGGGGTTTTTTTGTTTGTTTGTTTTTAGAGACAGGATCTCACTCTGTCACTCAGGCCGTAGTGCAATGGCATGATCATGGCTCACTGTAACCTCAAACTCCTGGGCTCCACAATCCTCCCACATCAGCCTCTCAAGTAGTTAGGACTATAGGTGCATACCACCATTCACCACACCCTGCTAATTAAAAAAATTTTTTTTTTCCTAGAGACAACGTCTTGGTATATTACCCAAGCTGCTCTTGAACTCCTGGCCTCAAGTGATCCTCCTACCTCGGCTTCCCAAAGTGCTGGTATTACAGCTGTAAGCCAGCATGCCTGGCCCCAATTCTTAAGAATATGGGCTTTGGAATCAGGTAGTCCTGGCTTTGAATTACAGTTCTTAATCTTTGTTTTTCCTCCCTACATCTTTTTTTTTTTTTCTCTCAAGACGGAGTCTCGCTCTGTCACCCAGGCTGGAGGGCAGTGGCGCAAGCTCCGCTCACTGCAACCTCCGCCTCGCAGGTTCAAACGATTCTCCTGCTTCACCCTCCTGAGTACCTGGGATTATAGGCACACAACACCACGCCCAGCTAACTTTTGTATTTTTAGTGGAGATGGGGTTTCAAATGTTGGCCAGGCTGGTCTTGAACTCCTGATCTTGTGATCTGCCCTCCTTGGCCTCCCAAAGTGCTGAGATTACAGGCACGAGCCACCGCGCCCGGTGCTTTTTTTGTTTGTTTGTTTTGTTTTTGAGACAGGGTCTCACTTCGTTACCCAGGCTGGAGTACAGTGGTGTCATCTCGGCTCACTGCAACCTCTGTCCTCTGGGCTCAAGCAATCCTTGAACCTCAGCTTTCCGAGTAGCTGGGACTACAGGTGTGCCTCCACACCTGACAATTTTTTTTGTATTTTTGGTAGAGATGGGGCCTCACCATGTTGCCCAGGTTGGGTCTGAAACTCCTGAGCTCAAGCGATCTGTGCACCTCAGCCTCCCAAAGTACTGGGATTACAGGCAGGAGCCACCATGCCCAGCCACGCTACGTCTTTTTAGATGCTACACTTTGAGGAAAACACTTCACCATTTGTAGCCTTGGTTCTTCCTCTGTAAAATAAAATGCTTTTCTCCTCTATCCAATAACCCAAATCCTACACAGCCTTCAGAACTTTCAGTGTTTCCAGCTGTCCCAAACACTTGGAATTCCTAGAGTACTTGCAAGCCTGGTTACTCTTCAGGGCCCTGGATATAATAACAAAACGTAGTCATGGCCAACACAGCTAATTCTCTATGTAATATCTACTCTTCTCTTTCTCTTTACCAACAGAACTTGAATTTTATGCAGGGCAGCAATGTGCCCAGTTAAAAATACTCAGCCATGTGTGGTGGCTGCTGCCTGCAATCCCAGCTACTAGGGGGTATAAGGCAGGAGGATTGCTTAAGGCCAGGAGTTTAAGACCAGCCCAGCCGACCCCATACCTGAAGTAAATAAAAGTTAAGATACTCACCTTCCAGACTTACTTGCCACTCAGAGTGGCTCAGTTTGACCACTGGGAGGTATATAAGCAGTATGAGGTATGTATTAGTCTGTTTTCACATTGCTGTAAACAACTGCCCAAGCCTGGGTAATTTATAAAGGAAAGAGGCTTAATTGACTCACAGTTCAGCATGGCTGAGGAGGCCTCAGGAAACTTACAATCATGGCAGAAGATGAAGGGGAAGCAAGGCACCTTCACACGGCAGCAGGAAGGAAAGGTGCTGAGTGAAGGGGAAAGAGCCCCTTATAAAACCATCAGATCTTGTGAGGACTTACTGTCGGGAGAACAGCATGGAGAAAACTGATTTTCCCCATGATTCAGTTACCTACACCTGGTCTTTCCCTTGACACCTGGGGATTATGGGGATTACAATTCACAATAAGATTTGGGTGGGGACACAAAGCCTAACTGTATCAAGGTATAAACAGTATTATCATATAAGGAGCTTCCAAGACAATTGTATCCCTCATCAGAAGGGAGAGATTCAGCTGATACATACTCTTTGAACTTTATTCTTCCCCTGTTCCTGCCTGAAGAAAGAAAATGACACCTAGAATGGTTGCAATCGTCTCATAAGAGCCACATTCTAGGAACGAGACAGCAGGAAAACAGGAAACCCAGGCCTTGGTGGGTTCGTGATAAATCCTGGACCACATGCCCCAGACTTCTTGTTACATGATGAAATTAACTCTTAGTGGGTTAAGCCACTGTTGTCAGGATTTGGTTACACGCAGCCAAATGCAGTCTTGAGTGAATAGCCTACCTTAAAAGGTTGCTGTGAGGATTCGTTTGAGATAATGTTTGTGAAACACTTAGCCCAGTACCTGGAACACAGGCATAGCCTAATAAATATTTGCTGATGAGTTGCAGTTTTCTTCCTTATAAAAAAGAATTAAGTGCTGGACATGGCGGCTCACGCCTATAATCCCAGCACTTTGCGGGGGTGAGGTGGGCGGATCACTTGAGGTCAGGAGTTCAAGACCAGCCTGGCCAACATGGTGAAACCCCATCTCTACTAAAAATACAAAAATTAGCCAGGCGTGGTGGCACGTGCCTGTAATCCCAGCTACTAGGGAGTCTGAGGCAGGAGAATTGCTGGAACCCGGGAGGCAGAGGTTGCAGTGAGGCGAGATCATGCCACTGCACTCTAGCCTGGGTGACAGAGCAAGACTCTGTCTCAAAAAAAAAAAAAAAAAAAAAAAAGGAATTGAGCCAAGCGCAGTGGCTCATGCCTGTAATACCATCACTTTGGGAGGCCAAGGTGGGTGGATCATCTGAGGTCAGGAGTTCAAGACCAGCCTGGCCAACATGGTGAAACCCCGTCTCTACTAAAAATACAAAATCAGCTGGGCGTGGTGGCGTATGCCTGTAATCCCAGCTACTCGGGAGGCTGAGGCAGGAGAATAGCTTGAACCCAGGAGGAAGAGGTTGCAGTGAGTCAAGATCAAGCCGTTGCACTCCAGCCTGGGCAACAAGAGTGAAACTCCATCTCAAAAAAAAAAAAAAAAAAAAAAAAAGGAATTGAAAATCTGATCCAGAGTATAGACAATAATAGAAACTTGGGAACTTTATTTGTTAAGGTGTTAGAATAATGCCCAGCACACAAACACTTTATAAATATTTGTAAATATAATTCTAACAGATGTTTATTGAATGCCTCTTATGTGCCAGGCACTGTTCTAGATGCTGGGGCTACAGCAGCGAGCAAGACAGTATTCCTGCTCTTATGGTACTTTCATTTTAGAAAAAGTAGGAGGTGGCATATGTAAGAAAATAAAGGTCAAGAAGTTGTCAAGAAAACAAGATGATGTGAAGGAACTCCTTGGGTGAGTTATAGAGAGAATGCCTTCTGAAGGTGGTGACATTTGAGAACTACAAAACCCTTGGCACAAATGACTCCATCCAATACCATTGACCACCCTCCCAACCTTGCTGCACTAAGAGACTTGACTAAACTCTAGCATGACTTCTGGCCCCAGCCCCACTTTAAGTGCCTGCTTGAGAAAGCTCAACACTGCCAAAAAAATGTACTGTTCCCACCAAGACCTGACAATAGGTTCCTGATTTCTTTACTCTTAGAGCCTTTACTTTAGAAAGCTTGCCATTATGAATCCTTTCCCTGCCCCTTTAAGATGTAAATATGTTACCATTCAGAAAAGTTTCCTCAAGGACATAGGAGCCATCTCTTTGAAAGGCAGACATCCAGGGAGGTAGTACTTCTGTCTCCCAGTTCCTTTGGGAGAGTAAGAGCCTAACTTCTGTGGGTGCCTTGCTCCAATTTACAAAACTACCTCCTGCCCTAATGATAGGAGCAGTTTGTTTCTCCTCCACAGAAGTTCCAGTTAACAAACCCAGATAGCCCAATCAGGTAGACTAAAGCCCCCTTAATGTCCTTTAGTATCTTTCCTTTAGCACACTCCGGGATTTAAAAGGCTTTCAAGCTTTTGTTTTGGTGGAGTTGAGCTGCCTTTACACTGAAGTCTCTCTCCCTTGTGGCAGTAGTACTGAATAAATTTTTTTTGTCTTACCACCTGTAACAAGTGGCTCTGTTACTCTTTGACACATTGAAAGTAAGACCTGATTTGTAAGAAGGAGCCAACTCCTGAAAAGTCTGGAGGCAGAACATTGCAGGCAGAGGGAGGCTCGTCAAAGGACCTAAAGAAGTTATAAATTTGGAGTTATGGAGGAATAGTCTTTCTGAAATTACCAAAAGTTTGTATCTGCAACCACAGAGAGGAATGGGTATACAGGGAAAATTCACATTTTGTGGAGCCTGAGGTTTATACAATTTGGATAACCCTCTTTAAGAAAAAGAATGCAGCCGGGCGTGGTGGCTCATGCCAGTAATCCCAGCACTTTGGGAGGTCGAGGCAGGAGGATCACTTGAGGTCAGGAGTTCCAGACAAGCCTGACCAACATGGTGAGACCCCGTCTCTACTAAAAATACAAAAATTAGCCGGGCGTGGTGGCATGTGCCTGTAATCCCAGCTACTCAGGAGGCTGAGGCAGGAGAATCTCTTGAACCCGGGAGGCGGAGGTTGCAGTGAGCCCAGATGGCACCACTGCACTCCAGCCTGGGTGACACAGTGAGACCCCAACTCAAAAAAAAAAAAAAAGAAAAAAGAAAGAAAAAGAAAAAGAAGGAAAAGAAAAAACAGAAAAAGCATACAAAATTCCAAATACAAAATGGAGCTTTGGAAGGGACCTTTGCAAGTGAATGGCCCCGAAGCTTAAGCTTCAGCTTTATGAACTTCCTAGAAAATCTATTTAGACCTGATCTGATGACAAAAACTAGATTTGAAGTATGAATTATTCAGAATTATTCAGACTCTTTTAGCAGTGAGAAACCCATTTGTGCTAGATTAAGTGAAAAAAAGTGGACATGTATAGTAGCAATCCAGGGTATCTCACAGGACAAAGCATGATAATTTAGCTGGGGCAAATATATGTTGCAACCAGAGACTCAAACACCAGCAGCACTCCCCATCTTTCACCTGTACCTCTCTAAACCTACACATGTGCTTTGTCTCTATCTTATCTTTGCAGATAACCTCCATCTGCTTTCCTGACCCATAGGATAGAAAATCATGGCCGTCTAGAGCAGCAGTCCCCAACCATTTTGGCACCAGGGACTGGTTTCATGGAAGACAATTTCCGTGGACAGGGGATGGAGGGATGCTTTTGGGATGAAACTGTTCCACCTCAGATCATCAGGCATTAGTTAGATTTTCATAAGTGGTGCTGAGTGCATACCCTAGATCCCTCACATGCACAGTTCACAATAGAGTTCCTGCTCCTATGAGAATCTAATGTCACTGCTGATCTGAGAGCAGGCGGAGCTCAGGCAGTAATGCTTGCTCACCTGCTACTCACCTCCTGCTATGCAGCCCAGTTCCTAATAGGCCATGGACTGGTACAGGTCCACGACCCAGGGGTTGGGGACCCCTGGTCTAGATCACTTCACTTTACGTGTTACGGCTCCAACTGCCATGTTACGACTTCCAGCATTCTCACGGAAGCACTCTGACAGGTTTGAGTCACATTTCATCCTCTGGTCAAAAACCAGCACCTAGGAGACCACTCAACCCTGGAATCAAGACAAAAGCAGTCATCTGAAAAAGAGGAATCACTGTGTGCCAAGAAGCAAACTCAAGCGGTGTCTGCCTCACCTGTTAACGTCTGACTGTAGAACAGCTCTGCCCAAAAGAAATATAATGCAAGCCACAAATGTAGGTCACACATCATTTTCAATTTTCTAGCAGACACATTAAAGAAGTACAAAGAAACATATGAGATAAATTTTAGTAATATATTTTATTTAGTCAATATTATAACTTTAACATGTACTCAATAAAAAATTAGGTATGTTATGTTCTTTTTTTTTTTTTTGAGACGGAGTCTTGCTCTGTCACCAGGCTGGAGTGCAGTGGCACAATCTCGGCTCACTGCAACCCCCACCTCCCAGGTTCAGTGATTCTCCTGCCTCAGCCTTCCTAGTAGCTGGGATTACATGTACGAGCCACCATGCCCAGCTAAATTTTTGTTGTTTTAGTAGAGATGGGGTTTCACCATATTGGCCAGGCTGGTCTCAAACTCCTAACCTCAAGTGATCTGCCCACCTTGGCCTCCCAAAGTGCTGGGATTACAGGCGTGAGCCACCGTGCCCAGCCTGCTATGTTCTTTTTTACATACTGTCTTCAAAATCCAGTGTGTGTTTTACACTTACAGCACATCTCAATTTGGGCTAATCACATTTCAAGTGCTCAGTAGCCACAGATGGCAGGTGGCTACCACAGTGGACATGCAGGTTTTCATTTCTTGGCTGAGATCTGGTTGATGCTACCACCCCTGTACATCACAGCAGGCCCAAGTCTGTAGTGATCAAACGCAACCATTATCTTGCCTGATGCCGTTTGTCATTATTGTGTCTCTACTCTTGGGCTCTGATAAATGTGCAGGATTAATCATCATTGGCTTTCACAGTGCACACAGCAAAAACACACTCACTGCCAAATTGCAATTACAGAGTTCTTTCTTTGATGGATTCAGAGTTAATGTCTTTGTACTTCCTTTATTCCAGAAATGAAATAAAAGCCCCCCCCACCGCCCCACACACACACACACACACGCCCACAGAAACCTGCAGCTCCATCAGCAAATTGTTCAGGCGCGGTAAGGAGGTCATTAGACTGGTTTTATATGGAGGCTATAAAGCATCAGGAAAGCAGATAAATTTCAAAATACTGGTTACTCAGCTATACTTCAGCTCGGCCTCCCAAGGGTACTAAATGCATTTCTCCAAAGTGTGTCTGCTTTCTCTTCAATTTGCTGTATCCAGGTGCATAAGTTCTATGAGGCATACTCCTTTCTCATTATATATGTATATTCTGAGCTTGACAACATGGATATTTACAGGTCAGACCTGCTCCATCTCACTTTGAGAGCCTTGTTTCTAGTCTGTCTATAGATTTTTCAGGTGAGTTTTGTTCAAAAGACCAGATGTAATGGTTTAGAAGTGTCTTATTTTTCCTTCTGGAGGCAATTTGTAACAAGGCCTACTAATTTGATAGCTACAATAAATTGAGCACTTACTATGTGCCAGCATCATGCCAAGTGATTACAGACATGATGTCATTAATTCTTGCAACAATGCCATAGGTAAGTATTGTGAACCCCCATATCACAGAGAAGGAAATGGAGGTTAAAGAAGGATTGAATAATTTGTGCAAAGTCACACAGCTACTAAGCATCAGAAGCAAGATTTGAACCTGAGTTGCCTGACTCCAAAGCCTTAATTGCTGAGGTCGGCATGCAAGTTGGGATAATTTCTGAAATATAAGGTCACCAAGCCTCGCTTCAAAGGGCTAGCACTTCCACCAGATGGTTTTTGGGGCGGGGTGTCTGAGAAGAGAGGGTAGTGGGAATAAGGTCACTCGCAAGTAGGGCTGGAAGGCAGCAAAATGGGGTTCCTCTTATGTCAGAAAAAATGCAGACAGATGTGTGAGTGCCTGGGAGGGAAGCAGTTGACCAATCCTAGCGAAGAAGGGCTGGCCTCCAGTTGGCAGCCATTGTAAACCAGCTCCGACATGAGCAGGCCACCTGGCTTTCAGTAATGTACAGATAATGGCTCCACCAAGCCTCCCTAAGGGGCTATTTGGATTAACTAGTTAATGGTTATATACTAGTTTGAATAGGCAAAGGGCCCAATAAATTCTCTACTCAGACCTTTTTAGCACAGAACTGAGCCCCTGTTAATTATAAATGTTAAAGGAAGATCAAGCCCTCTTGAGTTTTATTGCATTAATCGAGCCATTTGGCAATACTAGGCCAGACAGGAAAACAATAGCATGCCCACATTAATTAGCCAACTTGACTCTGACAGACAATGCCAGCCATATTCTTAGATCCTGAATTTAATCTTGGCAACCTCAGGTGGAGGGCAGGCCTTATATAAATATTTGTTGAAAAACTAAATGCAAGAATTTGGGGCCAGGCGCCGTGGCTTATCCCTGTAATACCAACACTTTGGGAGGCTGAGGCGGGCGGATCACCTGAGGTCAGGAGTTTGAGATCAGCCTGGCCAATGTGGCGAAACGCTGTCTCTACTAAAAATACAAAAATTAGCTGGGCATGGTGGCAGGCGCCTATAATCCCAGCTACTCGGGAGGCTGAGGTAGGAAAATCACTTGAACCCAGGAGATGGAGGTTGCAGTGAGCTGAGATTGCACCATTGTACTCCAGCCTGGGTGACAGAGTGAGACTCTGTCTCAAAACAAACAAACAAACAAAAAAAGAATTTGACATTTACTTAAGCACTTATTATGCGCCAGACAGTGGATTACAAATACCAAGGTTTTTTTTGAGACAGAGTCTTTCTCTGTTGCCCAGGCTGGAGTGCAGTGGTGCTATCTTAACTGTAACCTCCGCCTCCTGGGTTCAAGCGATTCTCCTGACTCAGCCTCCTGAGTAGCTGGGACTACAGGTGTCTGCCACCACACCTGGCTAATTTTTGTATTTTTAGTAGAGACAGGGTTTCACCGTGTTGGCCAAGCTGGTCTCGAACTCCTGGCCTGAAGTGATCCATCTGCCTCAGCCCCACAAAGTGCTAGGATTATAGGTGTGAGCCATCACACTCGGCCACAAATAACAAGCTTTAAAAGCCACCCCTCTCCCTCTCCCTCTCCCTCTCCCTCTCCACGGTCTCCCTCTCATGCGGAGCCGAAGCTGGACTGTACTGCTGCCATCTCGGCTCACTGCAACCTCCCTGCCTGATTCTCCTGCCTCAGTCTGCCGAATGCCTGCGATTGCAGGCACGCGCCGCCACGCCTGACTGGTTTTGGTGGAGACGGGGTTTCACTGTGTTGGCCGGGCCGGTCTCCAGCCCCTAACCGCGAGTGATCCGCCAACCTCGGCCTCCCGAGGTGCCGGGATTGCAGATGGAGTCTCGTTCACTCAGTGCTCAATGGTGCCCAGGCTGGAGTGCAGTGGCGTGATCTCGGCTCACTACAACCTACACCTCCCAGCCGCCTGTCTTGGCCTCCCAAAGTGCCGAGATTGCAGCCTCTGCCCGGCCGCCACCCCGTCTGGGAAGTGAGGAGTGTCTCTGCCTGGCCGCCCATCATCTGGGATGTGAGGAGCCCCTCTGCCTGGCTGCCCAGTCTGGAAAGTGAGGAGCGTCTCCGCCCGGCCGCCATCCCATCTAGGAAGTGAGGAGCGCCTCTTCCCAGCCGCCATCACATCTAGGAAGTGAGGAGCGTCTCTGCCCGGCCGCCCATCGTCTGAGATGTGGGGAGCGCCTCTGCCCCGCCGCCCCATCTGGGATGTGAGGAGCGCCTCAGCCCGGCCGAGACCCCGTCTGGGAGGTGAGGAGCGTCTCTGCCCGGCCGCCCCGTCTGAGAAGTGAGGAGACCCTCTGCCTGGCAACCACCCCGTCTGAGAAGTGAGGAGCCCCTCCGCCGGGCAGCTGCCCCGTCTGAGAAGTGAGGAGCCTCTCCGCCTGGCAGCCACCCCATCTGGGAAGTGAGGAGCGTCTCCGCCCGGCAGCCACCCCGTCCGGGAGGGAGGTGGGGGGGGTCAGCCCCCCCCCTGGCCAGCCGCCCCATCCGGGAGGGAGGTGGGGGGTCAGCCCCCCCGCCCGGCCAGCCGTGCCGTCCGGGAGGGAGGTGGGGGGGTCAGCCCCCCGCCCGGCCAGCCGCCCCGTCCGGGAGGTGAGGGGCGCCTCTGCCCGGCCGCCCCTACTGGGAAGTGAGGAGCCCCTCGGCCCGGCCAGCCGCCCCGTCCGGGAGGGAGATGGGGGGGTCAGCCCCCCCACCTGGCCAGCCACCCCGTCCGGGAGGGAGATGGGGGGGTCAGCCCCCCCCGCCTGGCCAGCCGCCCCGTCCGGGAGGGAGGTGGGGGGGTCAGCCCTCCGCCCGGCCAGCCGCCCCGTCTGGGAGGTGAGGGGCGCCTCTGCCCGGCCGCCCCTACTGGGAAGTGAGGAGCCCCTCTGCCCGGCCAGCCGCCCCGTCCGGGAGGGAGGTGGGGGGGTCGGCCCCCCGCCCGGCCAGCCGCCCTGTCCGGGAGGGAGGTGGGGGGGTCAGCCCTCCGCCCGGCCAGCCGCCCCGTCTGGGAGGTGAGGGGCGCCTCTGCCCGGCCGCCCCTACTGGGAAGTGAGGAGCCCCTCTGCCCGGCCAGCCGCCCCGTCCGGGAGGGAGGTGGGGGGGTCGGCCCCCCGCCCGGCCAGCCGCCCCATCCGAAAGGGAGGTGGGGGGGCCGGCCCCCTGCCCGGCCAGCCGCCCCGTCCGGGAGGGAGGTGGGGGGTCGGCCCCCCGCCCGGCCAGCCGCCCCGTCCGGGAGGGAGGTGGGGGGGGTCAGCCCCCCCGCCCGGCCAGCCGCCCCGTCCGGGAGGGAGGTGGGGGGGTCAGCCCCCCCGCCCGGCCAGCCGCCCCGTCCGGGAGGGAGGTTAGGGGGGGCCAGCCCCCCCGCCCGGCCAGCCGCCCCGTCCGGGAGGGAGGTGGGGGTGTCAGCCCCCCGCCCGGCCAGCCGCCCCGTCCGGGAGGGAGGTGGGGGGGGTCAGCCCCCCCGCCCGGCCAGCCGCCCCGTCCGGGAGGTGAGGGGCGCCTCTGCCCGGCCGCCCCTACTGGGAAGTGAGGAGCCCCTCTGCCCGGCCAGCCGCCCCGTTCGGGAGGGAGGTGGGGGGGTCAGCCCCCCGCCCGGCCAGCCGCCCCGTCCGGGAGGGAGGCGGGGGGGGGGGGTCAGCCCCCCTGCCTGGCCAGCCGCCCCGTCCGGGAGGTGAGGGGCGCCTCTGCCCGGCCGCCCCTACTGGGAGGTGAGGAGCCCCTCTGCCCGGCCACCACCCCGTCTGGGAGGTGTGCCCAACAGCTCATTGAGAACGGGCCAGGATGACAATGGCGGCTTTGTGGAATAGAAAGGCGGGAAAGGTGGGGAAAAGATTGAGAAATCGGATGGTTGCCGTGTCTGTGTAGAAAGAAGTAGACATGGGAGACTTTTCATTTTGTTCTGCACTAAGAAAAATTCCTCTGCCTTGGGATCCTTACCCCCAACCCTGTGCTCTCTGAAACATGTGCTATGTCCACTCAGGGTTAAATGGATTAAGGGCGGTGCAAGATGTGCTTTGTTAAACAGATGCTTGAAGGCAGCATGCTGGTTAAGAGTCATCACCACTCCCTAATCTCAAGTAATCAGGGACACAAACACTGCGGAAGGCCGCAGGGTCCCCTGCCTAGGAAAACCAGAGACCTTTGTTCACTTGTTTATCTGCTGACCTTCCCTCCACTATTGTCCCATGACCCTGCCAAATCCCCCTCTGTGAGAAACACCCAAGAATTATCAATAAAAAAATAAATTAAAAAAAAAAAAAAAAAAGCCACCCCTCTAATGTGATTATTTTGTCTGGAGATTGGGAATGTTATCACACACTCTGAATGTGGATTTCTCCATCAGCCAGTGCACAACCAACAATACAGCAAAGTATCAAATCATTGAACAATCCTGCTTGATAGCAAACTGTCAAATAGTTGCTCACAACAAAGACAAATTGAAACTCTGACAATAACTCTCTTGGCAGGATGACCCTGGAAGATAGCAATAGTCATTTGCCAGATTCAGCATAAATAACACAATTTCAGGAGTTGTTTTAACAAATGAAAACAGAAAAATTTTGCAGAGTATTTTCATCTTTGAAGGATCAAATCTATTCAAATTTCTACAAGGCAAGGATAAGTAAACTCCCAATTAGAGGTACAAGTCATGCTTTGATCACATACCACGCCCTCAACTCTTAACTGTTTAGGAAAATGTGAATGTGCAGGTTTCTGCAGAAATAACCAGGCAGCAGATTGTCCAGCAGATTTCAAAAATGGCTAGACCCTGTTAGTCATTTAATGTCTTAACTTCACACGGGATAAACACAAGACAAATCATTGCCAGGCTGAAGTATTCTCTCCAACCATAATTTATTCATTCATTTTTCCATTCATTCAACTAAGATAAATTAAGGGCCTACTGTATGCCAGGCACTGTTCTAGGCATCAGTGAAGCAGGAACCAAACAAAGATTACTTGCTGTCCTAGAATTTACATTTTAGCAACTACTTTCCATTTGCCAACAGAACCAACAGAACTGATTACACTTCAGGTCGTAGTTTAACAAAATGAAACAGCCTTTTGGGCTAGTACTCAGATTGGCTTATGTTGATTCATTCTTTCCACAAATATTTACTGAGTAGCTACTGAGCTACTTTGTAGCAATACAAATGTGTATGAAGATGGGTATCATGCTTTCCCAGAGCTATCTCCTTGGAGATGTAGGAAAGGAAAAAGCCTTTTCCCTCCACCCGCCTAGGTTCAATGACTGGGACCCCTAAATCAAACTGATAAAATGTTAACAAGAGGAGAATAAACTGAAGTTTATTAACACATGTATCAACATATACACATGAGCAATGAATGATGAGTAATTCAAAGTGGGGGTTAGAATAGGGGCTTACACAGCATCTTAATCAACAAAGATTAGACTTAGAGAAGTGACAAGATGAAGGAAAAGGGCTTTTAGTTTCTAGGGTAGCAAATTGTGGGAAAGTAAATATATGGGTTAACTAATGGCAGATAAGGGCTAGTCAGTAAGGTTTGCTATATAGATTCTTCTGGTTTAGTCTCCAGGCTGGTAAGGGTCTAGAATTGCCTCTGGTGATTAACTTCTTCCCTTCCTGATAGAGAAGGGATGGGGGACAGCTTTATAAATTTATGTCCATAGCTGGGTACCATAGTGTTTGCCTGTAATCCCAGCTACTCCAGACACTGAAGGGAAGAGGATCACTTGAGCACAGGAGTTTGAGACCAGCCTGGGCAACATAGGGAGAGCTTACCTAAAAATAAATAAAAAGAAAATATATGTCCTGCTTTTAGGCAAATAGGGTGTTGTAGTCTGTTTTGTGCTGCTATAACAGAATATCTGAGACTGGATAATTTACTATGAACAGAAATTTATTGGCTTACAGTTCTTGGAGGCTGGGAAATCCAATATCAAGGTACTGGCATCTAGCAAGAACCTTCTTGCTGTGTCATCACATGGAGGAAGACAAGAGGGCAAGAGAGGGTCAAATTCATCTTTTTATTAATGGCACGAATCCCAACCATGAGGGTGGAGCCTTTATGACTAATATGGTTTAGATTTGTGTCCCTGCCCAAATCTCATGTTGAATTGAAGGAAGGGTCTGGTAGGAGGTGATTGGATAATGGGGGCAGATTTCCCCCCTACTGTTCTCATAATAGTGAGTGAGATCGCATGAGATCTGCTGGTTTAAAAGTGTGTGGCACTTCCCCCTTCACGTGCACTCTCTCTCTCCTGCTCCACCATGGGAGTAATGTGCCTTGCTTCCTCTTCACCTTCTGCCATGATTGTAAGTTTCCCCAGCCATGTGGAACTCTGAGTCAATTAAACCTCTTTTCTTCATAAACTACCCAGTCTCAGGTAGTTATTTATAGCAAAGTGAAAACGAAATAATACAATAATCAAATCACCTCTTAAAGGTCTCACCTCTTAATACTGTTACAATGGCAATTAAATTTCAACATGAGTTTTGGAGGGGACAAACATTCAAATCATAGCATAGAGGAGGGACAGAGAGCTTTTCTTGTAACTACTTCTCATTTGTCTTCAGCTCAAAATAATTCTTAGGCCTAAAGTGGTATATTGTGGGGTGGCATATTCTGCTACCCTTCAGAAACATATAGCATTTATTAAGACAAGAAAACAGGCCAGGCGCAGTGGCTCATGCCTGTAATCCCAGCACTTTGGGAGGCCAAGGCAGGTGGATCACCTGAGGTCGAGAGTTCGAGACCAGCCTGTCCAACATGATGAAACCCCGTCTCTACTAAAAAAAAAAAAAAAAAAAAAAAAATAGCTGGGGTGTGGTGGCAGGTACGTGTAATCCCAGCTACTCGGAAGGCTGAGGCAGGAGAATCGCTTGAACCCGGGAGGCGGAGGTTGCAGTCAGTCGAGATCGTGCCACTGCACTCCAGCCTGGGCAACAAGAGCAAAACTCCGTCTCAAAAAAACAAGAAAACAATAATACAAAGCATTAAATGCCATGAGCAGGCCGGGCTCAGTGACTCATGCCTGTAATCCTAGGACTTTGGAAGACTGAGGCAGGTGGATCACAAGGTCAGGAGTTCAAGAACAGCCTGGCCAACATGGTGAAACCCCATCACTACTAAAAATACAAAAATTAGCCAGGCGTGGTGGCATGCGCCTGTAGTCCCAGCTACTTGGGGGGCTGAGGCAGGAGAATTGCTGGAACCCAGGAGATGGGACTACAGGTGCAGTGCCAGTAGCCGAGATCTCACCACTGCACTCCAGCCTGGTTGACAGAGTGAGACTCCGTCCTGGAAAAAATAATAATAATAAATAAAATAAAAGCCATGAGCAAAGTAGATAAAGCTGTGAAAACTCAGAGAAGAAAATTCACCTTCATGGAGGAAGTAGCTAGGTGGTGCTGGAGTTGGACTTTAAAGGATGAGTATGATTTGCATATGTAAAATGGAGGTAGGTGGGGCATATTAGCACAAAGGACAATCTGTAACTGATCAAAAGTAATCAATCTTGTTTTATAATGTATATGTTAGTAAAACACATTGAAAACAGACTTGAATCTTTCCTTAAAACTTATTTATCCAAATGAAGTTTTAAAGCAGCTGTTGCTCTCAGTTCAACTGAACACTCAAGGTCTATCTACAATGAATAATTGAAAGAGTTAAAAATTGAGCCCTTGCTGGTGATGCAAACCTGTAGTAACAGCTACTAGGAAGGCTGAGACAGGAGGATCACTTGAACCCAGGAGTTGGAGGCTGTGGCGTGCCATGATCACATTCAGGAATAGCTATTGCACTATAGCCTGGGCAACATAGGGAGACCCCATTTCTTAAAAATAAATAAATGCAAAGAGTGGAAAATTGGTTTTATTTCATATGCCATCTGAGGAACAGACTGCTAGAAGTATTGTGTGTTGCAAATAATTCTGAGGCTTTACTAAAAAGAGTCTGTGATTGATTACTAATGTCAGAAACAGGCACAGGATGTGGCAGTGGCTCTATTTGCCATCCTTGGATTAAGGTCAGATGTCTGAATTGCCTAGTGAAAAGTGCTCTGTAACAGTGGTTTTCAAATTGTTTTTGTTTTTGTTCTTTGCAGCAGAACCCATTGTTTCAATGAAATCTTACTCAGAATCCCAATCTATTAAAGAGTGGAGCTGTCCTCCTTGAAGCAGAGAATGGAAGGGTCAAGGGTCTCACCACCGACCCTCCTCATCATTCACTACAGGGCACCCAGAACACTCCCTGAAAAACTGCCGCTTTATGAGATTGTTGCTTTTCATGTGACAAGAAGAAAAGCATGTGATAATTTGTTTATGTTGATTTCTACAAGAGGGATGATAATCACCATTTTACAGATGCAGAAACTGAGGTCCAAAGAGGTGAAGTGATAAGCCCCAGGCTCATGAAAGATGGTTAGTGAAGAAGTCAAGGACTAGAAGCCAGGTCTTCTCCCTCTTACACGAGCTAGGATGCTACTGGTCTCTGGCCCTGCAGCTCCATCGGAGCTTGTCTTGGGGCTGAACACCAGGGACTTTGGAAGAGAGCTGAGTTTGGGTTGAAATAAATGCAGTGAAAAAGGAGATAGTCCTGCCCTTCTGTCTGAAACTCTGCCTCACTCTGCCTTCAACTACATATCATTTTCAAAAGCTCCTTTATCATTGACACATTAGAGATATGCAATCTTGAGCAGCTCCAGACTCCTGCACAGGCTGAAGTTTCCTCCACACTCCATGTGACTTGCAGGAACTGCAGCAACCTGAGCATCAGCCTCCACCTCTTTCCTCAGCTGTTTGAAGGAGAACCTGTCATCTCTGCCTGGACTGGAGCATGGGGTGGAGCTGCAAAGGGTGGTTCCAGGGACAGGGTGGTCACAGTGAGTCCATAGTAAGGCATTTTACAAATTGTAAAGCACGTTTATTACCCCATCAACCCACTCTCGCATCCTCGCCACCGTCATATGTAGCCTGGACCACTGCAGCAGCCTCCGGTCTTCTCCCCTTACCCACTCTGGTCTCACTATGATCACTTCCATTTTCTGCATGGCAGGCAGAGAGGTCATTTAATAATGCAGATCTGACTGGGTCACTGCCTTGCTTAAAACCCTTCAAGAGCTTCCTATTTTCCTTAGTACCCGGCTGGAAGAGCAGTTACTTGTGAAGAATCATGTGTGGGGGTGTGTGTGTGTGTGTGCATGTATACTCTCTCAAAGGATGGTGGTTTATGATATTTAAACTGGAACATGACATTAGTATAAGCTTCATTTGATACATGGTAGGGTATATTTATTTACTTATGTATATTTATTTAGGTCCTGGCTCATCCACAAAAGAATTGGAGTGACTGGGTATATAATACTGTTCCCACCAGGCATGGTGGCTCACCACTGTAATCCCAGCACTTTGGCAAGCTGAGTGGGAAGGATTGCTTGAGCCCAGGAGATTGAGATCAACCTGGGCAACATAGCCAGATCCTGTCTCTAAAAAAAAAAAAAAAGCTGGGTGTGGCTTGAGCCTGGGAAGTTGAGGCTGTAGAGAACCATGATTGTACCTCTGCACTCCAGCCTGGGCAAAAGAGCAAAGAGCGAGACCCCATCTCTAAATAATAATAATAATATAATGATAATGATGATATTATGTTTCCTGGGCAGGCAACAACAGGAAGCTTTCTCAGCTACATTTTGGAAATGTCAATCCCATTGTACGAACCACCTACAGTCTAAAATAATAATAAATTAATATTCCATTATCCTAGAAGTCCTGAAGGGAAAATAAGGGATGAGATGCCTGCAGAGGTGCTCTCTCACAGCATCAAGGTTATTTCTGGATCACTGAAAGGGCATTCCAATGTGCATTGGGAGAAACTGTCATTACCTAAGATAGTATCCTCTTGGTTTTTTGTTTGTTGGTTTTGTTTTGTTTTGTTTTTTTTGAGACAGAGTCTCTCTCTTTCGCCCAGGCTGGAGTGCAGTGGTGCAATCTTGGCTCACTGCAACCTCCGCCTCCTGGGTTCAAGTGATTCTCTTGCCTTAGCCTCCTGAGTAGCTGGGATTACAGGCACCCGCCACCACACCTGGCTAATTTTTGTATTTTTAGTAGAGACAGGGTTTCACCATTTTGGCCAAGCTTGTCTCGAACTCCTGATCTCAAGTGATCCGTCCGCCTCGGCCTCCCAAAGTGTTGGGATTACAGGCGAGAGCCACTGCCCCTGGGCTCCTCTTGTATTAATATCATCCTGGCAGTGGCCCCGGGTCCCTAAGTCATGGGGGCCATTCCCTCAACCATGTTTTTCACAATTTATTAATAGAAAAGGGCCCTTGGTGGACCAATTTTTTAAACATTTTCTTTGAAGTTACTTATTTTGAATTAGGTAACACAAAATATTTCAAAATTCCAAAGGTACAAGAGTGCTTAAGATAAAGCTGCTCCTTCCCACTCATCTTCCAGCCACAGCAATCACTGTTACTGGTTTCTAGAAATAGTCTGTGCATATACAAGTCTGCAAGTTTGTGGTTTTTATTTTCATTCAAATAGTGGAATTCTATTCACAATGTCTTGTGCCTTGTATGTTTCCCCACCTTGCTTTTTCAGTCAACAGTTTATCTTGAAGCCCAGCTTCACTATGTGACTGTTCTGAACTATGACGGACCTGTGTGCTTGAGATCCTTAAAGGGCAGGAGGGATTTGGATCCCGCCAAACTGAAACTGTCTGACTTGGGGTGGGAGGGCTTCGGCCCATGTCTACTCAGGCTGATTCGGAAGCTCATCACCTGCAGGAAGGGCAGGTCTGGGGTCAACCAGTGCCAGCCTTCTGCACATCACTTGGGGATGCATTTATTTTTAGAGTTTTTAAATTACACAGGAAACACACAAATGTATTCCTGCTGGATAAAAACGTCAAACAATACAATTAAAGTAAAAGCCCATTTGAATTCCCAAACCCAAGTTTACTCTCTCTATTCAGAAGTATTCACTGTAAGCCGGGTGCAGTGGCCTACGCCTGTAATCCCAGCACTTTGGGAGGTTGAAGTGGGCGGATTACCTGAGGTCAGGAGTTCAAGACCAGCCTTGCCAACATGGTGAAACTCCATCTCTACTAAAAATACAAAAATTAACCAGGAGTGGTGGCGCATGCCTGTAATCCCAGCTACTTGAGAGACTGAGGCAGGAGAATTGCTTGAACCTGTGTGGCGGAGGTTGCAGTGAGCAGAGATAGCGCCACTGCACTCCAGCCTGGGCGACTCAAAAAAGAAAAAAAAAAAAGTACGCACTGTAGCCATTTGATATTTTGTGTGTTTTGAGACTTTTTTATTTTTTATTTTTATTTATTTATTTATTTTTGAGAGGCAGTCTCACTCTGTCACCCAGGCTGGAGTGCAGGCTCACTGCAACCTTCGCCTTTCAGGCTCAAGCAATCCTCCCGCCACAGCCTCCCAAGCACCTGGGATCACAGGTGCATGCTACCATGCCCAGCTAATATTTTTTAGAGATGGGATTCCCAATGCTTCTTGGCCTTTTGGATAAGATCAAGTGTACAGATGGGGTTTCCCCATGTCACCCAGGCTAGTCTCGAACTCCTAAGCTCAAGCAATCCGCCTGCGTTGGCCTCCCAAAGTTCTGGGATTATAGGCACGAGCCACCGCTCCCAGCCTTGAGACTATTTTTTTAATGGAGAGGTCATTTTTGTTGTTTTCCTACATGAGACCATATTCTGTGTACTCTACAACTTGCTTTTTTCATTTAACATTTTGTTTTAGACATAATCCCACTTAAAGTATATAGATCTATTTCATTCTCTACAATGATCACATTACTATTTTATTGTATGGACATACTATAATTTATTTAGACATTTTCCTCTTGGCTGGGTGCAGTGGCTCACACCTGTAATAACAATAATAATAACAATTATTATTATTATAATATATAAAAAACAGAGGTTAAATTAGAATGTATTGAAAACAGTGAACACAGAGATTGGCAGGTAGTAAGTTAGTTCACATCATGTCCAAGAGGATCTCACCTTCCACACCGGAAAATGACCCATCAAGGTGTTTATCTTACAAAAGAGCAGGTATTGCCCTAAGTGAGTTGTGCCACCAACCTAGGACATCCAACAGTTAGCTTTTAACATAATTACTTTCTTCCCTGTTAGTGTGTTGTAAGAAAGCTTCCTTTCGACTTAACACTTTAGAAATGTTGCTTATAAAATGCTTCAGTTCTCAGGGATTTCATGGTGAAAATGAAAGATGCTCTTGGATAACTTGAATGTGTCATCCAGGCCAACAGAGCTGAGATGCAGTGCAATTTCTCCCCCGCCTCTGCTATCATCCCTCCCTTCACAGATGGCACCTCCACTCACCCAAGTTTCAATCAGACTCTGGGAGTCATCCTTGAGTCCCCTTTTCCTTGTCCTCCACCCTCGGTCCCTCAGCAAGTCCTGCTGGGCTTACCTGCAAATCCTCTGTCTCCATCCATACCAGCACAGGCAGCCCTTCAGCTCTCACCTGGGCCAGCGCAGTGGTTTCCTCATGGGTCCCCTGCTTCAACTCTTGCCTTCCTGCAGGAAGTCCATTGTCCCCTAGGCTAGCAGAGGGAGCATTTAAAAGCATCAGTGGGATCACTCCCCTCTTGTGCTTAAAGGCAACCAGTGCTTCCTATTGCCTTCAGAGTGAAAACCAGACTCCATGACAAGGCTCTGCTTATCCCAGCCCGCCTTTCTCCAGCCCTGGCTTCTGCTGCTGCCCCTGACCCCCTCATTTCTCTGCCCCTAATGCCATGGCCCGCCGCTCTGAGCCTTTGCACTTGCTCTTCCTTGGACCACTCCCAACACCTGTAGCTCCTTCTCAACTTCAGAAAGACCTTTCCTGACCATTCATTCTAAATCAGTCCAGCCTTAATTTCTCTGGATCATGTCGCCTGTTTATTAGCATCTGAGTCTCTCTCTCTTTCTACTTATTTGTGTGCTGTGTTCTCCCCAACTAAACTGGAGGCTCCCTGAAGGCAGGAGCCTCGTCTGTCTTTTTCACTGCTCTGGCCCAGCATTTTGTGCGGTATATACTTGCTGAATGAATGAACAAATGAATGAATGAATCAATGAGGAAAATGAAGAGGAAATCCCAGGGGAATATATGGTCTGAGGAGATACTCAAGGTAGGGGTGCCAAGGGAATTGCCACTCCATACAGAAGCCTGGTTCCTCCCTGTGAGGGAGTCTGGGTGGGAGCTGATCTGAGCCAGAGGCATTGGCCGTGGAGTCCAGGGGTCTCCTGTGTGGCTTCCTGAGATGGCAGAGGGAGTATCCCCACCCTGCCCCCATCAGAAATACCCAGACTGCTGGAGCAAAAGGGCACAGCTGCTGCCTCCAATGCCGATTTCCACACAGCCACTGCCTTCTTCCACCAACCACAGAGCCCCTGAGTTGCCATAGCAACAGAGGACTGCACCAGAGTCCAAATAGGGATGTCTGCATTTCCCGGCACTTCTGGCTGGGGAGGCAGGGGGTGGTCAGTCCACAGCTGTGCCTATGCCCTGTCTCTGACCTGTCCTGGTCTCTAAGCAAAGCACCCTCCTCTGCCTTTCCACCCTCATTTCACTTCCTCACTTGAAAATCTTAAGAAGAGGATCTGGAAAAATAACTAACAGGTACTAGGCTTAATACCTGGGTGATGAAATAATCTGAACAACAAACCCCCATGACACATGTTTACCTATGCAACAAACCAGCACATGCACCCTTGAACTTAAAAGTTAAAGAAAAAAAAAAAGGCCGGGCGTGGTGGCTTACGCCTGTAATCCCGGCACTTTGGGAGGCCGAGGCAGGTGGATCACCTGAGGTCAGGAGTTCGAGACTGGCCTGGCCAAAATAATGAAACCCCGTCTTTACTAAAAATACAAAAAATTAGCTGGGCGTGGCAGCCTGCACCTGTAATCCCAGCTACCTGGGAGGCTGAGGCAGGAGAATTGCTTGAACCCAGGAAGTGGAGGTTGCAGTGAGTCAAGATCGCGCCACTGCACTCCAGCTTGAGGGACAGAGAGAGACTCTGTCTCAAAAAAAAAAAAAAAAAAAAAAATTAAAAAAAAAAGTCTCAGGAAGCACTCATGTCAGGATCTTCTCTGCTTTCTCTCCGCACTGTGGAAGGAGAGGGGAGGGATGGCCTTGTCTTTGTGTCCTGTCCAGGCCCACAAATTGGACAAAAGAACAAAGGAGCAGGATTCTCTGATATCTCACAGCTCTCAAGCCTGCCTAAAGAATGTTTTCTTTTTAAATACCACTTGGTTAGTCTAGCTGGTCACCTCCTGGAGTTTTTTAGTTTCTATCAACTGCCTTTTTGGTACCCCTAAAGAAACTCCTGAAGAAGCAAAACCTGCCTTTTACTCCCCAGAAGCTAAGAGCCTTTTGGAGGAGCTGCTGTTGTTGTCTGTCAGAATAACAACAACAGCATCTACCACTCACTAAGTGAATGTGTGACATGCATCACTTCTCTCCATCCTTACAACCGCCCTGCGAAAAAGGTGTTAGTAGTCCCATTTTGTATGTAAGGAAACTGAGGTCACATAGCTGCTAAGAGGCCACGCTGCAATCTGAGCCCTGGACTCTCAGACTCTGAATCCCAGGCCATTGGCCGCTGCTTTATGTTGGGAGGCACAGCCAGCTCCATGGAATGACATATTTAGCTTCCCCAGCCCCAGCCAGTCCCCTGGGTCCTCACGTGGCTCCCTCCCAGCCATGGTGGCTAGCAGTTGTTGGCTCTGTCCCCATGCCACGTCACCCCCACAGGGATCTGATGGCAACTCGCTCAAAGTGGGAACAAAGGCAGCATTTTTAGCCCCTTCTTTAGAAACCTTGACTCCTTGCCACATACGCGGCCACTCGGATTGGCTGTTACCATGGTAACTGGCTGCCGCTCTCTGTCCAATTATGTCAGCCCTGAACTGCAGGGCTTCCGTGCCCATTTCCTGCCCGATCTCCCCAGCCTGCCAGCCCAGCCCCTCTGACCTCCAGGCAGCTTTGAATGCCTATGCTTTCTAATTACAGCTGCCTTTCAATGCCCCTGTCCTTTCTGAACCCTTTGTAATCTGCATGGAACTTCTCCCAACAGCCCATTGTCACACTCAGCTCCCTGGCCCTTTATCTGTGGTTTCTATAGCATTGATTGTGTATCTGGCCTTGTACCCAGCATACACACACGCCCCAAAGGGCACACAGCTTGGGCACAGAAATTTCAAACATCCCAGGCTCAGTGCCTGGCACTGAGATGTTTCTCCTGCAATTGTGACCTCGTTGGGGGTCTCAGTGGTCTGATTTCAAGCCATCTTCTTTGTACATTCATTTGTTCATTCAATGACTCATGAGCACCTATGATGTGCCAGGCACTAGGGATACCAAGTTAAACAAGACAAAATGGAACTTTACATTTTTGGGGGGTGCAGGGGTGATCAATGTAAACACGTAAGCAATTAAGTAAATACATGTAATTTTGGATCATGTTAAGCACGGTGAAGAGAAAGAAATGAGGGACCCCAATTCTGGGATGGACACTTGCTTCTGTCCTCACTCAAGCTCCCCACTTCCAGCCAGAGGGGTTCACCAGATGAAGGGGGTGAGGAGGAGGTGCTTGGTGTCCATTGGGCACTTTGGATGCAAGTGGCAGAGACCAAAGTTCAGCAGCTTAGGGAAAAGGGTGCTCTGGGCAGAGCTGCAGCTGGAGCTCTGAGGCCTGAAAGTCACCAAGACTCAGTTATCGTCTCTTCTCTCTGCATCCCTCTCAGACGTCAGCTTCCTTTCCTCTCCTTGCAGCAGCTTTTCTTTTCTTTTAATTTTTAAATTTTATTACTATTATTACTATTTTTGACACAGAGTCTTACTCTGTCACCCAGGCTGGAGTGCAACGGCATGATTTCGGGTCACTGCAACCTCCACCTCCCGGGTTCAAGCGATTCTCCTGCCTCAGCCTCCCAAAGTAGCTGGGACTATAGGCGCCCGCTGCCACACCTGGCTAATTTTTATATTTTTGGTAGAGACAGGGTTTCACCATGTTGGCTGAGTTGGTCTCGAACTCCTGACCTCAGGTGATCCACCCACCTCGGCCTCCCAAAGTGCTGAGATTACAGGCTTGAGCCACCATGCCCGGCTAGCTTTTCCCACATGACAGAAAGCATGGCTGTGGACAGATCCTATGAATTTTACCTTTCACTGCCTCAGTCATGGGAGACAGCCTGACCTCAAGCATTCTTGAAGTCTAAGAGACAGAAACCAAGGGAAGAGGCTTAATGGCCCAGGTCAGAGGTTCCCATACCTGGACTAATCAACTAAGCCCAAGGATGGGATCAGAGTACAGACAAGGAGGCTCCCTGGTTTCTGGCTAGCCCTCTGTGGTTGCAGAAGGCAGACAATCCCAGCATCTAGAACACCCTTGCAAAGTGAAACTCCCCTAGGTATGTGCCCTTCACTCCCTCACCTCATCCCACCCAGCCCTACCCCTGCTTTCTTACTTTCACAGTCTCACTTCTGCTCCTGAGAGGCAATCTTATGGCCTATGCTCCAGCTCAGTCCCAACTCTTTAAAATAAATAAATAAATAAATATATAATTTTTAAAAATTTATATTATTGACTAGAGTCACCCTGTTGTGCTATCAAATAGTATGTCTTATTCATTCTTTCTATTTTTGTACCCATTACCCAACCCCCGCCTTCCCCCTACTACCTACTATGTCCATGAGTTTGTTTTGATTTTTAGATCCCAAAAATAAGTGAGAACATGCAAAAAATTAAAATTAAAAATTAAAACAAAATTTTTGTGGGGATAGAGTCTTGCTCTGTTGCCCAGACTGGAGTGCAGTGGCGGGATCATAGCTCACTGCAGCCTTGAACTCCTAGGCTCAAGTGATCCTCCCACCTCAGTCTCCGGAGTAGCTGTGACTACAGGCATGCACCACCATGCCTGGCTTTTTTTTTTTTTTTTTTTTTTTTTTTGTAGAAACAGGGTCACATCACCTTGTCCAGCCTGGTCTTGAACTCCTGGGCTCAAGCCATCCTCCCACCATAGCCTCCCAAAGTGTCGGAATTACAGGTGTGAGCCACTGCACCCAGCCTCAGTCCCGACTCTTAAGGTCAGTCTTTGAGGTTGACCTCAAGTGAGTCCCACTCACTTCATGCATGACCCCAAGTCACCACCAACACCAGGCTACTGTATACAGCAGGTTTTACTGAAGGTCTGGGGGTGACAGATGGGGAACATCCCATAGCTCACAAGACCAACTTATGCTCCAACAGAATCATTTCTCAGTCTTCCAGGGCTCAGACTAAGGATGTTGCATTGTTTGCTCATTGACTTCTCCCCCAGGGTGCACCCTGAAATTCCTTGTTACTTTCTAATGCAGAAGTATTCAGTTTTCAGCTTCCATCCAAATCAAACTCCTGAGCCTACCTTGGCATAGTCTCAAAATACATTAAGTGCTTTGCTAAACAAAGGAATCTTCATTGTGAGCCTCCAAAGGACAGGAGAAGCTTTGGAGCTGTAGTTATTTTTTAAAATTTATCTGCTCTCAAATTCTTAGGGGTCCTATTCCCAAAGACCACAGCAAACACAGGAGGTGGGATGGAGCAGGGTTCACACATGCACTCTGATGTGGCCCCAGGATAAAGTGCTGTCCCACTCAATATTCAATAAAGTGCTTTCCCCCTCTTGTAAGGTTGATTGGGGAAACTTAGATGTGTTATATTTTACTATGTCTCCTATCTTAGTCTGTTGTGTGCTACTACAATAGAATACTTAAGATTGAGTAATTTATAAAGAACATAGGTTTATTTCTACTGTTCTGGGAAGTCCAAGGTCAAGGGTCCTGAGTGTAGCAAAGGCCTTCTTGTTCCCATGGCAAAAGGTGGAAAGCAAGAAAGTGTGGGAGAGAGCCAAAGAGCAAGAGATGGAACTTGCAGCCTCAAGCCCTTTTATAATTGGCATTCATTCATTCATGGGGGTGGAGCCTTCATGACCTAAACATCTCCCATTAGGCCCCATCTCCCAACACTGTGGCACCGTGGATTAAGTTTCCAATACAATGCTTTTTGGGGAGACACATGCAAACCATGGCAAGGACAGGAGTGGGAGTGGGAGAGTTCATATATCCTGATGTGGCCCCAGGATAAAGGGCTGCTCCCCTCAATGCTGAGCTTTTGTAAGGTTGATTGGGAAAAACTTGTATGTGGTATAACTCACTATATATCCTTTGGGGTTAGATCAGTGCTGCATGCTCAGATCCCTTAGCCTTCCTTTGAGGGATGGGTTCAACAAGCTACATACCAGCCCAAACCCTGACAGTAACACAAAGGAAGAATGAATGGCTCCCAGACTGTAGAGGTGGGGGACACCTCAGCAAGAGACACAGATGGGAGAAGAGAAAGACTTATGAAACATGGAGAGAGTCACTCCCATTGTGGGTTCTATTTTCCAGCTGAAGAAGTTCAAGTGCATGCTTGCATTTCCAGAGCCTACCCTTTTGCCTCTCAGAGCTATGGGATCTGAAAATGCTAAAATTCTAAGAGTCATCTCCTCTGAGTCTCCCTATTGGATCCATAAAGATTCAAAGATGACAGGCATCTGAGGCTGGGCATGATGGTTCACGCCTATAAGCCCAGCACTTTGGGAGATCAAGGGCAAGGATCACTTGAGCCCAGGAGTTCAAGACCAGCCTAGCCAACACAGTAAGACCCCCAACTCTAAAAAAATAATAATTTTTAAAAAAAGAAAAGAAAAAGAATTTGAGACAGGCATCTGAGAAGGTGTGCCCTTACACCTTTCCAGCTGCTTGAAGTGGTTTCTATGAACAATCAAGGCCCTCTATGTGGCCTCCCAGGGCCTATGCAGGGGTAGACGCTCTGCCCGGGGCACTCAAGCATGGGTCTGCTGGCTTTGTCCGAGGGGCCATTTGCAGTCTTCTGGAGGGATGGGAGGCAGTGGTAGGAACCCAGATGCACACTTTGCTCCCCCAGAGAATTCATATGAAGAGAATTACCAAGATCTTGGTGTTCATTCCTTAGAAATCTCCTTCTACCTTATTAACTCTAAGCAAACTGCAGGCTATTTCTGAAAATGCATTTGACTTTGAATCTAGGGGCTAGGCTGCATGGGTGTTGAGATCTCTTCCCCTTCTCACAAGAGGGCAGTAGCAGGCATATTGGAGTAAGCACTGGGCCAGGAACCAGGGAATTTTGTCATCTGTTTTTAGCCCTGATGAGGTCTGACCTTGAGTAAGTCTCTTGCATGGCAGGGCCTCAGATTCCTCATCTGTTAAATGCATGGTTTGACTGGTGTAATTTTCTATCATCTCAGCCACTCATATCCACCATCATAATTTTTGTCATACCTGGGTGTCACCTGTATTTTTTATATACTTAGTATGCTTCTGAAAATTGAATTCGCTTTTCAACTTGGCTTCATGCCAGGCAGTATGTCCAAGAAATCACATATTTAATGTACTAGTTTTATTTTTACCACTATGTACTAGAACACTTTTTTATTTTAGGAGACAGAGTCTCATTCTGTCACCCAGGCTGGAGTGCAGTGGCACAATCTTGGTTCACTGCAACCTCTGCCTCCTGGGTTCAAGTGATTCTCCAGCCTCAGCCTCCTGAGTAACTGGGATTACAGTCACGTGTCACCATGCCTGGCTAATTTTTTTGTATTTTTAGTAGAGACAGGGTTTCATCATGTTGGCCAGGCTTGTCTTGAACTCTTGACCTCAAGTGATCTGCCTGCCTCAGCCTCCCGAAGTGCTAGGATTACAGGCGTGAGCCACCACGCCCAGCTTATAACACTTACTTTTAATCATATTTATCTCTATAACCTCTGAAACCATCCTGTATCACCCTTTGGGAAATACTGGACCACAGCATCACTTTGATTACCCAATGTCTTCTCCCCTACTGAGAAATTGTAATAGTCCCAAAAGGAAATGCAATTTCAGAAAGAAAAAAGGAAAAAAAATATGTATATGTGTGTGTGTATATATATATGTGTGTGTGTGTATATATATATAATTCCTGAGCCAACAGCCAGCATGACCCTTGGAATAAAATGGTTGTATTTTGACAACTTTTTGTCTCCCATCACAGGTATGGGACCTAACTCTGACTCCCATTTTCCCATTTCCTGAGTCTGAGGAGTCTCCTGGGCCCTGCCCACTTTCCCTTGGAAGCACCACAGAATTCCTTCAGTCTCTTGAGTATCTGGGATTACAGGTGCCTGCCACCACACCCAGCTAATTTTTGTATTTTTAGTAGAGACAGGATTTCACCATGTTAGTCAGGCTGGGCTCGAACTCCTGACCTCAGGTGATTCACCCGCCTCGGCCTCCCAAAGTGCTGGGATTACAGGCATGAGCCACTGCGCCCAGCCACTCCTAGGTATTTACTCATGATAAATGAAAACATATTTATAGTAGCTTTATTCATGATAGCCTGAAACAAACCTCAAAGGCCCATATAGATGAAGAGATAAACAAATTGAGAAATAGCCAGATAGCTGAATATGATTTGGCAGTAACAAGGACTGTACTGTTGATATGACACACGCAGCAACATGGCTGATTCCCAGAAACATAAGAGAAGCAAAAGAAACCAGGCACATAGAAAAATGATTTTTTTCTTTTTTTTTTTTTTGATGTAAGTGAAACTGTGAACAGAAAAGAATGCATATTGTATGATTCCATTAATACTACTTTAAAGAACAGGCAAAAGTACTCTGTGGTGTCAGAAATCAGAACAGTGGTTGTCTATGCAGGATAGGGGTTGAGCAGAAGGGGAAATCTTCTGGGGTCACGGAAATGTTCTATATTTCATTGGGGTGTTGGACATGCAAGTGTATACATTTGTTTAAATTCATCCAGTTATACTCTGAAGATTTTTGCATTTCATGGTTTGCAATTTTACCTTAATTTTAAAAACAAAACTAAAAAAATACATTCTCTGGCCCCACCCTACTGAATCCATACTGAATCAGAATCCCTGGAGGAAAAACCTGCAAATTTATGTCTTACAAACCTCCCCAGGTGTTTCAGATACACAGCCAGGTTGGGGAAACTTTGGCTCCTAAGTAAGCTTCTGCTGACTCATAGTTAATCAAATGTGGGGAAGTTATAGGGCTGCTATTAGAAAGAGAGACCATAATAACATCTATTGCTTATTGAGCATTTATCTTCTCAAATTCTTCCAGTAACTCAGCAGGGCAGGTATTATTGTCTTCATTTTGTAGATAAAGAAATTGAGGGCAAGACATTTGCTCAGATCAGCTGGTAAGCAGCAAAACGACTGGCCCAACTCTTCCTTAGCACAAATATCTCATTCTTTCTATCATTCATTCATTCATTCATTCATTCAGCAATCAAAAACAGATGAGTATTGTGTGCCTTCTTGGTGCCAGGCACTATGCTGGGCATGATGCCACACCAACCTCCCTGAGAAGGCTGCAGTGAGCAGTGATGGCTGTGCTAGATGAAGGCCGTAAAGCAGCCTTTACCTCTGCCTTGTAGACTTGGGCAGGAAAAGGGTCCCCAGGCCTCTTTTGATTTTAATTATTCAGGTAGTTTCAGGGAGAGGCAGGAGGTTTATGGTTATATAAACATAACTAAAGAAAACCTCTGTGTTGTTTACTTTGAGAACTTTCCAGAAGCTAACACCAATAGCAGGTCATGTTAAAAATGGGTTAAAATCATTATCAGATTATGAATAATTCACCAGGCACCCCCTGTTGCCCATTACGTTTTATACTACATAATTGCTTCCTGGAAGTCTGCTCCCAGTGCAGGGAATTGGGAGTATCCATGAAATTGAATATTTCTGCTTTTGACAAGTAAATTTAAACAAAATTGTGGATTAGTTTCAGTCCACTGCTGCCTGTCCCTTTTGAGTTGATAAGACCGGTCCTTTACCCCCAGCAAAATAGCTGAGCGAGTAAAAAAGGGTCCAGCTCCTTTGAAAGGGAAATTAGCCCCAGATCTTATTCATACCAGGCAGTGTCCCAAAGATTCTAAGTATTTTGGAGGACTAAGTGTGGAAGTGGGGCTGGGGGAGGGATGTCTAAAGGAGAATCAGAGTCAAACCACAAAATGTACTCTGGATACTGTGATATAAAAAAGGGAATGATCAGAATAAGAAGAGCAATGATACTTAAAAAAAAAAAAAATTGAATTAGGCCAGGCTCCGTGGCTCACGCCTATAATCCCAGCACTTTGGGAGGCTGAGGCGGGCGGATCACTTGCATTCAGGAGTTCAAGACCAGCCTGGGCAAAATGGTGAAACTCTGTCTCTACAAAAATAGAAAAATTAGCTGGGCATGGTGGCACATGCCTGTAGTCCCAGTTATCCAGGAGGCTGAGGTGGGAGGATCACTTGAGCCCAGGAGATTGAGGCTACAGTGAGCTGTGATTGCAACACTGCACTCCAGCCAGGGCAACAGAGTTGAACCCTGTCTCAAAAAAAAAAAAAAAAAAAAAAAAAAAGAGTTGGATTAGATGTAACTCATGTACCCAAAATTCATCCTTTTCAAGTATACATGCCACTGTTTTTTAGTATATTCACAAGATTGTACAACCATCACTACTATCTAATTCCAGAACATTTTAATGTCCCAAAAGAAACTGTATATCCATTAGCAGCTACTCTCCATTCCTCTCTCTCTCTAGCCCCAGCAACCACTAATCTACTTTCTGTCTCTATGGATTTGCCCATTCTAGACATGTCATATACATGGAATCATGCAATTTGTTGCCTTTTGTTACTGGCTTCTTTTGCTTAGCATGATATTCTTAAAGTTCATCTGTGTCATGGCATGTATCAAAACTTCATTCCTTTTTATTGCTGAATAACATTCTGTTGTATGGATAAACCATATTTTGTTTATACATTCATTCACTGATGAGCAATTGGATTGTTTCTACTGTTTTGGCTATTATACGTAATGTTGCTGTGAACATTTATGCACAGGTTTTTGTATGAAAATATGTTTCCAGGGTAGATGCTGTGGCTTATACCTGTAATCCCAGCACTTTGGGAGACCGAGGTGGAAGGATCGCTTAAACCCAGGCTTTTGAGACCAGCCTGGGCAACACAGCAAGAGCCCCAGCCCTACAAAAAAAAAAAAAAATTAAAGAAAATATGTTTTCCGTTCTCTTGAGTATACACCTAGGAGTAGAATTGCTGGGCATATGGTAACATATGTATAATCTTTTGGGGAACTGCCAGACTCTTTTCTACAGTGGCTGCGCCACTCTACATTTCTACCAGCAGTGTTCAGGGGTTCTGCCCTTCTCTACAATGCCTGATTTCTCTAGCAATGCCCTTACTTTATCTTCCTTGTCAAAACTTATCTGTTCTATGTACTATTCACAGCTTATATGAAAAGCTCATCAACATTACTGATTCCATGTGTCATCCCTTCTAGATAACACATTTGCAGTTCAAGAAGAGCCTCCTGGAGAGACAATTAATCAGGACTCTCTCAAATCCAAGTGGTCTGAAGCAAAAAGAGAATTTATTTACTTATGTAGCTAGAAGGATAATGGGGTAGCTTATAGACTTTAAGGGGGAGTTATAGGAACAAAGACTTCAGGGTAAATTTCTCTCTCCCTCTCTCTCTCTCCCCCCCCCACTCCACCCCCCAACCCCTCCCTTCCCTCCCTCTCTTGTTTCTTTGGGTGCCCCTTTTGTTGTTGTTGTTGTTCTTCTTCTTTTTTTTTTTTTTTTTAGACGATGTCTCATTTGGTCACCCAGGCCGGAGTACAGTGACACAATCTCAGCTCACTGCAACCTCTGCCCCCCAGGCTCAAGCAATCCTCCTACCTCAGCCTCCTGAGTAGCTGGGACTATATGCGCACACCAGCTCGCTCTGCTAATTTTTATATTTTTTGTAGAGGCAGGGCTTCACCCTGTTACCCAGGCTGTTCTCAGACTCCTGAGTTCAAGTGACTGCTGGCCTCAGCCTCCCAAAGTGCTAGGATTACAGGCATGGACCACCACGCCCAGCCTGGTGCCCTCTTTCTATGGCTCTCTCTCCACCACTCATCTCTGTTGCCTCTGCCTGGCCTCATTCCATAGTCAGTTTCTTTCCTTGTAAGAATGATGGCTGGCAGAAGACTCAGACTAACACCCTCCCAGCTTAGTAACACAGGGACAGGGACCCTCTCTCTCCCTGCATTGGTTATGCCATGCCCATCCCTGGACCAATCATGTGTCCAGGAAAATGAAGTCTAATGTTTGGCCCAAGCTGGCTCCCATGCCTGTCTCTGTGGTCAGATCAGAAGAAGAGGAATGGATGTGTGGAAGTAGGTGGTGGGAGTTACACACTGGGGAGCCAGAATTAATTGCTGCCAAAAATCTTAATTTAAAGGAGAAGCTCCAATGATAGGAACTTCAGACACCATGGCAGACAGGTAGAAGGATATTTGGGGACAGGAAGAGCTGGAAATCAACTCCAGAGCTTACTCTGTCTAGGTCTGGAGGCAGCCCTGCTCTGGACAGACTCCTGGAGTAGTAGAGAATACTGAGCCCCTGAAAACCCAACAGGCACTTTCCAAATTACAGTGCAACATGCACCACCACAGCGAACCTGAAGACCAGGGCAGGCCCAGCACTTAACCGCATTACCGCCTCCCTAGTCATTACAATCTGTGCAATTTTACTTTTTCCAAGTGAGTAGAGCAGTCTTTTTTAGAAAATGGAGGAATAACTTCAGTAATTGAAAACATTTTCCTTACTCTCAGTGGGTTCCAAAATCTGACAAGGACTCTTAAGGGACTTCAAAACACTTCTCAATTATGATTAAACCAGATATTAGAGTCTACACTTTAAAAAGAGGAAATGAGCTGAATCCTCAGATGTCAGAGCTGGAGGAGCCCATGGGACCACTTAGTTCCCTCAGTTGTTCTACAGAGGGAGAAACTGAGGCCAAGTGCTGGAAGGGACCCATCTGGTCCTCCAGAGCACAGGCGGCAGAGCCAGCACTTATATCCAGATCTCCTGGCCCAGCATCCTTTCCCCCCGACCAGGTCTCTTGGCTGCACTCTCCCTCATGAGCACCAACTCAGATAAAAAATACAGCTCCAGATACATAGTAAGGGTCTAAGAATGAGGTGCTGAATGAATGCAAAGACTTTCCTGTTTTAATTTTCTCTTTGGGCATCATTGCAGGAACGCAATCTATGCCTTGGGGACAGTTTCTTGCTGAAATCAGCACTGCCTGTGCCATAATCTAGCTGTGAGTCACAGATTGCACAGGAAGCATCTTAATGACATTGCTCTGAGAGAGACAAGAGGAGAGTACTTGAGGGGAGGAACAGAAACAAGCACAGGAATTTTTGGAAGTGGTATAAAGAGCTGCAATCAACAGACTCGATCTGAGTACTGACAATGTGTAACATTCTGTGAGCAGTAGGAAGACATTTCAGACACAATGCTGTCTTCCACAGTTACAATCTAGTTACCCAGGGAAGGAGACATACTGCTGGGACATGTTTTGGAGTCCTTTTGTTGTTGTTGTTTTTGCATGAAATTGTAAAAGTTCTTTATTTAAGGGTTTAGTTCTTGTCTGTCTTATAGGTTGCAAATATTTCTCTTCAGTTTTCATTTGTCTTTTGACTTGTTTTTTTCTCTTCTGAAGTATTTAATTTGCATATGTAATCACGTCTATCAGTCTTTTCTTTGGTGTTGCCTAAGCTTCAGTGTCATATTTTAATATCCTTTCTACTTCAATTTTTTTCTTTTTTTTTTAAACAGGGTCTCACTCTGTCACCTAGGCTGGCCAGGCTGGAGTGCAGTGGTGCAATCACAGCTCACTGAAGCCTTGATCCCCTGAGCTCAAGTGATCCTCCCTCTTCAGCCTCCTGAGTAACTGAGACAATAGGCACATGCCACCATGCCCACCCAGCTTTTTTTTTTTTTTTTTTTTTTTTTCTTGTAGTATAATCAAGATCTCCTTATGTTGCCTAGGCTGGTCTTGAACTACTGACCTCCAGTGATTTTCCCACCTTGGCCTCCCAAAGTCCTGGGATTACAGACATGAGCCACTGTACCTGGATTCTACTTCAATTTTCTTTATCAAAATTTTTTCCAGTAGTTTTAAACACTTAAATATTTAAACCATCTGGAATTTATTTTGGCGTAAAATGTGAGGTAGAAATCTAAGGTGTTTTTGTTTTTGTTTTTGTTTTTTTTGTTTTTCCAATGGTTCATCAGTTATCACAGTAATATTTATTGACTAATAATTCTCCTCACTTGCCAGTAATGTTTTATAGAGGTACAGAGAGAAAATGTATACTTGTTTTTTTTTTTTTTTGAGACAGAGTTTCGCTCTTGTCACCCAGGCTGGAGTGCAATGGCACAATCTCAGCTCACTGCAACCTCTGCCTCCCGGGTTCAAGCAATTCTCCTGCCTCAGCCTCCCAAGTAGCTGGGATTACAGGCGAGTGCCATCACACCTGGCTAATTTTTGTACTTTTAGTAGAGACGGGGTTTCACCATGTTGGCCAGGCTGATCTCAAACTCCTGACCTCAGGTGATCCACCCGCCTCGGCCTCCCAAAGTGCTAGGATTACAGGCATGAAGCACCGAACCCGGTGGTTTTTTTTTTTTTTTTAAAGTATGTGCACAACTTTCATGACACTTTTTTCAAAGGGTGCAATTTAATTTCCCTTTCCTTGAGTGTCAACTGGACTTAGTAAGTTCCTCTCTCTCTCTCTCTTTTTTTTTTTTTTTTTAGAGACAGATCTCCTCTCTGTTACTCAGGCTGAAGTATAGTGGCACAATCATAGCTCACTGTAGCTTCAAATTCCCAAGCTCAAGAAATCCTCCCACCTCAGCCTCCCAAGTAGCTAGCACTACAGGTGTGCACCACCACACCCAGCTAATTAAAATTTTTTTTTTTTTTTTTTAGAGACAGGGTCTTACTATGTTGCCCAGCCTGGTCTCAAACTCCTGGCCTCAAGTGATCCTCCCACCTTAGCCTCCCAAAGTGCTGGGATTATAGGCATGCGCCACCATGTCTGGCCTGGACTTAGTAAATTTTAATGACTAAAATATTATGGATTGTGTAAGTGATGTGTGATTTCTGAGACTAAGTCATATTATAAAAGGCATGCAACTTGCTTCTTGCTGTCTTGAATCACCCACCCCTGGGGACACTCAAGCAGTCCTATGGGAAAGATCCATATAGGAGGAACTGAGGCCCCCCAGCCAACAGCCATGAAAGTGCACCTTTTATAAGTGGATCTGTAGCCCTTGTCAAGCTTTCAGATGACTGCAGCCCCAGTCAATGCCTTGAGCATAAGTTCATAAGAGACCCTGGGGACTGGGCACAGTGGCTCATCCCTGTAATCCTAGCACTTTGGGAGGCTGAGGCTGGAGGATCACCTGAGCCCAGGAGTTCGAGACCAGCCTGGGCAACATGGCGAAAACCCATCTCTACAAGAAATACAAAAATTAGGCCGGGCGCGGTGGCTCACGCCTGTAATCCCAGCACTTTGGGAGGCCGAGGCGGGCGGATCACGAGGTCAGGAGATCGAGACCATCCTGGCTAACAAGGTGAAACCCCGTCTCTACTAAAAATACAAAAAATTAGCCGGGCGTGGTAGCGGGCGCCTGTAGTCCCAGCTACTCGGGAGGCTGAGGCAGGAGAATGGCGTGAACCCGGGAGGCGGAGCTCGCAGTGAGCCGAGATCGCGCCACTGCACTCCAGCCTGGGCGACAGAGCGAGACTCCGTCTCAAAAAAAAAAAAAAAAAAAAAAAAGAAATACAAAAATTAGAAAGGCATGGTGTCATGTACCTATAGTCCCAGCTACTCAGGAGGCTGAGACTGGAGGATCACCTGAGCCTGGAGGATCACCTGATCCCAGCGAGGTTGAGGCTGCAGTGAGCCGTGATCATGCCACTACACTCTGGCCTGAGCCAGATGCTGTCTCAAAAAATAAAATAAAATAAAATAAAATAAAATAAAATAAAATAAAATAAAATAAAGACCTTGGGCTGTAATTACCCAGCTAAACCACTCCTGAATTCCTGGCCCAGAGAAATTATGAAATAATACGTGTTTGTTATTTTAAGCTGCTAAGTGGTGGGACAGTTTGCTATGAAACAATAGTCAATACAATGGTTATAGGATATTCGTTGAATGAATCAATTAGTCTGTGGTGAGTTTCCGTCTATCTCTTATTTTTCTCACCTCCTACCTTTCATTACATTCTCCTTGTGCTATTTGCATCACCTAAAAATTCTAGTTAGACCATTCTGTAAAATCTCCCTGATCTGCAGTAAGTCATATTAGTTGAGACGTTTGTTCAGCTGTTTTAATAAGACCAAATAAAAACAGTTTTGAAGAGGTAGATATGGCCAGGTGCGGTGGCTCACAACTGTAATCCCAGCACTTTGGAAGGCCGAGGGGGGTGGATCACCTGAGGTCAGGAGTTCGAGACCAGCCTGGCCAACATGGCGAAACCCTGTCTCTACTAAAAATACAAAAATTAGCTGGGCACCTGTAATCCTAGCTACCTGGGAGACTGAGACAGGAGAATTGCTTGAACCCAGGAGGTGGAGGTTGTAGTGAGGCGAGATCACACACTGCACTCCAGCCTGGGTGACAGAGCGAGACTCTGTCAAAAAAAAAAAAAAAAGTTATTTTTATATATCTTTATAAAAAAAAAGATATTTATATCTCTGCCATGTAAAAGTCTGAGCCTAGGAAGCCTAGAGGAAAGGTGAGGCTCTGTTTCCTGAGGGGGCCTCAGGCACCCAGATGCCTCCTATCTTGTTGCTCTGCCATCTCCAAGAGCCACGCTATCCAAATCTGCAGACACTAGCCACAGGTAGCTCTTTTACTTATTTAAAATTAAATAAAATGAAAGATTCAAGTTATCAGTTGCACTTGTCATATTTCAAGTGCTTAATAGTCACATGTGGCTAGTGGTTCTATGTTGGATAGTGCAGATGTATAAGATATGTAGTATTTCCATCATCACTCTGCTCTAGAGTGTTACCTTCATTCACAAGGTAGACAATTCTGCTCTACCATGTCCACATTCTAATTTATAGAAAGAGATAAAATAAAGTATAAACAGTTTCCTTCCTTTTTTTTTTGAGACGGAGTCTCACTCTGTTGCCAGGCTGGAGTGCAGTGGCCTAATCCCGGCTCACTGCAACCTCCGCCTCCCGGGTTCAGAGATTCTCCTGCCTCAGCCTCCTGAGTAGCTGAGATTACAGGCATGTGCCACCACACTCGGCTAATTTTTGTATTTTTAGTAGAGACGGGGTTTCACCATGTTGGCCAGGATGGTCTCGATCTCTTGACCTTGTCATCCACCTGCCTTGGCCTCCCAAAGTGCTGGGATTACAGGTGTGAGCCACCACGCCTGGCCCAGTTTCCTTTCAGTGCCATGACCCAGAGGGTGAATGCGTCACTTCTGCGCTCACATCCCATTGGCCAGATCTAGTCACGTGGCCACACCTAGCTAAAGAGAAGCAGAAAGATATTGCCTCCTGGAGAGTGGCTAACCTCAAGGTGAGACAGCCTCTCCCTGGAAGGAAGACTCAGAGAATGGACATTGGGGAACCATTAGCAGGGTCTGCCCAGTCATGTTCCTCCAGGAGTCACCACGTGTTCTCATGCAGCATGCACGTTTCTTCCTGCAGCCCATTAGGCTGCTGGCTCCACAGCCCCCACCTGTGCAACAGTGGGACCTCTGCCTTCCTCAGAGTGTCCCATTTCTTTCTGTGAGTCCCTGAGAGGAGCCTCACAAGGGCACGCAAAACCAGTCTATCCCTGGAGTCACCAGGCAGCCTCTAGCCTTTTTTTAATCTTTGGCCCCATTTCTGCATGTCTGTGCCCCTGAATCCCCTTGGAAAGGCATCACCTCTGCCTTAACCATCATGAGGGGCCTGTGGCTTTTCTGGGCCCCAAGGCAGAGCATTTCATGCAGAGCTGGGGACTGGATTGGCTCCCTCTGAGCTACACCAGCTTGCCTGGGCTCTCAAGCAGCTCTGCCTGGCCCTGAATTTTGGGAAGTCCCATCTTGAATTGTTCCATCAGCTTATTCTTGCTCTAAGTCCCTCTCTTTATAGAGTGCTTATGTCGAGTCTGAAGGAGTGAGTAGGGGGCACAAGTACTTCCATCTACTTCCAGACATTTCTTCCCCCTTTCATACAGCAAAACTTCCCACATAAATGGATAGAGATCAAGGAGAGCTGTTGGGAATATGGATTGTCAGAACCAACAGCTGCCAAGTCACAATGTACTATTATTCCCTGACCTCTCTCTGTAGACCTCACCTGAGAGACCCCTCTGGCGTCTTCGACTTACTTGGTTAGCATCTGCCCTCTCACAGATCCACATTTCCCTTCCTAGACTTCTCCGGAAACCCAACAGCTCCTGCTCGGCCCCAAAGACACCTGGCCTGACTGTGCTTTTGTGTTATAGATTTACTTCGCATTCTTGGGGAAGGAGTGCCTCCTGCACGTGAGAAGGAGCAATCCTGTGTTCTAGAGAGGATCCTCTTCAAACTGGCAATTGTTGGTTAGAAATAGGTTTTTGTCTCAAGGGTGGGGAGGCAGCTGCTTGGGAGGACAGCTTGGCAGCCTTCAAATCATGCATACCAGCCGTTTAACAAGCAGCTCCACTCCTGGAAATTTTAAAGGACATAAGCAAAGATTTAGTGGCAAGATACTCATTATAAATGTGTTTATAATAGTGAAAAATTGGCAATAGTCTAAATGCTCAAGAATAAGAGGATTAAATTATGGACAGCCATATGACGGAACATTATTTGGCTTTAAAAAATTATGCTGTATATAAATATTCATAGACATGGAAAGATGGTCATGGTAGATTGTTAGAAAAAATATTGTAGTATGTTGCCATTTTTGTCAGTTTACACACTGATACACATGCAGATGGATATATATCAAATGTTAACAGTGATTTGCTTGAGATGATGAGTATTTTTACTGTCTTCTTTTTGCCTATGTGTATCTTCTAGGTGGGTGTTTGTTACCTTGCAAAGGGAAGAAAATGATTAGAATTATTTGCAATTCAAAACTATACTGCTGGCTGGGCACGGTCGCTCTCGCCTGTAATCCCAGCACTTTGGGAGGCCAAGGCGGGTGAATCACTTGAGGTCAGCAGTTCACCTGGCCAACATGGCAAAACCCTGTCTCTATTAAAGATACAAAAATTAGCCCAGCGTGGTGGCAGGCACCTGTAATCCCTCCCTACTCGGGAGGCTGAGGCACGAGAATGCTTGAACCCAGTAGGCGGAAGTTGTCGATAGCCAATATCGTGCCACTGCACTCCAGCCTGGGTGATGGAGTGAGACTGTTTCAAAACAAACAAACAAACAAACAAAAACAAAAACCCAAAAAACAAAAATGAAAAAACTACACTGCCTCCCAGTCAGACTGGATAAAATCAAAAGGACTGACAATACCAACTGTTGGTGAGGATGTGGAGCAACCAAGACTCATCCATGGCTGATGGGAGTGTAAATTGTAACAACCACTTTGGAAACCTCCGCCTCTAGGTTCAAGTGACTCTCCTGCCTCAGCCTCCCAAGTACCTGGGATTACAGATGGGGTTTCGAAATGTTGGCCAGGCTGGTCTCCAACTCCTAACCTCAGGTGATCCGTCCACCTCAGCCTCCCAAAGTACTGGGATTACAGGTGTGAGCCACTGCACCTGGCCGATGGCTTCTGTATTGAATAGCACAGGACTATATCTTGAGTGGTGGCTTTAATGGTATATACTTACATATAAAAATTCATCAAGCTGTACACTTATAAAAGTTATATCTCAATAAAATAATTAAAAAAAATTTTTAAACGCTTTTTTTTTTTTGAGATGGCGTTTCGCTCTTGTTGCCCAGGCTGGAGTGCAATGGCACCATCTCAGCTCACTGCAACCTCGCCTCCCAGGTTCAAGCGATTCTCCTGCCTCAGACTCCCGAGCAGCTGGGACTACAGGCATGCGCCACCATGCCCGGCTAATTTTGTATTTTTAGTAGAGATGGAGTTTCTTCATGTTGGTCAGGCTGGTCTCAAACTTCTGACCTCAGGTGATCCTCCCACCTCGGCCTCCCAAAGTGCTGGGATTACAGGCATGAGCCACTGCACTGGGCCTTAAAACCCTTTTTAAAAAGAAGTTTGAGAGGCTGAGACAAGCGGATCACCCAAGGTCAGGAGTTTGAGACCAGCCTGGACAACATGGCGAAACCCTGTCTCTACTAAAAATACAAAAATTAGCCGGGCATAGTGGGGGGAGCTACTCTGGAGGCTGAGGCAGGAGAATCTCTTGAACCCGGGAGGTGGAGGTTGCAGTGAGCTGAGATCGCACCACTGCACTCCAACCTTGGCAACGGACGGAGACTCTGTAGAGGTTTAAAAGTTATATCAAGCAAAGAAGACCAGCTGCTCCAGGACCAACATGGTTCAGCATTCCAAGGGCAACCCCTCAGGTCAGCTGACTTGCTCGAATGACAGAGACTCCACCCAGGGTGTGGTAGAGCAGAAACCAGTTCCACTAAAAAAAGGAAGAACAGAAACTTGGGGAGAATGGCCTACTGCTAATAGAGCTGTGCAGCGATTCTAAAGGTCTGCACTCAGCACTTTATTACTGTTTGCCCCACAGTTGAAGACAATGATCGGAGACTCATGCAGAAGAAAGGCAGGGGAGATCCCGAGAAGGTCCTCATGGTAACAGCTGGTCCTTGTTCCACTCAAGCCTGAGAAAATCCACCTCCATAGATCTACTCTGAGCCCCACAATTGAGGCCAGTGTTCCTGAGATGGAGTGCACATATCAGATGATTTTAGTGGTATAACAGTACATTTTTTTTTTACTAGTTATGTATTTATTTAAAATTATAAGGCCAAGTGCAGTGGCTCACACCTATAATCCCAGTGTTTTGGGGCGCTGAGGCAGGCAAATCACCTGAGGTTAGGAGTTCGAGATCAGCCTGGCTAACATGGTGAAGCCCCATCTCTACTAAAGATAAGCTGGGCGTGGTGGTGCACACCTGTAATCCCAGCTACTGGGGAGGCTGAGGCAGGAGAATCGCTTGAACCTGGGAGGCAGAGGTTGCAGTGAGCTGAGATCGTGCCACTGCACTCCAGCCTGGGTGACAGAGTGAGACTCTGTCTCAAAAAAAAAAAATTATACATATATAAGTTTGTGTGTATATATAATGAAACATAAAATCCATGACTGTATAGGCAGCAACTGATTAGGGTAATGTTAAAGTTTAAAAGATGATTGTAAGGCTGGGTTCAATGGCACACACCTATAGTGCCAGCACTTTGAGAAGCCAAGGCAGAAAGATCAGTTGAACTCAGGGGTTTGAGACCAGCCTGGGCAACATAGTGAGACCCCATTTCTACAAAAAAAACTTTTAAAAATTGGCTGGACGTGGTGACACATGCCAGCAGTCCCAGCTACTTGGCAGGTTGAGATGGGAAGATCCCTTGGCTCAGGAAGACAAGGCTACAGTGAGCTATAATTGTGCCAGTGCGCTTCAGCCTGGGCAACACAGAGAGACCTTGTCTAAAAACAAAAACCAAAAAAACAAAAACAAAAACAAAAACAAAAAAATCCGTAAAGAAAAATATTGAGTAAATAATGACACAAATGGTACATAGAGAAAAAATATCATGAAGTATGCAAATCTTTGAGGTTTCAAAAAAAGTGGTTTATGCCACTCTCCCTCTGTGAACTGATCCTGGAGACCCAGGATTTTGGGGGTGGGGGAAGGGGAAGCACATAAGGGGCTACTCCATGTGGGTGAATCAGGAGCAAAATTGAATCAGCAATTTGTTCAGAATCTAACAGCTATCAGAAACTGCATGTTGGAAGTTAGAAGCTAATAGGCCACTTGCTAGAAAAACGAAGACCTTTGTAGGGACCAGGAGGACCTTTGGCTCTGAAGATTCACTGAAAAATCAACTCACAAAAGGCAGATTAATTGGAGAAAAGGTGTACCAATTTATTTAACATGTATACACAGGAGCTTTCATAAAGAAGACCCAAAGATACAGAGGAAATTGTGCATTTTTATGCTTAGCTTCAACAAATTATGGACAGCTGTGTTGAAATATGATTGGACCAGTTTTCCCAGCACCATTTACTAAATAAGGAATCCTTTCCCCATTGCTTGTTTTTCTCAAGTTTGTCAAAGATCAGATAGTTGTAGATATGCGGCATTATTTCTGAGGGCTCTGTTCTGTTCCATTGATCTGTATCTCTGTTTTGGTACCAGTACCATGCTGTTTTGGTTACTGTAGCCTTGTAGTATAGTTTGAAGTCAGGTAGCGTGATGCCTCCAGCTTTGTTCTTTTGGCTTAGGATTGACTTGGCGATGCGGGCTCTTTTTTGGTTCCATATGAACTTTAAAGTAGTTTTTTCCAATTCTGTGAAGAAAGTCATTGGTAGCTTGATGGGGATGGCATTGAATCTATAAATTACCATGGGCAGTATGGCCATTTTCACGATATTGATTCTTCCTACCCATGAGCATGGAATGTTCTTCCATTTGTTTGTATCCTCTTTTATTTCATTGAGCAGTGGTTTGTAGGTCTCCTTGAAGAGGTCCTTCACATCCCTTGTAAGTTGGATTCCTAGGTATTTTATTCTCTTTGAAGCAATTGTGAATGGGAGTTCACTCATGATTTGGCTCTCTGTTTGTCTGTTATTGGTGTATAAGAATGCTTGTGATTTTTGTACATTGATTTTGTATCCTGAGACTTTGCTGAAGTTGCTTATCAGCTTAAGGAGATTTTGCGCTGAGACAATGGGGTTTTCTAGATATACAATCATGTCATCTGCAAACAGGGACAATTTGACTTCCTCTTTTCCTAATTGAATACCCTTTATTTCCTTCTCCTGCCTAATTGCCCTGGCCAGAACTTCCAACACTATGTTGAATAGGAGTGGTGAGAGAGGGCATCCCTGTCTTGTGCCAGTTTTCAAAGGGAATGCTTCCAGTTTTTGCCCATTCAGTATGATATTGGCTGTGGGTTTGTCATAGATAGCTCTTATTATTTTGAGATACGTCCCATCAATACCTAATTTATTGAGAGTTTTTAGCATGAAGGGTTGTTGAATTTTGTCAAAGGCCTTTTCTGCATCTATTGAGATAATCATGTGGTTTTTGTCTTTGGTTCTGTCTATATGCTGGATTACGTTTATTGATTTGCATATATTGAACCAGCCTTGCATCCCAGGGATGAAGCCCACTTGATCACGGTGGATAAGCTTTTTGATGTGCTGCTGGATTCGGTTTGCCAGTATTTTATTGAGGATTTTTGCATCAGTGTTCATCAAGGATATTGGTCTAAAATTCTCTTTTTTGGTTGTGTCTCTGCCTGGCTTTGGTATCAGGATGATGCTGGCCTCATAAAATGAGTTAGGGAGGATTCCCTCTTTTTCTATTGATTGGAATAGTTTCAGAAGGAATGGTACCAGTTCCTCCTTGTACCTCTGGTAGAATTTGGCTGTGAATCCATCTGGTCCTGGACTCTTTTTGGTTGGTAAGCTATTGATTATTGCCACAATTTCAGAGCCTGTTATTGGTCTATTCAGAGAGTCAACTTCTCCCTGGTTTAGTCTTGGGAGGGTGTATGTGTCGAGGAATTTATCCATTTCTTCTAGATTTTCTAGTTTATTTGCGTAGAGGTGTTTGTAGTATTCTCTGATGGTAGTTTGTATTTCTGTGGGATCGGTGGTGATATCCCCTTTATCATTTTTTATTGCGTCTATTTGATTCTTCTCTCTTTTCTTCTTTATTAGTCTTGATAGTGGTCTATCAACTTTGTTGATCCTTTCAAAAAACCAGCTCCTGGATTCATTAATTTTTTGAAGGTTTTTTTGTGTCTCTATTTCCTTCAGTTCTGCTCTGATTTTAGTTATTTCTTGCCTTCTGCTAGCTTTTGAATGTGTTTGCTCTTGCTTTTCTAGTTCTTTTAATTGTGATGTTAGGGTGTCAATTTTGGATCTTTTCTGCTTTCTCTTGTGGGCATTTAGTGCTATAAATTTCCCTCTACACACTGCTTTGAATGTGTCCCAGAGATTCTGGTATGTTGTGTCTTTGTTCTCATTGGTTTCAAAGAACATCTTTATTTCTGCCTTCATTTCTTTATGTACCCAGCAGTCATTCAGGAGCAGGTTGTTCAGTTTCCACGTAGTTGAGCAGTTCTGAGTGAGTTTCTTAATCCTGAGTTCTAGTTTGATTGCACTGTGGTCTGAGAGACAGTTTGCCATATGTAGAAAGCTGAAACTGGATCCCTTCCTTATACTTTATACAAAAATTAATTCAAGATGGATTAAAGACTTAAACGTTAGACCTAAAACCATAAAAATCCTAGAAGAAAACCTAGGCATTACCATTCAGGACATAGGCATGGGCAAGGACTTCATGTCTAAAACACCAAAAGCAATGGCAACAAAAGCCAAAATTGACAAATGGGATCTAATTAAACTAAAGAGCTTCTGCACAGCAAAAGAAACTACCATCAGAGTGAACAGGCAACCTACAAAATGAGAGAAAATTTTCGCAACCTACTCATCTGACAAAGGGCTAATATCCAGAATCTACAAAGAACTCAAACAAATTTACAAGAAAAAAACAAACAACTCCATCAAAAAGTGGGCAAAGGACATGAACAGACACTTCTCAAAAGAAGACATTTATGCAGCCAAAAAACACATGAAAAAATGCTCACCATCACTGGCCATCAGAGAAATGCAAATCAAAACCACAATGAGATACCATCTCACACCAGTTAGAATGGCAATCATTAAAAAGTCAGGAAACAACAGGTGCTGGAGAGGATGTGGAGAAATAGGAACACTTTTACACTGTTGGTGGGACTGTAAACTAGTTCAACCCTTGTGGAAGTCAGTGTGGCGATTCCTCAGGGATCTAGAACTAGAAATACCATTTGACCCAGCCATCCCATTACTGGGTATATACCCAAAGGACTATAAATCATGCTGCTATAAAGACACATGCACACGTATGTTTATTGTGGCACTATTCACAATAGCAAAGACTTGGAACCAACCCAAATGTCCAACAATGATAGACTGGATTAAGAAAATGTGGCACATATACACCATGGAATACTATGCGGCCATAAAAAATGATGAGTTCATGTCCTTTGTAGGGACATGGATGAAATTGGAAATCATCATTCTCAGTAAACTATCGCAAGAACAAAAAACCAAACACCGCATATTCTCACTCATAGGTGGGAATTGAACAATGAGAACACATGGACACAGGAAGGGGAACATCACACTCTGGGGACTGTTGTGGGGTGGGGGGAGGGGGGAGGGATAGCTTTAGGAGATATACCTAATGCTAAATGATGAGTTAATGGGTGCAGCACACCAGCATGGCACATGTATACATATGTAACTAACCTGCACATTGTGCACATGTACCCTAAACCTTAAAGTATAATAATAATTAAATAAAAAAAATTAAAAAAAAAAAGAAATACGATTGGACCAAAAAGATATGCTCTGGCTGGGCATGGTGGCTCGTGCTGTAATCCCAGCACTTTAGGAGGCCTAGAAGGGCAGATCACTCAAGGTCAGGAGTTTGAGACCAACCTGACCAACATGGTGAAACCCTGTCTATACTAAAAATACAAAAATAAGCCAGGCATGGTGGCGCGTGCCTGTAGTCCCAGCTACTTGGGAGGCTGAGTCATGAGAATCACTTGAACCCAGGAGGCATAGTTTGCGGTGAGCAGAGATCGTGCCACTGCATTCCAGCCTGGGTGACAGGGGGAGACTCTGTCTCAAAATAAATAAATAAATAAATAAACACTCTAGACTGAATGGGATAATCCAGCCAGGCTTGTCTGTCTAGATTCTTCTTGGCGTCTCTGAGCAGCATTCTTTCCTTCTGGTGTGAGGCAGGACCCTCTCTACAATGGGGGTCTTATGACCTGCAATCAAACAAGGTAGGTCAGACCATTTCTTTACGGCCAGTTTTTTACACAGAAAAGTGGGGAGAAAGTTAGAATAATATTTTCAAGTTTTATGGCTGGCTTTAGGGAAAAGGGACTCTGGTTGCTATGAATCACATTAGGGAAGAGGGATCCTAGTTTCTAAGGCTAGAATGGGACTGGGGAGACAGGACGGCAGGAGAAGGTCAGAGAAAAACTTTTGTTCCTGATGTTGTTTCTGAGGCCTTCATTTTGGGGTGTTATTTTCTGAGACCCAACACCTTAAAGACAGCAAATGGTGCAGATTTCTCTAGAAGAGCTTATTTTGTAGTCACAGTAGAGATTTCCTTTTTGTTTTCCTAGGGCAAAGGGCAAAGGCTCCCACTCCTCACCCAGGTGATATCCCCAGAGCCATGCTCTTCCCAGTTCAGGCATCTCCCCACATGGGAACTTCCTGTTTGTTGAGACCACAGACAAAATGGCTGCCCACAGGGCTGACCATCAGCCATGGGAAAGTACATATACTAAACGGTTAAACAAAAAAAGACATGGAACAGTACTCTAACTTTGAGTGGACAGTCTCTTTTTTAAATCCTATCATAAATCCATTTTAAGAATTTAGGTTGCCAGGCTGGGTGCAGTGGCTTACGCCTGTAATCCCAGCACTTTAGGAGGCCAAGGTGGGTGGATTACCTGACATCAGTAGTTTGAGACCAGCCTAGCCAACATGGTGAAACCCCATCTCTTCTAAAAATACAAAAAATTAGCCAGGCATGGTGGCAGGTGCCTGTAATCCCAGCTACTTGGGAGGCTGAAGCAGGAGAATCGCTTGCACCCAGGAGGCAGAGGTTGCAGTGAGCCTAGGTCACGCCATTGCACTCCAGCCTGGGCAACAAGAGCGAAACTCAGTATCAAAAAACAAAACAAAACAAAAACAAGAATTTAGATTGCCTTTCAATATTCTGAAATCTTTTCTTTTCTTTTTTTCTTTGTTCTTTTTCTTCTTGTTTCTGAGTGAAATGCTTCCTAACTTGGATAAAGTTACCGTCAGATACCAAGGCTAGCTGTCAAGGTCAAGGTCATGCAAGAAACGGAGCAAGTAACGGTGTTGCCCCAGACTTTAGTTCCTCTGGGCACTCTCAGAACTCACTGGGAAGAGAAGCCCTGTCCCCCAGCCCTGTACACAGGGTGCTGTAGAGGAGGACCAAAAGATGCCACCACCTTGTTCTTACTGGAACTCTGTGCAACTGGGAGCAGAGAGGCAAACAAACAATACAAAGGCAGAAGGAGGCTGAGAAGGAGGAACACATAGGGCCAGGCTGAGGATGGAAGAGTCACCCCCAGGGCCACACCCTGGCTCATAAGACAGGGCTGGAGGAGGGTGAATTTTATATCCCTTCTCAGAGCTCCCTGCTATACAGATGGGTCCATCACAGCAGTGACCATTACTTCCATATACTGACCATTCACCACGAGCCAGGCACCACTCAGAGTGCTTTCCATGCATTATCCCATTTGGCAGAGAGACAATAATACACTCTGGAGTTTCTTTTTCAGTCAGCAAATTGTTTTAAGAGCCTACTATGTGTCAGGCACAGTTTTAGGTACTGGGGAAACAGCAGTGCCAAGGCCAAGTCCCTAGTCTAAGAAATGGCCAGGCATGGTGGTTCATGTCTGTAATCCCAGCACTTTGGGAGGCCATGGCGGGTGGATCACCTGAGGTCAGAAGTTCAAGGCTAGCCTGGCCAAGATGGAGAAACTCCATTTCTACTAAAATACAAAAATTATCTGGGCATGGTGGCATGCACCTGTAATCCCAGCTACTCAGGAGCCTGAGGTAGGAGAATCACTTGAACCTGGGAGGCGAAAGGAAAGGGAGGGGAGGGGAAAGGAGGGGAGTGGGGAGAGGGGAGGAAAGGAAGGAAGGAAGGAAAGAAGGAAGGAAGGAAGGGAGAGAGGGAAAAAAGAAAGAAAGAGAGAGAAAAAGAAAGAAAGAAAGAAAAGAAAAAGAAAGAAAGAGAAAGGGAGAGAGAGAAAGAAAGAAAAGAAAGAAAGAAAGAGAAAGGAAGAAAGGAAGGGAAGAAATTACAAGAGATGCTGAAGTTATTGCTGTTAAAAAAAAAAAAAAAAAAGAAGAGGAAGAAACTACACCAGAGACCAGGTCTGGGTATCATATCTGACTCCGCCTTTTACTAGATGAGTGACAATTAGTGCCACTAGACTTCAGCCTCTCCATTTGTGAAACAGCAAAAAAAAAAAAAATGTGAGAGAGATATTGATATAGCATATCTATATATCATATATAACAGATATATATCTTATCTATATAAATTCACCTTAAAGGTTTGTGCAAGGATTAAGTGAGATAAATATGTGCCTAAAGTTCTTGGAACAGTGCTGACAACACAGTAAATGCTTAATAAATACTGGCAACTACTTACAATGCTTGAGGTAGGTACTCTTATTGCCTCCACTTTTAAAAATTGTGGTAAAATATACATAACATAAAATTTACCATTTTAACTGTTTTTTTTTTTTTTTTTGAGACGGAGTCTCTCTCTGTCACCAGGCTGGAGTGCAGTAGCGTGAACTCGGCTCACTGCAACCTCTGACTCCCTGGTTCAAGCAATTCTCCTGCCTCAGCCTTCAGAGTAGCTGGGATTACAGGTACGCGGCCACCATGCCCAGCTAATTTTTGTATTTTTAGTAGAGATGGGGTTTCACCATGTTGGCCAGGATGGTCTTGATCTCCTGACCTCGTGATCCTCCCGCCTTGGCCTCCCAAAGTGCTGGGATTACAGGTGTGAGCCACAGCGCCCAGCCATTTTAACCATTTTTAGGTGCACAGTTGGTGAAGTACATTCACATTGATGTGCAACCATCACCACCACCATCCATCTCTAGAATTTTTTTCATTTTCCCAAACTAAAACTCTGTATCATTAAACAATAACTCCTGTTCTCCTCCCTCAGCCCCCAGCAGCCACCCTTCTACTTTCTGTCTCTATGAATTTGACTACTCCAGGTACACATAGACCTACAGCTATATGAATCAAACAGTATTTGTCCTTTCGTGACTGGCTTATTTCACTTAGCATAGTCTGTTCAAGGTTCATTCATGTTATAGCATGTGTCAGAATTTTCTTCCTTTTTAAGGCTGAATAATATTCCATTGTATGTATGTACCACATTTTGCTTATCTATCCATTCATCTGTTGATGGACGCTTGGGTTAGTTCCATGTTTTAACTACCTGTATTGTAAATAATGCTGCCAGGAATATAGGTGTTGTTAAAGCAAACTAAATATGGCCTGAGAAGGACTCCGTACTTCTCTATTTGAGTCCTTGTGGATGAACTGTAACCTAGCTTAATAGGCAGACAAGATTGAAAACCTAACTTAGGAGTGTGCACCTGTAACAATAGCTGAGTCTTGGCAAGTCCCAGCAGCCAAACTTCAACCACTCATAGACTGCTAAGTGTTAAAATTGTGTTCAAATAAGGCAACGCCAACCTGTAACCAATCCAGCTGTTTTTATACCTCACTTCCAATTTCCCTACATCGTTTCCCTTTTTTGTCTATAAATCTTCTACCACGTGGCTGTGCTGGAGTCTCTCTGAATTGGCTGTGATTCTGGGGGCTGCCCAATTCGTGAATCCTTCATTGGTCAGTTAAACTCCTTTAAATTTAATTCGGCTGAAGTTTTTCTTTTAACAGTGTACAAATACCTCTTCAAGATTCTGCTTTCAATTCTTTTGGACATGCACCCAGAAGTTATGTTGATAGATCGGCCCTGAGGTGAACTAAAGCCAGCAGCCCCACATCATGTCAAAGTTCGGCCGGGCCACCCGGGGCCTCAGGAAGCCCGAGGTCGGCGATGTGATCCGGACCATCGTGCGGGCAGGCCTGGCCATGCCCGGGCCCCCACTAGGCCCAGTGCTGGGTCAGAGAAGGGCTTCCATCAACCAATTTTGCAAGGAGTTCAATGAGAGGACAAAGGACATCAAGGAAGGCATTCCTCTGCTTACCAAGATTTTTCTGAAGCCTGACGGGACATTTGAAATCAAGATTGGACAACCCACTGTTTCCTACTTCGTGAAGGCAGCAGCTGGGATTGAAAAGGGGGCCCGGCCAACAGCCTCAGTTCAGAAGAGTTTGCAGCTTTCCAGAAGGAACAAGCCATCTTCCTGGCTGCTCAGAAGAAGGCAGATTTGGCCACCCAGGAGGAAGCTGCCAAGAAGTGACCCTTTCCCCCAACTCCTAGATTTCAAAGGAGGCAGCTGGGAAGGGGCCAGTTGCAAAGGCTGTGCCCAAGGGGAGGAAGGAGGTCACACCAATATGATGATGGTTTTCGTGACTTTGAATGATATATTTTTGTACATCTAGCTGTATCGAGACATCAGGCCTGAATAAACATCTTTTCTAAAAAAAAAGAAAAAAAAAGGAAGTTATATTGATAGATCATATGGCAAGTCTGTTTGTTTGTTTTTATTTTTTAACTTAAAAAAAATAAAAAGAGGCTGGGCACAGTGGCTCACGCCTGTAATCCTAGCACTTTGGGAGGCTGAGGCAGGCAGAAGAGGTCAGGAGTTCGAGACCAGCCTGACCAACATGGTGAAACCCCATCTCTAGTAAAAGTACAAAAATTAGCCAGGCGTGGTGGCTAACGCTTGTAATCCCAGCTACTTGGGAGGCTGAGGCAGGAGAATTGCTTGAATCTGGGAGGCGGAGGTTGCAGTGAGCTGAGATCATGCCATTGCACTCCAGCCTGGGCAACAAAAGCGAAACTCATTTCAAAAATAAAAAATAAAATAAAAAGAGACAAGGCCTCACTACGTTGCCCAGGCTGGTCTCAAACTCCTGCGCTCCAGTGAGCCACCCACCTCAGCCTCCCAAAGTGCTAGGATTACAAGCATGAGCCACCACACCCAGCTACCTGTTTGATTTTTGACAAACCGCTATACTGTTTTCCATAATGGCCGCACCATTTTACATTCTTACCAACAGTGCACAAGGGTTCCAATTTCTCCACACCCTTGCCAACACTTGTTCTGTGCTGTTGTTTTGATAGTAGCCATCCTAATGGGTGTGACTTGTATCTCATTGCAGTTTGGATTTGCGTTTACGTAAAGATTAGTAGGGCTGGGCACAGTGGCTCCTGCCTGTAATCCCAGCACTTTGGCAGGCCGAGGCGGGTGGATCACCTTAGGTCGGGAGTTCGAGATCAGCTTAACCAACATGGAGAAACCCTGTCTCTACTAAAAATACAAAATTAGCCGGGCATGGTGGTGCATGCCTGTAATCCCAGCTACTCAGGAGGCTGAGGCAGGAGAATTGCTTGAACCCGGGAGGCAGAGGTTGTGGTGAGCCGAGATCGTGCCATTGCACTCCAGCCTGGGCAACAAGAGTGAAACTCCGTCTCAAAAAATAAACACATTTTAAAAAATTTTTAAAAAGATTAGTGATGCTGGGTATCTTTTCGTGTGCTTATTAGCTAGCCATTTGTGTATCAAAGTACTTCAACTCAAGTACTTTGCCCATTTTTTAATTGGTTGTTTTTTGTTATTGTTGTTGAGTTGTAGCAAGGTGTTTTACATGCATTTCTTTCTTTCTTCCCACATGCATATGGCATCTCTTATTAATCCCCCACCCACAGCCAGGCACAGATACAGGTCCCCTCTGCATTCACTCCTCCACCTAGAAGGAGTGACATCCTCCAGGGCACCTCAGGCACCCTCAGATGATAAATGAAGTCTGCAATAGTAGCTAGAGACAAGAAGTACACAAACAGGAAGGAGGGAGGGGAAGGCCAGCCAGGGAGATGAAACAAACAGGCTCTAGTTCTCTCAGTCCAGTTCATATTAAATTAGCTACAAATTATCAGTGCCTCAAATCCAAAGACAAACTGATTTCATATAAATTTCATCTTTGAGCTTCACAAGGGGTATGGGTCTTTTGCACATTCTAGAGGTACCTTCCCAACCTGCTCAATAATTGAACACCTGCAGCAAAGACCAGAAGTAAGAAAAAGGCTGAGAGGCCTGGGAAGATGTTAGATAATGTGCAAACAGCCTTCTGGAAGGAGAAACAGAGAGAGTGCTTGCTCCCCTACCATATTCTTCAGAGGGGGAGTCTTAGAACCACAGTGTAATAAGGAAGTTGACAGTAACAAAATAAACGAAGCCATGACAATAAGTTGTGCAGGGAAGATATGTGAGAGTGAAATCACAGACCCCTAGAAAATGTAACCAGAGACCTCAGTTTTAAAAATCACCCACTCTCCCGGCCTGGGCAACAGGGTGAAACCCTGTCTCTACAAAAAAATACAAAAATTAGCCAGATGTGGTGGTGTGCACCTGTAGTCCCAGCTACTTGGGAGGCTGAGATGGCAGGATCGCTTGAGCCTGGGAAGTCAAGGTTGCAGTGAGCTGAGATTGCACCACTGCATTCCAACCTGGGTGACAGAGGGAGACCCTGTCTCAAGAAAACGAAACAAAACAAAAAAACAAAAAACGAAACGCTCACTTTCTTTTCTTTTTTAATTTTTTTAGTTCTGAGGTACATGAGCAGGATGTGCAGGTTTGTTACCTAGGTGAATGTATGCCACGGTGGTTTGCGGCACCTATCAACCCATCACCTAGGTATTAAGCCCTGCATGCATTAGCTATTTTTCCTAATGCTCTCCCTGCTACCGCGCTCCCGCAACAGGCCCGGTGTGTGTTGTTCCCCTCCCTGTGTCCATGTGTCCTCATTGTTCAACTCCCACTTACAAGTGAGAACATGCAGTGTTTGGTTTTCTGTTCCTGTGTTAGTTTGCTGAAGATAATGGCTTCCAGCTTCATCCATGTCCCTGCAAAGGACATGATCTCATTCCTTCTCATGGCTGCATAGTATTCCGTGGTCTATATGTACCACATTCTTTATCCTGTCTATCGTTGATGGGCATTTGGGTTGATTCCATGTCTTTGCTATTGAAACACCCACTTTCTTTTTCCTCCTTCCTTCCCCTCTCACCTCTTCGTTTCTTCCCCATCTGGTTACACGTGCTTATCTAATTGTGCTCTTGCTTAAATCCCAAAGGCTAATCTTGAAACCAGGCACTGTGTTTTCTTTTTGGAATCCTCCTGTTTAGGAGGAGTCATGAACAATTAGTCCACCACCATCAGGCCAAAATCAAGATAACACCAACCAGACCTCCAAACAGGCAATTACCCAAGATAGCCATAGGAACAAGACACACAGATGCTGTACCCTGCACCGCTCCCTCATGCCTCCCACACCAAGTTTCCCCTTAAGAACCCTAAGGTAAATGTTAAAATTTAAGATGGTATTTTAGAACACTAGCTCACCATCTTTTTGGTTTGCTGGCTGTCTGATTAAAACCTGCTTTTCCTCCCACCAAACCTCACCTCTTGTGTTTGGCTTTTGAATGGCAGAGCAGAGCAGAGCAGACAAACGCGGGTCCAGTTACAAAAAGGCAGTAATCTATGAGGCGCTTTGTAAACATACTCGCTCCTTTAACAGTGATTGCAGTCCTGCCCCAGGCTCCTCCCCATTAATGTTAGAATAAGACTATAGCTTAGGAAATGTGCTAAAAATGCAGGGTCATGGGCACCATCCTTGAGATACGGCTCTGGTAAGTCAAGGTGGGCCAAGGAGCCCGCATCTTTACCCAGATGCCTACAGGGAAGGTGTTGCTGGTGGCCGGAGCCTACAGTCTGAGCCATGCTGGCTACTGTCAGTGACAAAGGCTCCCCTGGGCTTTCCCCAGTCTGTGGAACAGTGATCACAGACTCCGTTCCACCTTTTCCTCTTCAAATCCTGGAGAGGATTCCTGAAATTATGAACGGAAAAATTAGAGGGTGAGGACATCTATCCCGTGACAACAGGATTCTTCCTTTCCCAAAAGAATTGCTAAGAGGTGCTCTTATTTTTCAGGAACTCGCCTGTAAGTGTTTGCCACGTTAAGAGCGCGAGGGAGCAGTTTGGCAGATGTTCAGGGAAGAGATAGAGGGCATTTAAGAGCTGTGGTGAACAGTGCATTGCTGAGCAATGAAGATAAAACGGGAATCACAAGCTAAAGTTACAAACGGAATAGGATTTGGCTTATATATTTGTCGAGAACACATCCATTTGCAATTGAAATAATAATGACAGTCTTGTCTAGGTGCCGTGGCTCACGCCTATAATCCCAGCACTTTGGGAAGCAAGGTGGAAGGACTGCTTGAGCCCAGGAGTTCAAGACCAGCATAAGTAACATAGTGAGACTTCTGTCTCTACAAAAGTAAAAAAAGAAAAAAAAATTAGCCAGGTGTGGTGGTGCATGCCTGTGGTCTTAGCTACTTGGGAGGCTATGGCAGGAGGATCACTTGAGCCCAGAAGGTCCAGGCTACAGTGAGCCATGATTGTGCCACTGCACACCAGCCTGGGTGACAGAGTGAGATCCCATCTCAAAATAACCATAATAATAATGACAGTCTCATGAGCAAGTCCTTGTGCTAATTATGCTTTATACATTAATTCACTTAAAAATATATTCACATATGAAATGTGCACATAAATTAACAAGTAAAAACTATAAAGAGGCTGCATTTACAGATGGTCGCAGATCAGCCAAGCAATACAGCCTGTAGTTTAGCCCATGAGCTCTAGACAGCTTCTGGTTCAAGTCCTGGCTCTGTTATTTATCAACTGTGTGACCTTCATAAGGAACATCTTCAGGCCTTGGTTTCCTCATCTGTTAAATAAGATGACACACGTAAAGCTCTTAGCACAGTCCTTGGCATGTAGTAAAACAGCCTCTAAGTGTTTTTAGTTATTGTTATTGTCAGTGCTGCTGGAGCAGAGCACAAGTCCCCTGCCCCACAGCAGAGTAAGTTGGGTCTGAAGCCGCTTTGGACTTCACACACAGCCCCACGGAGATCCACAGGGATCCAAGGAGCGCTGTCAGGCTGGCCTAGATACTGAGATGGTATCCTGAGATGATAGCAACTGCCATCTTTTCCTTGTGTCCCTCTGACGAGTGGAACATCACCAGTACTCACACTGGAAGATGCTCCCTATACAGAAAGCATGTCCTAGAAACTGTGGAGACCTATAAAGTAAGTGTGAGTTTGCTTTAAGAATTAAATGAGGTAGTAGATATATCATGCCTGCCACGCAGCAAATAATCATTATTATGCATTATTATAATCTATAACTTTATATAATTTGCTGTAGTGTCTCTAAAAGACAACCTCACGAATAACAACTAGGATTAATTGAGCACCTACTCCAAGAGCCATCCATTGGGTCTGGATGCTCAATACCTTCACCTTTTTCTGATGACAGCACTCCATTTTCCTTTGGGGAATTGCCTACCCCTCTCCCATGGTTCTGGTGGGACTGCCAATTACAGTCCTCTATTCCAGTCCCTGACAGTTTCTTTAAAACCTGATCAGCCAGAGACCACCAGAAATGAGCCTACAGTCTGAGGAATTCAGATTTCTTTCCTCCGAGCAGTAAGGTGGAGCACTCCAGAGGATCTCCGGAAGGAGGGCAGCTGTCTTGCAAGATTTGGGTTCCTGCTCAAGGATTCTAAGGAGGGTTGAAGGGAAGCAGGCATCAGTCTGGATTGGATGCTGTTTTGGATGAGGGATTAAGAAGAGCAAGGATTAACTACGGATTGAGCATTGTCATGAGGCCAGGGCAGCTGAGCAGTTGGTTATCCCCAGTATTAAATGAGAATAGCAAAGCACGCTTCTGCCTTTGTCTTTGGTCATAGGTAAGAGAGCAGTGGCCACTTGCAGAGGGTCCTTACAGCATTTCACAGCCACTACGACATTGGGAGGAACAATGTTTCTTGCCGGCTTTGTAGCTGGCTTTAACTTTTCTGTCCTCTTAACCTGCTGTTTTCTTTTCCAGGACAAGTTGATTTTCACTCTCAGTCCTAGATAAAGTTTTACTCTTTTTGCCTCAGTGGTGACTTTGAACAAAGACACCATTCCTCACGACATTTTACTGCTATTTGCTAGACAATTGTCATAATGAGTGTTCAAACCTCTGATGACTATGATGGGTAACCCCTGAAGTTTACAAAGCCTAATTGTAATTGTAGGCAGCAGCCCTGCCCCACGTGCCCTGAGCTGGGGCAATCAGGCATTGGGAGTTGGGGCAGGAGACTCTCAGATGGGAGGCAAAGGTTGGAGCAGGCCATCTAAGGAAGAGCCCCAAGGGAGGCTGGGCCACAAACAGTTGCCGCTGAGATTCCTGTCACTGCCTGGGCTCTTCGGGGCCTCCCTGAGGACTGATTGTTTATCTCTTCTTTTGATTCTGGAGCAATCCCAATCATTTCCCAGTAATCCTTGTTAAACTGAGCTAGTCAGTTTCTGTTGCTTACAACCCCAGAACCCTAAATAACGTTATCTGTTTTTGTAGGTCTTCTGTTGGATAGTGGGATAGAGAGGAATAAAGTGCAGGCTCACAGTGGTATACTCACTGTGTACCTATGATGTAAGGGAGTGATTACTCCCAAGACAAATGATTCTTCCCTTTGCAAAGTAATTCACCCCTGGGTCCTTCCCTTTCTCTCCTAACCCCTCATTCTGTAAATTCTATGAATTCTCACTATATCCCCAGTGCCTGGCCCACAGTAAGCCCTCAACAGATTCACTGAATGAATTAATGAATAAATGAATGGAAGTTATCAACATCTCCATTTCTACAGATAGGAAAACTGAGCCTCAAACAGACTCATAACTAAGCTTATGCACATGCTATTAACAAGTGGTAGAAGGCCAGGCATAGTGGCTCACGTCTGTAATCCCAGCACTTTGGGAGGCTGAGGAGTACCGATCACCTGAGGTTGGGAGTTCGAGACCAGCCTGGCTAACATGCAGAAACCCCGTCTCTACTAAAAATACAAAATTAGCTGGACGTGGTGGTGCATGCCTGTAATCCCAGCTACTCGGGAGGCTGAGGCAGGAGAATCACTTGAACCCAGGAGGCAGAGGTTATGGTGAGCCGAGATCGCACCATTGCACTCCAGCCTGGGCAACGAGAGCAAAACTCCGTATCAAAAAAATAATAATAATAATAATAATAATAATACAAAAATCTTAAAGCCACTGAACTGTACATTTAAAATGAATTAAATGGTAAATTTGATGTTATGTATATTTTACACACACACAACATTCACACTCTAGGAGCCACCCTGGCACTCAGAAACACCAAATGTTGCCCATGGCATCTCTCCTAGCCCTGAGGAACACAATAAGGACTCAATGAATGCTGACGTTTTTAACTCATTTTTAGGCTGTGCTGGAGAGAAGCCTTCTCCTGGAGGCAGTACGGTCGAATGGCTAGGAGTACAGACACCGGAGTTCAAACCCCAGGTCAGCCACTTATCAGCTTGGTGACTTTGGGTGACTTATAAACCTGTCTATGCAAGTTTTCTCATCAGTAAAATTGGAAAAACAATGCCTACCTCAGGGGGTTGTTCTAAGGACTAAGTGAAATGATAATGTGTGAAAAGCACTTGGAACCATCCCTAAGACACAGTAAGTGTTCAGTAAGTATCAGCAGCTGGCACAAGGGTGATTATACACTACAGTGAGTTCTGCTGCTCCCAACCCCTCCATTTTCACCAATGTTTACCATACTACCTCTCTGTAATACATTTCGTGCTGCAGATAACTGTTTTTGGCAGGAAAGGAGTTATTACCTTCAAAGCAAGCTGACTCCCCAAAGAGGAGACTTTTTGTGATGAAATTCCAAGGAAGCTCCAGAGACTCCCTCCTTGGTGTTTCTGTCCATCAGCAGTAGGGAGCTCTCAGGAAATGAATTTCTCTTTTTTTTTTTTATTGAGACGGAGTCTTGCTCTGTCACCCAGGCTGGAGTGCAGTGGTGCGATCTCGGCTCACTGCAACCTCCGCCTCCCAGGTTCAAGCGATTCTCCTGCCTCAGCCTCCCAAGTAGCTGGGACTACAGGTGCACACCACCACGCCTGGCTAATTTTTGTATTTTTAGTTGAAACGGGGTTTCACCATGTTGGCCAGGATGGTCTCGATCTCCTGACCTCATAGTCCTCCCACCTCGGCTTCCCAAAGTGCTGGGATTACAGGCGTGAGCCACAGTGCCCGGCCTAGGAAATGAATTCTATACAGAATAATCAGATGGTTCCTGTGCCCTTTGGCTGCTTGTGCAGTTAAGCACATTTATCATGAGCTCTTCTTCTCAGTCATTCGCTATGTGGGATGAAGCTGTTCCCCTCTGGGATTAGGACTTCCCCCATTTCCACCCAGGCTGTTTCTTGTGCTCCGTGATATGGAAGAGACTTGGAGACGTGGGAAGTGTCCCACACAGCTGATCAGCCAGGCGCGGAGGTCCACCCACCTGCAGAAGGGTCACCAGGCTCAGAAACATCCTGTCCACACCTGCAAATCTATCCATGCCTCCTGTTCATGCCCAGCCCATACATTCGATTTTTAAAAATTCATTGTTTTCAAAATAATTAAAAGTCTCTTGCTCACTCTGACAAAATAAGCTGCCATGTTGTGAGATGTTCTGCGGAGAGGCCTACGTGGCAAGGACCAAGGGAAGCCTCCAGCTGACAGCTCATGAGCAACTGAATCCTACCAATAAGCATGTGAGTGAGCCAGTGTTCCGCAAAGGGGCTGGATATGCAGAGCGACCCCCAAATGCCAGAGCCAAGAAATCAAAGGAGGCTGACAAATCCAGCTTGTTGGTAGAGGATTATTTGTTAAGGTAACTTAGAAGTGTGGTCTTGCATGGCCACAAGACAGGTAGATGTGTTACTCCCCACACCCAAGGATTATATACTATGGGGAAATAGTAAATATGCTCTGGCAAGACAGTTAAAAGCAGCCCTCCAGAACAGTCAAGAAGGCTGTGTGTGTCCTAGCCTATAAAGTGTGCAATAACATCAAGGTTGCTTTTTTCTTACACTAGGGATAACAAATAAAGTAGAAACCAGGAGACAAAATTAGCCAGGTGTGGTGGTGCGTGCCTGTAATCCCAGCTACTTGGGAGGCTGAGGCAGGAGAATCGCTTGAACCCAGGAGGTGGAGGTTGCAGTGAGCCGAGAGAGTGCCACTGCACTCTAGCCTGGGCAACAAGAGCAAAACTCCATCTCAAAAAAAAAAAAAAAAAAAAAAAAGACCTAGATAGGGGCCAGGTGTGGCAGCTCAATCCTGTAATCCCAGTACTTCGGGAGGCTGAGGCCAGAAGACTGAGAGACTGAGGCAGGAAGATTGCTTGAAACCAGGAGATCAGCCTGGGCAACGAAGCAAGATCCTGTCTCCACAAAAAAAAAAAAAAAAAAAAAAAATTTAAGGAAACAAAAAAAGACCCAGCTAAGCTGCACCTAGATTCCTGACCTCCAGCAACTTTAAGATAATGTTGTTGTTTTAAGGCACTACATTTTAGAGTAATTTGTCATGCAGTGAAGAATGACTAATATAGGTTGAGGGTCAGTTTTATATGTTAACTTGTCTAGGATACAGTCCTCAGTCAATCAAATAGCAATTTAGTTGTTGCTGTGAAGGTTATTTTGTAGATATGATTAAAGTCCATAGTCAGTTAACTTCAGGAAATAGAGGCCAAGCGTAGTGGCTCACACCTGTAATCCCAGCACTTTGGGAGGCCAAGGCAGGTGGATCGCTGGAGTCCAGGAGTTCGACACCAGCCTGGGTAACATGGTGAAACTCTGTCTCTAGAAAAAATACAAAAAATTAGCCGGGCGTGGTGGCACATGCCTGTGGTCCCAGCTACTTGGGAGGCTGAGGTGGGAGGACTGCTTGAACCCAGGAGGCGGAGGTTGCAGCGAGCCAAGATCACAACACTGCACCCCAGCCTGGGCGACAGAGTGAGACTCTGTCTCAAAAAAAGAGAAGAAAGAAGAAAGGAAAAAGAAGAAAGAAGGAAGGAAGGAAGGAGAAATAAGAGATTGTCCAAAATAATCTGGGTGGGCCCGATTCAATCAGTTGAAAGGCCTTAGAAGAGAGGAGTTGAGGGTTTCCAGAAGAAGAAATTGGACAACAGTTTCAGTTCATGCCCAAGAGTTCCTGCATGCCTTCCTCACAGCCTGACATATGGATTTCAGAACTCCCTCGCCAACTCCCACAACAGTATCAGCCAATTCCTTGCAATAAATGTCTCTCTCTCTCTCTCTCTATATATATATATAAAATATATAATTAAAATTGTTTAATATACATAATGCGCCTGGCGCGTTGGCTCACGCCTGTAATCCCAGCACTTTGGGAGGCCGAGACGGGCGGATCACAAGGTCAGGAGATCGAGACCATCCTGGCTAACACCGTGAAACCCCGTCTCTACTAAAAATACAAAAAAAAATTAGCCGGGCGCGGTGGCGGGCGCCTGTAGTTCCAGCTACTCGGGAGGCTGAAGCAGGAGAATGGCGTGAACCCGGGAGGCGGAACTTGCAGTGAGCCGAGATCGCGCCACTGCACTCCAGCCTGGGCGATAGAGAGAGACTCTGTATATATATATATATATGTATATATATATACACACACATATATATGTATATATATACACACATATATGTATATATATGTGTATATGTATATATACATATATATGTATATGTGTATATATACATATATATGTATATGTGTATATACATATACATGTATATGTATATACATATATGTATATATATACATATAGACTATATATAATATGTATATATTATATATTATATATCATATATCATATATTATATATGATATATATTATATACAATATATCATATATATGATATGATATATATTGTTATTATATATGTGTATATATAGACATAATGCATCACAGAGAATAAAGAAATGAAAACAGTATCAAAGGATATGCCATAAAAAGGAAGACTCCCTCCGCTTGCTGCCTTTTAGTTCCCTTCCCCCAAAGAGATCTCTGCGACCTGTTTCTTTAGCATCCTTCTAGAAATTGTCTATGCGCGCAGGAACATATATTTATTCTTACCTCCTTACCCTCATGCATGTTTTAGCACACATGTTATACGGAGTTCTGTATCTTGCTTTTAAAAATTTATTTAACTATTGTGGTAGTCTTCCTATCAGCTCATGGAACTGGCTCCTTTTTAGTAGCTGCATTGTATTCCATTTTACAAGTGTGCAAAACTATTCAATCAGTCCCTGATTGACGGATATTTAGGTTGTTCTAATATTTTTCTTTAACAAGCCGGGATGCCATGGATGCCCTTCCAGAAAGACAAAGGACTTAGATTTCTTTCTGTCGGATATGGGGCTTTCCCTCCCTTCCCGTCTCACTTTCCCCATAGAGTTGGCTGTGTATGTGGGGCACATCCTGTATTTTGTCTACTTGACTTTGTCAAGACTCCTTGAATGTCCTGTGTTCAGCTTTTTTCAATACATTCAAAAATCATCAGAGCTACTTTTCCTCGACAGTAACTGGCACCTAAATTAAATCACCTAAATGGCAACACTAGCTGAAAAGCGTATCTCCATAAAGATTTGGACAATACCTTCTTGGTTTCATGCAGGTTCGGCTGAGGGAAGAACAGAAGGGAAGACTGAGAATTAAGGGTACTTATTTTTTTATTCGGGAAAGGAAAACACTGTTCTTTGCAGAAGCCCAAAGTCATGAACAGGAGCCACCGTTAATTAGAGATAACTTCTAATCATACACACGTTCTGAAAATCAGCCAGTCGGCGACAGCATCGCTGCAGTAACTGCACTCCTAAAAGTAAGCGGATCCACTACAGCCCGAAAGGCAGCGCATCAGGGCCGGCCCCTCGGTCCCCTCCGCTGCTCGACAGCAGCCAATGAGCAAGTGTCTCGCTCTAGCGCCGGCGCTCCCGGAAGTCGGAGGCGAAAGGCAGCCTCCGCCTGTGATTTGCTAACACAGCTGAAAGGCCTTAGATTCCTAAATACTTAGGCTTCAGAAGCGCCACCAGACCCTGCATGACCCGCTTCCCTAAACCTTACACTAAATCAGCCCTGGGGGTTGGGAGACTTTCCCATAGAGGTACGGTTCTCTCTTGCAAGCAAACCGGAAGTTCACTTTTTTTTTCTTTTGGCATCAGATGTCAGGTTCAATGTAACGCAACTCTTTTAACAGTTGGACCTTGTTTATGGTTTGTTATGAGTTTGGACTTACGAGTGACAGATGTACTGAAGCGGCTGAGCTTAGCAAAGTCAGTCTTCCATTTTTGCAGTAGTTTATATGATCTGTTTTTTATTTGCGTATATTTGAACCACTGATTGTCAAAAAGCAAGTGTAAATTTTGTGATGAAATTTCTGACCAGTGGACATTTATTAAACAAGGAAAAGTCCTTTTGAAGCTCTTTGTGCAGTAATTGTTCATTTAGTATAAAAATGATAGAAAGTTAGATGGAAACTAGCATATATGAATGGCTAAACATAAAAGAGATGTAAGATTTTCTCAACCAGTACTAAGAAAAGTGATACACCAACAAAGTTTTTTGATTAAGAGAAACTCAGATTAAGACAAAAATAGTTGTAATAGAAGTTGTAATGGCCTTCCACACTATATCATTATCAGTCTTTCTGCTCAAATAACTATTTGAACATACTACTGACAAAGTATTTTCTGGTTCCAAAATTGCAAGCAAAATTTCAAATGCTAGGATAAAATCGACTGCCCTAATAAAAAATATAATAGCTTCATTTATTATTACAGAGATTATCAAATATCTAAATGCCTCATCTTTTTGTGGCATAGCCACAATACAAGTATCACAATACAGGTACAACTTTTCCTGCGCGCACTAGTTTTCTCATAAAAACACTTGCAACAAGGCAATTGCAGGTAGAATCCCTTCCAGGTGAGACTTCAGAAACAATAGCAAATATTTGCAGAGCCTCTTGAGTTGGCAGTTAATGAAAACGTTTTTACTGCTTTCGTTGGAAATAATACAAATAGAACTTTTGTTGGATGTATGCTTACAAGTACACTATTTATTTGAGTTGAAGCAAAGCCTCAATGATCCTATGGAAGGTATTGGCAGTCCTGCTCGTGTTCTCATAATGCTGCGTAAATAGCATTGGATGGATCTCTTCTATTGAAACTGAAGTAATTATCATGAAATTGTTCTCTTACTTTAGTATTTATAGGGTTCTAACTGAACATTTTAAGGATTTTTATGATTTTGGCATTCGGAATTATTCATTTCTCTTGCATTCAAAAATCCATTGGATCTCTTTAACAAACATAGTTGAGAGAATCTTCCATTTATTTCAAGCACTGAAATTATACTTTAATTATGAAGAAAAGGCCCCCAAAATTCTTGACTTTTAAAATAATCCATTGAATGGTGCCTAGTTATTTCTCATTCATAGTTTTCAGTGTCAATTCTGCTATAGGATTCTGCAAATTGAAAGAGCAAATAGTGTTATGGAAGTACTACTCCATTGCTAAATGTATTTGTTGAATGTGTTGAAGGAGAATTGATGAAAAATGCATCCCTTGAATTATCAAAACTATTGTTAAAAGGGACATTACATATGAACAGGAAAATACATTTTAGCTCAGAGTGGACAATTATTACAACACTTGTTATGACCATCTTTCAAGATGGATTTCATCCCTTGAAAAATTCAGTTTTTTACATGGATGTTACTAAATACTTTTCCAGTGTGGGTACAAGTGGAATCACCATGTGTGGTGTGATGAAAAAGAAAGAATAAAATCTATACTACATTATATTACATGTGTTTTTTAATTTATTACATGAGTTTTTATTCCTTCTTTTCATTACACTACATTATATGTTATGCATACAGGTACAATGATTATTCAAAGTTGAAGCAAAACCTAAATGATTACATTACGTGAAAAATTTCATGATAATTACTTCAGTCTCAATAGAAAACATCCAGTGCTATTTAAGCAGCATTATGAGAACATGGGCAGGACAGCCAATATCTTTCATAGGATCATTCAGGCTTTGCTTCAACTTTGGATAAACATTGTACCTGTTTGCATACATCCATCAAAAGTTCTATTGTAATCTACATGTAGTGTAATGAAAAGAAGGAATAAAAACTGATGACAGTGCTCCTTCTTGTCAGTGGACAACATTTTAAAGAGTCATTGATCAAAAGATGCAATGTGATCCTGAAGAACGGAAAAGCAAGTTATGCATGAAAGATGACACATGTGCTTCAGCCAATCAAATTTGAAGAGTAATTCTCAGAGTTGGTAACTTTATGCCTATGTATGTTCAATACACTGGCTTGTAAAGCTAATGTCAAGCATGATTTCTCATTAATGAATGTTCAGTGGCCAAAAGAACAAAATAAATTGGATGCAACCACTGCAGAAGTCATGATAAAATGTAAATGGAACACAGACTAATAGTAAGGAATTTTATACATAAATTCTGCAAAATGAAGAACTATTAGGGAGCACAAAATCTCCAGGGAAATATAATTAAAGAGGTATGTAATTTAGATATTTACAATTTATTTCAGATAAGCAATGAATATGTTACTAAAAGTAATTTACTAAAAGTATAAGTCAGTGCATGCAATATTTTTCTATCTCAGTGTACATATGCACAGGCAATTATAAATAATTCAGATTTCACTGATGTTCTGTACTTTTATTTGTTAAATCTACTCCCTCAGCCTCCGTGCCACTGTGCCTTTGTTTGTGCCTGCCTATAATGCCTTCCTCCTCCTCTTAAATGATCAAATCCTGGCTCTTTTGAGCCCATCTCAAAACCCTAGTAATAATGGTAATGGTCCCTTAGTGAGGGCTAACTCTGTGCCGGGCACTGTTCTAAGGGCTTTATATTTGTCAAATCATTTGCTCCTCCCTGAGATTCTTCTTTTTTTTTTTTTTTTTTTTTTTTTTTTTGAGATGGAGTCTCGCTCTGTCGCCCAGTCTGGAGTGCAGTGGCGCAATCTCGGCTCACTGCAAGCTGTATTTCCTGGGTTCACACCATTCTGCCTCAGCCTCCCGAGTAGCTGGGACCACAGGCGCCCATCACCACGCCTGGCTAATTTTTTGTATTTTTAGTAGAGACGGGGTTTCACCATGTTAGCTAGGATGGTCTCAATCTCCTGCCCTCATGATCTGCCTGCCTCGGCCTCCCAAAGTGCTGGGATTACAGGCAAGATTATTATTCTTGAGAATAATACTACATACAATGTGGCAGCTATTATTTGCCTTAGACGCATTACATCATTTACCCTTCGTGAGGCAACTGCTCTTGATAATAATAGTACATACTGTAAGGTAGATCTTATTTTTCCTATTTTATGGGTGAAGCCATTAGGGAACAAAGACATGTCATAACTTACACAGAAGTTACACAGCCCAAAAGTGGTAGAGCTGGGATTCGAAGCCAGATAGTGTGGCCATGGAGTCCATTTCTGAACCCTGACTTGCATGTACCCTGCTCTGCCCTGTGAGACTCTTCAAGCTATGACCCGCTTTCTCATTTAATGTTGGAGCCACACAATTTATTATATAGTTTTTTTCTTGTGATGGAGTCTAAAATTACTAAATTTGTTCTCATTTCTCCCTTTAAAAGGAATCTGCCATAGACAAGAGGTGGAATCAACTCAAACATCCATCAACAGATGAATGGATAATCAAAATGTGGTAGGAAGAGGCATAACTACCGTGATGATAAAAAGCTCAGTGAGGCCAGTTGCGGTGGCTCATGCCTATAATCCCAGCACTTTGGGAGGCTGAGGCCGGTGGATCAGTTGAACTCAGGAGTTCAAGACCAGCCTGGGCAACATGGCAGAACTCCATCTCCACAGAAAAAAAAAAAAAAAAAAGCTGGGCATGGTGGTGTGTGACTGTAAGCCCAGCATTTTGAGAGCCCAGGGCAGCAGGATTGCTTGAGCCCAGGAGTTTGAGACTAACCTGAGCAACATAGTGAGACCCCATCTCTACAAAAAAATTTAAAAATTAGCTAGGTATGTTGGCTTATGCCTGTAGTCCCAGTTACTCAGGAGTCTGAGGTGGGAGGATTGTTTAAGCCTGGGCAGTGGAGGCTGCAGTGAGCTGTGATCACACCACTGCAGTCCAGCCTGGGCAAGAGAGCAAGACCCTGTCTCAAAAATAAATAAATAAATGAATAAAAAGTTTAATGATTGCCAAGGGGTTCAGAGAGTTAAATAGGTCCTAAATCATAGTGTCATATAGAATAGTTTCACTGTCCTAAAAAAATCCCCTATATTTTCGGGGATTTTTGACACTATGCATGTCTCAAAACCCATAGAATTTTATAGCACAAAGAGTATACCAATTTTTAAAAAATCATTTAGGAGAAGGATCCCAGGACAGAATGTAGAATGTGACAAAACAATATAACTGCATTAAAATGTATTAAACAACCTCACTGAAAGTTATAGAGGGGGAAAGATGCTGACAAGTAACTTTGGAAATTAGTGGAACCTGTCAGATGAAAGGCAAAAGAAGCTGTACATAAGCACTGTGCTCTATTTGATAAAGTTGTTTCACACGGGAGTGAGGGTTACAATCCTGGTACTGCTATACATGTGTACTGAAATCAATTAAGTAAATGGATGGCAGATAGTAGGGGAAAATGTGGTATATGCATACAATGGAATATTATTCAGCCTTGAAAAAGAAGGAAATCTTGTCACATGCTACAACATGGATGAATCTTGAGGACATTATGTTAAGTCAAAAAATTGTTTAATGGCTACAAAGTTTCAGTTTTTCAAAATGAAAAAGTTCTGGAGATTGGTCACACAACAATGTGAATATATTTAATACTACCAAACTATAGACTTAGAAATGGTTAAGATGGTAAGCTTAATGGTGTGTGTGTGTGTGTGTGTGTGTGTGTGTGTGTGTGTTTTACCAAATTAAAAAGAAAAAGAAAGGCCAGGCATGGTGGCTCATGCCTGTAATCCCAGCACTTTGGAAGGCCGAGGCAGGCAGATCATGAGGTCAAGAGATCGAGACCATATTGGCCAACATGGTGAAACGCAATCTCTACTAAAAATACAAAAATTAGCTGGGCATGGTGGCGCACACCTGTAGTCCCAGCTACTTGGGAGGCTGAGGCAGGAGAATCGCTTGAACCTGGGAGGCGGAGGCTGCAATGAGCCAAGATCACGCCACTGCACTCCAGCCTGGCAACAGAGCAAGACTCTGTCTCAAAAAAAAAAAAAAAAAAAAAGAAAGAAAGAAAGAAAAAGAAAAAAGAAATTATTCCTTTGCCTTCTAGGCTTCTCCCCTCTCTTCTGCCCTCTAAGAAGCCAGTTTTTGGTGGTTTCACATCTGGGCTTTTGAGATGAGAGAGAAGAAGGGAGAAACAACTGAGAAGCCAAAAGGACTGACAGAAGTTTACTACAAGGAAGAGAAGAACAGAGCTAAATTGAAAGGAAAGCAAGGTAGAACCCCACTTTGGCTGGTCATGTGGGTGTGCTGTTGGGGCAAAGAGATTTTTTAGTTAGAATTAAGAATTAGTATCCCAGCACTTTGGGAGGCTGAGGCGGGCGGATCACGAGGTCAGGAGATCGAGACCATCCTGGCTAACACGGTGAAACCCCATCTCTACTAAAAATACAAAAAATTAGCCAGGCCTGGTGGCGGGCACCTGTAGTCCCAGCTACTCGGGAGGCTGAGGCAGGAGAATGGCGTGAACCCGGGAGGCAGAGCTTGCAGTGAGCCAAGATTGCGCCACTGCACTCCAGCCTGGGCGACAGAGCGAGACTCCGTCTCAAAAAAAAAAGAATTAGTGGTTGGCTGGGCGCAGTGGCTCATGCCTGTAATCCCAGCACTTTGGGAGGCTGAGGCAGGCAGATCCCTTGAGGTCAGGAGTTCAAGACCAGCCTGGCCAACATGGCAAAACCCCGTCTCTACTAAAAATACAAAAATTAGCTGGGTGTGGTGGCATGTGCCTGTAGTCCCAGCTACTTGGGAGGCTGAGGCAGGAGAATCGCTTGAACCTGGGAGGTGGAGGTTGTAGTGAGCTGAGATAGTGCCACTGCACTCCAGCCTGGGTGACAGACTGTGTAGAGCAGTTCCAAATGCTCTACACGTGTCAATTCATTTCATCCTCACAACTATCCTATGAGTGGCCATTATGATTATCCCCATTTTACAATTGAGGGAGCTGAACTACAGGAAGGTTAAGAAAAGTGTCCCAGCTAATTAGTGATTGATCCAGAATCTGAATCCAATGGGCTTCAGAGCCAGTGTTCTGAGCCACTTGGGGCTTTGGCTTTTATGTGCAAGGTACCACTGAGCTACAGGGAGTATGGGAAATGCAGGGAGTAGTGACATATGGCTATCATTATAGGAGGTAAGACAGGGCCTCAGAAAATGAAAAGGTGGAAAACAGCAAGTAGCAGAAAGAAAGGCTCAGCAAAAGCCTTGGCAGGGGATTCCACAAACATGTGGAAGGGGGCAGGATGTTGGAGTATAGGGGTGGGGAGTGGGGAGTCTCTGATGGGTCAGACATTGCACCTCCAGACACAAGGGACTGGCTACAAAGGTTGAATCTCTTGTTTGCCACCCTCCCCATTTGTGGATTTTTTTTCTGAGCGTATTAGATATATTGCTGCATAACAAATCATTCTCAATTTAGCAGCTTAAAACCACAAGTGTTTATTATCTCACAGCTTCTGTGGGTCAAGAAATCAAGAATGACTTAGTTGAGTGGTTGTGGTTGTGGTTGTGGTTAAGGGTCTCTCATGAGATTTCAGTGAGGCTACTGGCCAGGGTTGCAGTCATTTGCAGTCTTGACTGGGACTGGAGGATCTGCTTCCAAGATGGCTCCCATGGCTGTTGTCTTGTTTCCTCGCCACCTGGGCTTTTCCATAAGGCTGCTCCAGTGTGGAAATGGAGCAGCTGACATCACTGAGAAGGTGATCCCAGAGAGAAAACAAAGAAGAAGCTGCAATGGCTTTTATGACCTAACCCTAGAAGACACACCCATCATTTCTGCACTATCCTGTTGGGTTACACAGGTCACCCCATCCACTGTGGAATGGGACTACATAAGCGTGTGAATCACTAGGAGCCGTCTTGGAGGCTGGCTGTCACACCGAGTTACTAAAATTCATAAAAATGTAATTCCTAGAGCCTGGAGGTCCACAAGGGTATGGACTTTGCTTTGTTCATTGTTGTGTCCCCAGAACCTAAAATAGTGCTGGGCACATGGTAAAGGCTCAATAAATATTTTATAAATGAATGAAAAAGAAGACTGCAGGGCAGGTGGCAATTTACTTGGCTTGGATGGAAGCATAAGATTCATTAAGTTTTCAAGGTTTTGTTGTTGTTTTTCCTTCAAGACAAAATCATTCATTTCATACAAATATTAGGCAGAATGTATCCAACCCGCAGCACCCACTTTGAAAAAATATGATGAGTCAATGAGACGATGCTTTAAAAACTTTTAGCACAGTGACCAGCACAGAGTAGATGGTCAATTACTTTGATCAAATCTTTTTATTAAATTTTTTTTTTTTTTTTTTTTTTTTTTGCCAAATGGGGCAGGGGGTTTTGTTTGAGACAGAGTCTTGCTCTGTCACCCAGGCTGCAGTGCAGTGGTGCGATCTCAGCTTACTGCAACCTTCACCTCCCAGGTTCAAGCGATTCTCACGCGTCAGCCTCCTGAGTAGCTAGGATTACAGGCACGTGCCACCACACCCGGGTAATTTTTGTATTTTTAGTGGAGACAGGGTTTTACCATGTTGGCCAGGCTGGTCTTAAACTCCTGGGTTCAAGTGATCTGCCCGCCTCTGCCTCCCAAAGTGTTGGGATTACAGGTGTGACCCACCACTCCTGGCCAGATCACATCTTAATAACAAGTTAGTGTGTGTCTGTGGCAGATTGTATTTTTTAAACATGGCCATACTTGTACATGTATCCCGTCCAACATGCTCTTCTTATAATATTACTGAACTTCTTACACAGAGAGATGGGGGTCTATGTTTTCTCTTTTTAAATCTGGATAGGGGCTTGTGATTTCTCCAACCCACAGAGCTCAGCAGAAGTGATGCTATATGACTTCTGAGACTAGGTCAGAAGAAGGATACAGCCTTAGCCCATCTTTGTCTCTTGATACGCTTGCCCTTGGAACCCACCGCTATGTTGTGAGGAAGCCCAGGCAACAAGGAGAGCCATGTGTGAGTGTTCCACTGACAGTGAGCACCTGTTGTCAAGACATGTGAGTCAATGAGCTTTCATACGATTCCAGCCCCAGAATTTGAGTCTTTCAGTTGAGGGGCAAGATATCATCGCCACTGTATCCTGTCTGAATTTCTAGCCCACAGAAACTGTGAGAAATAAGTCATTATTGTTGTTTTAAGCCACTAAGTTTTGGGGTAATCTGTTACACAGCAATAGATAACTAATAAAATATCCTTCCAGAATTTCCTCTAACTAGCTTCAGGGGAAAATGATATTTAATTATGTATTCACTCATTCACTCACTCAACCACGAAACCCAAAAGGGTATATTTGGCTTCAGACATGCTATTCTAGGGGGCTCAAATGATGTCATCAGAGTTCTGTGTCTCTCTTCTATTTGTTGTACCTTTCTGTAGCTCTAAGCTTTCCTCTGTTTTACGGCTCAAGATCTCAGGAGAAGTGTATTTTCCCCCAGTAGTGGCATAAACCCTAAGGAAGATCTGAATCACCTGCTCTAGCAGTGAGTCATGTTTTCAATTTCAAGTCACAGGAAATTCTCCTAACAATGATTTAAAGTTTAAGCCATAAGGACATTTACCATTTACTTAGAAGAAGTCCAGAAGTAGGAGGTCCCAGCACTAGTCAGATATCAAGGACATAAGTGTTTTCCCTCCTCCACTCTATCCTTATGCTTGGTGCCTCACAGTTACAACGTGGCCTCCCCAGCTTCAGTCATCACAACTGCCTTCAAGGCAGGAAGGAAAGGGAAGGAACCAGAAACCGCCAGTTTGTTTCTCAAGCACAGCACTTTTCTCAGGAAGTAAAATATCTAACCAGAAGCCATCCTCCTCCCTCATTGGGCAGAATGAAGTTACTTGGCCACCCCGTAGCTGTGGGAGAAGCTGTGAGAGTCGTTGACTTTCCAGTTTCTCCAGTGGGAAGCAGCAAGGGAGAAGGAGTCTCTGAATGGCTGCTGGGTTAGTGTCTTCCATGCCTGCCTGGCCTTGAACTAATCATGGCCAGAGCCATGGAGTCTCTAATTGGTTTGCTCCTAAGTCAAAGGGTAGGGCCAGCACCACACAAACTCTATGAATTGAGCAGAATTTGGGAGGTAACATCTGGTCAGGTTGTTTGCCCAAAGCAAGGGTGCATTAGAAGGTATAAAAATATCTGACCATACAAGAGTTGCAGAGTGTTCCATTGCATGGATAAACTCACAATTCTTTTAATTTGGCAACTTTAGTTCCAAGACAAGAGGATGGGAGGATAGGTGTGGGTAATAGTTTAAACACAGATGTGGAGTAGGAGGAGTACAGGGAGTCAGGAGGTTAGGGCTAGAGAGCATTTCAGTATGGTTAGAGAGTGGGCTGTAAGGAGGGTTAGGAGGAAATAAGGGGTAAGTAATAACAGCTGGCTGTGAATGCCATGCTATGCTAATATTTCATTTAATAGTCACAACAGCCACACGAGGGCAGTATTACTTAATTTCCACTCAATTCTTATGTTTCAGGTAAGAAAACTGAGACCTGGAGAAGTTGAGTCATTTGCTTGAATTACTCACTAAATAACCAGAAATTAGCCAGACCAGAATTGAAATGCAGGTCTTTCCGATTAGTCCCCACGCTGATCCAAGAGCCTCCAGGCTTCGCAGAGACCCTGCACTGGTTCCCTGCAGAAGGGGTAACTCAGGGGAAATGGGCTTAGTCACCAGAAGTCAGTCACTCTCCTCCTGGAAAGGTCTGGATGCAGATGCTGCAGACCTGGCCCATGTTATCAGACGTGATCGGAGATTGGAGTTGGAGCTTCATTGTGAAACATCTGCAGTCCTCAAGCTGAGACAACATTTCTGGCTGGGGGCGGTGGCTCATGCCTGTAATCCCAGCACTTTAGGAGGCCAAGGCGGGCAGATCACCTGAGGTCAGGAGTTCACGACTAGCCTGGCCAGCATGGTGAAACCCCATCTCTATTAAAAGTACAAAAATTAGCTGGGCATGGTGGTGGGCATCTGTAATCCCAGCTACCCGGGAGGCTGAGGCAGGAGAACTGCTTGAACCCGGGAGGCGGAGGTTGCAGTGAGCAGAGATCACACCACTGTACTCCAGCCTGGGCAACAGAGCGAGACTCCATCTCAAAAAAAAAAAAAAAAAGATTTCTGACTGAATTTAAAAATAAACAAAAACTACACCAACACCGAGCCATTCACAGCCTCTCAGGATTTGGAAAACAAAACAAAACAAAACAAAATAACACTGAGGCAAAGAGCAAGTCCCCCACACTGTAAAGGTATCAGCTCCACCATCTGGTCTCATCAGGGCCTCACCAGATGAAGCCTACCCCTAGCAAGCTGGTCTGGAGCTGCAGTTGGGCCCAAGGGCTGGGTGAGCGCCTGGGGCTGTCCACAGTGAGCAGATTCAGCAGAATTGCAGAACGTGGCCACCCGGCTGACTGAGGAAGGCCCTGTCCCGTGGGCATAAAGCCAGGATTCCTTTGGCCTTTTGCTGCTGGAGGAAAACTAGGCTGATTCAGAAGGTCTCACCACTGCTCCCTAGCACTGACTAAAGTCCGGGATGTCAGACTATGAGGTCATATATCACAAGTCTCTGTACGCCTTTGATCCCCAGTTTCCACATCAATAAAATGGCGGTAATCATATCTGACGATTGGGCGGGATTCTATGAAATAATGCGCACAAAGCTCTGGCAAAACCCTATGTAATGGAAGATGTTACTGATGACCAGCACTCAAGTCCTTCCTCCAGCCTCCGCATGGAAAGTTCCCAAGTGTCCCTAGAAGTCTGGAACACTCTAATGTTGACTGGAAAGAATAAGATGGATCTCTTTTTCTGATATGGAAGCGTCCCAAATCCAGTCATACCAGCTGGGAGGCAGTGCCCGCTAGCGGTAAAAAGCATGGATTTTGGATTTGGACAGATCCCCCTGAATTGAAGGCACAAGGGAAACCACTTGTGCCTCTGGCCAAGTTAATTTTTCTCTCCAAGCGTCAGTTTCTCCACCTGTTAAAAAGTAACGGCAAACCTACCTCACTGGAGCTTAATAAGGATTAAGTGAAATAATGCAGGTCAAATATCCGAGCCTTGATATATATAAGCCTCATGTGTATGTGTTCCCATTTATGTAAAATAACAGTGTAAGCATATTCAAAGAAAGCAATTCAGAATGTACTCTTAAACTAAGCAATGGTTATCTTGGTGTGGGGAGTTGGGGAAACCAGGGGCCTGCCTTTTTCTCTATTATATAATGCTGCAAAGTTTGATCTTTAAAAAAGGACATTAAAAAGCCCAATTGTACTTTAAACAACACAAGTTTTAATACTTGGGTAAATAAATGGCATCTAAACAAAGAAAGAAACTGAAGGCAGAGCCAGGCCCAACCCTAGGAGACTGAGGAAGCGATTCTGCTTTGCCTGCCCCCAGCTCAACCCCTGCACTAAAACCCCCCGGCCCCAGCCCCAAGGTCCAGGGGGTTGTATTCCTGGGGGCGACCCGGCGCCCCTCAAGTCTCCCTCCTCTTGCACACACACACACACAAACCAGACTCGAATCCCCGCCTCCCAAGGGAAAGTGTTTTTTAAGGTCTGTTCCAGGGCCTGCCGGGGCCAGGGACCGAGGTGGGACTGAGTGGCCGGAACTCCTCCACCTGGGAGAGTCGGTCCGGGTAGCTGCGGCCAAGCTGAGTCAGCCCGGCGGGCGGCGCACGCGGCGCCGCGTGACCCGCAGCCACGTGACCCGCGCGGGGCCGGGCCGCCGGCGCAGTCGCTGCAGCCGCCGCGGGAGGCGTCCGTGTAAGTGGGTAGCAGGGCTGGCGGGGACCTTCCTCGCGGGCCGGAGCGCGGAGCGCTGCCCCAGCCCTACGGCACTCGGGGTCGGGACCCCGGGGAGCCGCCCTCACACATTTTCCAGGAGGGATCGGAGGGGCGATGGGGTGGTAATGGGGGTGGGGGACACGCTGTACCCCACCGACGACCGCGCGGGCCACCTTCGCCTCTTTCCTTCACACTCCCACTAACCGCAGTGCTGGGGGAACAAAATGTCCTCCTTCTGGAGCGATTACCTTTTCCCTTTTGTGCTTTGGGGGAAACTGAAGACCCAGAGGGGTTCGCAAAGCAAGGTGGGCCAGTAGGAAGACCCCTCCGCTAGTCCAGAGAGAGCACACAGCTCCCCAGGCAGAGCTCATTGCCCCACCTGCTCTAGTGGCCCAGCATGATCCCATGACCTCTCTACTTCTGGAGGAAGAGTCTTGGGGTAGACGGCGGGGAGGGGGTAGGGTATCCCGTTCCGGTAGGGGCAGGGATGAGGGAGGCGGGGCTGAGCCGAGCATCTATCTGGATGGTAACAGCCAACGTAGAAAATACTAAGTTGTTTACATGCATTCTCTCATTTCATATTACCCGTCGTGAAGTCTGTGAAGTAGGTACTATTGTCCCAATTTTTACATAGGAGGAAACGGCTCAGAGAGAACTTAGGTCCTTTGACCGAGGTCCTGCAGGTGGTAAGTGAAGGAGCTGAGATTAGAACCCAGATCTGCCCCCAGTGGCGCCTCCTCGTGGTCTGTGGGTGGTGGAGACGACTGGCCTAGCCTCTTAGCTCCTCTGTGAATAGAAAGGCCTTTTTCCTGGCTCAGACAGCTTGGGAAGGGGATTGTTGCTGGGTAAGAGAAGCTTCTCCCACCACCTCCATCTCTTTCTCTGCCCCTTACCATTGATTCCTTTCTGTCATCCCCTCTCCCCCACTGCAGGACAAGATGAAGCTCATCATCCTGGAGCACTATTCTCAGGCGAGCGAGTGGGCGGCTAAATACATCAGGAACCGCATCATCCAGTTTAACCCAGGGCCAGAGAAGTACTTCACCCTGGGGCTCCCCACTGGTGCGTTCTTGGATGGAGAGGGTGCCGTGGATAAGGGTGGAGAGAGTAGGCAACAGGGGCCAGGTACACCGGCTCACTCAGCCAAGGGACTTCACGGGGGCTCTGGGGTACTGGTGCTGAGAGAGCACCTTCCTGCCCCTTCCACATACAAAGGACCCAGCTTCCCTTATGGGTTGGTTTAGTCGCTGCCTGTCCCTGCAGAATCCTGGAGCAGAAGGGATCTTGGTTGGCAGGAAGAATTTGATTTTTAGGCTACATCCTAAGTCAGCCCTGTCCACCAGGGTTTCTTAACAGAATTAAGTCCTGATACCCTAAGGCATTCATTTTATGTAATGAATTAATTTCTCTTCTCTGCATCTAGAGGGGTACCAGCTAAGTACCATCCTTGGGAGAATTGAAAAGATAGTCACTTAGGTAATTTTCTGTAAGGCTTAATTAAACACAGGACCTAAATAAAAAACAGTTCTAATTTCTTTTGGAAAAAATCAAAATGTTGCTTTTTCAGAAAGATATTTTGACCCCAGCTCCTCAAGACAAATGTCCTGATTATTTCTTTCAGAGATGGATGGGTTTGCCCTAGTGGCCCTACCTGACCCATCCATTAGCGTGTCTATGTGTGTGTGTGTGTGTTGGAGGGGTCTTCAAACTTGTTCTTTTTCCTTTTTTTTTTTTTTTTTGGTCTTCCTTGCAGTCCAGACTTTTTCTGTAAATGGCCAGTAGTAAATATGTTAGACTTCACTAGCCATATAGTCTCTGTTGCAACAACTTAACCCTTCTGTTGTTTGAAAGCAGCTATAATTAGCCTGGCATGGTGGCGCTCACCTGTAGTCCCAGCTTCTTGGGAGGCTGAGGTAGGTGGATTGCTTGAGCCAGTAGATTGAGGCTGCAGTGAGCCATGATTGTGTCACTGTACTCCAGTCTGGGTGACAGTGAGACCCTGTCTCAAAAAAAGAAAAGACAATATATAAGTGAATGAGTATGGTTGTATGCCAATAAAACTGTATGGACACTGAAGTTTGAACTTATATAATTTTCACATGTCACAAAATATTATTCTTCTTTAATTAAAAAAAAAACTATTTAAAAATGTAAAAACCAGGCCAGGCATGGTGGCTCATATCTGTAATTTCAGCACTTTGGGAGGCTGAGGTAGGCAGATTGCTGGAGCCCAGGAGTTTGAGATTAGCCTGGGCAACATGGCAAAACCCCATCTCTACAAAAAATAGAAAAATTAGCTAGGCATGGTGGCACATGCCTGTAGTCCCAGCTACTGAGGAGGCTACGGTGTGAGGTGTGAGTATTGCTTGGGCCAGGAGGTCGAGGCAGTGAACCATGATTGTGCAATTGCACTCCAGCCTAGGTGACAGAGCAAGATTCTGTCTCAAAAAAAAAAAAAAAAAGAAAGAAAAGAAAACCATTCTTAACTCATAAGCTGTATAAAAACAGGCCACAGGGCCGGGTGTGGTGGCTCACGCCTGTAATCCCAGCACTTTGGGAGGCTGAGGTGGGTCGATCATTTGAAGTCAGGAATTTGAGACCAGCCTGGCCAACATGGTGAAACCCTGCCTCTACTAAAAATATAAAAATTAGCTGGGCATGGTGGCGGGCACCTATAATCCCAGCTACTCAGGAGGCTGAGGCAGGAGAATCAATTGAACCCAGCAGATAGAGGTTACAGTGAGCTGAGATTGTGCCACTGCACTCCAGCTTGGGTGACAGCGATACTCTGTCTAAAAAAATAAAAAATAAAGGCCGCAGGCCAAATTTGGCCTGTGGACCAAAGTTTGCTGAGTTCTGCACTAGAGGTTTGTGGGAGTAGTATCCACCTGTGCCTGTGAAACTACCAATGTCTCAGGCCCTCGGAGGCTGTGCTAACATCCTGTCTCCTAACTGTGGAGAGACCCAACCTCTGTATGGGTCAGAGTCTGGCCTTCTGAAACCATTCCCTCGTTCCCATCATTGCAGAGTCAGATCCAAGCTCTTCAGAGTGGCATTCAAGGCCCTCCAAAACCTGGCCTCTCCCTGCCTGTCCTGCTTGAACCAACAGGACAGCGTTTCCACACGGGTTCCTTGGAACATTGCTTCTGTTAGATGTAGCACCTGTCAGGGTTCTGAGTGGAAACCACAGAAACCAACTCCAGCTAAATTAAGCAGAAAAGGAGTTTATTGGCTAGATACTGGGAAGTTCAGAGAATTCATGGGAAGGCTAGAAGTTTGGAAAATGGCAGGAGAGAGGAAGCTATGTGGCTCAGGCATAGCTAAGGCCTTGTCACACGGACCAACTAATTATTTTGGGTGGGCTGCGGGGAGCTGCCATTCACTCAGCAGGTATTTATTGAGTACCCTCTGTATGCAAAGCTGTTCTAGCCTCTAAGGATACAGCAATGAACAAAAAGGATATGAACTTCTGCCTTCTGAGGCTTAAATTATAATGGGAGAGACATAATAATTAGCAAAATATAGAGTATGTTAGATGGTGATAAGAGGAAAGGAGAAACATGAAGCAGGAAAGGATAGGGAGTGTGTCGGCAGGGGTGGGGCTGTGCAGTGTTGGATATGGTGGCAGGGAGGGTCTCATAGCCAGGGGCCAGGTTCTGTGGAGCCTTAGAATAACTGGTGTTGCTGAGGGTGAAATGAGAAGCTATTGGTGGGTTTTGAAAAGAGGGGTGACATGACGTAATCTCGATGGGTTTTTTTTCTTTCATTTTTTTAGTTTGCAAAATTTCAAATATTCAAAAAAGAGGAAAAAAACAGGTCAATACCATTCACCTAAATTCACCAATTGTTACCATTTTGCCACATTTGCTTTTACCTTTCTCTGGCTCTTGTTCTTTATCTACACACACACACACTTTTTTTTTCTGAACCACATGAAAATAAGTTCCAGACATCCTGACACTTATCTCTAAATCCTTCAGCACATATCTCCTGAGAATAAGGACATTCTCCTACACAACCATGATACCATCATACCTAAGAAAATGAAAAATCATGCCATCATCTAATATGCAAACTGTGTTCACAATTTTTTCTCAATTGTCCACATTTATCTTTTATAGGTTGGTTTTTAAAAAATTAATTCAGTGTCCAGTCAGGGTTCATGCATCTTTAGTCTTTTAATATACAGTGTCCTCCTACCTTTTATTGTGTGTGTGTTTTTATGACATTGACTTTTTTTTTTTTTCAAGATAGAGTCTGGCTCTATTGGCCAGGCTGGAGTGCAGTGGTGCAATCTCGGCCCACTGCAACCTCTGCCTCCCAGGTTCAAGTGATTCTTGTGCCTCAGCCTCCCGAGTAGCTGGGATTACAGGCACATGCCACCATGCCCAGCTACTTTGTGTATTTTTAGTAGAGACAGGGTTTCACCATGTTTTCCAGGCTGGTCTTGAACTCCTGACCTCAAGTGATCTGCCCGCCTTGGCCTCCCAAAGTGTTGGGGTTACAGGCGTGAGCCACCATGCCTAGCCATGACATTGACTTTTTAATGAGACTCAACTAGGGCTTCGCTGCTCCTCAGGGAAGTCTTCCTTGAACCCTGAAGCACTGGGTGAGCCTGTGCTTTACCCTATCACAACTGACGTTCCTGCTTTGTGTTCTACTCCTAGTGAGTTATCTTAGAGTAGCTACTGTCCCTTGCTCCCCTGTGTCCTTATCACATGGCCCTGTGCCTTGCACATATTACTTGTTCAGGGAGTATCATGTCAATAATGAAGTCTGATGTTCACTCAGGTACTAATCAGAGTGATTTCAGTCATCAGTGTGCTGGATACTGGGAGATTCAGCAGTGATCAAGGCAGACACAGTCCTGCCCTCCTGGAGCTTACAGTCTAGTGGCAAAATAGGCATTAAACAAGCAATTAATGGATGGATGGCAGTTAGGATTGGAGTACTGGGTAGGACTTCAGATCTGACAGGTTCTCCCTGTGAGCAGCCCTGACTTATTCCTGTGAACCCTCTGGGCTTCCAGACTTGGGGTGCAAGGGGTGTTCATGGGTGTGGCCACTCTTGCAGGGAGTACCCCACTTGGCTGCTACAAGAAGCTGATTGAATACTATAAGAATGGGGACCTGTCCTTTAAATATGTGAAGACCTTCAACATGGATGAGTACGTGGGTGAGTCTTTCTCTTTCAAGGTTCTTTCCTGATTCTAGGAGAGTGATGCTCCTCCTCTCATTGGCCCAGTCCTGGAGAGGAATCGGGGAGCCAGTGACATTTGATGATAGGCTCAATTATCAATACTTACCTCTTGGTTTACTCAGCTATAAAATGGGGCTAATAAAGCTGACCTCACAGGTTGTAAGCATTAAATTCATTTAATCCTTTTATGATAAAAGATGTGGAAGTTTCTTATACATAACAAATACTTAATAAATATTAGAGTATCTCCTTCTCCTCTGCCTGCTCCTCAACTCCATTCCATTTCTTTCTGGAACAAATGATTGCAAGTGGGATCCTGGCTCGGGTGTTTCCCCTAGGATCTGTGTCTGTGCTTTCTCTTCTGTGTGTGGCCTCCAGCTCCCCTTTCTGCCAGGTACACTTGAAGGGGACCTGAGATTGGTATCCTTCCTGCTGCTGAAAGACTATACCTTGGTCTTCTATCACCTCTCCCTCACCCAGTCCTTTTGTAATAGCTTCATTTTAAACATCCTTTTTTTAAAAAAAAAATTGTGGTAAAATACATGTAACATGACATTTACCATCTTAACCACCTTTCTGTGTATAGTTCAGTAGTGTTAAGTGCATTCACATTGTTGTGCAACCAATTTCCAGAACTCTTTTCATCTTGTAAGACTCAGGCTCTATACCCGTGAAACAACAACTTCTCATTTCCCACTTCACCAGCCACGGAAACCACCATTTTACTGTCTGTTTCTATGAATTTGACTACTCTAGAATCAAACTAGAGTATATAACTGGAATCATAAAGTATTTGTCTTTTTGACTGGCTTCTTACACCTAGCATAAAGTCCACAAGGTTCATCCATTGTTGTAGTGTGTGTCAAAATTTCCTTCCTTTTTAAGGCTGATTTTACATATTCTTAATGCTTAACATTAAACATTATTTTTTTTTCCTGGCCAAAAAAAAAAAAGTTGATCTGGGGAAGCCCTAAGATAGTTCTCTCTAACCACCTGGTGTTCAAGCTGGGATTTATTCAGGCTGAGTGGGGTAGAACTGGGAGTGGATGGTGGGTTGAGAGGCACAGGGTGAGGGGTGTGCTTGCTTGCTTTCTAAGATGAGTTCAGCCCTACCCCAGGTGGCCAGAGTGTCCCCAGCCTCTAACCTATGGTCATTGCCTTATGAAAAGCAGATCAGATCAGAATGTGGGGATTTCCCAGGCCCTTGGTGTGCAGTTACTCTGGCCAAGCCCTGTGGCCACAGATGGTGGTACTGGGTGGGTGGACACTTATGGATACTGGCTCAGCCTGTGCCGAGTGGCTAGGGGTCAGAGGGCTGGTGCCTAAGGCTCCCAGATGGGCAGACCCCTGGGAGTGTCTCTGTAGGTCAGCATGGTGTCCTGGCATCCTTCTTAGGAGAGGGGCTTTGGCTTGGCCTAGGCATAACCGAGTGTCTCACGGCCCCACAGGCCTTCCTCGAGACCACCCGGAGAGTTACCACTCCTTCATGTGGAACAACTTCTTCAAGCACATTGACATCCACCCAGAAAACACCCACATTCTGGATGGGAATGCAGTCGACCTACAGGCAGAATGTGATGCCTTTGAAGAGAAGATCAAGGCTGCAGGTGGGATCGAGCTATTTGTTGGAGGTGAGCTTGACACTCTGCAGCACACATGTCCAGGGCCAGACCCGTGGGAAGGAGGACAAGACACAATGCCTGTCTGCAGACAGCTTCTTCTGGGTGTGCTAGTGACCGTAGAGACAGAGGCGGGAGAAATGGGCCCTGCCTGGCTCTGTTACTCAGGAACTATGTTATCTTGGAGATCTCTTTCTGCAGTTTGATGCCTTGTCTGTAAACTGAGAGGTTTGGGTTTGGACTCTGAGATTCTGTCTACTCCCCAGTCTTAAGGTTTTATGGATCAGTCCTGGAACTTATCTAAACATTTAACATCATGGACTCATGTAGTTCCGGAAGGCTCCACACAGCCCCTGTAGATAGCCAGTTGAACCCCAGAGAAGTTAGGTGACTCACTCAAGGTTCACAGGTGGGAGCAAGTGTGTGCTTCTTGGATTTGTGCTCGGGTCCTCTGGGCTGCCCTTCTGTGTATCCATCTATCGCCACCTCTGGAGTTACCCATGAGGGGTAACATTGAACTGCCTTTTATTGCTCTAGAGATCACTCTTCTATACTTCAAGGTGGGGAGGAGGGGGGCAGGACCTCTCATCCTCTGAGATTTTAGAACCTTGGCAGCCCCTGTCCAGGTTCTCTGGGTGTTTTGTTCACTGCACCTCTATCCCAGCAGCAGGACCCTCTAACTACAGGCAGAAGAGACAGAGAAGGTCCACTTTTCTGACAATCTGGGGAGGCAGAAGCTGTTTGGAGTGTTTCCTCCTCAGCTTTTTGAGGGTGATAGCAAGTTAACAATGTCTGTGTGTGCCTCAGATAGACATGATGGGGAGGGTCTCCTCTGAGACAGTATGGCAAAGAGAAAGAAATGGTAGGGAGGGGGACAGATCACATGTTTAAGGTGTACCTGCCCAGGGCTGCAAATGAGAAAGGTGACACAGCTTTCAATGATTTTTCTTCAGACCCTAGTTAGGGAAGGAGAGATTGTCCATTCTTGAAATCTTGGATCCCTGGGACTGACAGGGCTGCACGGGCTCTCTCCCTATAGGCATCGGCCCTGATGGACACATTGCCTTCAACGAGCCAGGCTCCAGTCTGGTGTCCAGGACCCGTGTGAAGACGCTGGCCATGGATACCATCCTGGCCAATGCTAGGTTCTTCGATGGAGAACTCACCAAGGTGCCCACCATGGCCTTGACGGTGGGGGTGGGCACTGTCATGGATGCTAGAGAGGTAAGGGCATAAGGGCCCCACCAGCTTGCGCTGGTGGACTTGTCTTTCTCTTGTTAATCTTAACTATACTGGTACCACCTACATTCTTATTAAAGATGAAGGCATGGTAAATAAGGCTAAAATCCCTGCTGACCCTGTTACTCACTGTTCCTCTTGCGTCTTTGGAAGACATCATTATTCCCAGTGTGAGGTGAATCCCTTGAGCACGTTTTTGGTGCCTTTGGCTGACTGCCTGAGACAGCAGGCTCTCTGGCCTCAGGCCCCTTTCATGCTTTTCACAGGCAGAGAGGAGGCCAGCATCGCTAATGTTGGAATATTTGTACCTGACCAGGTATGGAGAGAGGGGTTCCCTTGTTCCTTGTAGTTGGTAGAGGTCACTGTTGGGACACCAAGGATGCTTGTGCTTCTAGCCCCGTGCTCAGAGATTAATAAATGTGGTGAAGTATGATTAAAATATAAGTGTTTTAAACTGAATTTAGCTTTTCCCCTAAAAAATTGGCTATCATTTGAATGTGAATTTTTTGTGGTTCCAATTTCCTTATTTTCATTAGAACTTTAGAAGCATTTTCTCTTCCTTTCTGACGTGTATAGACATGTTAGATTTACATTTCTTTGCCCAAGCCAATAAACAAGCATCTAAATCAGTGAAAACTTCCCTGTTTAAAGTGAACTTTTGTGAAATGAGTGATGGCACCCAGATTTCTGTTGGGTAATCTTCAATCAGTACGTGGGGTGGGGGTGTTTACTCGCTGTTTTTAGCTCTGCAGCTTGGAAACAGGTTTAGGGCCGTCTTTATCATGAGGGCATCTTGATCTGGGAAAGGACCTGGGGCTGGAAATCAGGAAATTATCTTTTCTAAAGAGTTCTGGGTTGCTGAGGGGTCCGGAAGAAATAGTCACATTCCCTCTCTGCTTCTGCATTCTAATCTTTTAAGAAAGGAACAGTAAATCCTGTTCACAACTCTGTGGCACATGTGAATTAAAATGAAAGGAAATCTACAGAACTGAGTTTTTTTCTCTTTTCCTGCCCTTGAATAGAGCTGAGTTCTTTAAGATCACTTACATTCTCGATATTTTAACTGTTAAGTGGAGACTGTGCCTTTGTTTTATTATATATTAACAAAAACCATCACCCCAAGTCACATTAGTTCATAGGTTTAATGCTGTGAACTGAAAGTGACCAGATAATGGGGCAACCTTTCTGGGATTCAGCCTTAGAGGCCCCACAGATAACTCCCACCATTGCTTGCAAAGTGCCCTTGCTGGTGGTGCAGGTTGGGAGCCCTCTTTCACAAACTGTGCTTGTGTAGAGTCACCCAGCTGATGGGATAGCAGGCCTGGGCATGGCATGTCTGTTTACAGGGCACCTTCATAGTCATCATCAAAGATACCTGGAGGCACTGTCACGTGGTAGTCAAGAACATGAACTTTGGGGTCATAAATGACCCTGGGCAAGTTATTTAACCCCCTGGGGCTCTGTTTTCTTATAAGATGGAGATAATGATGCTGCCTGCCTCGGGTTATTTGTGTGATAAAGCACAGGGAGCACTGAGCAAAAGTATGTTGCATGGTAACCACTTACAATGTGATATGAAAAACAATCATCCTTACAACTGTTTAGGGTGTCTGGAATGCTCCCCTCCATCACAGACTTGTTTTCTGATCCCCAGGTGATGATCCTTATCACAGGTGCTCACAAGGCATTTGCTCTGTACAAGGCCATCGAGGAGGGAGTGAACCACATGTGGACCGTGTCTGCCTTCCAGCAGCATCCCCGCACCGTGTTTGTGTGTGACGAGGATGCCACCTTGGAGCTGAAAGTGAAGACTGTCAAGTATTTCAAAGGTGAGGGAGGTGTGGGTCCAGGAGGAGGTGGTCAAGCTTAGGGTGTGCTAGGAGTAAGGAGTAGATCCAGCTTTCATCCTCTGGTCATTTTAATTGACAACTGTAATCTTAAGAAATATCAAACCCAACTGCATCACACTACACAGTCATTTCTCTTCTGCCTGTGACTGCAAAGATCCATTTCTGGAGATCTGTTTGCTCTGAGGAGGAGGAAAGAAAACGCAATGTGGTCCAAGGACTATGTGGTGACCTCACAGTGCCATTAAGCCTCAGGTTTTCTCTTTTCAAATCTTAAACAAGCGATTCCTTTCTTTTATTTACTTTCTTTCTTTTTGAGACAGGGTCTCACTCTGTCGCTCAGGCTGGAGTGCAGTGGTGTGATCTCAGCTCACTGCAACCTCCACCTCCCGGGCTTAAGTGATTCTCCTTGCCTCAGTCTCCCAAGTAGCTGGGATTACAGGTGCCCGCCACTATACCCAGTTAATTTTTGTATTTTTAGTAGAGGCGGGGTTTTGCCATGTTGCCTAGGCTGGTCTCAAACTCCTGACCTCAGGTGATCCACCCACCTCGGCCTCCCAAAGTGCTAGGATCATAGGTGTGAGCCACGATGCCCAGCCCTTCTTTTACTTTAAAAGGATGCACACTGCTTTAGGCAAACATGTGAAAATCCTCTTTTACTCAAGTAGGTCAATTAGGAATTTGTCCTTTGCTGAAAAGACTAACCTTTAAATAGCCAACTCCCATAGTGATTGAATTTATAAAAGTTCCATGAATGTAGTACTCACTGTGAATAACTCTTTTTATACTCTTAGGGTGTTTATCATTTGGGGATCATAGAGAAAAGAGAGAAGTGTCAGCTCTAAGACAAAATTTGAGAGCTCCTGGATGTTATGATTGATAATCAAGGAACTCTTGCCACTGCCTGAATTAACTACTTTTTGTTTTTAATTTTTTGTAGGTTTAATGCTTGTTCATAACAAGTTGGTGGACCCCTTGTACAGTATCAAAGAGAAAGAAACTGAGAAAAGCCAATCTTCGAAGAAACCATACAGCGATTAGCCTGTGCTGGGACCTAGTGTCAAGTACCCATAGGGAAAGGCAGGTCTTTCTGGAAATTGTCTTTAGAAGAAAGAATTGTATTTCTTTAATCTAGTATGGTTACTCCAGATAAGTGGGTGAACTTATTGTTCTTGGCCATGAGGCTGGGAGCCTAGTCACGGAGTTTAGCTATAGGGAGAATGTTTGTAACTTAATCAGAAAAAAAATATCTGCAAAATGTACTCCATCATTTTGATGTCTGCCAAACCCAGGTTGGGAGTTTTAAACTTTTTGTTCTGCTTCAGCCATGGTTCACACATATGACACACTCCCGTCAGGAATTTCTCTCCTTACACGCACTGATTTTCAAGTGGGAGGGAATTAGGGGCTTATGTATATTGGATACCACCTCTTTGAAGAGTCTTGAGAGTCCTTCTTGCACAGGCCTGCCCCTTGGTTGAGAACCATTGTTCCAAGTGAAGGCACAAACTCTCAATATCTAAAATAAGTGCAAGGAAGCAGTCTCTTTGGTCAGTAACAAGTGCAATGGAAAGAAAACGATCCCTTCCTTCTTCCACTTTCACAGCTTTTCTCTGAACTAGGAGAACCTGGGGGTGGATTTGGGTGGGTGGGGCCAAAGAGGAGGCTTCTATTGATAAATCCAGAGCCTCAAGGGGCCCAGCCACGTCAAACTTCTCTCCCTCAGGGACTCTCCAGCACCAAAAGGCAGAAGGTGGAAGCCGTTTTTCCCCCAGAGCCCTGTGTTTTTGTGAAAGCCTCACTGTGGCTCCTCTGTTTTACATACTCATTAGTAAGTGGGAGGTCCACTGGGGCAACAGACACTGCCACAATTTCAGTGTTGTGTTCAGCCAAGGGGACGGTCTGGGCAGGCAGCTTAAGTGTGAGTTTAGTCACAACTCCTGAGTGTCCCGCTCTCCTGCTTACCTAGGAGGTGAGTGCCAGGAAAATACACCAAATGCTTCTAGTATTGTTTCCCCACTTAAAATAGTCCTGCTTAAATTCACATGGTGTGGTCTGATGTTCTGAGAGCATCAGGAAATACAACCCTTTTGCCCATTTACCCTTCTCCCCGGATCCCAAGGTGGTCTGTTGCTCTGGCTTCCTTTCATTGTCTTAGGCCTTCATGGAGTGGATGCTGCCTCCTCCTGGCTGTTTTTGTGCCTGTTTGAAGCTACTGCTGCCTCCATTTCTGGGAAAGACCTTTGAGAGCCTAGCCCAGGCCTAAGGGCTATGTTTGGTACCAGTGTTTTGTCTTTAGCTTTTCTATGTGATTGTGCCGTCATTCTGTTTTAAGCTCATGGATCAATGGATTTGTTTACAATGTGATATTTTCTATTAAATCCAGTATTTTCAAATAACATGTCATTTGTGGATTTGAGCCCCCAATTTTAGAAGACTCTCTGGGCTATTTATATATTTTAGAAAGAGCTGGTAAGCAAAGCCTCACATTCAGTCCTCACAAGAGCCTGCAGGAAGGCCACAAGCATAGCAACCATCATCAGAGTGAAAAATAAGATTTTATGAAAATGGAGCACTTACAGGAAAAAGGGTAGGAATGAACAGATGAGCAATAAATTGTCATGTTGGGGCTGTACCTGAGATCCAAACGAGGATACAGCTGTTATAAAGATTAAGGCAGATTTGTGATGAGGGATATTATTGCAAGGTATGCAAAAATACATATAGGTTTTTTTTTTTTTAAAGTTAATATAATGGAATATCTTAGGGCAATATAGCCAATTAAGGAGGTAGATATAGAAGTTAAAAGAAGGGTTTAATTTTTTTAACTATTTTGAGGCTGGGTGCAGTGGCTCATGCCTATAATCCCAGTGCTTTGGGAGGCCAAAGCAGGAGAATCACCTGAGATCAGCAGTTCAAAACCAGCCTGGGCAACATAACAAGACCCTGTCTCTACGAAATTTTTAAAAATTAGCCAAGCATGGTGGTGTATGCCTGTAGTCCCAGCCACTCAGAAGGCTGAGACAAGAGGATTGCTTGAGCCCAGGAGTTCAAGACTGCTGTGAACTATAATCGCATCACTGTACCCCAACTCTGGACAACAGAACAAGACCCCATCTCAAAAAAATATATTTTTTTGATATAAATCCAATGATTTTTATGTTTATAGAATACTGCACTTCCTTACCACAATCCTTTTTTTTTTTTTTTTTTAAAGAGAGAAAGTCTCACCCTGTCTTCCAGGCTGGAGTGCAGTGGCGCGATCTCAGCTCACTGCAACCTCTGCTTCCTGGGTTCAAGTGATTCTCCTGCCTCAGACTGCCCAGTAGCTGGGATTACAGGTGTGCACCACCACACCCACCTAATTTTTGTATTTTTAGTAGAGACAGGGTTTCACCACATTGGCCAGGCTGGTCTCGAATTCCTGGCCTTAAGTGATCTGCCTGCCTTGGCCTCCTAAAGTGCTGGGATTACAGGCATGAGCCACCGCGCCCAGCATCACAATCCATTTCTATCATTCCCAAAAGCTCCCTACTCCTAACCCCAGCCCCAGGCAACTACTGGTCTGCTTTGCGTCTACAGATTTACCTTTTCTGGTCATTTAATATAAATGGAATCATGTGACATGACATCTTTTGTGTCTGGCTTTTTTCACTAAGCATAACATTTTTCAGGTTCATACAACACGTAGCAGCAGTCCATTCCTTTTTATTGCTGTATAGTATTCCGTTTTGTGGACATATATTTTGTTTATCCAGTCAAGAAGGGTTTAAATTTTAAGTATGTTATAGTAACTACATTAAAATGAGACAAAAAAGGACTTAGTGATGACAGCTAAACTGGAGATACCTGTATGAACTTGAGACCTTAGAAAGATCTGATGTCCTTCCTGAGTCTGTGTTTTCCTGGTGGCTCAACAGCAGTGTACTGCTACAACCAGTGCTTATGCGATCAAGTGGGATGTACACCCCTGGGTCATCTTGGGCTTCTAATACCAGGGCTCCTTGTACAGGAGCTAATATGTTTGGGGGTAGGGATCAGAGTAGGCCTGGAATATCTTGTTACTGGAAATAAGGGTGCTTTCAAAAATGTCTGGGGCTGGCCAGGAGCAGTAGCTCACGCCTGTAATCCTAGCACTTTGGGAGGCTGAGGCGGGCGGATCACCTGAGGTCAGGAGTTCAAGACCAGCCTGGCCAACATGGTGAAACCCCATCCCTACTAAAAATACAAAAAATTAGCCAGGTGCAGTGGCGTGCACCTGTAATCCTAGCTACTGGGGAGGCTGAGGCAGGAGAATCGCTTGAACCCAGGAGGCAGAGGTTGCAGTGTGCCAAGATCATGCCACTACACTCCAGCCTGGGCTACAGAGCAAGACGTCGTCTCCAAAAAAAAAGTCTGGGGCTTGTCCCAGGAAGTCTGGGGATGAAAAAAAACAAAACAAAAATGTCTGAGGCAGTTCTGAGAGGACGAAACAGCCAGTTAAATGGGTTCCCACTGAACAGGTTTTCACAATTTGATCAAAAAGGAAATACTAAATACAGCTGACTGGAACAAGTTGAATTTGTAAAACAGCAAGTTTGATAAGAAAAGGAAAATGTAATATTAAGTGCACACAGAGCTGTATTTCAGGAAGAGTAGACAGAATGTGTTTACTTACATTTAGTAAAAAGTGGCAGTGTTGACATCAATGGGTGCCACCTTCCTTCTATTAGTCTGTTTATAAAGTAGAGGTGAACACAAGAGCCTGGCTATTACCCCTATGGCCTACTCTTCTACTCTTTCCGTCCTTCAGGCCTTGCCTCAAATGTCATTTATCAGATTAACTCTTCCCTGATCCTCCAATATAAAGCTGCAATCCCCAAGTTCCTATCCTTGCCGTGCGCTATTTTCTCAGAACCCTTTACCACTGGACGTGTATTTTGTTTCCCACTAAATGTAAACTCCATGAAGGTAGATGTTAAATACTGCTCTATTCTGCCCCTATAGCAGTGCCTTGATATCTAGAAGGCACTGGTACTTGTTGAACCATAAGCCTGATAGTTGTCCCCATGAGTAGTGATCGTACATAACAATCAGGGGAAATCATGGCATATTACATAATGGATTAGCCAACTGGCCTACTGAGGAGATCTAACTTGGAAAATTTGATGCTTCTTTCCTGGGAACCAAAATCCTTACTGTGATGAGATGCTAATGAAACACGTCCATTTCCGGTAAGATACAGTGTGACAGGATTTAGAGTTATGCAATAATGGGCAGGTAAAACAGAACATAGTACTTTGGACCTCAGGGGAGCCATTACCACCAGCTGGCAGTCATACTACATTAATAATCAGACTAGTCCATTTAGTATCCTCAAAGACTAAATCATAAGGTCCCAAACCTCTAACCCCTCTATCCCAGCTTTCCTTTCAGCTAATGACCTTGAAAACAGAAGCAATCAGAAAAGAATGTCCACGAGTTCCCATCATCACATACCCAGACGTCAGCCCTGCTCTCACACTTGCTGTCTTCCTGTTACCTGCTCCTTGGCCGAGCCCTCTGCTTGCACACCAGATCCCATCCTCTCTTGCCTCCTTGAGGACGTTGCTCTGGCAACACTCCCAACTCTCACCTACAGCATCAAATTGTCCTCTCCTGGACCACTCCTATGGCATTCAAGACAAGATTTAAAAACAAAACTGTACCTCATTTGCCCCCTAAGTACATCCTCATTTTTCTGATCTCCTTTAGAGTAAAGTTTCTAGTTACCCATACTCTGACTTTAATCTCTCACTCTTCTATTCTCTCTTCTCCTTCTGGTATGGTAGTCGCCCCTTCATCCACAGGGCATATGTTCTAAGACCCCCAGTGAATGCCTGAAACCGTGGATAGTACTGAACCTGATAGTTTTTTTTGATACACATATACCTATGATAAAGCTTAATCTATAAACTAGGCGCAGTAAGAAATTTACAAAAATAGAATAATTATAATACACTGTAATAAGTTATGTGAGCATTGTCTCTCTCCCTCTCAAAATCTTATTGTACTGCACTTACCTATTTTTGGACTACAGTTGACCATAGAAAGTGAAACTGTGGATAAGGGGGAACTACCGTATTCCCATTACGCGTAGCTACACTTTGCCTTTTTTTTGGAAACAAGTTCTCTGTTGCCCAGGCTGGAGTGCAGTGGCATGATCTCAGCTCACTGCAATCTCCACCTCCCGGGCTCAAGCGATCCTCCCACCTTAGCCTCCTGAGTAGCTGGGATTACAGGTGTGCACCACCACGCTTGGCTAATTTTTGTATTTTTTTTTTTTTTTTTTTTTTTTTTGTAGACACTGGGTTTTGTCATGTTGCCCAGGCTGGACTCAAACTCCTGGCCTCAAGCAATCGCCTACCTCAGCCTCCCAAAGTGCTGGGATTACAAGTGTAAGACACTACATCCAACCTACACTTTTAAAAATTATCCCACAGTTCTTGGATATTCTGCTGTTTTTAAAAATTTTCCATTCCTTTTTGAAATCTTTCAATTTCAATTTGGGAAGTTTCTATTGACATATCTTCAAGTTCACTGATTCTTTCTGGCTGTGTTCAGTCTTATGAGCCCATCAAAGTCATTCATGTCTGTTTCAGTGTTTTATTTCTAGCTTTTTTTTTTTTTTTTTTGAGACAGAGTTTCGCTCTTGTTGCCCAGGCTGGAGTGCAATGACACGATCTTGTCTCACTGCAACCTCCGCCTCCCGGATTCAAGCTATTCTCCTGCCTCAGCCTCTCGAGTAGCTGGGATTACAGGCATGCACCACCACGCCAGGCTAATTTTGTATTTTTAGTAGAGATGGGGTTTCTCCATGTTGGTCAGGCTGGTCTTGAACTCCCGACCTCAGGTGATCCTCCCGCCTCAGCTTCCTAAAGTGTTGGGATTACAGGCGTGAGCCACTGCACCTGGTCTTTTTTTTTTTTTTTTTTTGCATTTCTTTTTGATTCTAAGTTTCCATCTGTTGCTTATACTACGTGACTATTCTTGCATGTTGTTCATTTTTTCTATTAGAAATCTGGCACATTAATCAGTTATTTTAAATTCCCAGTCTGATAACTCTCAAATTTCTGACATATCTGAGTCTGGCTCTGATGCTCGCTTTGTCTCTTCTTTTTTCCCTTTTAGCATGCTTTGTACTTTTTTACTGAAGCCAGACATGATATATTAGGTAACAAGAACTTACGTAAACAGACCTTTAATGTGAGTTGTATGTTTATCTGGCTAACAGGCTGCATCTGATGTTCGCTGTAGGTGCTAGAGGCTCCAATTTTCCTCAATATCCTTGTCTCCCCTGTTGTCTTTGGGTTTCCCTAGAAATTCCTTCTTAAAATAGAGTCCATGTCTTGCAGCTCTCAGTTGTAATCCACTGTTATCCTGGAGCCCTACTGATGGTATCGTATTGGTGAGAAGATGCACTGCATATTCTTATGATTAAATCTGTCTTTTTTTTTTTTTTTTTTTTTTTTTTTTAGTGGAGACTTGTTTTTTCCTCCTCCTATGTGAGACAGGAAGGCTAGAAGGGGGTTGAGCCATCCAACTGCCCTTCTCCTAAGCTAGAGAAGGCTTCTGCAAGTAGTTTTCCCTGAGAAAACTGTTCTCTGCCATGGAGAACAGAAGATCTGGGGCTGATTTCTTCCTGGATGTATTTCAAAAGGATTACTTTCCCCCTTCCCGTGTCCAAAGCACAAGGGAATTTTCCTGCCATCTTTACAGGAGAACCTAGTGGGTCTCCTCGAGGTAAAACCCACCAAAGTGTGGGGTTCCCTTAGACAAGCTCCCGGTTTTGAACCCTCAAGCTAGTCCACACTTAGCCCACAGCAATATGTTTAAATCTCAATTACTGTCTCCAACAGCTTCTGCCTTAGGTGAGCCGATCTCCATTTTCCTGCCTGTTTTTGCGGTGAAGGTTTGCCCTGTGACCTCAATTCTCTGACAGATGTAAGAAAAGCTGTTGATTATCGGTTTGCTTAGCCTTTTTCTTATTATGAGGACACCCCATTCTTTCTCAAACATACTCTAGATTTGCAACTGCCCTCCACTGAAACAGCACTTGTCAAAGTCCCCAAGGACCTCAATACTGACTGCTTCAATTGTTACAGCTCACAGTACTTGACCTTTTTGCAGCGTATGACACAGTTGATTACTCCTTCCCTCAAACTTGACTTGGCTTCCAAGACACCACACACAGCTGGTTTTCCTACCTCACTGGCCACTGTCTGTCTTTGCTGGTTTTTCCTCATCTCCTTGACTTCTTAGCATCTGGAGTGACCCACGACTCAGTCCTTGGACCTTTCTCTACATAAAACTCACTCCCTTTCTAATCTCATCTAGTCTCATGACTTTAAATGCCATTTACATGTTGACTCCCATAATTCTATCTCTACCCTGAGTTGCTCCCTTGAACTCCGGACTAGAATATCCAACTGCCTGTTTATCATTTCCCCTGGGATAACTACCAGGCATCTCAAACTTACCTGTCCACAACCAAATTCCTGATCTTCAGCCACAGACCTGTGCTACCTACAGGTTTCTCATCTCAACTGCTCAGACAAAAATACCTAGAAATCAACCCTGATGCCTTAATTTCTCATATAGTCAGCCTGTCAACAAATCCTATTAATTTTACCTTCAAGGTAAGTACAGAATCTAACCAGTTCTCAAAATTCTAACTTCTGGCACACTGGTACAAGCCACCTGCACTTCTCACCTGAGCTACTGCAAATGGCCTCCTAACTGGTCTGTTTCCACCTTTGCTCACCAATCCCCTAAAGCACACGCCTGACCCTATCACTCCTCTGCTCAATGGCCCCCTCTCAGAGTGGCAGCCAAAGTTCACACAAGGCTCTATACAGTCTACAGGACCACATGCTTACATCCCGTCTCTCACTCTTCCTGGGTCTGCCTCAGCCCTCACTGGCTACCACACTGTTCCTGGAGCCCTCTTACATGCTCATAGCCCAAGGGCTTTGCCCTTGCTGTCTCTGCCTGGAATTCTCTCCTCCCAGGTGTCCAGAAGGTTCAATCCCACACTGCTGAGACTTTGTTCAAGTGCTATCTTGATGGAGTCTTCTCTACTCTTTAAGATTCCAACATTGCCCTGCCTCCCCTAACTCCCTATTTCTTCTCCCCAACTTCTATGGTTTTTTTTTTTTCTTTTTTTTTCTTTGAGACAAAGGTCTTGCTTTGTCATTCAGGCTGGAATGCAGTGGTGTGATCAAGGCTCACTGCAGCCTTGACCGCCTGAGCTCAAGAAATCCTCCTGCCTCAGCCTCTTGAATGTCAGCTGGGACAACAGGCACATACCACTGCACCCAGCAAATTTTTAGTGTTTTTTTGTTTTTTAAGAGAGACGGAGTCTTACTATGTTGCCCCGACTGGTCTCAAACTCCTGGCTTCAAGTGATCCACTCACCTCAGCCTCTCAAAGCACTGGGATTACAGGAGGGAGCCACTGCGCACGACCCATGGTACTTATCTTCTGATGAACCAGATAATTTACTTAGTGTCTCTTTCCTTCCGCCAGAATTTAAGTTCCACATGGGCAGGGAGATTATGTCTGTTTTATTTACTGCTACATTCTCACCACCTTGAAAAAGAGTAAGGCCCATTGCTGGGTATTCCATCAGTATTTGTTAAATAAGTGAGTTATTCTAGGAAATACTATAGGTTGCAAAAAGTAGAATGGTACTGAGGGTAAGACAATCGCTTTTAAAATTTACATGTATTTATGTTGTATTAGTGTGAGTTTAGCTGCTTTTCCTTTTTTGGTTTGTTTTTATAATGAAGGGAAAAAAGGAGATCCAAGCAAGGAAAAGAAGTGACTGTGTTAACTTTGTACTTAGCAACTTCAGCATCAAATCTCCCTAAGTTTCCAATGTACACAATCTTCTCCAAAGCATCCTCTGGCTCAGAGAAATGTGGGAGTCCTTGGAGTGGTAAATCTTCAGACAACCTGAGAAACTGTACAGTCTAAACGATGGGTGATGAAAGTTGATTATTACCATAAACATTGGCTAAGAATACCCCTAAAGCTCCCATAACCAGATTTCTGACCACACTCAGTCTGGCCTGATTTTTTTAGTTAAGCTAAGGTTTGGGGAGCAGGCTGGCTACTCTTACCAGCATCAGAGGGCACCATGGGGTTACAATTCCTTGGTCCTACTTAGGGGCTTTATATACAACTTAATTTCCCTACTTTGGTGGTTGAAGGTTAAGTGCCACTATCAGGAGTGACACTCTACTATGTAACAATTGCATAAGATGTCAACTGTGGTTCACATACACTTTTGAGTATTTAAAAATTTCTGATAATACTGCTGTTCCTGCCTTGATAGTACTGTTAGATACCATTCTGTCTACTAAAGTATAAAACAGACTATAATGAAATATAATGAGGAAAATTTAAATACCAGAAATTAAATCTACTTCTGTAACAAAACAACATACTCTATACCTGTCTTAACTAGTGACGATATTTTTAGAACATGGGAACTGCTGCCACCTGCTGGTGATGCTTATGGCAAAGTTAATACTAGGTAGGAGGGAGATCCAAACTCCAGTCAAAATTCTGAAATTCCCTTTCAAAGCAGACAGCCACGTGAACAACTTTATTATTATCTCCTCTAATTAACTCTCATTGCTCTTGACAGAAAAAATAAATACAAAGTATATGAAGAGATTACTAATGTAAATTAGAACTGTCTACTACTAAAAAAATGACTTTGGGCAAATGACTTTGGGCTGGGTGCGGTGGCTCACACCTGTAATCCTAGCACTTTGGGAGGCTGAGATGGGTGGATCACTTGAAGTCAGGAGTTCGAAACCAGGCTGGCCAACATGGTGAAACCCCGTCTCTACTAAAAATTAAAAAAAATAAAAAATAAAAAATTAGCTGGGTGTGGTCGTGGGCACCTGTAATCCCAGCTACTTGGGAGGCTGAGGCAGGAGAATCACTTGAACCCGGGAGGCGAAGGTTGCAGTGAGCCGAGATCAAGCCACTGCACTCCAGCCTGGGTGACAGAGCAAGACTCCGTCTCAAAAAAAAAAAAAAAAAAGACTGCTGACTAACACCACAAATCTGTCTGGGAATATGGCTTCTGATACTGAGCCTTTCTTACGTTCACCAGCTCCTCCACAGGTCAACAGGAAGGGATACATCTACTCAACAAACTTCGGGATTTAGCCAAGATGGCAGGCTAATTCTCACACCAGGGCACAGTCTAATGGGTCCAGCTGACTTCCTGACTTGATCAACTTGCCCAGTGTTTAATGATGTTTTTCAAGAAGCCGAGCAGGAAAATTACCAGAACAGGTGAACAGCCTAAAACTGCATACACAGCACTGAAGCATCCTGAGAAGTAACTGATTTAAAGCTACAAAAGACCTCAGTCAAAAAGAAATCACTGATTTGCTGAGCCTGCTAGGATTAGGTAATCTGTCTTCAAAAAGTTTTCTGGCTCCTGCCCAATCCAGATGTACCAAGGTATAATTAATGTTTATATAACAATAAAAACAGATGAGACAACTGTGACAGCTGAGAGGGGTCTAAGGAGACATGATAACTAAATATAATAACGTGGTGTCCTAGAAGGGATCCTGGAACAGAAGAAGGACATTAGGTAAAACTAAGAAAATCTGAATAAAGTATGAACTCTACTTAATAATATCAATACTACTTCATTAATATGACAAATGTGCTGCACTAATATGTTAATAAGGAAAACCAAGTGAGGGGTACATAGGAACGCTGTACAATCTTGGCACTTTTTCTGTCAATCTATATTCTAAAATAAAAAGTTTCTTTTTAAAAAATGGATGGTCTGTTAATAGGGTAGCTAAAAAAATAAAAATTATAATAATAAAAATTTAAACTAAAAGAAAAATGGATGAAACAAGATGCATCTCAACTGACAAAGGCAGGCCCTAAAGTTAGTTCGATCACAAGCTTAAAATGTCACAGAGCTATTTTGATTTAAAAAAAAAAATTATGGCCAGGCGTGGTGGCTCATGCCTGTAACCCCAGCACTTTCGGAGGCTGAGGCGGGTGGATCACTAGGTCAGGAGTTCGAGACCAGCCTGGCCAACATGGTGAAACCCCATCTCTACTAAAAATACAAAAAAATTAGCTGGGCACGGTGAGCATGCCTGTAGTCCTGGCTACTTGGGAGGCTGAGGCAGGAGAATCACTTGAACCTGAGAGGTGGAGGCTGCGGTGAGCTGAGATTGTGCCACTGCACTCCAGTCTGGGCAACAGAGGGAGATTCCATCTCAAATAAATAAATAAATAAGTTATTTGATAGCTTATTTTCATTTATCAGCTCTAGACCCAAACCTTTTATATAAAAATGAAGAGACACTGACTATTCAAACTCCCCCAAAAACACCCAGGAGGCCAGGCACTGTGGCTCATGCCTGTAAATCCCAACACTTTGGCAGGCTGAGGCAGGAGCATTACTTGAGCTCAGGAGTTCACAACCTGGGCAATATAGCGAGACCTTATTTCTACTAAAAAGAAAAAAAAAAAATTAGCTGGGCATGGTGCTATGTGCCTGCAGTCGCAGCTACTCAGGAGGCTGAGGTGGGAGGATTGCTTGAGACCAGATCTCAAGGCTGCCGTGAGCTATGATCGCACCACTGCACTCCAGCCTGGGTGACAGTGAGACCCTGTCTCAAAAAGAAAAAAGGCCCATGAAATTCATACTAATTTATGGCAAATCTCAACCCACTCATAAAAAAAGGCTTTCATGAAATTAAGGTAGGTACAAAACTCTTTATTCTATCATATATTTTGCTGACACCACAACCTTCCACAAACCCATTTGTTTTACAGGGCATTTGGGGAGTTACCCAAATCTTTCATTTTACTGAGACAAAAGTACTCTACCAAAACTATACATCTTAAAATTAGCTCATAACTCATGCTTCAAAAGTATAACTTTATAAGCCCTATTTTCTTTGTTAAAATTGAGTGATGAAGACTTTGTACCTAAGAATCACTAAGGTGACCAAACAAATTTTTGAGACTAAACACCAAATACCTGTGTTGTTTTTAATATCATAAATGGGAAAAAAGGCTCCCATTTCTTTCATAAAACTGTATTATAAAGGCTTCTTTCCTACTTCTATGACATCATCAACAATGTATAACAGCTTAACATAAAATGATCTCTAGAAAATATCAAGTAGCTCACGAACTATAGAGCTTCTGAGTAGCTCTTTCTGAATAAATCTGAATTGAACTCTTTGATCACAGAAATCACTCTTCTCAGGTATATACTGTAGAACAAATCATTTTAATTTCCATTTCTTATCTTTAATTTATTCTTTAACCTCAATTTTTTTTTTTTTTTTTTTTGAGAAGGAGTCTCGCTCTGTCGCTCAGGCTGGAGTGCAGTGGCGCTATCTCGGCTCACTGCAAGCTCCACCTCCCAGGTTCATGCCATTCTCCTGCCTCAGCCTCCTGAGTAGCTGGGACTACAGGCGCCTGCCACCATGCCCAGCTAATTTTTTGTATTTTTAGTAGAGACGGGGTTTCACCGTGTTAGCCATGATGGTCTCGAACTCCTGACCTCGTGATCCGCCCGCCTAGGCCTCCCAAAGTGCTGGGATTACAGGCGTGAGCCACTGTGCCCAGCAAATTAACCTCAATTTTTACACAAAATGTCCTGAATGGAAGACCATGAAACTATCTGGTTTAAACAAAATATGGGCCCTAAAACCTAAGCTCAGTCACAAGCCCAGGTAAAAGAGATGCTATTCTGTGACCTTTTTTTTCTTACTTTAAGAATATGTTATATGCCGAACAGTTTTAAAATGTGATTAGTTGCCTTGGTGACAGAACAAATAGCAGCAACTCTGTTCTAATTATAAGATGATTTTTAAATTTATTTTTATTTTAAGACTAAGCATCCTCTTTGACAATCCAAAAACATAATCCTTGCTCACTCTGGACACACACACCTAAAACAGTTAAAAGTGATTCCTCAATTTGCAATAACAAAGTAGGAAAAAAAGAATACGTTCTCAAGCTGTAGTTCAATTTTTCTGTCCTCTTTTCCAAAAAATGTTACTTTGCTACCAAGCCTCCCACCAATGATAAGGAAAGACAATTTTTCAAAAAGCCAACAAAACCCAGAAAAAGGAACAGGTATCAATTCAAAATTATCACCCAGAACACTGCTGTTGCAAAGAAAGAGTATGAAGCCAAATTCCCATAGCTTGTTAGAGAAGATCTTTAAAAATAATTCAGAAAGTTAGGACTGGAACTACTGTAGTATAGACAGGTTATACTGTCACTATATGCATATACAGTGGTAAATGCAGATATAATTCAAGAACATTCAGCTTGGGAATATATTAAGCTTTCTCCTATTCCAGCAGAGGAAATAAAAACATGTGTTCCTGGAATTAATATTAAAATCATCCTTACAAACAGAAGGTAGGGCAAAGGTAAAGAGAGAGAATGTGGAACAAAAGTAGCAAAGACAAGCCATTTTGAATCTAGGTTCTAACACCCAGGAAGGCTGAATAGAACTTAAATTCTTCTGAGCCAGTATCACTAAATTCTAGATTTGGCCTGAAACCAGTGGACCATATACACCACTAATAAATATCAAGTGCCCCACAGTGTTTGTGGTATTAAAACATATATTTATATTATAAATTTCCATTCTGAAAAGCAGATCAAAATGACACTGGACCATCCAGTCAGTTACGGAGTAATGGGCTTCCTCCAAAGAGAACTGACTTGGCAGAAATTTAGGTTGGTAGGAATGTGATTAACATGGAGTAAACGAGATCAGGTTCTCAGTATAATTTTCATAAGGCTTCTACCCACTCCAGTTGTAAGGAATAGTACTGAGGGAACTCCAACAGAATGTCTTAGAAGGATGCTTCTCAGAGACAAAGGGTCTCTAAGTTTAACTCTTGACCCCTCTTCTCCTTACCTAAAGCTTGGGGAAGAAAATAAATATTTAATTTTTAACTATTCAGAGCTTTGGGCACATTATAATATTTAATATTCTGTAGTTTAATTTTCTGAACCTTTGGCTTATAAATTTTTCTCAACTTACATTTAAAAATGTATCAATGCACCTTCTTCAGTAGTACCACATGAAAATATAAACCTCGTTCTTCCATATCTTCTACGCAGGAAGAGTGAATGAATAGTACCCTAAATATCCCGCAAAGTTACTTTGTGTACTTGACGGAAGATTAGGGAAAAACAATCCACTTCCATATCTTGAGCAGTAGTTAACTAGTCTTCTACCTCATCTTCCCAAATATCGTCGTCAACATCCACAGCATAAAACAGCCTGGAAGCATTAAAAAAGGTACATTTTTATACACTTGAACGAAACAATATAAATTGCCTCTCCGCTGAAAAATATTTTTTGTACTCTTATAACATCTTTGTACATCTTTTCTTCTCCTTTAATCATTGCACTGAGGAGGGCTGAAATATGGGTCCCTCTGAACAATCTACCCTAAAGTTAGTTAAGAATGGCCCATTTAAGGTGGATGAGTACTTGTCCAGCTCCATTCCCACTGGCCTAGAAGATTTAATTGGCTGTCTTTTGGCCTTAAGTCCCTTGGCCATAGGGGTCCCACTGAGGGCCTAGATGGAGGCGAGGCAGGTTAGCCACACCACTCCAGCAATGATATGGGACAAAATAAGTTTGACCATCAATGCTGCCTCTGGCAAATCTCAGCCAAAAAGGGGAAAATGAGAAATAAAAATGATACCCTAAGCCCCACAACCAACTGAACAGACCCTCTCCTGGCCAAGGGAACCCCAGAGAAACCCTGAAAACAGTTCCCGGCCATGATGGGATGGGAGGCCAGACACACCTGGTCATACCCCCCTCCCTCACTGACCACCATTAGGCTTTCTTTCCCTAAGGGTTCAAACCAACCCTTTGGGAAGACTTGCTCCACCGCTGATATCAACCAACTGCCTGATGCTGCCCCTCCCTTCTGCAGTTTTGGCACAAAAACCGACCAGCATTTCTTCCTGCCAATAGACCACTGACCATGGAGTGGTTCTAGCCAGTCTATGGAGGATGTGGACTGAGGTTTTCGTGTTCTCTGCTTCACCTTTTGATATCAGAGAACTCCCCCAGAGATCATGCTAATGCCACCATTTTTTGAACATGGGTCCCCTGAAGGGTAATGAAGCTCAACTGCACATGCAGCGTTTTTCTCCTTTCATAAATATTCATGACTCCTCCTATACCTTACTGAATATGTATATCTGGCTATCTTGTAGGGCATAAATCCCTGTCTTCCTCTTCCCATCCTTAGAGTGTCTGTTTCCAGCTTCTGGCTGAAGGCTATGCTTCCCAACCTGTCATAACAGCCACCTTGCCGGCTTCAACTCTTTATGAGAAATAAAGCTCTCCTTTCCAAATTAAAACAAACGAACAAAACAGTCCTTTTAGAATCCAGACAAATTCTCCAGGGCCAAGGATAAACAATAATGAGGGATAGGTATCACAAAACTGATACTCAGCGTATACAATACATGGAATAAGGCAAGACTGGGGAAGTCAGGCAATTTAAACTGAACCCTTTCAAGACACTATTATTACTACTACATGCTCATCACTCCATTCTATCTTCACAGTCCTTGCACCCTCCATTTGTAGAATGTTTTGTAGCTGTCAATTTGTCTTCCTTTCCTTATGTTATCTACAACTTATGCAATTTCCAACACTAGATTTCCAATAGTTCATGGCAGGGCTTGTTTCTTCAATTTCTCTTACAGTTTCACAATACCAATGTGTTTACTTAACAGACACCTCTTAACAAAGATCATCAACTGATGCTGAAAGTGGAGAGCTCTTGGAGAACAGGATATTCACATTGTGCCAAGGAATCACCCCACAGATTACTTCCTAATAACAAAATGGAAAACTTGCCTTTACAATAAAGCAAACTGTAGAAATGAGCACCACACTAATGAGGGACATCATGGACCTCTTGATGTGATCCAATACGGAATACACATCACTCCTCATGAAGTATCAGCATAAAAAATGTTATTCTAAATCGAATCAAGCTTCAGTCTAGACCTAACTTCCAGTTTATAGCAAATAAGAGAAACAAGCTAAAGGACACCATGGACAAATAAAAGTCTAGAAGGTAAGACGTTATATAAGATAACTGACCTGGACTCTTCAAAAAGTGAATGTTTTGCTGGGTGTGGTGGCTCACGCCTGTAATCCCAGCACTTTGGGAGGCCGAGGCGGGCAGCTCACGAGGTCAGGAGATCGAGACCATCCTGGCTAACACGGTGAAACCCCGTCTCTACTAAAAATACAAAAAAATTAGCCGGGCGTGGTGGCAGGCGCCTGTAGTCCCAGCTACTCAGGAGGCTGAGGCAGAATGGCATGAACCCGGGAGGCGGAGCTTGCAGTGAGCCGAGACGGCACCACTGCACTCCAGCCTGGGCGACAGAGCGAGACTCTGACTCAACAAAAAAAAAAGTGAATGTTCACAAAACACACACAAAAAAAAGGTGGGCCAAAGCTTTTCTGTATTAAGAGACTAAAGAGATAGAACCAAATACAATGACTGAACTTGTTCAGATTCTGGTTCAATCAAATAGCTTTAAAAGATATTTTCAGAAATAATTAGGAAGTTTCAAATATGTTTGTTTACTAGATAATAGTATGCCACTATCATTAAGTTTTTTAAAAGTACTGTCATTATGTAGAAGCATTTCCTTATCTTAGGAGAAACGTGGAAATATTTAGAGTTGAAGCATTATCATAACTCCAACTTCATGTAGTTCAGTAAAAATGTTAAGGGAACAAATATGGCAAAGTACTATCAACTGTTAATTTGGGTGGAAAGTATCCTACTATTCATAGTCCTATCCTTTCAAATTTTCTGTGTTTGAAAACTTTCACTATAAAAACTTCCAGATGGTGTATAAGTCTCATTATAAAACTCATTTTTGAGAAAATAATATGAAAATTCCTTTATAGGGGAAAACATGTAAGAGAATTCTCTAAATAAGTCCAAGTACTTAAATAAAACACTGGATTTGTGGTCTGCAAATCAAGTACCAAAAATTGCTGGTGAGCCTGAGGAATTCTGTGTATACATACCGGTTAAAACATGGTGAACCAGGGTCATTGAAATGTTTGTAAGGGTTTGCTCTAGAGAGAGAACCCATGCAAATCCAACAGAAATATTGCATACAGCCAGTACATGTCATCTTGTTACATCCGTCTAATTTCTGGTGGGAAGGATAGAAAGAGAAAAATATCAAGGCTGTAAAAGCAGAAGAGACAGCACATGCCAAAATGATTCAGTACAACATTGTCTTGGTCCTCTCCCTTTTCTTATGCAGGGTTGAGATATCAATGTAACACACTGATGACTATGTAATTCTTTCTATTTTGCATTAGAAGTAAAATACAGAAAATAGCTAGTGTTACTACAATTAGTTACTTGGCACAATCTCTTCTGACAAGCAGTAGATAAAAATCACACAAGTATAACTGGAAAATGTAGTTAGATTAATATTAAAATGTTTGGATGTAACGTGTGGGTTTTTAATTTTTACAGAAATCTAAGTAAATATTTGGTACCAAGTCCTCCACTCTGTCATAGGGCTAAGGTATGTCAAAAGTGATTATATGGCCAGGTGTGGTGGCTCATGCCTGTAATCCCAGCACTTTGGGAAGCCAAGGTGGGCGAGTCATTTGAGGTCAGGAGTTCGAGACCAGCCTGGCCAACATGGTGAAACCCTGTCTCTACTAAAAATACAAAAATTAGCCAGGTGTGGTGGCTGGCGCCTGTAATCCCAGCTACTCGGGAGGCTGAGGCATGAAAATTCCTTGAACCTGGGAGGCGGGGATTGCAGTTAGCTGAGATTGCACTACCGCACTCCAGCCTGGGCAAGAGAGACTCAGTATCAAAAAAAAAAAAAAAAAAGTGATTACATATAGTCCTAGTTTCCTTAACTGGAGCCCACTATGTTCAGTTCAGACATAACAGATTAGAACAATAGAATCAAATGCTAAGATGTATTTTGATTTTAAAACATATTAAGATTTTTGTCAAGAAGCAATATATCTGTCTAATTATTTTGACTCAAATTAATTCCTGAGTGTATCTTAAACAGGTGTGCAGCATTCCAGGATAAATAGTTCTGAGAGATCAGATTTGATTTTTTTTAATCACATAGATGAGGTAAGAGTTGACCATAGCTCTAGTATGCCCTCCTTACAACCCATTCAATTTTGAGGTGGATACAATGTGAGAACAATGGTCACTGTAAGCAAATACTTTGAAAAGGGAAGTCTACAAACATTTAAGGTCGATAACAAGATCTAATAGTGAAATTTCCACCTTCCACGTAAGAAGGTGTAATAATACCAGCATGTGTTTTGTAAGTCATAAAATTGACTAGTAAGGCTTCTTAAGGTAATCATAACATCCTTGCAAGTCTGATGGCCTCCAAGTCTGTCCCAAAACATTTACCTCTATGGGAGTTCCACAACATGGGCAGCTCTTTGAGTTCTTCTCTAGCCACTCCTTACTTTCCATCTCTTCCAGTGCCTTCTGAATCACTCTCTTACCATACCTTTGATCCAAAAGTCTTTTATTAGCCTCATCCGCTTGCAGGTATTCATTTCGTAAGTCCATTAATTTCTCTACAAAGTGAAATGGAAAATTAACTTTTATATAACTTTGTAATGCTGACCAAAAATCATTAAAAATGGCTATAATCTTCGACTATTCAATAATGTTATTCCTAGAACTTTATCATAAGGAAATAATCCAAAGTCATATGCATGGAGATGCATATAACAATGGCAAAAAAATTAAATTTCTAAGGAAATAATTATGTTTGGAAGAGCCATTTAATGACATAATATTCAATTATTAAAAACATAATTAGGTTCGCTACAACCCAATTAAAACACTCATCACAGAATCCAGAAAAAAAGTATATTTATGTTATAACCCAGTAAAAATTATACTTGCACAAATGATAATAAATGGAAAGGAATCCCCCAACTAGAAAAGATGTATCTGCTAAAAGTGGTAGAATAAGATAGGCTATTTTTTTCCTTTGATTTTGATTTCTTAATGTTGGTATGTTTATGCATCTAGAAGTATGCAGTTAAAGACTGACTTATCTAGAAGACACAAAGGTTGAAACAGACATTGATTTTTCCACTAAGTCAGCACCATTCACTGTTTGATAATGAAGAGGCCTACCAAATACAAAGGCACTTTTGGCTTAAGGGCAAAGACTACCTCTTCAATTCTGTGTAAAAAAAAAAAATCAGTGAATAAAACTTAGCACCCAAGTCTCACCCCGTACTATGCTTTGCTACAGGTGCTGAAAAGTTTTCCCTCGATACTCTTCAATCTGGCTTCTACTGCTCTATCATTTAACTGAAATGGAACAGGTAACCAATCCCAAAGGTTTTACTTGCAGACAAAAGGCTTTTGTTCACAGTTGTATTACCTTAATTTTTCAATACAATTAATTAAAGAGTTTTCTCAACAATGTTCTAGTTATTTTATCAGTTTACTTTCCTCACATTATTTGGAAGTCTATCTCCCTTTTAAAGCAAAAGACATCTTCTGGTATAGAATCCTATATCCTATCTCCACTCTTTGCTTTCACCTGTGAATTCTTTCTCTGTGTAGTACATTCCCACAGCTTCATCACCTCTACTTCAATGTAGCAGTGAAGCAATGTAAATCTCATCCCTCTAATAATTCAATGCATTTTTGTGTTCCTAGGCATCTTAAGGACAAAGGTTATATTGCTTTAGTCTTCCCAAAATAATAAAATTGTATTTCATATTTTATATAATATATACATACAAAGAGAGGGAGAGATTCCTAATTTTGCTAAAGCCCTGAATCTATCTTCAATTTCTTCCCTGAATGCTGTGAAACACTTGAAATGTACTGTTGACTTTTAATGAAAAGGTTACAGAAGTCTAAAGTAAAGGCTTATATTATACATTGCTAAGTTCTCCATTCCATCTGGCCTTACCTTCTGCAAGGTGCTGCCTGAGGCAACTGAAATTATCTACCCACTCTTTCCTCTCATGGTACTTTCTTGGAAATAATGACAGTCTGCTAACATTAGCAAGTAATAACTACAATAATAATAGCATTAATAATTACTATTTTTCTTTTTCCTCTTTTTTTTTTTTTGAGACAGGGTCCCACTCTGTCCCCCAGGCTGGAGTGCAGTGGTGCAATCTGGCTCACTGCAGCCTCTACCTCCCAGTTTCAAGCGATCCTCCCGCCTCAGCAACCTGAGTGGCTGAGACTACAGATGTGCACCACCACACCTCGTTAATTTTTGTATTTTTTTGTAGACACGGGGTTTTGCCATAGTGTCAAACTCTTGGACTCAAGCAATCCGCCCACCTTGGCCTCCCAAAGTGCTGAGATTACAGAGGTGAGCCACTATGCCCAGCCCCATTCTGCATTTTACATGTATTAGCCCACTGTTTCTCAAACTATTTATGGTAAAGGCCCAGTTTATTTTTTCTCTGATACGTCAAAGATCAACACTTTTATAAGATATAACCAGGTTTGCTTGATTTAATTTTTTTAGAAGCAGAGTCTCACTACGTTGCCCAAGCTAGTCTCAACTGAGGCTCAAAAGATCCTCCTGCTGTAGCCTTCTGAATAGCTAGAACTACAGGTGTGCACCACCACAGTCAGCTAACAATCAATTATTAGAAAAATGAAAAAAAGTCTAAATTTTTATTAGATTTGACATAAAATTATGTGAAATCACTATAAAAGTTTCTAACCCTCTCAATTTCTATATATTATACACCAGTGTAACAAATATAACAATTTTGAATAGCATGATATTCGTTCCCTTCATCCTTAGAATAACCCCGTGAAGTTATTGTTATCTGCTCTAGCTGCAATTTTGTGAGGTAGCTGTTATCATTATCCCTGTTAGTCTGAAGAAGACTAAGCCACCAAAGTCCAATTAAATCGACGTTAAGGGCCTGATTTATGATTCCTTACGTAGACTGGAAACGGCAAACACATTTCACTCCTGTGTCTACTTCATCAGAGGGTAGCTTTCCGAAGTGCCATGTTGAGGAAGATTCTGAGGCCTCTCTGGGCTCAAGGAGAAAGCATTTGATGACTAGTCAAACACATGTGCCATGGAGACAAGAATGGCAGCTTAGATGCCCTGCATTGGCCATCCAGGATCTACATTATTCCATGTTTGTATATAGAATTTCCTGTGCCATTCCTTCTCCTGGAATGTTCCTCCCTGGTATCTGCACGGTTTTTCTTACCTCCTTCAAGTCCTTACTTAAACCATTTTGCCGGTGAGGCCTCCCCTGTTTTCCCTAACTAAAATCCCAAGTCCCCTCCCCTTCAGAACATTTCATATCCTGTCCTTGCTTTATTTCTTCTGCCTCTTCAGCACTTACCACCACCTAATATCCTTATTTTGTTTTCCTGTCTCCCCTGGTAGAATGTGAGTTCCATGAGGGCAGACATTTTGTCTCTTCTGGTCACTACTACAGCCCCAAGGCCTGAGATAGTCACTGACACAGAAATATCTGCTAAATGAATACTTCCAAATTGAAGAATGAAGTCATAAGGCCCTGGTAGTAGAGTGAAATGTGAGGGAGAGACTGGGGATGGGGGTTTGGGTTCACAGTTAAAACATACCTGCAGTCACCTTACATGGGGAGACCCCATGGTAGGTCAACCTGCACAAAGTACAGAAGGCAAAATTGCAGCTGGAGCAGATACCCATGGTGCAGCCAGGTTCCTGCATCACAGGCAGCTGGCAGCACGGCCGGGGGCAGTACACCACATCTGCCATCAGGTCCAAGGAGGACTGGAGGAGAAGGCGGTCATAACGGGCAAATAACTCTGCTTCCACTAACTCTTTGACCTGGAGGGAAATACAAAACACCATAGGTTTGATGATTCCACAACCAGTTCTGAACCTGAGGCGATTCTTAGGATGCTAGTGTAAACCAGATGGGCACATAAATTAAAACCTCTCTTTCACTTCAAAATCAAACCAAGTACATTTTGACTGAGATGACAATTATAGGGGTCTACACATTTGTTAAAACTAAGCAAAGTGTCCAATTTATTTTATATTTTAGTTTTATTTCTTTAGAGATGGGGTCTTACTCTGTCGTACAGACTGGAGTGCAGTGGTGCAATCATAGCTCACTGCAGCCTTGAACTCCTGGGCTCAAATGATTCTCTACCTCAGCTTCCCAAGTAGCTAGGGCAACAGGCACTTGCCATCATGCCTGATTTTTTTTTTTTAAGACATGGAGTCATGCTATTTTGCACAGGCTGGTTTTAAACCCCTAGCCTCAAGCGATCCTCCTATCTTGGCCTCCCAAAGTGCTGGGATTATAGGTGTAAGCTACCATGCTAGCCTTGTATGATTTAAATGTGTAGTTTATTTTAAGTAAAATTATGCTTTAATAAGAAAACAAAAAACTGGCCAGGAGCAGTGGCTCACGCCTGTAATCCCAACACTTTGGGAGGCCAAAGCGGGAGGATCACTTGAGGTCAGGAGTTCAAGACCAGCCTGGCCAACGTGGTGAAACCCCGTCTCTACTAAAAATACAAAAAAAATTAGCCGGGCATGGTGGCGGGTGCCTGTAATCCCAGCTACTTGGGAGGCTGAGGCAGGAAATCACTTGAACCTTGGAGGCAGAGGTTGCCGTGAGCTGAGATCATGCCCCTGCACTCCATCCTGGGTGACACAGCAAGACTCCATCTCAAACAAAACAACAACAACAACAACAACAACAACACCACCACCACCTAAGTAGGCTGTACTTCTGCTGAAGTCTATAAAAAAGTTGGTTAATCATTCTAAGAGACGTCCCCTTCAGATGCCAACCTCACACAAGAATAAGCTAGTGATTCCCCAAGGTTTATGGGATCCTACTAGCAGATATACAAAGTAAATTATCACAATTACTTAATAACTACTTTAACACTCATCCTTGCCCACTGCAAGGCCAAAGGAAGCATTCCATTTGCTTAAGCAGTAGACTAAGACCATAGCATTTTTAATGGATACAGCAAAACAACTTGTGGGCTGGCTCCAAGGCCTCGGACTGCCCCATGAGCCCTATCAAGGAAGTTCCTGAGATGATATCTCCATTTATGGAAGAGAATTAGGAGGCAACCATCAGCAGGGTAAACAGTTACCTGACCAGGAGTGGCCACCGAAGGGCACTTTGGTTCTGGGCAGTTGAGGCATTGAACCTGGCCATCTCTGATCTGGATTTCAAAGTAGTCCTTCAGACAGGCTTTGCAGTACACATGCCTGCACTCCAAGAAGTACATGCATTCACTACCCAGCTTCTCACAGAAACAGATACTGCACAGGAACAATTTACTATTAAAGCATTTTATCTGCTGAGCTTGATCAAAGTCCAAGATTTCCTGGATCAGATTTGACAGTGATTCCACATCCTGCACTGCTCTCTCATCCACAATTTCCTCTTGGTCTACATCAGATCCAGCAGCTCCTCCAAAATCTAGCTCTGTGTTGGGAGAAGCTTGAGCTGTCCTTCTCTGCACTTTTTTCTGAGAACCAATCTTGAGCTCAAAAGGAGAGACAATATTCAAGTATGCTAGGGTCTCTTCCTTAAGAAATTGCATCCAGGCAAACAGGACCACGCTGCCACGGTGTTCTTCCCATAGGTTGTCTAAGTGCTTGCATAGAGCAGATAGCTAGGAGAAAACACATGAAGATGTTGGTGAGTTTGGAAAGATGATGCTGCTGCCAACTCCTGGTTTCCCTAGAAATCTTTTCCACTTGCAAGTTAGGCCCTTATTCTAACACTATTTTTTACTGCTGTGATACACTGTGCTACATACAAAACAGTACAAACATTCTTACTGGAGCACTTCTTAAACTATTCGGCAACATGAGCCAGAGTAGAACATAAAGTCAGAAGCAAGAAGTACCACGAGAAGAAGAGAAATAGCAAGACTCCGTAAGGTAGAGAAATAGCTGTACATTTTAGCCACTGAAATGGAAGACTTTTTTCTGTTCTTTAATCTTTTAGTACTGCCATATACCTCATGTAGGACAAAGAGATCTAGTTCTAAAAATAAACTATTTTTCTTCCATTAGGAGTCCTAGCCCTGTTCGTATCCTAGAATAATGGTTAGAAAAAGAATAGTTTAAAAATACTATCCAAGTTTTAAAATTAATTCTTTCAGTTTTATCAAAAAGTCAACTCATCTGAAACAATCACTAACAGAATTCAACCTCAGAGTCCTTGTTCAGATTTACAAGCTGCTTTTAAGTAAGCAATCTGGGCTTATATCAGATCCTGGTTAATGGAGGGAAGCTGCCTGATATTGACCCTGGTCCTAATCACAAGCCCTCAGCAAGGTTTGGCAGCCATAGAGAAAGCTTACACTTCCTAAGCTAAGCAACCAAAATTAAATTATTTGGAATTTTCCTCTTTAAAAGTGGTCTGTTCAATTTGAAAGGCAAATGTTGGAGAATTTTCCATTAGAAATATAAAATATTTTTAACTAGAGCACAGGAATTATAAGCAGCTTTTCTTTTTTAGGTAAACATCCAAAAATATGCCTTCCAGATGGCAAACAAATTTTGTAAATTTAAATGACAAATGAAAAGGGACCAGATTTTCTGTTTCTTACACTCTGTGTAGTGCCACTGACTAAACCCTGCATAGGTACTACCTTAAATACTTATTGATGAGTTAAGATTGAACAACTAATGATTTTTCACATTTGCATAAATATCCTTATAAATCAACCATGCTTTTGAGAAATCTGCTAACATCTGTAAAATGTGATAAATACTAAAAGGGAAGCTATGAGTGCTGTGTGAGCTACCAAGTCCTATGAAGAAGCCATTCTCCAACCTCTTTTCTACCCCAGTCCCTTCTCAAGAGAGGCAGCTGGGGCTGGGCGTGGTGGCTCATGCCTGTAATCCCAGAACTCTGGGAGGCCAAGGCGGGTGGATCACCTGAGGTCAGGGGTTGGTGATCAGCCTGGCCAACATGGTGAAACCCTGTCTCTACTAAAAAATACAAAAAATTAGCCAGGTGTGGTGGCGGGCGCCTGTATTCCCAGCTACTTGGGAGGCTGAGGCAGGACAACCACTTGAACCCACTAGGCAGAGGTTGTAGTGAGCTGAGATTGTGCCCCTGTGCTCCAGCCTGGGTGACAGAGCAAGACTCCATCTCAAAAAAAAAAAAAAAAAAAAAAAAAAAAAAGAGAGAGAAAGGCAGCTGGAATGCATGTAAATGGAAGGGGGACGGGAAAGAGACTGTGTAAGTATATTGGGGGAGGAATAAGGAATAAGGTTTTAGAAAACTAAAACCACTTCCCTCTGTCTACCCGCCCCAATTCAGGGAATGACAGCTCTATGTGTCAATTTCACCATTAACAGGTGAGAGTCATAATGCCAAGGAATCAGGGTACAGCAACAAACAAGAACTGAACCAAGAAGGAATATAAGAGACCAATTAAAATGTTAATTATATGCATAAACATTTATTTGATTAAGAATTCTACTGTAATTTTAGCTGTAACACATAAAACAACTCTCTTCCCCAGCACACACCTCCGCCCCCAAATCCAGCATTAAGTAGATGCTGGTTGGCTGGAATCTGAAACCACAACCACGCATCCAGTTAATCTGTCCCTGTTTTGTGCGTGTGTGTGCATGCACGTGCATGCACGCACATGCGTGGATGTAAAGTATGAAAAGCTCTCTGGTGAAATAGGACTATGAAGATCTAAATAATTAAGCCAACTATCAGTGGCCTAAATGCCAAACAGTCTTGATATTCCTGGACAAATCAACTGTCTTGCATCTGTTGCCTCTGGCACAGACATTAGAATGTAAAGTAATACTCCTTTTTATTCTACCTGTGTTATCCTTTTTAAGGTTTAATTTTGCTTTTAAACCATAAGCTCTAGTTTGTGAAAGTACTCTCACTTAAAAGATTAGATTGGTGGATGGGGAAATGAAAACTGTATGATCCAAAGAGAAAAACTAATGAGCTATTCCTTGAGGTCAGCAACTCTGACATCTTTTGTCTTTTTCTTTTTTTTTTTTTTTTGAGACAGGGTCTCTGTCTGTCACCCAGGCTGGAGTGCAGTGGCTCAGTCTTGGCTCACTGCAATCTCTGCCACCCAGGCTCAAGTGATCCTCCCACCTCAGCCTCCCAAGTATCTGGGATTACAGGGACGCACCACCACACTTGGCTAATTTTTGTATTTTTTGTAGAAATTGGGTTTCGCCATGTTGCACAGGCTGAGCTTTTGTCTTAATACACATTAGTCTATTGATCTTCATTATGACTTCTAGAAAAGCAGCTGCTGATTCATTATCTCTCCCAGAATGCTTTATATTATTTATATTTAGCTTCAAGCCATATTTATGTCTCAATCAAGAGTTGAGGTTGTTACTAGAAAAGTATATATAACCCAGAGGAAATGAGGTGCTTAACATAAGGCCTCAAGCCTTACTGAGATATCTACAGGAACTATACACATTTCTACTTGTATGCATTTATGTCTACGTGATACCAGTTGACTGTTATTTGTTATTAATACAGATTTTTACAAAGAAAATCAGTTATTGTATTCACTCAGAAAATTTGCTTATTATAACTACATTAGCTCAATTTTTAGTCCTAATTACAATGGAATCTTTCATTTAAGGAATGGATAAGAAACTAAGAGAAAAGTAGTATCAATGTCTAAGGAAAATGAGGAAGACCTCTTAGTCTCCATTATAATACAGATTAAACAGGAAAATAGCAAGACAAGAAAAGAAATAATATACTTGATTAAAAATTACTCCTACTACAATTCATGATTGTTTTAATTACTGCCATTCCTTTTTAAAACACCAAACATTTTCAATTTCTTAACATCAGGATTCACCAAGGCAAGGGAAAAAAATTACAAAACCAAAGCCATTTGTTTTTCATGCACTGAATTCAAGATCTTTAAGATAGTCTTCAATTAAAGGTGATTTTTAAGTTTCTAAAAATGGATAGGAAAAATTAAGTTTCAAGTCTAACCTGAGTTGGTGACAGCCATTTGCCACTAAGTGTGAATGAAGGTGGGGAAGAGGATGGATAATCTGGTGGCAGTTCAAAGTTCAGCACAAGTGGAGGCAGAAAGCAAATGGTGTATTCAAAGCCACTATTCTGGAGACACTCATTTGAATTGCCTGAACCAAAAACAAAGATTAGAAAGGATCAGTTGGTCAACACTTGAGTGTCCACTACTGTTGAGCAGCGCTCAAGAAAGACTTAATGCTTTAGTTGAGGGAATAAAAACCCTCCCCCAAAGCACTTTCTATTTCTTAATTTTAACTTCGTAGCCACCACCTTAAAAAAAAATCTTGTAAGCCCTTGAAAAATCTACAGCACCATGAAATGTATAATGAAAATACTACAACTTATTCTTGTATACACTTCTGAGTACAATTCCTAACACTAATGACCAAGGAACACACAATGTTTGTTTTGTTGTGGTTTGGTTTACAGTGGATGATTGAAGACACAATCTAGAGAAAGGATGTTCATTTCCATTGAACAGCATGACCTACTTAGACCAGCATGTCCCACTTAGACCAGCATGTCCCAACTACCCATGAATCAGTTGGGAAAATTTGTGCCAACACAATGATCTCAGGTTTGAGGATATAATATAGCACACAACACTCTCACAATCAAAGTTTCATTTAAATTACCACACTTACTTTCCTTACTCAATCCCTTTATAGTAGAAACATTTTGAGAAAGTGTGCATCAAAGTCTTCTGTAAATGTCTGTATCAAAAGCAGCAGTTTTGTTTTTTCTGAAGCAAAAGGTCACAGAGTAATAGCATGTGTCATATGTTTATAGTAGTTGAAATGATTCTGGAAACCAAATAGTATTAACCACCACCACTGTACTTGAAAATTTCTAAGCGTTTTCACATACATTCATTTTCTCTTTGATTACTGCTATGTAACAGCCAATGACTCATGGCTGATAAACTGCTAGTTAGCAGACCAGGATGTATGAAATATGCAGGATAATATCCCTCTTCAGTGATCAAAAAGGTAGAATCAAATTGAAAACTGCTTGCCCCTCATTGCAATTTTCATTTAAAACAGAAACATGCATTACCTCTGTAATACTACCACCTATCACTAATGCCTAAAACACAAAATGACAAATAGTTTAAGGTACACTAAGAAATAAAGAATAATAGAAAAATCTGTTTAAGAAATTATTAACTAACCGCTCACAAATATCTTGAAATTCTGTGGCAAATCCAAATAGATCCTGGTTTCTCCACCTTGGACAGACTCTGCTTTTCTAAATTCATCTCCATCGTAAATACTTGCCAGGGCCAGCAATTCATCCTCCTGAGCTTCTCGATCTTCTGACGACATAAGGACCTGAAAACATTAAAATCAGTTAAGAACAGAAAATGCACAGAGGCTGGCCGGGTGTGGTGGCTCACACCTGTAATCCCAACACTTTGGGAGGCCGAGGCGGGCGGATCACCTGAGGTCAGGAGTTCAAGACTAGCCTGGCCAACATGGTGAAACCCCATCTCTGCTAAAAATACAAAAATTAGCCAGGCGTGGTGGCAGGTGCCTGTAATCCCAGCTACTTGGGAGGCTGAGACAGGAGAATCGCTTGAACCGGGAGGTGGAGACTGCAGTGAGCCAACATCACGCCACTGCACTCCAGCCTGGGCGACAAGAGTGAAACTCCGTTTCAAAAAAAAAAAAAAGAAAAGAAAATGCACAGAGGTGGAAAAAGCTTAATGGCACAAAAAACAACTGCAAAGAATTAATCGATATTATCACTTTTCTCCTAAACCAAAAATGACAGCCATATCTGGCATTCCATTAGTTTTGCAATATTAACAGTCTTTTTCAAAAGGGATGGTTGTGGTACTTCTAATTCCTGATCTTATCAGTTAGATATTTTATGACTGAATTAGAGGAAAAAAAGCACAATTTGAAAATTTTCTTTGAAAAGGACAAATCACAAATTTACTTTGACTTGTCCACTGAACCTAGCAATGTGCCTGGTTCGCAAAAGTGGTCAAAGTATATTACACTCCTTTCTTAAGTTAATTTGCCAGGCGCGGTGGCTCGTGCCTGTAATCCCAACACTTTGGTAGGCCGAGGCGGGCAAATCACCTGCAGTCAGGAGTTCGAGACCAGCCTGGCCAACGTGGTGAAACCCCATCTCTACTAAAAATACAAAAATTAGCTGGGTGTGGTGGCTCACCCCTGTAATCCCAGCTACTCGGGAGGTTGAGGCAGGAGAACTGCTTGAACGTGGGAGGCAGAGGTTGCAGTGAGCTGAGATTGCACCATTGCACTCCAGCCTGGGCGACAGAGTCAGACTCTGTCTCAAAAAAACAAAAAAGTAAATTTTTTAAATCCACAGGAATCTTTAGGGCAAGTTTTCTTAGCTTCAGCTCTATTGACATTTTGAAGTAAATAATTGTTGTTGGAGAGCTGTGTTGTGCATTATAGAATCTTAACAGCATCCCCTGGCTTTTACCCACTAGATACCCAATAGTGGCCCGCTTCCACCCACAAGAGCTGTGACAACTGAAAATATCTAGCCAGGTGTGGTGGTGCTTGCCTGTGGTCCCAGCTACTTGGGGAGCTGACATGGGAGGATCACTTGAGCCTGGGAGGTCGAGGCTGCAGTGAGCCATGATAGCACCACTGCACTCCAGCCTGAGTGACAAAGTGGGACCCTGTCTCAAAAAAAAAAATATCTCCAAATAGCGCCAGGTCCTGGGGCAGGATGGGGGTTGGAGGCAAAATTGCTCCCAGGTGAGAAAACAGTGCTTGAGAATGTTACAGGCATAGATATTATGGAAGAAAATTAGATAACTGAGCAAGCAGCAAAATAATATTAAATTTTTGAAATAATAGATTTTGTCAAATCCAAGCAGTCACCAATTTAAAGATTCACCATTATGACTCAAGAATATTTAAAAGATAATAATTTTAAGAAAGATTTACCATTATTTTAGGTAATACTAAGAATTTAGCTACAAGGCCCAGGCACAGTGGCTCAAGTCTTTAATCCCAGCACTTTGGGAGACCAAGGCAGGCAGATCACTTGAGGCCAAGAGTTCAAGACTAGCCTGGCCAACACAGCAAAACCCCATCTCTACTAAAAATAAAAAAATTAGCCGGGCATTGTGGTACACGCATGTAATCCCAGCTACTCGGTGGCTGAGGCACGAGACTAGAGAATCACTAGAATCCAGGAGGCAGAGGTTGCAGTGAGCTGAGATTGCACCACTGCATTCCAGCCTGGGTGACAGAGACAGACTCTGTCTCCAAAAAAAAAAAAAAAAAAAAAAGGAAAGAAAGAAAGAAGAAAGAAAGGAAAGAAAGAAAGAAAGAAAGAAAGAAAGAAAGAAAGAAAGAAAGAAAAAGAAATTAGCTACAATTAAAGTATGAACTGGCTGGATATGGTGGCTCATGCCCGTAATCCCAGCACTTTGGGAGGCCAAGGCAGGAGGATCACTTGAGGCCAGCAGTTTGAGATCAGCCTTGGCAACATAGCAAGATCCTGTCTCTATAAAAAATTAGCCAGGTGTGGTGGTGTGTGCCTGTAGTCCCAGCTACTCAGGAGACTGTGGCAGGAGGATCGCTTGAGCCTTGGATGCTGAGGCTGCAGTGAGCCGTGTTTGCACCACTGCACTCCAGCCTGGGGGACAGAGCAAGACCTTGTCTCAAAAAATAAAGTATGAATCAATGTTTTTTAAAATAGCATCAACTGAAAGATACAGCAATTTCAGATAATTTAAATGTGAAAAAAATATGCAATGAGAATTTACAAAAATCATTTTAATAAAACAAAACTACCAGTCAATTAAAATATTGAACTACAATTGCATTTGCAAATATCCTCCCTCACAACTAAAATATTTTTAATTAAAATGTACATAAGTAAAAAGTTAGGATTTTTTACATTTTAAAAGGTCATACTATGAAATTAAAAATGATTTCATTTTCAAAAAACACTTTTTTTCTAGGAGATGTTAGTTCATGGCTCTGCTTAAGCTGCATCCCTATCTAAGACACAATTACATGTTCTACTTGAGGTCAGTTAGTACCTGTTAATAACAATCAGAAGAAAAGGATATTAACACCGCAGTCTGTATTTCAGCTCAGAGTGGAGTTCATGCAAATCCCATTTATTCTCTAACTGGTGGAGCTGAGACTGCTGAAGCTGGGTAAGAGGCCAAGATGTGGAACTCATACTACATATATTATGAAAATCCTGCCATCTGCAGAAAAGAAATACAAAAGATGGTGTTAGGACCCTCTCCAAATTAAAATTCTGAATTTCCATGATCACTGCTTAAGTCAAACATATCCTAACATATAGCCAATCCTAATCTACAAGTGCATGTTACTCTCCTAGGGCAGGCTAACTGAGCCATGTGGTTAAAGGAGTATTTGCATGTCCCCAGCAATGACTGAGGACTTTTTATCTGTCTGCCCTCAGCTATGGGAGGAGCTAAGGAGGAACACCAAGGTCATATGAAAGTACAGGACACCATGCCCCATAACAAACAATCTCTTCAGTTTGTTTTTTGTTTTGTTTTTTTCTCCTTTCCTCTTCTGCTTCTTGTATTCCTTCATTTGCCACTCCCCTCCAGTTTTTCCTCTCTTGTTCATGAATTAAGCCTGCCAGTGGCACTCAAGGTTAATTTTGGTAACAGAAAAATACTTAAACAAAACAAGAGTACACAAACACAAACTTTTAAGTTTTATTCTAAATGCTTTAGAGCTAGGCTTCTTCACTGGGGTGAGGGGAAAAGGGAGTGTGGTCTATAGATGGGCTACGGAGAATCCTATCAACACCCTAAAATTATATGCAAAAATACTATATACAAAACCATAATTAAAAACCAGATTCTCGGATGTGTAACTCCCAAATGAGATAAGAATGAGATTCAGAATCAATTTACATTAATTGAGCACCTACTATGTACTGTATTAGGTCCTTTCACATTGTCTTATTTTACTAGGTGGGAGTATATGGTGCTAATTGAATTAAGCTTTTTGTTTCTTCCTGTTAAAACATTTGCAAATGGGATGAGAGATTCATTCATGCAGTTTATGGTTTTAGGTTAGTGTTCTCCATCTGACTGCACATTAGAATCTTCTGAGGAGCTGTTTTTTAAAATCTCAATACCCAGGCCACACCCTAGAACAATTAATTCAGGCCTCAGTAGTTTTCCAAGTTCTCCAGGTGATTCCAATATGCAGCCAGGGCTAAGAACTTCTACTCCAAGCAGTTTCAACAGTTCCTCATGACCTACCCTACAAGATTTCAGCTTGTGAAGCTGTCACTTGGAATCCAGTACCTCAATTCAGGTTGCTAACCCCCATTTCCTTCTCACTCTATCCATTTGGTCTTCGGGTGTCCTAGTCTGGGTTCAGCTCGCCACTAGGCGTGCGGCGTCGTTTGGGCGACTGCCCCAAAACAGGGGCAGGCCCAACGCTAGCTATCCGCCCCAACGCTGGGATCAGAGGGCGCAATGCGGATGTGTGAGCTGCTGGCCAGCCTGGGGCGTCCCGAAGGAGCAGGGCCCACACCTTCCCCTTCCTCCTCAGCGTCCCGAAGGGAGTCCCGGCCAGCCGAGCTGCGGACGCCCGGTCCCGGATTTGAGGGACTGAGGCCCAGTGTACAGTCCCAGCCCGGTCCCCTTCTCTGCCTCGCGCGCCCAGAGAGCTATCCCCACCGTACCTTCCGGCCGCCCGGCAGTGCCGAACCCCAAAGTTCCGCCCTCCGCCCTTGCCTGGGGCCCACTCACCGCCGCCAGCCGACCAGGCCTAGAGACGCCCTGCTCAACCGGCGCGCCGCCTCTTCCGTTCTCGGGAGCTGTCAGCTGAGCCAGGCGGATCCCGCTGGCGCGACCGCCGGCATAGGGAGGACTCTGCGCAGCCGCCGTGGTCGCCCCTGCCTCTCGGGCGCCTCCCGCAGGCCCAAGGCGGCGCTGCCGGCGCGACCACCGTCACCCCCACTTACTGCGAGCCCTGTGCTCACAGGAGGCTCTTTTCAGTAGTTCTGATGGGGCCCGAGAATTCGAATTTTTACCAATCTCTAGAGGGGATCATGAGGCAGTGGTCTACCTAGGGCAGAGACTCTCACAACAATCCCAGACCTGCTTCTCCAAGTGGACTAAGCAAGCCTACTTCCTCCCGTTTACCTTCTCAGAAATGCTGCCGGTCTTTCTGGCACTCCACTGTGGAAGCACGCATTCATCGCTCATGTTATAACTGTAACACCGACCGCATTTATCGAGTAGTTAGGATGCTTCAAGCAGTGTGATAAATGCTCTACGTAAATTTTCTATCTTCACTGTAATCTTATGATTTAGCTACCATTTGTTATTCTCACTTTACAAATAAGGAAATTGAGACTTAGGTGCAAGAACTTACCAAGGGTCACATGATTATCGTCAGGCTAAGCAGGAATTAAAATTATACACTTCCTTCCTCACACCATATGCAAAAATTAACTAAATATGGATCAACGACCTAAATGTAAGAACTAAAACTATAAAACCCTTAGAAGGCCGGGTGCGGTGGCTCACGCCTGTAATCCTAGCACTTTGGGAAGCCGAGGCGGGTGGATCACGAGGTCAGGAGATCGAGACCAGCCTGACCAACATGGTGAAACCCCGTCTCTACTAAAAATACAAAAAATAAGCCGGGCATGGTGGCGGGCACCTGTAGTCCCAGCTACTAGGGAGGCTGAGGCAGGAGAATCATTTGAACCCAGGAGACAGAGGTTACAGTGAGTCACTGCACTCCAGCCTAGGTAACAGCGAGACTCCGTCTCAAAAAAAAAAAAAAAAAAGTCAAACACAAAAAGCCATATATTGTTTTTAATTTATATGAAATGTCCAGAATAGGCAAATCCATAGAGACAAAAAGTAGTTTAGTGGTTGCCAGAAACTAAGGCAGGAGGGAATGGGAAGTGACTGCTAATAGATACCGCTAATAGATATGGTGTTTCTTGGGTGATGAAAATATTGTGGAATTAGAGAGCAGTGATAGTTGTATAACTTTGTGAGTGTACTAGAAACCACTGGATTGTATACTTTTGAAGAGTTAATTTTATTGCATGTGAATTATGTCTTAATTAAAAAATTTTTTTAGGTACAAAGCACCGTTCTCAGCGCTTAAGTGGAATACAGAAATGTTGGCTCCTTCTCCTGGGACCCATCAAACTAATGTGCTCCTCACAATCTAATAAGCTCCTGTGTCCGCTTTTTCATATATTTCTTCCTCCAAAAGAGTAACTTGCAGAGCTAAGACTCTAACCCAAGCCTACAGGATTCTAAAGCTTTTACCACCATTGCCTCCCGGGCAGGATTAGATTCATGGGCCAGCAACCCGTGCAGTCACATAGGGCCCTGCACTTAGAAGGGCCCCAGATTTAGAAGTGGCCTGCTCTTAAGAATGATACAATGGACTTTGGGGACTTAGGGGGAAGGATGAGAGGGGGACGAAGGATAAAAGACTACAAATAGGGTGCAGTGTATACTACTCGAGTGATGAGTGCACCAAAATCTCACAAATCACCATTAAAGAACTTACTCATGTAATCAAATACCACCTGTACCCCAATAACTTATGGAAAAATTAAAATAAAAAAGAAGTGCCCTGCTCTTGATTTGATGCTGTGCTCTCACCCTCTTGAAGTTCTTAATAATTTCTGAATGAGAGGCTGCATTTTTATTTTGCCCTGGGCTTTGTAAATTATGTAGTTGGTCTTATACCCAGGAGAGAGAAAAAAACCAAGTGAGTAAATCAGGGCACCCAAGGGATTACCTGGCTGCCACAGAAAGAACCTTGAAATAGAAATAATCACTTCTAATTTTCTGTACTATAAATCTTGATTGTCACAAAACAGAAACCAAAATACCCTTCTAATAGATACCAAAACCAGAAACATATCTCGGAAAAATGCAAAGGACGGAAGAAGAATCTCCAAAGCCATTCATTAATATAATTATTCATGTTTAGCCAAAGGAATTAGACCAAGAGCAAAACACACAGCAACCCTACCTCAGAGTGCTCAGAGAGGGGAGACCAGAGACCTCTTCGTGAGGAAAAAAGTGAGGAAGCCCATGCACCAACCAGCTTGGGAAATCCTCACAAAGTCAGAGCAGAAGGTGAATTGTGACATCATGTCAGAGGTCACAGGATAGAGAGAATAGAAAGAGAATTTCAAAGCAGTGTTAATAATTTACTGAATGTTTAAAGTGAACTAAAGATTTAGAGTCAATTTTGAGGACAAGATTGGGTAAAGACAGCCTTCTAATAAGTTTTGTTTTTGACTCTAGGAAAATAACAGACTTTTGTGTCTTTGGTCTCATGTGCCTGGTTAGTCTTTTAAACTGCAGTCTCCCCGTGTGCCTAGCCCTCCACTGTGCTAAATATTTCACGTACATTCTCTCATTTAAATGCCCAGGACCCTATGACTTAGGTAATTTTATGTGCCCACTTGACAGAAGAGAAAACTGAGGCACTAAGATTTGTTTTTTTAATAAGGCCTTTTATATTTACACAATTACTATTTATGACATTTTTATTTATTTTTAATATAAAAAGATGTAATAAAAGACAGCAATGTCATAAAGTTGAAGTCAGGTGTATTATACTTTGGGGTTTTGTTTTGTTTTTGAGACCGAGTCTCACTCTGTCACCCAGGCTAGAGTGCAGTGGCACAATCTCAGCTCACGGCAACCTCTGCCTCCCGGTAGAGGGTTCAAGCGATTCTCGTGCCTCAGCCTCCTGAGTAGCTGGGATTCCAGGTGCACACCACCACATCTGGCTAATTTTTGTATTTTTAGTAGGGATGGGGTTTCACCATGTTGCCCAGGCTGGTCTTGAACTCCTGGGCTCAAGTGATCCACCCGCTTTGGCTTCCCAAAGTGCCGCGACTACAGATGTGAGCCACGGCGCCTGGGCCACTTTTTTTTTTTTTTTTTAACTTTTAAGTTCATGGGTACATGTGCAGGTTTGTTATGTAGGTAAACTCGTGTCACGGGGGTTTGTTGTACAGATTATTTCGTCACCCAGTGACGAAATATTAAGTCTAGTACTTTTTATTCTTCCTGATCCTCTCCCTCCTCTCATCCTCTCATCCTCTACCCTGTAGTAGGTAGGCCCCAGTGTGTGTTGTTCCCCACTTTGTGACCATGTGTTCTCATCATTTAGCTTCCACTTACAAGTGAGAATATGTGGTATTTGGTTTTCTGTTCCTGTGCTAGTTTGCTAAAGATGATGGAGGCACTAAGGTTTGGCCAGTATCACACAGTGGTGGAGCCAGGGTTAGAGCCGATTCCTCATCAGTCTGACTCTCTCCAGGAGCCTGTCAGAGAATAAGGGTTTTTTGTAACAAATTCACAGAGAGTAAAATAGTTCTGGCCTTAAGAACTAAACGGGAAGGCCCTGGGGAAGTTAGGATTCGAGTTTATGACTTAAGGATAGGTGAGAATGAGAACACAGACAGAGAAAGAGACCCAACTCCCACCCCCTGTCCCCAGGGACACCGGATGATGACGGAGCCTAGGGAGAGGAGAGGTTACAGTGTACCACCTAGACCAGAGGTCGGGACCCAGGCCACGGAGTGGAGAGTAGAAGTGAGTCACAAACTATGGCTTGTCACTATAGGGGTTAGCAGACCTGACGGTGCCTGCATTTGTTCCCATCCATCACTGGCATCTGGTAGCTGTCCCGAAACTTTGCTGAACTCATCCCACCATCCCAGGGGGGACTGCCTCCTTTTCCATGGCCACCACTCGCAAGCACTCCTGCAACAAGCCCTTGAACACAGAGGGGCAGCAGTGTGGAGAGGAAAACCCTGCCCAACTTTTGGATAAAACTGAACCTTAATGAGCCCTACCCCAGTACAGAAGTGTCCCTGACTTCTTGCTGGTCTCTTGTCATTGTGTATTTGCTCATCATGTAGATCTTAAAAGTCTATTATCATGTGGGCCTCTGAAACATTGTTTTTTTTTAAAAAAAATTAGAGGTTTCAGGCCAGGCGTGGTGGCTCATGCCTGTTATCCCAGCCCTTTGGGAGGCCGAGGCAGGTGGACCACCTGAGATCAGGAGTTTGAGACCAGCCTGGCCAATGTGGTGAAACCCTGCTTCTACTAAAAATACAAAAAAAAAAAAAAAAAATTAGCCGGGCTTGGTGGCGGGCACCTGTAATCCCAGCTACTCGGGAGGCCGAGACAGGAGAATCACTTGAACCCAAGAGGCAGAGGTTGCGGTGAGCCCAGATCGCACCATTGCACTCCAGCCTGGGCAACAGAATGAGACTCTGTCTCAAAAAATAAAACAAAATTTAAAAAAATAGAGGCTTCATCCTAAAAAATTGGAAGTGCCTACACTAGAAGCACAATTATAAATAACGCTTAAAGTGCTACTTATATCCCAGGCCCCACTCTAAGTGCTGTATGTTAACTAAGCTAAACCCAACATCAACCCTATAACATAGCACCATCATCATCATCATCATTCCTATTTTAAAGCTAAGGAAACTGATCATAGATAATTGACTTGCCATCGTCACACAGATGGTAAATTACAGAGCCAATCCCTGAACCCAGGCAATTGGTGCCCTGGGCCCACATCATTAACCCCATTGCTATGCTTAGACCAAGTCAATACTTGGCTCAAGGAAAGTGGTCAGCTGGGTCTGTAAGGAGAAATAGCCAGATTACCTGCGTGACCAGCTTCCCTGGCCAGTGCAACCTAAACAATAACTCAGGTCAGGTCAGCCCAGGGTTATATAAAGACAGACTGCTACAAGGGCTTGAGGTGGCTGACAGTATAAAATGTTTTCTGTGCTTTTGATGCAAGCTAAAATTTGATTTACAATAATAGGCACAGAATGATCATGTTTATACTCGCAACCTGGCATTTTATTATTATTCCCCTGAATAACAGTGAAAAGAGTTTTGTAACCCCAAGGTAACATGGCTCTGTAAGGAGGAAAGAGGGGTGAGATTTAGCAGCAGCTGCCATCATAAATCAGTGTGTGGCTGTTTCTCTCAGAGCTCCAGGCTCAACTCCTGGCTGTCATAAACTTATAAAGGGAAGCCCCATGAGAATTTATGTAACGATGGGAAGACTCATTTTCCTTCCTGCAAGAGCCTTTCTGAAGCAAGGAGAGAATTAGGCCGATTAGATTCTATATGAAGAAAAAAACCAAGCCAATGGTTTAGAGGAAGGGAAAATGTGGGTCAACTTGAGCTACTTCCCTTGCCAAAAAAATGACCTTGTAAATAGAGAGGAACATGCTAAATTCCACCAAATAAATGAGTGACTGGATGACTGAATGATTTAATAAATGAGTGTAATCTAGGCTTCCTCCAGGGTGGTTCTTTCGTGTAAAACAGTTCGATCTTGGAGTCACCCAGAAATGCTGAACACATAACAAGGCCAATCAACAGAGTTCGCTTCTGAATATTCATGCACAGATGATGCTCCCAGTCAATATGTTTGATTTTTTTTTCTGTTTACTAATAGATTTTCAAATTCACTGTGCAAACCAAAATTCTTAAAAAAAAAAAAAAAGGAACTTGTGTTGAAAGCATACATTATTTCTGGGCAGAGTTGTCAGATTAAAATATTTATACTAAAATTATTCATTGTTTATCTGAAATTCTAATTTAACTGGGCACTCTGTATTTTTATTTACTAAATCTGGCAACCCCTTTCTGGACCAATAACCCTACGTAGAGGAAAGGACAGAAGATAGCTTCTAGGGGACATGCCTGCACCTGGGAGTTAGAAGGAAGGAAAACCAAAGAAGGAGCCAGAGAGGCAGATAGAGGAGTCTGCAGAAATATGGAGAGAGAACCAGGTGAGTATGGAACTCTATAATGAATAGTGACACACATGTCAGGGAGAGGTGGGGACCATGAGGATGCTGGGTTAAGAAAGGCCTGATCGCTATAGAGTTTGGCCTTTGCAATGGGGGATGGTGATTCTGAGAATTTCTAATAGGTGGTTCTCGATGAAGTTGGGGTGGAGATAAGGATGCATGTCGGAATCACCCAGAATATATCAAAATTGAAATCTGTACACCAGAAGTAGTGCCCTTCCTCTCGAAGGTTGGGGAGAAAGACATGTGTGTGTAACTCTTATCAACCCAGAACTCAAGTGGTCCAGTTTTGGGTCCATGTTATGGTTACTAACGCACAAAATAAATTTGGAAAAGAACATACAAATCTTTTCTTGTATTTTTCTTGAAAATCATGAAGGAGGTCTATAATTTGCAATAACGAATTCAAAAGTCCTTTTCATCTTCATTCTACCTCCTTCACAGCCTCTGCTGTTGTCTGCTGTATTGCTCTCCAGAATTTTCTCAGATTGCAGAAATCTCCCTCCTCCCGTCTATTTATTTTTATCACGTAAATCAACTTAGCCTCTCTTTCCAGCAAAAAGGTCCAATCAAATTCCCCAACCCTGTCCCAAATGAAGGGTGCGGAACTGAGCTGGCAATTACAGACTATTCTTTGGCAGTATTCTGGGAAAGGGAAAAGTATGAATTTTCTTGCCCTGTCCCTGGTATTTTGTAAAGCTTTCCAAGTGACTTCGATATCTGGACCCTTTTGAGAACTGCCGCTGTTAACCAAGACATAAAGCTTTTTCATTTCTTGAAAGGTCCTATTTCTTGGCAAATTTCTCCCTGCAAAGTGCATTCTTTTTTCTGCACTGACCCCAGAAACAGGTGCCATTGTGTGGGAGACAGCACCTGTCATCTGTCTCAACAAAGTCCACAAAGTGCCCTGCTAGGAGCAGATAACCCAGAACATCTACCTGAGTCTCCCAGTCAAGATTCCTGGTCTGACTAGGAATCTAACTTCAACAAGATCTTCCTGAAAAAAGACGCTGAGCTTGGACGGTCCAACCACCTCCCTACCTGGGATAAGCCGGAGGATGCTTCTTGGCTTCCCCAAAGCTGTCTTGGTGGTGATGCTGTGGCAACCACAGGGGAGATTCACGAGGAGAAAGCCTGGAAGACCAGAGCCCTGGAAGTGGGGCAGCCAGCCCAGCGGGACATTCGTAGGGGCGAGGTGTGATCTCAGCCTTCATTCAGCTGGCCTGGGAGTCCTCCAAGGGTCAGAGTCACACCTTACTAGTCTGACCCCTCAAGGTTCCTTAGGACTCCAGGTGTTTTAAGAAGATTCTCTGAACCCCCACCCTTCCCACTTCACCCCTCAGCCCTCCCTGTGGTTAAGAACCCAAGTGTGAACAACCCCAAGTTTGGTGGTTAGTGAGGCCTTCAAGCACAAACCCTAATCCTGCCCTTTTAAAAAAAATATTTTGGACTTAAGGGAGGCTGTCCTCAATTGTTTCAAACCTATTTCAGAGTACCTCCACTCCTTCAAACCTATTTTCAAAACTCAGGAAAACGTCGCCTTTCCAGACGAACTCTAGTGACAGCTCCATTCACCCCTTGGCATTTGACTGCTAAAGATCAGCTGACCCCTGCAGCCAGAAGGAGGAGAGAAAATTGCTAAATGGGGACCTCATTTCCAGAGGTGATCACCTTAAAAAAGTCTGGGGCCTTGTTTGCCAGCTTTGAAATCTCAAAGGGTAATCTTAGCTTCATGTCCCCAGTGTGAATAAAACAAACAATAAAAACCACCTATGAAATCTAAATTCAAACTTTCTTGCGACCTATGCATCATTTTTTTGCATTCACATTCCCAGTCAAAACACAGACACACACACACACACACCCAACAGATATATAACTGCATGTAAAATATATATAGATAAAACAATGTCCTCTGAAGAATATAAATGTTAACACAAGTAAAATTATCATGAATTCCATAACTCCTTCTGTGGCCTTGGTCCACGTTAGGTTTTCCATTAAGAGATACTATTGTCATCAGTGAGTAGCTTCTCCTGTTGTATTCTTCTGTGTAGCACGGGGCTGGAGCTGTGGATATTTATGAACCCCAGGCACCCACTTCCTGTTTTCGTGGCTGTCCCCGGTCCCTGCCTCTGTGCCGTTTTCTCTGCCTTTGGCCACCAGATGGCGCTCTGGAAACGAGTTTTCTGCATCAAAGCTCCCCTGCATTACTCTCAACTAGGCTCCCTCCCTCTTCTCTGTTCCCTTCCAAGCCATTTTCCAGGGTGCAGCCAAAAGGCCTTTCTGGAGGGCACATCTGTGTGATCTTGGGCAAGTTACCTAACGCTGTGTGCTCAGCATCTTCAATGTGATGGTATGGCTGTGAGTGCGTCATGAGAGGATGTAGGTAAAGCACTTAGGACAAGGCCTGGCATGTGGTCGCTGTTCTCATTATCCTGCGTAGAGCTTTTCAAAAGCACTCCACGACCTTCAGGACAAGGTCTAAATTCTTAGCCATGGGAACCCAGGCCACTGCATCATCTGAGGACCCCTGCTTATGTCCCCTGCCCAACCTTCCTCCCTACACTACTGCACTGACCCTCTTGCAGCACAGCCAGGAGCCAGCCTGCCCACTTCGGGGCCTTTGCCCATTTTGCCCCTGCCACCAGCTTTGCCTGTCTCCTGCCTATTCAACTTCCTCGGGCTCACTCCTCCAGGTCCGTCAGGATTCAGCGTGTGCCCTCCATGAGGAGCCTCCCGGACCCCCAGGCCTGATTCCAGAGCCATTCTACTGGCCTCTCGCCTTTCATTTTCCCTGCCCCCACCTGCGACTGTCAGCCCCTTGCCTTGTTCACTGTCAGGCACACAGGGGGACGATTGCGGGGCGGATAGTGAGACTGTCACGTGGGCTGCCAGCAGGGGGCAATGGGCACCCTTGTGTCCCTGAGCTCCCAGGGGCTCCTAGTAGCTTAGGCAGCACCTTGCCCACACCAAGCTGAGGGAGACCTGAGAAATGGGATTCCTGCCAAAGAGGCAAAGAAAAAAGTGAAGGGACAAATGCAAGGCCATCTTTGCCATTTGCGTATGAGGCATAAAACTTGGAAGATAATAAACAGCAAAATCATAGTCCTTATGTGCTGAGTGCTTTCTCTGAGCCAGGCCCTGTGCTGAGTCCTTACCCCACCTTGTGAGATCGATGACAGCCCTCAGAGAAGGAAACAGAGGCTAGGAGAGGTTAAGTCCCTTGTGCAGTGTCTCAGAGCTTGTGAGTGGCCTGTCTGTCTCCAGGGCCATGCTGTAGGAGGTGGCCCTGGATTCAGGCCCCTTGCTATGGTTTAATGGGTTTCAGTGAAATAGTTGGGAAACCTCAGGAGTGGGATATGGAGTTAAGGGAAAGAAAAGCCAGAGAGAAAGGGAAGGAGTGCAGGTGACTGTCCCTTAGCCACCCCAGTCCTGATGACCACAGGCCTCCATGCCAATAAGCCCTGACTAGTGCCACTTGGGTCCAAACATGGCATCTCTGGCCCCAAGGGCTTAGTAGCAAACACCCATCTAGGGAAGCTGGCGTTCATTCTCATCACCTCAAATGCTTCATGAGCCTCAGGGATCAACCTTGAAGTGGGTATAAGGCTGGGAGAATGTTGGGGGCAGCAAACTGAAGGGCACAATAAGAAGCAATAAGGCCACCTCAAAGCCCACCCAAGCAAACTGCTCATTCACCTCCTTCCTTCCTGAATTTCACCTTATGAGGAGGTGAGTGGAAGATAGGGTATCCCTTAAAACATCTAAAAGGAGAGTTGGGGGCAGCAAAGGAGATGTGCTTCACGGGACTCTTATAAACAAAACTGGGGAGAGAAGAATTGGAGGAAGGGGGAAAGACATAGATGAAAGGGAGGGGAAGGTGTGGGAGAGGGAAACGTATAAAAGCTTCCAAGAGGAGTGGGAGGCTGGGGGTTCCCCAGACAGAGACTCAGTCTGGACCAGATGCAGAGAACAATGGACTTCAAGGCTGGAGGGGGGCAGAAGGGAAGCGGGAGGAGAGCCACACGGTCAAGTTGCACAGGTTCTTGCAGCTTCTGGAATCAAGACCATGGGCACCCTCATAAGTCAGTGTGGGCAGGGACTGCCCCAGGGCCAATCCAAGATCCAGAGGTAGCCATAGGGTGTGACAAGTTGTGCAGATTACAACACTCACCCCTTGCAATAACGTCACTGCCTGTGACTCGGGGCCAGGCCCAGGCCAAAGCCCTTCCTACATCATTTCGTTTAATCCTCACAGTTTCCTGCTGAAAGGGCTACTATTCTTACTCCCATCCCCACTCTACAGATGAGGTAATGGAGGCCCAGGAAAGTTAAGTGACTTGTCCCAGATGACACCGCTGGTAAGTTGCAAAGTCAGAATTTGAACTCAGGCAGTTTACCTCTGATGGCTGCTCTGTTAATCACAGCTGCTTTCCAGTGAGACAAAAACGGGTGATCAGGGCAGAGTCAAGACAGAGAGGTAAACAAGATTGGGAAAAAGACAGGAATGAGAGGGGAACAATGGGGGAAAAGATAGGAACAAAGAGAGTTGGGGAAGGGGAGAGAAACAGGAAACATGACTTGCCCGGGAGGGGCATCAGTCCACGTGCAAGCAGGTGGAGGCTCAAGTTTTCTGCTCACTTGGTGATGCAGAGGCTCCCTTTCCCTCAGCAGCCGCCTTGCTGCGTGGACAGCAGCTTCCCATCTGGCCTGTCCCCGGAGCCCCGGCCTCATCCTCCTCAGCGGCAGGCCACTTAGCTTCACAGGAAATGCTCTTTCTCTAATTGGCATTGAAACTCACAGCCCTCCCTTTTCCTGTAGGTGGGGTTTCCATAGGAAAAAGCTGCTTCTCTGTTTCCCCAGCCTAGCAACTGTTTGGCAGTCAGAGTCCCACATCCTGCTCAACTGGGTCAGGTCCCTCTTAGACCAGCTCTTGTCCATCATTTGCTGAAGTGGACCAACTAGTTCCCCAGTAGGGGGTCTCCCCTGGCAATTCTTGATCGGCGTTTGGACATCTCAGATCGCTTCCAATGAAGATGGCCTTGCCTTGGGGTCCTGCTTGTTTCATAATCATCTAACTATGGGACAAGGTTGTGCCGGCAGCTCTGGGGGAAGGAGCACGGGGCTGATCAAGCCATCCAGGAAACACTGGAGGACTTGTCCAGCCTTGAAAGAACTCTAGTGGTTTCTGAATCTAGCCCACTTGGCGGTAAGCATGATGCAACTTCTGCAACTTCTGCTGGGGCTTTTGGGGCCAGGTGGCTACTTATTTCTTTTAGGGGATTGTCAGGAGGTGACCACTCTCACGGTGAAATACCAAGTGTCAGAGGAAGTGCCATCTGGTACAGTGATCGGGAAGCTGTCCCAGGAACTGGGCCGGGAGGAGAGGCGGAGGCAAGCTGGGGCTGCCTTCCAGGTGTTGCAGCTGCCTCAGGCGCTCCCCATTCAGGTGGACTCTGAGGAAGGCTTGCTCAGCACAGGCAGGCGGCTGGATCGAGAGCAGCTGTGCCGACAGTGGGATCCCTGCCTGGTTTCCTTTGATGTGCTTGCCACAGGGGATTTGGCTCTGATCCATGTGGAGATCCAAGTGCTGGACATCAATGACCACCAGCCACGGTTTCCCAAAGGCGAGCAGGAGCTGGAAATCTCTGAGAGCGCCTCTCTGCGAACCCGGATCCCCCTGGACAGAGCTCTTGACCCAGACACAGGCCCTAACACCCTGCACACCTACACTCTGTCTCCCAGTGAGCACTTTGCCTTGGATGTCATTGTGGGCCCTGATGAGACCAAACATGCAGAACTCATAGTGGTGAAGGAGCTGGACAGGGAAATCCATTCATTTTTTGATCTGGTGTTAACTGCCTATGACAATGGGAACCCCCCCAAGTCAGGTACCAGCTTGGTCAAGGTCAACGTCTTGGACTCCAATGACAATAGCCCTGCGTTTGCTGAGAGTTCACTGGCACTGGAAATCCAAGAAGATGCTGCACCTGGTACGCTTCTCATAAAACTGACCGCCACAGACCCTGACCAAGGCCCCAATGGGGAGGTGGAGTTCTTCCTCAGTAAGCACATGCCTCCAGAGGTGCTGGACACCTTCAGTATTGATGCCAAGACAGGCCAGGTCATTCTGCGTCGACCTCTAGACTATGAAAAGAACCCTGCCTACGAGGTGGATGTTCAGGCAAGGGACCTGGGTCCCAATCCTATCCCAGCCCATTGCAAAGTTCTCATCAAGGTTCTGGATGTCAATGACAACATCCCAAGCATCCACGTCACATGGGCCTCCCAGCCATCACTGGTGTCAGAAGCTCTTCCCAAGGACAGTTTTATTGCTCTTGTCATGGCAGATGACTTGGATTCAGGACACAATGGTTTGGTCCACTGCTGGCTGAGCCAAGAGCTGGGCCACTTCAGGCTGAAAAGAACTAATGGCAACACATACATGTTGCTAACCAATGCCACACTGGACAGAGAGCAGTGGCCCAAATATACCCTCACTCTGTTAGCCCAAGACCAAGGACTCCAGCCCTTATCAGCCAAGAAACAGCTCAGCATTCAGATCAGTGACATCAACGACAATGCACCTGTGTTTGAGAAAAGCAGGTATGAAGTCTCCACGCGGGAAAACAACTTACCCTCTCTTCACCTCATTACCATCAAGGCTCATGATGCAGACTTGGGCATTAATGGAAAAGTCTCATACCGCATCCAGGACTCCCCAGTTGCTCACTTAGTAGCTATTGACTCCAACACAGGAGAGGTCACTGCTCAGAGGTCACTGAACTATGAAGAGATGGCCGGCTTTGAGTTCCAGGTGATCGCAGAGGACAGCGGGCAACCCATGCTTGCATCCAGTGTCTCTGTGTGGGTCAGCCTCTTGGATGCCAATGATAATGCCCCAGAGGTGGTCCAGCCTGTGCTCAGCGATGGAAAAGCCAGCCTCTCCGTGCTTGTGAATGCCTCCACAGGCCACCTGCTGGTGCCCATCGAGACTCCCAATGGCTTGGGCCCAGCGGGCACTGACACACCTCCACTGGCCACTCACAGCTCCCGGCCATTCCTTTTGACAACCATTGTGGCAAGAGATGCAGACTCGGGGGCAAATGGAGAGCCCCTCTACAGCATCCGCAGTGGAAATGAAGCCCACCTCTTCATCCTCAACCCTCATACGGGGCAGCTGTTCGTCAATGTCACCAATGCCAGCAGCCTCATTGGGAGTGAGTGGGAGCTGGAGATAGTAGTAGAGGACCAGGGAAGCCCCCCCTTACAGACCCGAGCCCTGTTGAGGGTCATGTTTGTCACCAGTGTGGACCACCTGAGGGACTCAGCCCGCAAGCCTGGGGCCTTGAGCATGTCGATGCTGACGGTGATCTGCCTGGCTGTACTGTTGGGCATCTTCGGGTTGATCCTGGCTTTGTTCATGTCCATCTGCCGGACAGAAAAGAAGGACAACAGGGCCTACAACTGTCGGGAGGCCGAGTCCACCTACCGCCAGCAGCCCAAGAGGCCCCAGAAACACATTCAGAAGGCAGACATCCACCTCGTGCCTGTGCTCAGGGGTCAGGCAGGTGAGCCTTGTGAAGTCGGGCAGTCCCACAAAGATGTGGACAAGGAGGCGATGATGGAAGCAGGCTGGGACCCCTGCCTGCAGGCCCCCTTCCACCTCACCCCGACCCTGTACAGGACGCTGCGTAATCAAGGCAACCAGGGAGCACCGGCGGAGAGCCGAGAGGTGCTGCAAGACACGGTCAACCTCCTTTTCAACCATCCCAGGCAGAGGAATGCCTCCCGGGAGAACCTGAACCTTCCCGAGCCCCAGCCTGCCACAGGCCAGCCACGTTCCAGGCCTCTGAAGGTTGCAGGCAGCCCCACAGGGAGGCTGGCTGGAGACCAGGGCAGTGAGGAAGCCCCACAGAGGCCACCAGCCTCCTCTGCAACCCTGAGACGGCAGCGACATCTCAATGGCAAAGTGTCCCCTGAGAAAGAATCAGGGCCCCGTCAGATCCTGCGGAGCCTGGTCCGGCTGTCTGTGGCTGCCTTCGCCGAGCGGAACCCCGTGGAGGAGCTCACTGTGGATTCTCCTCCTGTTCAGGTACCTGGGGCATGGGCAGCTCTTTCTCTGGTCACTCCTGGACCACCAGAAACAGAATCAGACACCCCCATAACCTGCACAGTCCTCATGTTTCTTCCTTAGGCTCACCTGGCACTTTCTGATGCTTTGGGTAGCAATGGTTCAGGGCACAGCTTTGTGATCGGCTGAACTTAGCTGTGTGATCCTAGGCAAATTCCTTACTGTCTCTGGGCCTTAGTTGTCTTATCTGTAAATTAGAGATGATAGTAAGAGTATCTACCTTGTAGAGTTGTCCAGAGGATTTGATCAATTAATTCCTATAAGGCATTTATGGTGCCTCACAAGTAGACACACAGCAAAGGTAGTGATTAAGAGTATAAGCTTTGGGCAAGGTTACCTGGGTTCAAATCCTGGCTCCACTTCTTCCTAGCTCTGAACCACAGAGGAAGTTAACATCTCTGTTGAAGATGTCTATGTTAACACCACCCATCTTCTAAGTTTGCTTGAAAATAAAATGAGTGAATGCTCTTAATGCCTGTAGAACAGTGTCCATCTGACATGTAGTCAGTACTCAGCAAATTATTACTATTACTTCCTCAAAGCACTTCTCCATCTCCACTATTTGCCTGCCTTCATCTCATCTGGGCAACTTCCCTATGAAGAAGGCCAGCATAGGCATCATTGCACCCAAACCCAGGTGTTGCAAATAATTTGTCTGAGACCCCAGAGCTTTCCGGCTGGGCCTGCGGATGGGGCAGTGGAAATTACCTTAGAACTTAGCAGTTAGGCAGATTGGAGTTCAGATTTCAACACAGCCACTTAGGAGCTGGGCAACCTTGTACACGTCCTTCAACATCTGAGCCTCATTTTCCTCATCTATAAAATGGGGATTATGAGACCAAACTTACCCTGTGTCTGCCTCCTTAGAGTGTGAGGGCTAAATGGGATGATGAGTGTCAAAATGTCTAAGGACCTGGGATTTTCTAGACACAAGTGGGGAAACCTTTCCAGGGATGATGCCTGATCTCACACCCATATCTGCTTCTGTGAACCTCAGATATTTTCACTGTGCCAGGCTGCCCGCCCAAGGCACACTTCTGTTTGGCCAGGCTATCAGCTCAGGTTTCCTGTGAAGCAAAACACAGTTTCCTTCCCTATTCCCTCCTCAGGAAGCCACCTGGAGATGGCCCAGCTGTTCTCTTAGGAATCTTGCCCTGGGATCGGTGCAGACCCAGAGGCTGCCAGAGCCAACCATTCATTTATCCTTCCATTCATCCATCCATTTATCAGGTGCTTTTTGGATAAACTCTGTGCTGAACACTGTGCTGGCTGC